>NC_000002.12:162489618-163739618 GCF_000001405.40 Homo sapiens | reverse complement strand
CTCTGTGTCCAGCCTAGCTCATATTTTCCTTAGTCCAGTGCAGACAAGTCTATGGTCATTTGCAAAATCACATTCAGTATCACTTTGCTTATTCCCTTAACCTTCACTTTTGTTGTTGTTGCTTACATTATTTTGAGAAGAAAAAGCAGAAAAAAGTAGAATTCCCCTCTGAATTATCTTGAAAGGAAGGCATACACACACACACTCCTGAAGAAGAGTTATGTTGATTTTTCTTCTGATTTTCTTAAAAAGCACAAGTTTGAGTATACTGTGTATTAGAATTTCACATATTAGTCAAAATGTTATGCATTATAATGTCTGTGCATTTAAAAAGTAAAATAGAAAGAGAAATGATATTGCTAATAGAGTGGGAAAAATTAGTCAAATTTATTATTTTCTGAAATAACTGTTTCCCTGACTAGCCAATCAACTTCCTTTAAACACTCAATATTTAATTCTCATGTTATATCAAGAAGTTTCAAAAGATATTATAGAGATGGATGTCAGCTACAGCCAGAAACATTTCTTTTGATTAAAAGTTTTGAAGATAAATGCATACAGAATATGATGACTGTTAAAGTGCTTTTTAATCATACCACATAATTAAAGATAGTTTTATTAAAACAACAAAAACTGAACATCGCAAACAATGCCATGAATCTCTGTGGAAAAGAAAGTCAAGTTTTATTTTCCTTTGCTTAAAATAATTGGAGAAAAGCAACTTTTACCTATACTTAAAAAAAAAGGGAGAAATAGTGCAATGACGAACTCTCCTGTGTATCTTATTATTATGGAAGTCCCATAATGTATATTCTATTATGTAAGTGTCTTTTATTCCCAGAGTATATGTAATTTTGAACAATTTAGAAACTCTGTACCTCTATCCAGTGCTCTTTTGAACAGTTTTCCAATTATTTGATTCCAAAGTTAATTATATTTATTTGCATGTTGAATGATTTTTTTATAATGTGTATTTCAAATGAATCTATAAGGGAATTGGAAAGGTACAGTTATTATCTATTAATAAACTCTTGCTGACCACACTTTTTCCTCCTCTTTTTAAAGAGCAGGGGTTGTTTTATTTTAGATATTACAGATGAATGGCTTTAAGTCTGTCATCAAAATACATTGTTTTTATATTCAGTGGGCACTGTATTATATATTTTATTCACTATTTGAATTTACACAAGGAACTGTAAATTCAACGCTAGGATTTAATGTTAAAGGTTGATGAGCTCTGAACTTTTTTAACAAACAAGAACAGAGCAGTTTTGCCCGAATTGCACAGAGCATCTGCTGTGTGTCCAGAGGACTTTTGGTCGTCATTCCCCAAATGGGCAATAACTGCGATTATGAGCGCTTCACAGTTTTTTTTTTTTTTTTTAATTCATCTGTACTCAATCCAACAGTGACCCACAGATATTTCCCTACACTTATTTCTTTGTGGTAAAATCCAATGAACAACTTTTCGTAATATCATTTTCAAAGCCATCTTGTAAAATATAACTAAAGAGGTTTCAGTGTTCTCTGTTACATCAGAATAAAGTTCTTCTGTTTTATTTCGAAGACTCCTTTTTTAAAAAATTCACAGAAAGGTCAAATCCATTCCAAATAGAAATCTCATTGCTTAGAAATATTTCTTAGGATCTCGAATCACTCTTTTTTTGTCTTTTAAATTCTGTCATCTGCCTAGATTTAACTGAAATAATTTTTATTTCTCAGTGTGTTAGCTAAAGGCATCCATTCAAAGGTAAGAACATCATAAAAGGTGAATGGAATTAATTTCAAAGTATATATTTGGCATTTTTAAAGAGCTGCATTTCAGCATCTGGAGAGCTGCAATTTAGGCTATCAAATCTACAACAGAGAAGCTGGGGGAAATGTGAACACCCTTATGAGGAGGGTCAGTCCTCAGCAAGTGCATTTTCGGTTCCAACCTTCAAAGGTAACATTTTCAGCTTGATGGGCTCCTGGTGGAATATATAATTTGCCTCTTTCATTCTTAGCTTCGTTGAAATATAGAAGACTGGATGTCTACCAGGCCAAAGTATAAACTCACCATTTATCTATTAAAGTCATATTTAATGAAAACGAAGAGAAATTATGACCCAATTCACTCTCTTTCTCATTACAATTCCTAAAGAACTTTGCCGGGCACATTATCTCGTAGACATCATGATCAAATGTTATTGTTTGCTTTATTATCTCAGTTGGATGGTTGGCTAGTCTAGAATGAAATAGGTTGAAGGCAATACTCTCAGCCTAGAAGTCTGAATGAGGTTCCCATTCAAATGATCCTGATTGTTTGCGGGTGGGGCGGGGTGATTAGTAAACCAACTGAGCTTACACTGCATAGTAAGCGTCTGGATGCCGCACATTTACATCTAACAAGAGACCCCAGAAAACGTGTGTGTGTTTCTTAAACCTTATGTTCCGAACAAAAGGCTATCTCAGCAACAGACAATCAGCACTGCATTGCTCCCTGGGATGCGAGCAACACACTCAACTGCACATTTCATTCTTCCTCGGCTCCCAGCACCACAAAGCCCCTACTCTCTTCCCACTCCTGGGTCCCCAGATTACTCCATAGAGGGGGGTTGGGAAGGCAGAAGCCTAACGTCTATGCCTGCGCACCAGCCGCCGACACCAGGGCCCCCCGGGCGCTGCTTTCTCCAGCCCGAGCCGCCTGGGGGAGGTAGGGAGGGGAGCCAGGGAGCGCGAGAGGGGACCGCACACCTAGACACTTAGGATTTTATTTATTCACAGGGAGGCGGGGGAGGGGAACTGGGCGAACGCGAATTTTCTCCCCGAAGTTGCCTCTTCTAAGCAGATCAAGTCGTTTTCTGGCTGGTGCTGGGGGCCCCGGGGAGGGTGCCGGTGAGGTCCAGGCTCTCGAGACCAGATCCCGTCCCGTGCGCAGAGGGGGTGGGGAAGGGCGGACGGGCCGCAGCTGTCGAGAGGGCCGGGAACCGGCAGGGAAGAGCCCGCGGGCCGGGGAGCAGCGCGGCTCTGTCCCGGGCCCTCCAACGCAGGCCGGGGAGCGCAGGGGCCGGCTGGTCACGCGTGGGAAAGAAAGCCCCCTTCCCCCTACGGCGCTGCTCCCCTTTCCCCAGGCTGGGCCGCCAGAGAGTGCGTGCAGGGAGAGCTGCGAGTCCCCGCGCGCGTAATCATGACCTCGGGGCCCCCTCCGGGCCGCGTGAGCGCATCGGCGAGGCTGGGCGGCCGCCGCGGCCCCGGCCGTGTAACATGACCCGAGCGGCCGGCCGGCCGGCGCGGCGCGGCCATTGAGCCCTCCCTGCCCATGAATCTCTGGCGCGTCTCTAGCTCGCTCGCCGGCTCGCCTCCCGCCTCCCTTTCTCCCCCTCCAGCTCCGCGGGCTCCGTGCGCCTCTCCCTCTCCCTCCTGGTCCTCCCGCTGCCCGTCTCTCTCCACTGCCCGCCTCTCGCCACTGCCTCCCGTCTTCTCTCCCTCACGGCAGCCTCCGTCTCTTTCTCCCTCTCTCCTTTGAAAACTGATCTTTGGCTCTTAGTGTGAAAGTGATTTGAATTTGGCTCTGCGGCGCTCTGCGCCTGCGCCCAGCCTCTGGCATGCTGGCTCCTTCCAAGCAGCTGTTTTGGGTTTGAAATTCCAACATGGCAGAGGCTGCAGTCCGTCTTCCCTTCAAAAACTTGGAATGATTTCAAATCATAGGCACCTTCACTTAACCCTAGCTTCCATTCATCAGCAAACACATCGGATCGATGCTACGCTAACCTATCGGGTTCTCTCTCCGCGCGTTCAGGTAAGAGGAGCTTCGTAGTTTTCTACCATCTGTTTAAATTTGTTTTTGTTTTATTTTTAAAGAATATAAATACATCCAAGACCTGTAATTAAAAGAGATCTTCAGTTGTGCCGTAAACATTAAATTCAATTTCCACTCGTTTCTATTCTGTACGCCAACCTGCTGTCTAATTTCTCTGTTCAAAGTAGCCCTGAAACATTATAATGCATATTTTTGCTGCTTAATCATTGTAACAATAGTATGGGATTAAGAGTTCGCGATTGCAAGAATCTCGCTTTTCGCTATATTGGGCTTACTTATTACTATCTTTTTACTTCAAAAATAAAAAAATAAGAAAGCGGAGCCATAGGGTGGGGCTAGACTTTCTTCGGGAACTAACTTCTAAGTAAATAAGAAGTGTAAATAAGAATCTTGCACACACACAAAAAGTTGAGGTTAAATTACAATCTCGTGGCTGGGGGAACGAGAAAATGTCAGAAGATCGGTTGCAGAAAAATGTAAGCACATCATCTAGGAGGGGGTACAGCGTGGTGGGCGTATTGTTGGCAAGGAACGGGAGAGAAAGATGTATAATTTAATGGTATATACAATCCACTGATCCTATTACCGTCCTCCCCGGAGCTCTTGTTAGTTTCAATGGGAGTGAGTGAAATTGACATGGACTTGCATTCCTGGTCATGTGCTTTTTTTCCTTTCTTTCTTCTCCTGTGATCTGAGATCCCCTTTTTGTTGATGTTGCTTTCCCCCTTAATTATATGCATGTAGGTTAAATGAATACCTGACGAAAGGGCCCACGTTTCAAGGCAGTGACATTTGATAGCTGAGAGGAAAAGTGGCTTTAATGAAAAGCAACCTTTGGAATTCCTGCTTGTGAGAAATCCAATTCAGCTTTTTGTGCTGCCAGCAAGAAATGATCAGTAGCACCAGTGTTTATGGTATGTCAGTTTTGGAATTTACTTCCTTTGCATCTAAATAGGAAAGACAAATGAAATAGCATGATAAAACCATTGAAGACTGCCTGGCAAGCAGTTGCTCATGATATAGAATTCCTTTTTTTAAAAAATATATGTTTAATGTCACCATGCTTTTTTTTCTTTTGCTATCACTTGTTTGTATATTGCAGTTTTGATTAATATATTACTTGAATCCACTTTTATCGGTTTTAGCTGTCATCCAGAAGTTGCACGTTACTAGTAATGCACTATATATATATAACTGCTGAAGTCAAATAGTATGTAAATTAGTTAAACTCAGTGTGGGTTTTTTTTTTTTTTTTTTTTGAAGGAGGGAGGCTGGGCAAAGGGGAGAGGGCAGGAGTGTTGGGAAAGATTACTAACTAATGAAAGTGTATCTATATATATGTACACACACAGGAACAGGACTGGATGAAAATTTTATTTTTCTCAATCTATTAATGCAGTTTGACTATCTGCTCTTGATGTTTGCACTTTGTGGAGTAATCAGTTCTTCTGAGTGTGGTTTTTTTTTGGGGGGGGCGGGTAAGTGAAGAGGTGTCTTTTACATGAAAATAAAAATTATATTTTGATTGTCCAAAGTCCTTGATGTCTTTTAAAGAGTAGGGATAGGTTTTTCTTCCCCCTTTCCATTCACTCGTCTGCCTGTCAGCGCTTTTTACTTTTAACTTGTGACAGAATTAAATAATCAGGCACTGAAATTGACTTCGTTTGAAATCGCTCTTTCCTTTCTTTACAAAAAAAAAAAGTCAGTTAAATGGAGTGAGAGGGGATTTTCAATAGCTCTTGTGGCAGTGCCCTGTGTACACTTTGTAATATTCAATTAAGACAGAGGGAACAACAACAACAAAAAGATGTTAAAGTATTTTGCATAACCAAAGGATATGTCCACTTTAGACTGTTTTTTTTTTTTTTTTTTTTGGTTGTTGCTATGTTTACCCCATGACCGTTAATTCCTCCTGAAAAGAGAGAAAGAAGGAAAGAGAGAATATGAAAAAAGAAATAACAGTGGGGCAAAGCTGCCAGGGGTCTGTAGTGTGGCCGTGGTCACTGCTCTCTCCTAACACAAATGTGAATACGAAGAGAGGAACTACAAGACCCGTTGCGCGACATACACGTCTGGTTGGACTCTGGTGACTATTGAGCTAAATACACACCACACTTACACGATAGGAAAGATTTGATTGAATTTTGCATTTGGAACTTGTTGACTTTGAAGCGATCAATAAGAAGACTGTTTATTTTAGATGCACATAATTTGCCCTGAGAAATGTTTTAAGGAGGAGAGAGCACAGCTTTTTTTCCCCCGGAGCTGTTGGAGCGAATGGGATTGCCAGATGGGCGATTTCCCTCTGTGATGTTAAAGCTGTAATATATATTCAGAGCAGATTGGGCTGCTGCCTGTGATGAGGAGGATATTACATTTATAAATTTTAAATCGGAGCTCGGACAATGTGCTGAGAGCAGAAATTGGATGGTTTGACTGTTCACCGTATTGATACTTAAATGTGATTTCTAGGTAGTACTAATAATAATCATTGCAATAATTCATGAAAAACATACTGGCATAGGCAATTATATAATTCATGACATTTAACAGCAGATTTGAGTGTGTAAATTGCCCCCCTCTTAAGTCTCTGCTTACTATTAAATAATAGTCACATAATTCATTTCCCTATGTTTAAATGTCCGATGTGCAAATGATGTTAACTTAGGAGCCTTGTTATCATATATTAGAATTCTAGGGGTGAAAGTTTACATACATATATATAAAGTAGACACTTGTGTATATGTATAAAGTGGCGTTACTGGCTCTTGTTTTCTAATTCTTTACTCTGATTATTTTTAGATTTTGTTTGTCTCAAATGTGCGGCCTAAAGGAACCAGAGCTACAAACCTAAAAGACTAGAAAGTGGGCAAGTGCTCACACTCTGGCAGCTCTGCTGTTGCAAATTAAAAGTGTGTTGTGGTCAGGAAATGAAAGCTACAATGTCTCTTTTGAACAAGTCGTTTATCAAGAGAAACATCTATCAGGGACTGCCTTGTCACATTGATCCTCTAAAAGTTAGGTCCGAGGTGGAAGCTGCTTTGATGTTTTTGATCCTAAATTTAATACAACAGAAAAAAAGCAAGGATATTTTGACCAGTATAGATTTTTAAAAATGTTTCCTGGAACCAACAAGATCTATTTATTAGGATTTCACTATGTGTGAAGTTTTCTGGACGTAACAGTTGAAAGGTTGAAGGGGAAATCCCAGACTTTATAAATTGATGATTGTTAGAATATACATTTATAATATATTTAGTGATGGCTGGCTTCTTGGTGCACATGGAATGGACGTTTTGAACACAGATTGTTCAAAAGGAAAATTATTTTGAAAGATTATTTTGGAAGAATATGTAGAGAGTCAAGAGTTTTTCATTCAAATTTTAGTTATCCTCTTCTGTTCTTCCTCTCTTTTACTCCTTCATGCTTGTTTCTTATCTTCATTATATTTGTGACAAATTAGCTTTTATTTGGAAAAGAAACATTATTTCTACAAAAACCATGTCCCAAAACATGCTTGTACACATCGTCTCTATTGTTTATTAATTGTGCATGTTTATGGTTATCAATATAAACTGCATGGACACATAAGTCCTTTGGAATTTCAGCTTAAAAATAGAGGTATCAGATTAAACATGCTATGTGTTCTTGAATAATGAATATGTTGTATGCATTATTTAAAATTGAAAAGGTATTGTTAGGAAAATGACCAAGTTGAAACAAAATTGTGAAAGCAGTTAGAAGCAGCCTGCTTCATTTTGGGAGGCAAAGATAGGAAAGAAGTGTTTCTTCTTTAAAATAGAGTTTTTGGATACTTGTCTTACACTGCTGGAGGCAACTTGTTATTTCATGTGGGTCTATCATCAAATAAGCAGGGAAGAGTAGGGTGGGAGTTTTGAGAAGTGTAATACTTGCTAATTAATCATGTCTGAAATGAAAGAATCATAGCAGGGTAATAAAGTCTCATTGTTGTTTTCCTGGAAGAGGGTAAGACTTCTGTTTGGAAGCTGTATGTGTGAGTTGATTTGCTTTTCTCTTCTCCTAAAAACACAGTTTATAGGGTCTCTTTGGAATTATTTCAAGAAACATCTTTTTTTTTTTTCTGAAAATAGAGTATTTTTCTTTCTCCTGGCTGTATTTCATCAGTAAGATTCTTAAAACAGTATCTGATATCTTCTGAGTGAAAATAGGGGGTTTTATTCTTTAGTTATATTTAAGACTCCTGTAGCTGAGTTTCCAGGGCTGATATTTTTTTCCTTCCCATAAATAGAAAATATTTTTTGTTTTTGTTTTTATTCATGTTAGGCAGGAACTTTGAAAACCTTTTTGTAGGTAGTTACTTCTGATAGATATACAAGAGTGCAGAAATTTCATTAATTACTTTTAGATGATAATATAAGAGTGTAACCAGAGAGAAGAAAATAGGTAGTATTTCCAAGAATCTATAGAGACCATCTGTATTATTACTTTGCATTTCTAAGATAGTTTAAGATATAAACCACCTGAAAAGATAAATGGGTAATTTCATTATAGGTTAATTATTTTTTCCTGAGCTTCTGGTTGTCACCTTTTAGAATTTAGTATCTTACTCAGGACATTCATAGGGACAGATCCACAAAGTTTGAGAGTCTGCACTGTTTTTCAGAATGTTCATGTCAAGGTGAAGACAGCCATGCTAATACTTCCCTGTTTTTGTCTGTGTGAGTGTTTGGATGCCTTGAATGATTGCCTAATTAAGTAATCACTTTTAGTGGCCCAAAATCAACAGAATTACTAGATGTATTTGAAACAATTGCAGGCTTTTAAGGTTTGAACTTTCTAGTTCTTAGAACCTTGGTTTAATAGAAATAGAAAGGTGCTATTTTACCTTTGATCAATATATTCTTGAGTGCAGATTTCACATACTACTCTTTATAAAGTACTGTGTTCATTGTTGAAGAGCAAATAAATTTAATTACCAGGAATTTAAATTGATTTATAAATTTTTGATTGGAAGAAACTATTCTGCAGATGTTTGTGTGAAATATTGACATATGCTACTGATCGATAGAACTTGATTAATCAGCATATCTGCTGTTTTTCTTGAGTCATTGATAAACTAGAATAAACAAATGGTTCAGAAAAAGCTATAAATTTTAACTCTCAATAAAAAATAAATGTATGTGTCTTTCTTTTGAGATATACAAGAGCTAGTGTTTTATTGAAATCAACTGAACTTAGAAATTATTTGGGGGTACCACTTAGAAGCTTACAAGTCCCAAAATTCTGCCTTTCAATTCACACACACACACACACACACACACACACACACAAACACGGAGCAAGAGAGAGAGATTGTACCTATATTATTGTTTATTGAAAATGAAAGAATTTTTTTGACACACTGCAAATAAATGGCCAGTTTAGCAAGTGCTTTCCATGGTTGGATTTTGTCATTTTCTTCTTTTTTTCCTAAACTTGAATTTTTAGCATTAACTTTTTCATTTAACTTCTGGCAGAAATTTTAAGCATAGCTGCTTTGGTATGATTGCTGATTACTAATCTTTTTGATATTTTTGATGTTATCATTTAAATGGCAATTTTCTTTCAGAAATGTTTATTTTAAAAAGTAAAATAGCAGGAATAAGGAGTATGAAAGAATATACTCAAAATAAATGGTACATTGAAGTTCGAAGCAAATCAAAAGCAAGGGGTATGCTAAGTTTCCTTAGGGCAGCACCACAGGTGCCTGCTCAGAAGCGCTGCCTCAATACAGCACATCCGTAAGTACCTGTTGACAACAGTAGTCTTAGCTAAGATACTGAGGAGGCAGAAAAGATAGGTGATCAGAAACCATCAAAACATGAGATATCATATGGCACTTTCTGTTAATAATATTTACATATTTTATGCAACAAATCTGCTTGTTGTCTTGTTATTTGAATATTGACACTTTGCTTAACATTGCATATGGTGGGCTGTTGTTTCAGGGTGTATCAGAAGCAGTAAATCCAAAGGAGAATTTCAATTTAGATGTATTTATGTTAAATATATGTATAAATGGATATGTTTGCTCATATTTTAGCTCTCATGACTTTCACAAAGCATTTATAGTATCACTGCTTCCAATCATTTTTGAAACTGTTACATCTTGAAAGTAGAATGCATGATTTATTATATGAAGGCCCAAGGTTAAACGTTTTTTACCCTATAGCTCAGCTTAAGTATTGGTATTTTTGTGTTGGGAAATGTTTTTTAGAAAGTATGTTTTATAATTTTGGAAAATTTGCTTCTTACTAGGTTTCTGTTCTCATTTTCATAGGAAGAGGAGCTTTTAACCAAACAGTTATTAAGGATATATAATATACAGTAAAGTTTTTTATACTATAGAATATGAAATGTAAAATACCTATAAAATGTTTTCTTTTACCCCATTTCATTATGTTGAAAATACCTTTACTCTCTTTCTTTGCTATGTTTTAATTTCTGCTGGTATTTTACATACTTATTCCATTTTGCTTATGGATATATTCCTGGCATGAGAACAGAAACTGCATTTAACTCCCTTTAGCTATATATATATTTCATATATATTTCATATGTGTATGTAGATATATGAAATATATATGTGTGTATGTATATACCTATTTTGTTTTTCCCAATTCAACTGTTTGCCTTATGTCAACTGGATGCTTTTTAAACAACTGATAATTAAATGTCAACTATTTATGAGAGTAAACTCATCTGAGAATGGGTAAACTCTACTTTCATGCATTAGTTCATGATGAAATATTATTCTTGGAAATAGTAACATCTCAGATAAAATTTTAAAGGTAGTGCAATGTGAAGCCGTGGGTTTCTGTATGTCGTTCTAAACTTTTTGCTTATCTTTTGACTTACTATCCTCACCATTAAGAGACATTTTTACCTTCACCTAGGACCAGCTACATAATTTCTGAGACCCAGCGCAAAATTAAAATGTGAGGCATCTTGTTCAAAAATTAATTTGAAGACAGCAACACACAGCATTAAACAAAATGCAGGGCCCTGTATTGTGTGGTGGGGTGGGGGCCTGTGTGCCTGAACAAATGATGGGGCAATGAAGCCAGCCCTGCCTTCACCACCTACAGACTTTTATCTGGGGCCACCTTTGTAGAAGTCACTAGGTTTCCTATTGGAGACTGACTATTCCACAATGATTCCATCTGCCTCTGCCGAAAAAGATACTAATGAGAGTTGAGTAAGAAAACTGATGGGAAATGAACCATTAAGTATCTCCTGCTCTTTCTATATCTGAACTGGGGATTGAAATATTTGCTTTTGTCTCATCTTGCCCTGTGTCTCATATATCTCCTATATATCATGTGACTTTTTGCTCAAGTATTCTTAAAAGGAACTTTGTGTGTGTGTGTGTGTGTGTGTGTGTGTGTGTGTGTGTGTTTAATGGTTTGCATGCAGTTACATACTTCAATACTTATCCCAGGCCCAGAATAATTGTAGTAGTAAGAGCTTAGGAGGTTCTCTGTTGCCAAGTACTGCCACTATCCCTCCTCGGTTAAGGCACAAGAAAAATGAGTATTTTTATGTAGAAATCCTACATTATCTGATACAAAATGCTGACCATTAAAAAAACGAAAGTATGCTCATTGAGTGACAGGAAGGGGGGGGCAGACCCCCAAATAACCTTGTTATAATAGTGTCAGTATTGATACGTGGACATTAGAAAGTGGTATTTTAGCTATATAAACATGTGACAGCTGTGTTAAAGAGGAAAAGTAACCATTTCATGCGGTAACACTAATGTTGCAGTATGCTGTATTCAAATCCTGGACTTAGCTTCTCAATTTGTATTGCAATAACCTCCCTCTCCCTGAAAATTAGAGTCATATGACTCCTTTACCAACGTTCTGTGCTGATAGGTGGACAAAACATTTACATCGTTGCTTCCCAAAGTACTTCTCAATGAGATCAAACTTCATATTGCGATACCTAAAACTGAATTTTGAAGTCAAGTGGCTTTTTCAAATCAAAACTGAGATATGATGGAATGTCCAGCAAGTATGGATCTGAGTGCACTTGAAGTTGCACCATTTATTTTCAAAAGATATTTCTCACATCAGATGACTCTGCCAGGAAGGGAAATATCAAAGAGCTTGGAAAAAGTAACTATTCTTTTATGTAATCCAAGACTGGGGTGAAAGTGGGGGGCTTTAAAGATATTTTTGAGGAAGAAAAAAATTGAACTTATTTTGAATGCCTTGTTAGACTTTGTCGGGAGAAATGCTACATATGAGACTTTCTAAGAAGAAAAATCTTTGCCCTGTGTAATAACAAGGCATTGCTCTCCACACTGATAGGCACTTTAATGAAAGAAAGCTGGGAAATAACTATTATAACAGTGTCCCATTTAAGTAAAAATTTACCCCACAGTTTAGGAATATTTTTTTTTTTTTTAACTAAGCCATTGCAAACTTGAAATATTTTAGTAGGTAGTTAGCCACAATTCACATTTTCTAATGTTCTGTGTTCTATCTCCATATTCTGTAGTATAATTTCAACGGGGACTCATCTTTTCCTGCTTTACTCCTATACTTGGAATCTTGTATTTTCATATTAAATGTTTTGCTTTAAAAATGATTAAACTAGGAATCTGGGTAAATAAGTGGCAATATAGTATATTGTTGTGCCAAAAAGAGCTTTTTTATTTTTCATCTGTTCATTTCTTTTCCCTTTCAATTTCAAATTGAAGATTGTAAACTCTTTCTTTTAAATAATATACCTCAATGATGCTAAATTATAAATCTTAATTCGGTATGATTCAGTGATTTTAATCTTACAAGATAATTATTCTGAGTAGGATAAAAAAGGTTCCCTTAAGATTGAAGGCATTTTCATTACAATCCCCATTTTCAGATCAAACAAATACTATGAAATAAACAGTACTATTATTCTTTTATGCTTAATAGTTTGTACTTTTCAATTAAAGTATATGGATGAAGAAATAAGGCTATAGATAATGGCAGTCTCATTGTTTGCAAACTAAGTGCTTTTGATAAATTTTACTGCTAGGAATTACATGGATCTAAGGGAATCTTTTAGATAAAAATTACAGTTTTGATTATCTAAATGGAATATGTTCTTGTGCATGTGCATAGATATATTTCTTTGTGAAGGTATTGATGTCAGGGACACTTTTGGTATTCCTTTATGAGTATTTAGGTTAACGGGGTTAGTTAGAAAATGTATCCTTTCCTGGAAAATGAAAAATTACATTCAAGCAGAGGTAAAAGAGTAGAACATATTCATGACTTTAAGTACTTAAAAAGATATTTTATGAGTCATTTTTGAAGAATAATTCCCAATATGTAACTTGTTAAGAATAATCACCATTTTTACTTTCTAAAGCACATCTATATTAAAACTGACTTTCTGTTCATGACTCGCAAATCTGGAGTCAATTTTAGGCCCAACTTACAAAAGATGTGGGTCTTATCCCCCCTGCCCTTATCGTGGTATCCTATGCCAGTAGAGTCAGTACAAAGTTCTCTTTTAAAGAGAGATTTTCATTTGCATTATTCAGAAGATTAAGCAACGTTTTTGGGAGGGAAATACTGATAGGACCCAAATGTAGACATTGGGACCCTGAATGGCCTGTATCCTTGTCTGACAAACTGGAAGGAAAAAATATTACCAGCTTTGGAATTTTACATGCCTATATGAACAGTGCTTTTTCTTTCTGTGGGAAGATTTTAAACATACTATGAATACAATAAGTGTTACCTAATTGGAAAAATATGTTTCCTATAATTCTAAGAGTACTAATCAACCAATCATCGATATCAATTTACTCATGGATGGTAAGATAGTAGAATTTTATTCAGAAATGAATGTCCAGTTGGAGCTGGTATCTCTTTAGAAAGTGAAAAAAATTACACATAAGCAAAATTCTTTTGGTAATTTTTTAAAAACATGGGTGTGAAATCTCCATCAATAAAATTTTTGGCAGTTAAAGTATTACAAAAAAAATTGAAAGCTCTTTATTATGTTTTGTTCTTTAATAAGCCTCTAAATGAGCATATACAGTGCAATAATGCCTTTTTTGTTTACTTTTTTAATTTTTGTCTTGTTTTATTTTGTTTTAGCATAAAGTAAAAAGAACTTATAGGTAAACTATTTTGTACTATTTATTTTTAAAGATATCTAGTAAGGACAGTACAACATATAATATAGGTTTGTTCATAATCATGGGTAAAAAATCTACAATTTTACCACCATGTAATGGTAGTTCCTTGAAATTTTACCCTACTACAGCAAAATGCCACAGTCACTAAGATGGGAGGTGTTGCTGATATATGATTGGAATGCACATGTATACTTAAATACATAATTTTTAAAAAAATTGTCTTTATTTTCTAACAGCTTGTTGGTGTCCTTTGCTTAGGGCTAAGGGGAAAATGTTTTCTGCTATTTTGCTATTGGCATACTCACCAAGAACCTTGCTGTCTAAGCCATCTTCCTACCTACCTAGCTGTGTACCGTTTTGAAGAGCTGTTTTTTTCTTTTCTTTTCTTTCTTTTTAAAAAATTTTTGATATTTGTCTGCAAGACTGGTTATTACTTGATCATCTGGAAAATCAAATTTCATTTCAGCCACTGGAATATGATACTTAGATCATGAGAAGTAGTTTGAATTAATTAAGAGGATAATATTAGGGTTTATATTAGGGAAGAGTAAAGCAGCATTTGTTGTCATGGACAACATGTAGGAATAGGGGAAGGAGGCACAAGTTCGAGAAAGTCATTGAGGCAAAGCTAACATTAAAGACTGTTTTCATGTGGTTGTTACACAGAATGATATTGGCAATTTTGTAAATTAAACCCTAATATTAATTATGTAAAAAAAACCTTATCAGTTATTAAGAATCATTGACTAATAATCAGTAAATAGCATGTAGCACTATTTTAACAAATTATATTCTCCGTATCTTTTCGTCCCCATAATTTTAAAAAGTGTGAAAACATATATATATGCCTTTAAAGATGGTTCAACTTATTCTCAGACTCTTTTATTCTCTCTTAACATACTCAAGTTTTTAGGCCACAAATGAAGTGACAGAATAAAATCCATTGAAGATGGAGGTATATGTCCTTTAAGGCTTCTTTTGGAAACTAATGTGTTTACTGCCATTATGGAAGTTGAAATCATTGAATACTTTGAATTGGTTTTAGAAAAATTTGATGTTAAATTTTGTATCAACTCAGTAAATGCTTGCTATAACTTCCTGACCAAACTAAAGCCCCAAACAAGCAAAATAAATAAATAAATAATAAAAAAACTTTTGCCTAAGCCCTACACCAGATCAGTTAGATGAGATTTTAAACTCCTCAGATGATTCTAATGTAAACCAAACATTTATATATATCAAGAGATCTTAAAATTTTTACCTTTTAAAAAAATGTCATTCTTCCTGGTTTGAAGTTAGAAAAATGAAGATATCTATTCAGAACTGAATATACTAATGACATGTACAGATAGCTCATCATCCGGCTGAAGTTCAACAACCTATCTAGACTTTTGAAAACATTTCTGTCAGTCTTGCAAGAACATCTCAGGAAAGTAACGATGATGAAGGACAGTGTCAGCAGAAGCCCACAGTCGAAGATCATTTTGTTACCTTGGGTAAGCCATTCAACCTCACTGAGCCTTAGTTTTTAGTTTACTTTTTTATAAAAGAAGAGATGATTGAGGTGATCCGATGATGACTAAGATTTCTTGCAGTTTTGTATACTCCATGACTGCTTTGTCATGGACCAGTGAACTCAAGTAACTTGGACCTTGCTAGTCGTCTAAAAGATGCAAAATATTTTTGTTTCTCTTAAGAAAGCTCCAAAAATTATCTTGGAAACAATGTAGAAAGCTCAAGGACCATTTATTACTTTGTTAAGCCCATCAGAAGAGATGATAAGCATTCATTAAATATGCTTACTAATTGGTTGCATGCAAAAGTGTCAGCAATTCTAATATCTTAAGAGTTGATGGGTATTAGTTAGCTAATGCTTTTCTCTTGTAAGAGATTTCAATAGAGTGGCAATCAGATTAACTTAAGCAGTGGAGTTAGAAACCTCAAATCCTTAAAATATTTAGTATGAAAGGTGGACTTTTATCAAACTGAAAGCAATACTTTTTTCCTGTACTTTATCAGCAACTAGTCTTTGTCCACCTTCTTTTTGCTTCCTGGCATGTTCTTCTTCGCTTGTTGAAATCCTACTAGGACTTTGGTATCCAGGTCAGTTGTTGCATCATCCATGAAGCCTTCTTTGAGGCACCCTAATTAGGATTGATTTCGACGTCTACTTAATTGTCCCTTAGAACATTTGAAATGTCTCCTTTAGATCACTTACCATCATCTTTCTCCTACTATAGATTGCTAGGCATTTGTGTTTCTCTATTATGAAGCTGTAAATTGCTTGAGAGCACACACATCTAATTCATTTTTATTTTTTATCTCCTCAACATGTGTGTATAGCATAAGACCTATAATAGGAATTCAATAAATGTTTGGTGAATTGAATTGATAAAAGCATAGGAAACTATCACTTGGTTAATATTTTATTTTATTTTATTATTTTATTATTATTATTATTTTTGAGACGGAGTCTTGCTCTGTCACCCAGGCTGGAGTGTAGTGGCGCGATCTCGGCTCACTGCAAGCTCCACCTCCCGGGTTCACGCCATTCTCCTGCCTCAGCCTCCCCAGCAGCTGGGACTACAGGCGTCTGCCACCACCACGCTCGGCTAATTTTTTTGTATTTTTTAGGAGAGACAGGGTTTCACCGTGTTAGCCGGGATGGTCTCGATCTCCTGACCTCATGATCCGCCCGCCTCTGCCTCTCAATGTGCTGGGATTACAGGCGTGAGCCACCATGCCCGGCCAGTTAATATTTTATTAATCTTATTTTAAAAAATTAAAAGATGATTTTTAAATATTTAAAGAATGGATCTATGAAAATTGTATATTTCATTAAAAAATTGAAATTTCTATATTCTTTATATAATGTTATTACCAAAGAAAGACTTTATAACCCTGAAAAATAGTTTTATAATTATATACTTAAAAAGGAGCTTACAGTCATTAATTCTATTTTTGTATCTCTAGATAGGAGAGCCTTTAAACTCTTTTATAAAAAACATTATGCTATCTTTAAAATCTTATAAAACATAAATCTATAGACTACTTTGATTATAGGTGTAACAAATAGCTTTAAATCACTATTCTCCATGAAATATTTTTTTCTCATGTGTTTGCAGACAGAAAAATTTGAGGGTACAGAAATCATAAAATATTAGACTCTGAGACTTCCAGATTGACTTCTTACCAATATAGAGTTGATTGACAGTTGGTCATTCTGCCTTTGGTTGAACGTGGGAAATAAGTACCTCCTAAGGCATTTCTTTCTATTTTGTCCTTTCTCTGATAAATAGGCAGTTTGCAAATATGTGCACTATCAGTATTCAAGACAGATTTCCTTGGAAACATGATGATACTGGGGTGGTAAAATGTGAGATGCAAACTAGTTGATCTACAGTTGATACGATAACTTAATTCGTGAATGTCTTTGGTTAATATTTTAATTGGGACCTTTATCTAACTAAATAGTGTCTATTAATTTATTTTGTACTGAATACTGGGCAGTAAACAATTTAGCTGGGATTTCACCCAATAGCTCTTTTAGGTGTTCAATAGCTTTACCAGTTGGGTTTGTGTGCTCGTGGAAGGGTCAGCTACTTTCTCAAATCTGCCGTGAATGTTACAATAAATAGCATTACAGTATTTCTAAGGCAAATTCAATTTGATCAAATGTTAAATTATAATGAGTTAGGCAACAGTATTTGACAAGATTTATATTTCATATTTGTGTTTTTAAACCTAAAGATGTACCAGAGAAAAGCATTTGCTCACATTATTTCGTTAAATAACCCAGAAAAAAACAAAGACTCTATTGTCATTCTTTTAAAAACACAATTTTACTAAGAAAACCTATAACCTTTACTGAAAGCTCACTCGTTTTCTTCCAATTTGGGCTCTTGAGAGCTGAAAAGTTCTAGATGCTATCTTACCACTTCATATTGAAATCTAGGTTGATGTCATACACTCTACGCAGAAGAAAGTATCTGTAGTGCTGATTGTTGAACCTGAATCATTACAAAGATGTGCCATTTAGTGAGCTATAATGGACAAATGTTGCTTAGTTAATTGTATAAAAACACTGCATCTTCAGCAAAGAGCTCTAATAGTAAAGGACAGTACATTGAAGGTAGAATAATAAAGATTGTGAAACAATATGTTAAAAGTAGCAAAAGCATTTTTGCAGTGTGACTTCAACAGTGAAGACCCGTGTGTTTAGTTCCTTTGTTAAATAGACACTTCTGGTTTTCTAGAAACCATTCAATGTGCTTCAAGTGAGTTAAAATTGTTAAAATATAGATTAAAAGCCATCAGATTGAGAGTAAAGGCCACAAATTGTAAAACCTTATAGTGGTAGCTTGCCAACAACCAACTTAAATCCAGGGAATATTTAAAAGAGGCTTAAAATTCTACTTGGTTTATAATCAGGAAGCTGTGGGGTTTTAAATTAATAAAAATATTCATGAGAATTATTTACATGTAAAATGCACCCATTTTCCTTTACCCTTCTGGTAGAAGAAAATTGGGTGATCCTTCTCAAAAGGGTAATCATGTAAGTTGGTGGCCACAAAGTATGAACCATGGTTAAAAGTCAGTGGTTAATGGTTTATTTTGTTGTCTGCCTTCTTTTACTGCTTCCTCCTTCCTTCCCTTTCTTTTTATTTACTTATTTATTTATTTTGACCCTATATGCATAGTTGACAGCTGTCAGTAATAGAATTTTTGGCTAGATCTAGACACAGCAATTCTTGAAAAATATGAAACTATATTTGTCCTTTTGGCCTATGATCTGAATTAAAAGATAAAATTATTTCAGGCCAATACAACTACATAGGTACATGCATGCGTGCACACGTGTGTGTGTGTGTGTTTATTTAGTAGAGCAACCTGTCTTTGCAACAAATGACAGTGTTGAAAGCTCTTTCATTCTGAATGGACCAGTTAGTAGCTCCATACAGACACCATCTAAGTGAACCTATTTAAATACCTTTCCAGATTCTTAACTAAGTGGTGCAAGTCTGTCTTGGAGGTGGCACTTATTTGTCCCTTAGGGGTTAAGTTTGGTTTGATATTCAGTTGAAGTGTCAGTAAATAAGATTTATGAGAAATTAATTAAAACTAAAATTGAAAATGGATGAGGTACAAGTTTACCCTAAAATGGCTTGAATATATTTGTCCCAAATGCATGAAAAGAATGTTTTCTAATGGACTCTTTTGATTAGAATAGAAACTAATCACAAATAAACCATTTAAAATTTGCTATCATGATACAATTGTTTTCATTCAGTGGTCGGCCATGCCTTCTTTTAGCCTTGTCTTTGTCCAGGGTTTAGTTTAGTCATGCATATGTCCTTGAAGAAATGTAGCATCTTTCACAAGATTTTGTACAAGTGAAATCAGATACCAATTTTTATTGCAGAACCAAGCCTACAAATGTTTCTCTTTAAAGACATTTTTAATAGAAACAGTAAGGTATAAATCATTTAAGCAATTACCTGGACATTGTGGAAACGGGGCTTGGCTTATTCTGTAGCCCCAGATGTTTCCAGATTCCAGTAATAACCCGGTCCAGATATTTACAGCTTAATTTTCTGTGCATGTGCATTTGTCCACAAATGGCTCCTATTTCCCATTTTCTGTTGGACAACTGGGCTACTTAGAGGTTTAAAAAAAATGATTTCAGCTTGGGTGATGACAAACATTAATGGTGATAATAAGTTGCTTCTAGAAACTTTGATCACTTAAAAACATATAGAGGCTAAATTTTAGAGGATTTTATACTAAAAAATAAATTGTTCAAATGGCATTTTGCTTTATGGATGAGACTGGGATGAATAACTTCCCCCATCCCTCAAAATTTTAGTCTTGATATGCTACGTGATCAAAGTGATTCTTCGTTTTTCTTTAAAAAATGCATATTCTGGCACTGGTTGGGTTATCATGCAGGCTGCTAGTTTTTCTTTGCATCACTACCCCACAGGTTTTCTTCTTCTTACTAGAAACTAAACAAATGGAAAATAATGATTGGTAACCATCTGCTGTGCAGAAATTTTACATATAGCAGTTAACTCTATTTTAGAAAACAAGACCAAATGAGTGCATTATACTGTTGCCAGTAAATAGCAACAAGCACTAGAGCGTTCCTTTGGACAACGCAGGCACACAGGGAGCCAACATTTTGTTATGGGAAGTCAGTTGGTTGGGCTGTGGGGCTGAGTGTGCCCAGACATTTACTTGTGTGTTTGTGTCTGTGTGCCTATGTCTGTGTATGTATTGCTTATGTGAAGAAAGTGATTGCTTCCTCTCTGCCTTCTCCTTGTGTCTCCCTTCTTACCGCCATAATTCCAGTCACGTAAATCAAAGTAATGTAGATGTAAATAAATCAATTCAATCACATCATCCTAAATCTTTTTATTCACTTAAGAAATAAACTTAAAATCCATAAAGTCAGACAGAATAAAGATTTGTAAAAGTATGTAGGCTTCAGATCGGAATCGTGGTTTTCTTCATTGTACATATTACAATGACTAGTGGCTAGCCAATGCATCTTTAGATTATTCTCTTGTCGTATCTTCTGCCTAAAAAACACCTTAACAGGAAATTAGATTGAGTATATGTACAAAAGATATTGACAGGCAATGATTATTCATATAGCTGCTGTTGAAGTATGGATGTTGTATTGAGGGTAGACCTATAATGAAATAGACAGAAGTAAGCTGTTACAAAGAATTTATTCAAATGGACCAGGTAAGGCCTGATTTTATAGTTATCCATATAATCTGTAATATGTCTCTCTCTCTCTCTCTCTCTCACTCTCTCTGTCTTATATATATATAATCTGTTTATTATATCAATATACTTAGGCACTCGAAACATACAATCTCTCTCTTGCTTTCTAACTTTCACTTATTTGATATGGGGATTTTGCCATACAGCAAGAAAAGTTGTTTAAAATGGGCAGTATATTGAGTTCAAAGGACCCATACAGTTCATAAATTCTCTGGTGTCTACTGGATTTTTCATCAGGGAGACTTCCAATAAAAATGATCTATTTTAGAAATAATATTGTTTAGTAGGTTGAAATGTGGTGTAATAAAATTAGACCTTCAGTCTTCTAAAGTTACTACTTAGATGGCACCCTTGGGATGGTAAAATGGCTGTATAAGCAGATGAATCAGACAGTTCCACTGATGGGTACATTTGTCAGTCTCTGTTACAGATATAATATATTCTTATATCTGTAATCCTGACACTGTTACATCCAAATGAAATCAACATGAGGTTGTCATCTTTAAGCAAATATGTTAAGTGTTGTCTTTTGTGCTTTGGATTTGAAAGAAAGGGGCCCAGGGGAGGCAGCATCATGCAAATGGAACAAATCCCATTTCTTCTGAGCTGTGCTGTTTTTCCCCTCCATGGCAGCTGGCTGTGTTATCTTTGTGTGTTTCTCTGAGTGCTGACAATTCTTTCAGTGATCTAAGTTAGGGCACATTAGAAAGTGGAAGCAGCTGTCTGTCGCTATACTGAGAGACGTGTTTGCTCTACTGCAAAGATGAAGGACCATGAATCCTTGACACACTCTCCCCCCTCCCCCCTGTACTTTCCAACATGATCAACATTCAGATGCACAGATTGTCTGCTTGGACAGTTTTTTGTTCTGACTGACAGCATCTGGCATAGACAAATTTAAAAATACATAGCATGCCATGCTTGGAATTGGAACATCCCTTTTTTATTAATCTTCTCATTTAAACCATTCATTTACATTTCAAGAAAGGTTACAGCTTGATATGGTTGAAACGTTGATTTTTAAATGAATAACCTTCTAATGAAATGTCTTGAATAAGTACCAAGCAGCCAGTGTTCATTAAAAATTACACCCGATTAACACGGCCTTGAAAGCCTGAGAGGAAAGGGATTTCTTATTGTTTTAATCCACAATGCAATCCAGTGTTTACCTTTCTGGCACAAAGCGAATAGAAATGATGCCTGTACTTGCAACACTTCTGATATTGAACACAACTATGATATCACCCTTAAGCCGACAAAAAACACTTGGTCTTGTTTAATCAGCTTTTTTTCCCTCTGAAAGCCCTCAGAGGTGTTAAATTTTTTTAAAAAAATTACCAAAATACACCTCTCTCAAATGTCCCACCCCTCCATCACCCCAAAATACTATGACTCTATGCCCACATCAGAAAAAGAAAAAGCTTATATGTTTTCAAGTGGAAGAGTAGTAGAAAACGCTTTTAGGTTAAATGCTTCCCCTGACCCTAGGATGGTGGATATACATTTATTTGTTTGCATTACTTTGGTAATAAAACATAACAGTGCAAAAATTGCTCTCTTTCTCTGCCCCACTCACCCCCACACACATTCACATTTCTTAACCATTCTCAATTCCGTAGTTAACCTTAGCAACATGCCTAGCATTCTTGTAAAAATAATATGAAAATTGGCCATATCAGTCAGTCTTTGGACTTTGAGTCCAGGGGCGGAGGTAGAAATAAGGGTAGGAGAATCCTCTTTTTATCATGCATTTTAGACTTTTCATATCACTGCAGACTTCAGCTGTTAACTACTCACTCCAAGGGTAGCTACATTATTACATAGTTCTAAGGGGTGTTTGGAGAAGGCAAGTGGTGCAAAATTGTAATAAAAAATATATTCAAGTGCTGGGTAGTAAATATGTAAAGCAATGTACTGGATAACTTGGAAAAACAGGCTTCAGAGGGAAGTTCAATTAACAGTTGTAAGCAGAAGAGGTGCTGTATTTCTTCAGCATGTGTAAGAGGTCACTTGCTTTAGGATAAATTTTGACGAATTCCAGAGAGAAATAAATGCTGAAATAAAAATGAAAACAGATTATAGTTTTATATCAAAGGCACTTTTAATTTTTGAATATGATAGGGGAAAATGACAAGATTTTATTCCATGGATTATATATGATTACTTTTTATATATTTTACTATGTTTAAATTATACACTTATTTTACTTTAAACTGTTATTCAAACAAAAGAAATCTTAGAAATGAACATTATCTTTGAATCTGGAACCAGTTTATCCACTCACCCTTCAACCCAGATGCTGGCTCTATAAATTTAAGGTAGACATAATTTGGTTGCTGTTTTTCTTTTCTTTTTTTCCTAAAAGCTAATGGTAGGGAATCCAACTGGAGTGGATCTATTTCCAGTGTTTTGATTGCTAGTAAATGTTTTATAATCAACATTTTAAATATAAATTACATCCTTTGTTATTTTCCATTTTGATTTTTTTTAACGACCAGTTTTTAAAGGTAGTGCCAATGTGCATATGTAAGCAAACTGGGAATGGGTTAAAGTACACAATTCCCTTGTGTAAAAAGCCAGGTTTAGCAGTAATGCTTTTAATCTGGACTTGTGGAAGATTCAGAAGCATCCATAGATCTGCTCCAGTAATTACCATACCCCAAGTGGCACTGGAAGAGACATTTGCCTAAAAACTTGATGTCTTCATTACGCTGTTTACATTTTAATTAGAAACATGAAAATTACTGATTCATACAGACAACTATAGTTTAAGTGGTTTCGTTCACCATCCAATAAATCATAAAAAAGCCCCACAGTTGGCATAAATAGTTTACTAGGAATCATTCATGGGAATAATGTGTTGGCACTATAAGCTGCTTAAAATATGTTTTTATTTTACCAGAGGTAGAATTTGCATATAAATTAGAGAATGGCATTTTAAGTTGACAGTCATTTATGCAGAATACCACCCACATGCAAATACATATATGGGCGTATGTGTATACTTTCTTTGAGTTTATAGGTTTTTGCAGTGTTGTGGATATAGATTCATACCCAGCCTTAGCCTATCAGTTTTTAAAATGAGTGTCCTCTTTTAAAGTCCTTTCAGAAATGCTGTGGGTGTTCTAATGCATATCCACAACCATATCTTTTATTTGTTGGGCAGTATCAACTTGTATAAAAGGAAAATGTTTATTTCTTGTATGTGTATGTCTGGAAAAGGAGTTGCTGTTTCATTTGCTCATTCATTCCCTCTTTCCTCTGTCTTCCATTCATTCTCCCCTAACTTTTGCATGTACCTGTCAATGCTGCTGCCCTGAAACCGCTCCCACTCAGAGCGGCTGGAGTGAAGCAGGGTGGCTGTCAGAGTCCATTCCTGAGTCAGCAGCATGTCCATTGCCTGAATCTTGCGACAGTCACTCATCTAGTTTTTCCTTCCCCAGGGGACAGGCGTCCTCCTCATCAGCAAGGAGGAATGACCCTTCTGGCTGGCATGCTCAAAATCCCGAATCTCCCCACATTGGTGTGTGAGTTCAAATCCCCCCTCCTGGAGGCAGGGCTGGGACTCTAGCTAATGACTCCAAGATACAGAGGGTCAGCGCACTGGTGAGCTCGAGTACTGAGGCATTGTGTGAGCCGAGTTGTACATTTTTCCCATAACTGCAGACTCCTCTCCTTCTCCTCTCCCCTCCCCAAATCCTTTATGGTAGATCAACATGATGCACAAATGAACCAGGCATAGCCACAGACAGTATAAGCTATTTTCCTTTTCTTTATCTTTATTAGAAAGTTACTGGTCATGGATGAAGGAGGGTGTGTTATTTTTTGTTTGTTTATTGTTGTTTGGTTGAAAGGAAGCACACAATGAATGGACATTCGCATTATGTGAGTGTTAAATTCACATTTTAGGCCCATCGGCTATAAATAAAAATGAATTTGAAAAATATTACATAGGAGAAAGAGTGTATGCATAAATGTTTAATTTGGAATGCTATAGTGGTCATTGTTTTAAACTTTTGAATGTGAATGTATTAGGTTGAAACTCATGCTAACTGCCTGACATGATTTCTGGGAATTAATGGGTATAAGATTAATTTTCAAGAAGCTGCTTTAGGTGAGATAAATTTTGAGCTTCACTTCTACATCTTTTGGTTTGCTTTTTGTAAGTTCTAGAGGATTGCCAAAGTTGGAAGATGCTAATCAGTTATTTTTAGTGGCTCACAATATTTTAGATTTTAATGGAAAGTAGCTAGGATCAGTTTCTTGGTAATCCAGGTAATTGGTCTAGGTAATCAGACCAGGAGTTTTAAAAACAGTAATTAGTACTTTGCATTTACGAGGCAGAATTCCTGAACAGGTTAGTTAGGGTAATAGTGGAATTCATGGACATATGCTCATTGGTTTGCTTTGCATTGCCTCTTTTTTGGGGGGAGGTGACGCAGGACACTTACTAGGTTTCTGTGCTTCCTAGATGTGATTAGACACAATAGTCAACATCTGTAAGGACAGAAACATGCTGCTTACTTGTACACATGGCAAAATTCTAATAGTTCTGTGCAGTCTGGTAAATCCTGTCTGCTTTATGCAGTGTGGCCCAAAACAGTTATGTGGTGAGGGAATGCTGGCTGCTGGCCAGCCATTGACTATGAAATCCTGGGTACCTGAGAGCTTATCAGTTCTTTTGCTTTGTAAAAGAAAAAAGTGATGAAAATGTTGGTAAACTGCCATGAAGGTTTAAGGCTCCTGGAACAAGGAGCCGTGTAATCAGATTGGAAAATGGAGCTTGAGATTCTCTGCATGGAGAGCAGCCGTCTGTGGACCCCGTGAGCCGCTGTGCAAGTGCCCGAGCTGACCACTTTGTTAGCAAATCAGCTTGTTTGCTGCAGCAGCAGGGTGGAAAAGACCAGAGCTTGTGATGGTATGTAACGGAGGGAGAGCTCTTGCATGGCACAATCTAATCAGCTTGCAATTAGCTCAGGCTCTACAGTCACCTTCTTAATTTTCTTTTTTCCCCCCTCTTTGTGTTAATACTGTGCACTTTAAACAATTAAGGAAGGGAAGTAATCCTTCAAGCAAATCAAAACCATCCTTTAATTTTATCACCCTGCTGAAAAAGTATCAGGTGGTCCACTGGTCCTCATCAGATGCTGGAAATTCTCCGGCTCACTGTAGCACAGAGAGGGGCTTTAACCAATTGATTTTTGGGATAATCTTTCAAATATCTTGGCAAGGAGGAGAAGAAAATGGTACATCATTTAAACTAGAATCAAAGTTAAAACTGATGTGAAGGGGGATTACAAATGCCTTTTGGTTTACATGCAGTAGTAAATGTCTTTTGGTTTATATACAGTAGTGCCTCTGTTTTATATTTTTAATAACCAGAGGCAGGCTCTGTGTGTGTGTGTGTGTGTGTGGTGTGTGAAAGAGACATCTGTGTGTGTATGTCTCATATATAAAATCCTTTATACTGCTGTTTATTTAGGCATTTCTTTACAGCACCTTTCTGAAGACTCTGATGACATAGCCACTTGTACTGATAATTCCACTACTTCACCTTTACCGAACTTGATTCACTAAGGTTTAAAAGAACAAGGCTATCATTGCTGATCATATGTGCTACTTGTTAATCCCTTAAAATAAAATTCAGATCCTGTGGGAGAGAGGTGAGAAGAACAAAACAGAGATTTGCAAAATTGGTGTAACAGTTTTATATTTTACTGAATTTAAGGACAATGACTTCTGTAATATCACTTAAATAAGATGCCTATTTACATAAACAAAATAAACAAATCTTCTAATAAATATTACTTAAGCTACTTTTCCTCATCCTCAGAGTTTTTGCTAAAATATTATTCATGTGACTGAATCTCTGACCAGATACGTTTATTAGGTGTTTGTCTGTCATGAGGTGAAAATGGGCACTATTTCACCAACGTTTACTTTAGAAAGCACTACAAGAAATGATTACTATAATAGCTTTTGCTTTTAATGGTTATTAAATAATCAATTAGAGTATTTTAAATAATTCTGCTGCATAATAGTCCATTTCTTTTGGAGGTTGTTTGTGTTAATAAAAATAAAAATTGCTATAATGTGATTGATGTTTGATTACATTAACATTGTATTTGAATTCTTTCCATGTTGGCAACATGAAAATTTATTTGCCTTTATTAAATGGAAAAATATTACTGTTTTATTTTGCCTTAAAAAAAACCTCACAACATATAACCAAGCATTTGAACTCAGCGGTTTTTATTTTAACAAACAATTCAAAAAGTTTAGGTGTTCGTGTATTAATGTTGCCTTTAAAATAGCACTTGTTATCTTTCTATATGTATTTGATTATATGTCTTACATTTTGTACTTGGAAGAATGAATTCAGTTTGATAGAAAATGAGAGTAATTGATATAAAGTGCATTTCAAATTAAGTAAGCTTTTAAGTTTGCCTCAGGGTTTTGCTGGTGTTTCTACAGTGTGTCCTTTTTTTGTTTTTTAACTTTTTTGTTTCTAATTAAAAAATAGATTAAAAGAAACATACATCACCTACACACATCTCATGCTGCAAAGATTCACTTTATATTCTTTTAGAGGACAAACTCCATTAGATATGCACTTACTGTACATTGGATTGTAAATCTTACAATTTAATGGTAATTCAGTGAGCAGTTATTGCTTCAGTGGCCTTTTTTCTTTCTTTTTTGTCCCATCTCACTTGTGAAATAGGGTTACCCTTTACAAGTGTCACATCCATAGATTCATCTTTTGTACTTTGTAGTTGTTCCTGGTGCATCATTCTTATGTTTAAAAAAAGGCAAAGCAATGGAGGAACCATGTGGAGGGTGGTAGGTGGGGAGTGTGTGTACGTGTGTGTTCAGAGGGTGGGGGCTGTGGAATGACAGCTTTCATGCTTATTCCAGAGAGCGAGGGAGGGGCAGGGGGAGATATCCAGAAAGATACAAGACTCTAGCAACAGAATAACCAGGAGCGTTAGCATCAGTCTAACAGATTAATATCTTTTTCTAAATATGCATTTCCTCTAACCTCATTCTTAATCTAACGTTCAGTTTTCCGTAACAGATTGCATTCTGCACTTGAATTCCTGGAAGTAGAAATAGTATCTGATTGGTACAAGTCTCTTTGCCTTGCTTACACTGTTAATATTCTTATCCTTTTTGGACACTGAAATAGTTTTTTTTTTTTTTTTGTAGAAACAATATACACATTCATAAAGAAATTATAAAGTGATTCTCCTTTTGAAGATAATGAGTTCTCTTCAGGAACTGCAGGTTACATGGCGCACAAATGAGCTCTAAGTGGGGGGATTTAAAGTCCTGCTACAGCATTTAATTTCTTGAGGAAAGGAGTTCAGTTCAAGGTTAGCCTGTTATTGTGGCACTGGCAACTACTTCTCGCGTCCCTGTTCTTCTGCCAGCAGTACTGCACAAAAGGCAGTCATTTTTATTTAATACGTAGGGAGGTATTAATCACTGCAGTATTTTCTTGCAAAAATTTATCTTATCATATTCATTGTTTCACTACCCATGACAATAATAGGTGTTTAATTACTCAATAAGAGCCATTTATAGATTCCATTTTTCCTGTATGCTGGACAAATGGTATTGATTTTGTACTTTGATGCAACATGAAACTGTATTAAACACAATTAGAATTCCAAGGCTGGTAAAATGTACATTTGTTATGGTAACTGGACTTGCTTTGAGAAGCTGCAAGCGTCTTCTAATACAGGGAATGCCTTTGGAGTAAAAAGGAGATTTGATTTTATTGCAGCTCTGTGGTTAAAAATGAATGCTTTTTTTCTTATGTTGTGTGTCTATGTGTGTGTGAGTGCATGTGTGCATGTAGATTTTAGTTTTAGTGAAGTAATAAAAAGTTTATATTAATTGAAAAGATTTTAAATGAATGGTTCTTTGCAGTCAGACAAGCCATTGTGTACAGGTGAACACTGACTCTGTGTAATCTTGTAATTGTGTCTCTTTAGCTAATGCCATAGGTCTTTATTTTACCAACAAGTAAGTTATTACCTGGAGTGAGGGTAGGAACTCTACTAGATAAAGTAGTACCTTCATCTCATGCTGGTTTCTAGTTTAACTCCTTCTAAGGTGATGAGGAAGGCCTCCAAATCCCTATTGTGTCATAAGTTAAAGAGTGGGTTTTGTTAAAATTGGCACTAAATAAAAACCTTTCATTTAGCTAGCACTATTATGTCATAGTCAGGCAGCACAAAGTCTTGCACAGAACTGAACTCAATTCTGTCTTCCAGCAGTGCAAGTCTGCCTGCATTTTGCTTTACTTTGCTTTTTGCAAACACATTTCCACCTGCCATTTGGCCCATCCAAAACTATAATTTGAGAAGACTCTCTTGTTGGCCAATGCATTAATTGCCTGTGATTTTCAGCTTCTTAAAGATTTATTTGCTGTGGAGGAAGGGCATTTAGCCTAACCAAAATAAAAAGCAAAATGAACCAAGGATAGACTAGCAGTTGCCTAATCTTCATAATTTCCACGAAAGTGTAGCTTGTATCCTTGCTAAATCTTACTTTGTATTTTTTTCTAAGGATCATAGACCTCCAGGCTGAAATTTCTCAGTTTTAGAGAGTGAATGGATGACTACCCTTATCCCTAAATAAAGGAAGTAGCTCATTGACACAATTCCTTTCTGCATCGAGGGTATTTTATTTGCTGGAACACTAATGACCAGTACTAGAACACTAATTGATAGCACTACTTTGACACAGAATTTTTAACATTTGTGTAGAAGGCACAAAACTTCAGGAGAGATTTTATAAATATTTGCCATTTGCTTCACAGTACAGAAACAACCTCAGTCAATTGTTTATTAGTTTTAATTGAACATTTCTTATTCAATTAATATTTGTATTATTATTTTCCTTATGGGTTGTCATATGATAGGATATGTTAACATTTGTAAGGCAATGAGAAAATAAATAACAGTTTACATCTGGCTAGTGTATTCCTTTTTATCCTAGAGCTTTCAAGAGTGAGAGTAAAAATAAATTGATTGACCTGCCCATTTTAAAACACCATTCTATTTTTTTCTCATAAATATGAAAAGAAAACCCAACTTTCATTCCCGAAGTATGTGTTTTATGTTTATTTTACCTTGTTATAGGGGCTGGGCAGATACTGGGAAGAAGGGGCTTCTCGGGTAATGGAATCTGAGGTCTGCAAAGTCCTGTTCAGATAGATCCTTGAACACATAGTAAATCGCTTCTTGAGTGGGATGGGGAATGCTGTAGTTTATAAGGTAGGATTACCTTTCAAAGGAGAAGAAAAAAAGTCTAGATATTTCCAAACCTTTGGTCTTTCTCCAGCATACTGAAACTAAGGTCTGCTTGATTATCTGGCCTGGGCTGTAGGTCGCTGATGATTTCATTTGTGATCTCTCCAGATGAACTCTTTTGTACTTTATATTTCAGCTTAGACAAATCATTTATTTACTTAATAATGTGCATGTAGTTTCAATTAAGTGAAAGATGATCCCATGTAATTAGCTAGTTGTAAAGTGGATTACATAAAAAACTGGCATGGAGGCTGTTCTATAGCTAAATATTACTTTTTAGAAAGGCTTCCACCTCAAAAAGAGTGTCTGGATTGCCCAAGGAGTGTCTGGGTTTGAATTTGGGCTGCACAACTCCTTACTGCAAGGTGATGTATTCCTTCTCTGTGTTTGCCAAGGTCAAAGTTATGTGATGCACGTGGAAACTTGGCTTTCTAAGGAAGCCATCTGAGTCCTCATTATGGCATCAGAATGTATGAAGACTTACACTCTGGTATGCATAAGGACACCCATTGCCGTATTTACGGTACCTTAGACTCTTCAGGAAGAATCTATTTTGAGAACTTTACTTTTGTCATCTTATCTCACAGAAACTTTCTATATCGTTGTGAACAATGAACAATAGTCTATATGCAACCATTACTTCTTAAGCATTAATATCATATGTAACTTCTGAATTCCTTTAACTTCCTTACTTGGGGTAGTATAGTATTTTGTTTGTGGAAGCAATTCTAGACTCCTGTGTCTACCTTGTTTTTCTTTTTCTCCCCTTACAGATTTTGCCTTTCCTCCCTCCAAACCTCAGCACCGTCCACTCCTGCCCCCATCTAGCAGGATTCTCCTAACCTCACTTTTAGCTGTTTGAATAAAAATCGATAAGACTATTATAAGCATTTGAAACTTTTTAAAAGACAGAAACAATATTTTAATTACTACTGACATGCCAGTTGGAAGCCCATATCCTCTTTTATGACAGTTCAGTTTAGAAACTACATTGCTTCATTTCAGTAACTTTATTACCATTTGGCTTAGAGATTGCTATTTCGCCTTGGCCACAGATTTCATCAGTTGCCCGGTTCACCTTTGTCCACATTATACTTGTGAAATGACCTCCTCCGTTAGTGCTTGTCAATAGTAAATTGCTATATTCTGCGCCTAGAAACACACCAAAGGACTACAACATTTTATTGAATGACTGAGTTTGTACTTAATTTTTAAAAATTAAAATTTAATTGGAACAGTCTTAATTACATTTAATACTAGTTAATTAAGGCACTGGTTAGGGTCAGCTATCACAGACATCATTCTTATTGATAGTAGGAACAATAAACACAGCGTAGTGTGCAGGTGTCTATATAACAAGTATGTTTTCTTTGGTGTTTTCCCCCTTTAATTTTCTAACTATTCTATCAAAATAACAATATGTGAGGTGGCCAAGATTCAGTTATCCTGATGACATCAAATTAATTTTTTTTGAGAATTCCCAATGATGAAATTATCTCTTCACAGAAACTTCTTTTAAAATGTTGAGAAATTTGTGCTATTGTAACATAAAGACAAATAGGATTTGATATCACAATGTGGCTTAAAAATAGTTATGTAAACAATCTTAAATATAAATTTTTATTTGAAACAAATGACTGAAATAGTATATTTGGAAGTATTTAGAAATTTCTGGTTATATCAAGACCAGTAGTATCTCTGTTAAATATGTATTTTTCCTAACTACAGATATTTTTATTTATTATAAGATTTACAGGAAAAGAAAAAATGCCCACTCTTCACCTCTTTTCACAGATAGTTTCACTTTTTTATCTCCTTAACAAAGCCATTTCCATAAATAGATCACTGCCAAGTTGTTTGAAAATTAGGGTAAAATAAAAGGCCTGCATTCTTGGAAATCTCATTTTAATGAGATTTACAATAATGATTAAATACTGTTGATATTTTTCAAATGTTGCTTGATATGGACTTAGTTTTGGTTGTATAATTTCACAAAGATTATTTTACTTTACTAAAAACACTTAAATTCCAAATTCCATCTCTTCTGCATTTTTAATCTTCTTTGTTTCTGTTTTGTCACTACACTCTTTGAAATAACCTGATATCAGGCAGAGTTTACCCACTAGAGAATAAAATGAGGATCATACTATTGAGGAGTGTTTTTTCTTTTTTTGTTTTTTTTTTTGAGACAGAGTCTCATTCTGTCGCTAGGGTGGAGTGCAGTGGCGCGATCTTGACCCACTGCAAGGTGCAACCTCCACCTCCTGGATTCAAACGATTCTCATGCCTCAGCCTCCCGAGTAGCTGGGATTACAGGCACATGCCACCATACCCAGCTAATTTTTTTGTATTTTTGGTAGAGACGGGGTTTCACCATGTTGGCCAGAGGAGTGTTGTTTTGACAGATAAACATGGTAAGCTTGGTTGTTTTCTTCCTGAATGTTTTGAAATAAAAGAGGATTGAAATTTTATTCCTCAATAGAAATTAAGAATAATTATATAACTCTTGTACAATTTTATTGATGTTAGGCAATGAAGACAGAAAAGAAATGTTAAGTTTTTCTCCTTCCAGATGTAACTGATGCTGCAATGGCCGTGACATTCAGGAATATGAAAGTTTTCATCGTTTGTTTATACCTTTGGTCATACTGGCATAATTTTTTTTGTTTGTTTTAAATGAGATTATTGCTCTAGAAAAGAAAAACTTAATAAAACCTTGTGTTTGAAAATAAAATTTTGTCAGAATTTCAGCCAACAAGATTTCCTGTGTGATGCACAACTAATATTTCAGTGTTGCTGTTCCTCAAAGATTGGGTTTTAGGGTGCATGCAGCTCAGGACAGAATTATATCAAACCAAAAGCATATGCAGTCTACATGTGATTTGTTTGGATGATATGCAAAGATATGAATTGTGTATTTTAATCAGTATACTTTAGTTTCATTTTACAAAAAGAAAAATTAGCTCAGTCTAAATCTGAAATAAATACAGACATTTACAGGCACCTGTTTGAATCATCATGATTAGGTTTATTTTATGATATATTAATATTATTAAAATTCCCAGTAAGAAGAAGTCACATTTAATATACAATATTTGAGTGGATTGTGTGTGCTTATTAATAGTGTCACAGTTTAAGTAAAACTATTAAGCCGCCATCTTTACATACTTGGTTTTACCTTTTTGGATGTCTTGGGCAAAGGTTCAAGGTATTTCTTTTCAGGTAAATAATTTGTAACTGCTGTTAATTAAAATATAGTTCTCTAAAATAGAACCCATTTAGAAATAATAATAGTTGGAAATAAACAACATGGAAAACTAGATGATTTGTGGTTCAAATTTACTGATAGATAAGTTAAACATTAGAGCCATAAAGTGTAAATTTGCGTAGCATTTAACAAGCTTTAGAAGAGCATTAAAAGTAACCTATATGTAATATGCAATACGAATAGAGCTTCACAGAGCCCCAGAGGAAGCTGAAAATGTAGTTCAGGATGCTTCAGGCTGTCTGAGATGTTGAGATTATGTTCCACAAAGACCAAAATAAGGTTTCAGCAAGGTTTTCTTGCAACATGTAAGTTTTCCAGATGAAGAGAAATGGACATATATTAAATTTCCAGCAGCTTAAAAATGCAGTCATTTGTAAGTGATTAAAATGGACGTTGTTTTTAGTTTTTCTGTAGTAGTTGGCATTCCTTAACTGGTTTTTATATTAAACCAGTTATGTTAAAAAACAAACATGTATACAGTGTGCCTATCTTGTCACTATGTTAATAGAAAATCATTCAAAAATTAAAGGAAAGAAAAGTAAAACCATTATAATAAAAGATTGTGAGAGCTGCTTGAGAGTTGTGGGGAGTAATCTTGCATCACATCTATTAGGATTGTCAAAAAAAAAAAGACAAAAAATAAACAATATAAAATAGAGTTTACATAGTACTCTTTTCTTTAGATGTTTTTTGGAAGTCTCACATGTTGTCAACTTATGTATTTTTTATATAAAGTGACCTGTAACTAAAATTTTAAGAATTTAGTTCTGCCATTGTCTTGAAATTAAGCAGGTAAAAACACAACCTCTCTGGGTCTCAGTGTTTTTCATCTTAAAATGGATGACTTCCATCCAAAGATTTCTAAATTCTCTTTCAGCTCCAAAACACTATGAGAAACTATGGAACTATGAAGTTCCATCTGAAAATTTTTAAGAACATGGAAACTGATTGTGCTACTCAGCTTTTCTGGTGGGTATCAGCTGTGCAACGAAGAGTGTTGAACAGTATGTTATTTCTTACCCTCTAGGAGAGTGGTCCCCACACTGTGGGCTGCAGACCTCTGAGGAATGTTGGACTTTTTCCAAAAGTTTCTCAAATTCACATGTGTATTAAACACATGTTTCTTTACACGTATGTACTATAGATGTTTTTGATGTATGTGGTGTCTCTTATGATTAGAATAAAAACATACATCCATTTAGAAGTGTTATAAAGTTGTCACAGAATTCACCATAATTCTTAAGTCATTATGTCACCAATGGATGAGAAAAGTAAAATCAATATCTTAAATCTGTGAGGATATTTTAATGCTAAAATTGGATGGACCTCTTGTGTACTCACTGGAGGTACATTAGTTGCATATAATGTGAACTATTAAGCATTGCCTTGGAAGATGTGCCATTAATATTTTTCCAGGAGATTTGGAGTATTTTATTCCATTTGAACACTTAGTTGGGGTTATGGCTCCATTTCCTGTCAGAGTATTTGAAATATCCCATTAGCTTACTGTTAGTAGTTGTCTTAGGAACTTCTTACTAACGGTGAATAGTAACCGCTATTTGTTGAGCATTTACTAAGCACTGTGTGTGTGTGTGTGTGTGTGTGTGTGTGTGTGAGAGAGAGAGAGAGAGAGAGAGAGAGAGAGAAAGAGAGAGACAGTCTGTGGGTTATTCCCATTTGACAGATTGGAATATTAAGGCAAAAAGATACTAAGTATTTTGTCCAATACCTCATAGCCATTGACAGAGATGGGAATAAAAATTGGCCTATGTAACATCACCAAAGCCCACGCAGTGCCTGTGGGAAAAATGAATTTCAGATTTAGCTTAATGTCACACACACACAGCCCACAAGGAAATGCCTGACAATTACGCTCCATGTTCTGAAACTGACGTGTCATCATCACCACAGAATTGCCACTTTATGCCTCAGTTTACCCAACTTCAAAGTAGAGAAACATTTCATCATTTAATTTTACTTGCTAGGATAATGTATGAATTAGTTAATGCTTATAAAGAAGTGATTTGATGAGGGGAAAGCTCTATCTAAATGCTAAGTATTATTTATTATTCATGTAAGCATATTACTGTACCCTTCAATCACCTTTTTTGGATGTTTCAAATGGGCAATTACTGTCTCTTTGTGTAAAGCTTTAAAAATTTTTAATTTAAATTAAAAGTTAATCTAATTTAGGAAAACTCTGCCAGCTGGAATGGAACACAGACTTTTTTTTCCCCCTTTTCCAAACAAAACAGCAATTCAGAATAGACTCTCTTTTAATATAGTAATGTGGATAGGCTTTCCTGGGCTAGCGGTATTAGGAATGAGGGCTAATTAGTAATGGCTGTTTTGTAATGCTGGTAATCTATGTGTTAGGATTAGTGCTGATAATATATCTGATTAGGTGGAATTAACTGATATTTAGAAGGATGGAGATTCTTTTGTTTATGAAATCTCCATTTTGGGGTTACGATGTGTAGCTGGAGTGGCTGAGTCCTTGAAATCAAGTTAACATGGCTTTCCCATAACACAGTGCCCATATATGAGTAGAGCCAGGAAGCAATGAGGGTCATTTGAGCTCAAGAAGACCTTTACATCTTAAGGCCTCAGTAAGGAGCCCTACAAATAGTGAAAATCAGAGTTCAAAGGTCAGAAATGTCAAGTATGCTTTAAAAGGAGAAGACATATTTACCTGAGCTCTTCAGTTAACATCCAGCAGTCCTTGATGGGAAAATTCTTTCTATGTAGCACTTTCTGTCACATGCCTGTTGACTCAAAAGTAACTGGTTTTCGTTTTAAAATAGAAAATGAAAAATGTATCATTGAAAGAAATCACTGTTTTAATTCCTCTCCCCTACAAATTTGCATGTTCAACCTTCCTTTTAAAGTAACCATTTTTAAATGTTCCCTAGCACTTAAATTTTAAGGAAATATGCTTAGAAATCACATTATTCAGTTGCACAGTTTCAGTTGCCCAGCAGTATCATTAAATCCTCTGGAGTGATTCCAGTCCCACAAAAATTAGGGACCCCTTTACATTGTTTCCATATTCAAATGGAAATCTTTTTGCAAGTTAGTAATTAAAGTATTTAACCTCTCTCTCCCTCCATTTATTAGAAAACTCTTTTTTCTTTATTTTTTCAATTACAAAAAAACTGCTAAAGCCAATCAAGCATTTATTTTGATAAACCGCTTGTAACAGTCTCAGCTAAATTCTGCAAATACCAAAAAAAAAAAAAAAGCTAAATAATCACCCTGAGCAGATTTTGCGGAGACCTTGCTCAACCTGTTCAGGGATAATTATGCCGAGCTTTTAGTATGGGGCAAAGGAAAACATAAAATTAAGGCATGAAAGAAAGTCTACCTATTTTGAGAAAATACTGGGATAATTGGTACTCTTTTTATTACCATTTTATTATAGAAAGATATTGTCTTGTCATGAAATATAGGTTTACAGCAATGAAACAGTACTATTCGGGGTGGAAAGAACTTCTGTGTTAGATGGATTGATTTAAAATGTAATAAAAATAGCAAATTGCTAAATAGTGAATCGCTAAATAGTCAAGTTAGAGTTCATTATTTAAATGACTCCTTTTTCTTTTCTTTTTAATCATATGATGTTCATAATTGCTTTGTTTCTGACAAGTACGTTACAGGGACTTTTTTCTTCTTTTTTCTTTTTTCTTTCAGAGTAGCCTTTGGTTTGGAGCTACAACCATAACTTTCTTTGAGAAATGGAAACATCAGGAATGGTACCACTACATGCAAGGTGCTAGGAGTAGAAAGCAATAGACAGATTCACAATGTTATAAATGGTGGTGATATGAAATGTGACCCTGATAATGGTTATGTGGTGCTTTGGAAATTTACCTCTCTTACAGACTTTGTCCTTTTGTATGTGAAGGTGACACTGAACAGTGTGTCTGAACAGAATGATGTGTAATCTGTAGTTCTTTATATCTTATCAGCTGCAGATCCTGGTTTTGTGGAGCCTGAAGCTTGCACAACATGGGGGCCGTGTTTTAATGAGAACAATAGTACAAAATTAAAAATGCAAAACTAGGTACAGGCATTGGAAGGGGCCAGTATTTAGTGAGGATCAGCTTCATTACGCTTCATGGTAGATCTGTCTCTGCTGATTACATATGTGAAAACTGAGAATGGGTATTTGAAAGCTTCATTTGGACCAGGCTTATTCAATTTGTGTTGGTAGATATTCATGGCTGGGAGGACAGCACTGGTTCTATTTTTAGAAATTTTAACAAGTGCTACTTTCCCAGCACTGATGGTACAAATCACAGAGCTGGGGGCGAGGTTGCAAAATCTGGATGACTCAGTTTCCAAAATTACAGTTTTTCTACTTATATTGATAGTACTTACACCAGAAGGTGCTAGCTCTTTGATCAAATACTGAATTGTGAGGAAATCAGATTCAAGTGTCATGTTAAAGTTAAAGTCATGAAGGGAAGAGAAACCAGAGCTGACTCGACTGGTAAGAAATCTTAATAAAAATGGGGACATTTGTAACAATAATTAAGGCAGGGAAATGCTGATTAGCGTTCAGCTACTCTAGTGAGAAGCAAAAAGCACCAATAAAGCAGATATTCTTCGTCTGGATGCCTTGCTTCCTCAGTGAGTCAGTCCCAAAGGGGCCTCCCCTCATGCCACTGTATACTCTGCTGGGAGCTTTGTCGGCTAAAGCTTCTAATATCTACAGTGGCTTCTCTTGCAGCACTTTGGTTTCCAGGGAACCATCCGCAGGTTCTACTGATTTGTCAGTATCTTTACACTCAGCCTCTGGTTGCACCAGGCATTCATCTTTGGTAGTTGCAGTGTGTGTTTGGGCCCTCCTGTGTCCAGATTATGCTTTGAATCAGCACATATTTATTGACTAACTGTAGGGTACACAACTATGGTAAAGATGATAATACGTAATCTTACCTTTGGGTAGCTGCTTGCAATTTATGAAATACCTTTATATCCATTACTTTCCTTGCTTCTCACAATTCCAAGAGGTAAGCAGACTCAGTGCTGTAATTCACATATTACAGAAGACAAAACTGAGATTAAGGAAATTGCCCAGGTCAAACAATTAAGAAGTTGCAGAGGACTTGAGCCCTGAGCTACTGACTCAATAGATATTTTTTTTAACCATTACATGGACCTTGCAATTTATTAGGGAGATAAGAAATGCAAATTTTTTTCCCTTAAATGCATGTGTATCTTTATATAGAGATATATTTCCTTAGTAATTGTACTATAAGAAAGCATCAAGAAAGTGTCTAAATAAAGCACCCAGTGAAGAGTTGTACATCTAGTGTGTTCCAGAAATATGAATTGATTAGACTTGATATATGTCTATTAAGCACTTGGAGAGTACAGGGCACTGTTTTAGAGCCCTTGTTAATTGATTATCATGGCTGTGTGTTGTTTTGGGCCCTGGGCCCTGTTTCAGTGAGAAGATAGAGCTATCAGAGGAAAAGCCATCAGTAGTTTTAGACACTAGACTTCTCTCTGCTTTCACAAAATGCCATCCCAGATTCAGAGGCATTTCTTATCCTCAAATGGAACATCTTCACATACCACAGTGTTCCATTTCCCTCTTCCAATGGCCTCCATTGCTTGTAACCTTGACTGAACTCTCCCCTTTTTGCATTCTCTATAAATCTGCTAGTCACCACTCCCACAACATAGCCTATTATGACATTGCTGCAACCTAGCCTCTGAATTCTGGATTTCATCTTCTCTCATCCAGGCTGATGTGTTCTGAAACTAGAGCTTCCAGACCCTTCTGAGTTCTCACTGTCGCCATTCTGCGACAAATCCTGCTTCTTGTTATCCTATGAAACTATATTTCAGAGCCCTGCCCCAGTGTCCCCTTCCTTCTTTCTCTTCTTCAAGTGAAACTGCTCAAAGACCTCATTATTCACATGCTTCCACATCTGTACCCTTAACAGCCTTCCAAATGATTTGAACAGCCTCACTTTTTTGTCAGTTACATAAGGAAGTGCCTTCCTTATGTCACTGTGGTGAAATTATTTTCTCAATTTATTCTGTTTCAAAAAGAACAAAAAATGTTCCTCCAGCGTTATAACTAATCACAATGTCAATAGTTTACTAGGTGCATAACTGGTGCAAAATGCGAACACAAGGCATGATGGCTTTTCTGTATTTTAGAATCTGTTTCAGGAGGGGTTCTTCTTCTTCTCCTTCCTTCTCCTCCTCCTTCTTTCCTTTCCAATTTTCTGTATCTCTTCTTCCAATCATAATTTCATACAGTCAGTCATAGGGTAACACAAAAATAACATGTTCCTAAGTGCAGGTAAACTCACCTCACAAGCTTAGAAATGCAGTATAAATAAACCAAACTTTAAGTAGATATCAGAGCATGGTTATATTACAAATGGTTCATTCAATTTATAAACTATTTTTTCATTCAGCCTCCTGAATATCAGGTCCCTCTAGTATACTAAAATTATCTGATTTACCAAAAAAATTTCTGTACAGCTGTTTGGCAATAGCTCTTCTATTCAAAAATTCACTACAGATTCTATTAAGATTCCTTTCTTAAGCTAGTATAAAACTTTAATTGAACCTTAAGTTTCTCCCTGAATAGGAATTTTTTAAACCTTTGTTCTCAGGGAAACTGTACCATTAGAAAGTAACAGTGAATTTTTGCGTCATTATTTTTTATCATTTTTTTGGAAAGATGTTCTAAATGTAAAACAAGGTAAGAAAGTACATTCATGTGAACATGTAGAACTTGGAATGCTCTACATTTGAAAATACACTAACCTAAAATTGTAATATTTTATATGGCTTGACAATTTTTAATGTTGACCTAACATACTTCCAGAGGGTAATTAGGTAGCTGTGTGGTTTTGAACATGTAAATCGTTGACATGTCACTTTTTAAGAAAAATCAGTATAAAATGGCAGTTTTGCTTTTTGTGCTTTTTGAAAGCTACCATGGTTTTAAAAAAATTATCTTAATTTTATAGAACTAAAAACATCTGATAAAACCATTTCTTCATACCTGCCTTTCTCTGTTCTAACAACTAAAAACTTCTTTCTTGATTTAGGCTTTGTGAAATTTAAGCTCACAAAGCTCTTAGATTTAGAAAGTTCCTGTTGCATAGCTATTGTTGGGTTCTGTGTAGAGTGTGCTTTCCCTCATTTATTCCTGTAGGGTTCCTTGTGGTAAGTTTAGGTACATTCCTTTCTAGAGGCAAGGGGAGGGTTTTCCTCTCCCCAGGGTGCCAGTGAAACTCTCCATTACTTTGTCAACATGAGACTGCCTTGCCTAGAGAGACAAAAACCAACCAAATTTCTTTTCCATGTATTTTGTTTCTTCTCTGTTAAAACAAGAAAACTTTATTTTCAAGCCTCCCTTTTAAGAAACGTCTTTCTTACTGACGGGAACTTAAAACATCTGAAATGATTTTCATGACATATTACTGGCAGGCTCTGGTGTGAGAATTCTGCATGTTTCAAAAGTTCCTTGGCAAGCGATTGAAAGGTAGAATGCAGGATCCCACAGAAGGAATAGTTTGCGTTGTGCTTAATTTTCCTGACCAGTCTACAAAAGTTCTGTTTCCTTATTTATCTGAATTGTGGCATTAAGTGACTTTACCATCTTTCATTAATTAGATGTATTCAGAGATTCAAATTAACAATTAGCAAGCAGGGAAGGTGGTGTTCTACTCTGTAGCTCTGGTGACAGGGCGGGAGACTTCCACTCCCTTCATCCTTGTTTTGTAGGGTGGGGGGAATCTTGGAAATAAGACCTGCATTGTCTCAGCTTCAGGGCCTCCCTGTCTTGGGGCTGGCATTCTAAAAGTGTAGCATTGGGAGACTAGGAGTGGCGCCAGGGAGGGGGAAGGAGGAGGAGGGAGCAAAGGGGCAGGTAATGACCACAGGCCATCTAGGTCTTCTATCTTTCTTCTTTCCCTAGTTTGCTATCCTCTCGCAATTCCATTTTCTTTCAATAATTTATTGAAAGTGTTCAGGATGGGCTGTTAGAGAACCTCCCAGGGAAGATGAGGAGAGGCAGAGAATAACATTAATTCTAACCAAAACCCGTATATGTTGGAGGAATGAACAGATCCCTTTTATAGAACTTGAAAATGAGCCTCCAGGAGGTTAAATAAGCTGCTTACAGTTTCACAGCTAGAAACAGGAGAGGCAGAATTCAAAAGCACATCTTTCTCATTCCAAAGCTCATGCTCTCTGAGGCATACTCCATGGCGGTGGTGCACTGTGAGCAGGAAGGGAGTGCCCTTTTCCATCTATCTCCCTTTTTCTTTATCTCTTCTCAAGAGGATGATAGGGAAATAGAAGTGACAATGAAGATAGAGAGATTGGAGGGAGGGATAAGGAAAAATACCTGTAATAACAACAATAAGCACATATGATTGCTCAGTGCAATTTTATGTGCTTTACCTATGGTATATAGTATATGTTGTTATAGTATACAACCTCAAGGTATAACTCTTATTATCTCTATTTTATACACGAGAAAACCAGGCTCAGAGAAAATTACTTGCATATGGTCCCATGACCAACTGGTGTGTTGTGGAACTACCCTCTAGACCCAAAGCTGCGGGATTTCAAAGGCTCTTGACCTCCTAGTGCCTCTCCCTTTCCTTCTGTCTCTGCCAACCTGGACTTGAAGAAAGTTGGGCTGCAGAAAGCAGGGATGAGGTATAGTGTTGAAGAGGAGTGTTTGGGTGTTTATGTTTTAGGAAGGAGGCAGCACACCTTCCTTCACCCTCATTTAATACATTTCACATCCTGACTTGCCTCTGAGAGGACCACTGTGGTGTGACTCCGGGTTGGGGGAGATGGACACATAAGTAATCATGACACAGAGGCTGGGTGTGGTGGCTCATGCCTGCAATTCCAGCACTTCAGGAGGCCAAGGCGGAGGAATCACTTGAGGCCAAGAGTTCAAGACCAGCCTGGCCAACTTGGCGAAACCCTGTCTCTACTAAAAACACAAAAATTAGCTGGGTGTGGTGGTTCATGCTTGTAATCCCAGCTACTCGGGAGGCTGGGGCAGGTGAATCGCTTGAACCCGGGAGGCAGAAGTTGCAGTGAGTCAAAATCCTGCCACTGTACTCCAGCCTGTACAATAGTGAGAACCCGTCTCAAAAAAAAAAAAAAAAGAAAGAAAAGAAAAGAAAAAAAATTATGACACAATGTGCTTAGTGCTGTGTCAGGGAAAGCATAGCCCTTTAATAAGCGCTTAAATTCTGTTAATCCTCTGTATCTATATCCTAGTCTCCAAAATGGGGATCATGGCTGGGCGCTGTGGCTCATACCTGGAATATTAGCACTTTAGGGAACCAAGGTGTGGGGATTGCTTGAGCCCAGGAGTTCGAGACCAGCCTGGGCAACATAGTGAGACCTTGTCTCTTAAAAAAAAAAAAAAAAAATTAGCCAGACACGGTGGTGTGCAAATGTAGTCCTAGCTACTTGGGAGGCTGAGATGGGAAGATTGATGTAGCCAGGGAGATTGAGGCTGCAGTGAGCTGAGACTGGACCACAGGACTCCAGCCTGGGCAACAGAGCTAGACTTTTTCTTAAAAAAACAAAACAAAACAAAACAAGACAACACAAAAACAATAAAACAAAATGAGGATCATAACACTATCTCACAGGATTATAAGAAGGAATAAGTGACACAGTGTATGTGAACTTTCCTGGCACTCTCTCAAAATTAATGTTGAATCTCCACAAAGTGCTCTGAGAATATGAAAGAGGAGGCAAATAACTCCTGGATACTTGCAGCGATATTTCATCCAAGAAAGTGACATTAAAGTTGGGCCTTAAGTGATAAGTAAACGATTGTGAGGTGGGAAAACAGGTAGAATAGGTTGCTAATTTCTAAGTCATTTACTTTTTTCTAGTCTGTTTCATGGGGTACCAGGAAACACTCTGAGGTTCAGAAGCACCTCACCAGATTTACTCCTAGTTTTGTTGAAATATATGATTGTGTTATACCACCTAACATCTGCTCTTATTAAGAATTTTTTCCTACCTAGGAAACTATTGTTACCATTAACAGTCTTCTTCTTTTTAGATCACTGTTTCTTTTCATGTCTTTATTCAGCTTCTTCATCCAAAAACACTGTTTTTTTTGTTTTGTTTTGTTTTTTTGAGATGGAGTCTTGCTCTCTTGCCCATCCTGGAGTGCAGTGGCATGATCTTGGCTCACCGCAACCTCCACTTCCCAGGTTCAAGAGATTCTCTTGCCTCAACCTCACAAGTAGCTGGGATTATGGGCACATGCCACCATGCCCGGCTAATTTTTGTATATTTAGTAGAGACCCTGGGGTTTCACCATATTGGCCAGGCTGGTCTCGAACTCCTGACCTCAAGTGATCCACCCACCTTGGCCTCCCAAAGTGCTGGAATTACAGGCGTGAGCCAATGTGCCTGGCCGTGCTATTTTTTAAGAATCCAAGATGTGCTAAGCATTTTGCTGGGTGGGAAAATGTCTTTGTCTTTGAGGAACTTACAGTCTGTTGGGTAGACAACAGACTTGTGAACAAGTAAAGCACAGTGTGAACTACTAAGTGCTATAATTACTGGGAATATACATCTTAGTTTGCCCAGGATGGTCACAGTTCATACCTGTTGTTCTAACGTAATTACTAATAGTCTTTCATTTTCAGATGTGTGCTGATTTGGACAACAAATTTTATGGTTACATGAGTTAAAATATGTGTGTGTGTGTGTGTAAGATATTTTGCATGTTGACTGAAGAAATGACAAGCTCTAAGGAATCAAGGATGATTTTCTTAGGAAAGGTGATATTTGAGCAGAGGCATGATGCCGAGGGCATCACTAATAAGAGAAGGTGGGGAGAGGAAGGGAGGAAGTGCATTTTACATGAGCTAGAGATGCAGATGGGCATTAGGTAGTCAAGAGGCAATAACAAATCACAAGTTCCATGTGCCTGGAACATTGCTGGGTGGGGGATTAAGTAGTGGGAAAATTTTGTAGGCAAGTAGGGAAGAATGAAATCAGAATTTAATGATTGAGGAGCAAATGAAAGTTGAGGAAGTTGAGATGTCAAATATAGACACCTTCTAAGGAATTTAAGGAAAAGAGTGACTGTGGTGATAGTTTGAGATGAAGAAAGATAAAGTTTGGACATTCTGAAAATTGACAGTTAATGTCAGAAGAGACAGAGACACCGAGCTCAAAACAGCAAGGGATATGTGAGACAATGAGATCTCAAAGGAGGGGGGCGGAAAGTGCAGTCTGGGGCCTGGGAGAAAGGGCTAGCCTATGAAATAGAGAGGTCAGAACAGCTGGGTGTGGTGATGAACACCTGTCGTCCTAGCTACTCAGGTGGCCGAGGCAGGAGGATTGCTTGGGCCCAAAAGTTGAAGTCCAACTTAAGCAACATAGCGAGATCCCCATCTCTAACACAATTTTTAGAAAGGAAAAGAAGGACTGTAAGATGATGGAGGTAGAGAATTTACAGGGTAGGATTGGGGGAGTATCTAACCTGACATTTTCTTTGTTTGGTGAAGTAGTAAAATGATTGAGCACAGCCATTAAAGGACATGGCCAATATTTTTGCTCTTAATGTAGATAATGGCTATATGATCTTGTCCCAGTGACTTTACTTTCCTGGACCTCAGTTTCTTCATATGTAAAGTAAGAGACTGGATTGACACTTTCTATGTTTTCATCCAGTTCTAAGATCTGGTTCTGTGTTTTACTAAAAATGTCATGAGAAGGCAGTTCCCTGCATCCCTCACACCCTCCTTCTTGCTTGCCCCATCCTGTAAAAGAGAGGATTCCATTGTCAAGTAAGTTAGGGTTATGGTTAATTGGGTTTCTTTACAATAGGACCTCTTAGAGCCCCTAGAATGCTAATAGGTATTATGAATATTGAAGAGGAGGTTATAGTACACATTTCCCAAACTGATTTAACTGTATAATCCAGTGTTCCATAGAGCATACCATGAGAAACATTGATTTAAGCATTTATTCTCCCTTGTCATTTGTAAAAAATTCTATCCCAAGTTGGTGGGGGCAAAACAAACATTTTGAATGGCTGTTGTCTCTGGTGAGCATGCATCTTTGCTTGGAATATGACGTAGTTCCTTCCACTATCAGAATAAAAAGCTCCACCAAACCTAGACCTACAGAATATTGATAGAAATAAAACATGCAGCCCCGTCTAGGCATGAGATGGTGGCAGAGAGCTGCTGGATGCTCCAGCTCTTCCCTTGAACAAGCTGAAAAGAGAGAAAGACTTGTTTACAGCTCTCAAAAGAAAGGCTGAGAAGTACAGGTCCTGTGTTACCTGTATTATTTCTAAAGTTCCGGAACAGCTAAGGAAAGGAAATACAGAGTAATGTGGCTCAGTTTGTTTGATGTGGTATTTAATCCTTCTGGTTTATAATACCATCTAACACATATGTTTCGTATCACCTCAGATATATTCCAATATGATATTTAATATATTTAGAAAAGAAGAAAAATCCCACTGGCAAGAATGAGTTTCTCCCAGTTATGAAGTAATATGTTTTGTTTTTACTAGTATTCCCTAGCACATATGTGTTCTTTTTCAGTTCTCTTTTCTAACCCAAATGATTATTGTGTGTGTTTGTGCGTAAGTGTGTGTGTGTATGTTATCTGTAGGTTTCTTTATTGATGTAACTACTCTAATTTTGGTTCCTTTAAATTGTGATCATCATGAGGGAAAAGGAGTCCTTCCCTGATAATTCACATTTTGTAATGCTTTGTAAAGTGAACATATAATTTCAACAGATATGCTTTTTTGCTGATTCACTCATGAGTCTTTATATTGTGCAAAGCCCTATGCTAGGCACTGGAGAAAGTGAGAGAATGGGACCCAGTCTCTGTCCTTTTTCTTGTCTTAATCCTTCTCACTCTTGCAGTTCCTCCTCAGGATCCAACCCCTTGCTCCTCACTCCTCTGGTCGTTTTAGCTATCCCTTACTCCACTGAATACACACACACAGATACACACACACACCACAGGTACACACACACCTACATCCCACTCTTGACTAGATAAAGGGCCTATGCCAGTTGTGGAATCTGCTTAGAGGTTGAGGCAAAAGTCAAGGGGATTTGCTTTCACTTGGAAATTAGAGGTGTGGTTTCAGGTGGTTGGTGACCAGTTCACATAGCTCTGGTTCACTCTGCCCTGCTGCCTGGAGTTGCCTTCAGTTTCCTTAGGTGAAAATGGGTCATGGGAAGATGCTGAAGTTGCGGTTAAAGGAAGTACCAAGGCGCTTGCCTGACTCTCTTTAGACCTGCAGTTCTTTTAGGGACCACCTATTGCATCAAGGTTGAGCAGAATGTTGCACACATATGTGACTTCTTTTACTTTTTCTTCGCAGATTCTTAAATTGTGTTTGCCTTCTTGTCTCCCTCACTCTCTCTGGTACAGAGGTCGTAGGTTTCATTTGATTACATTTTCGTTCTCTGTTAAACTAGGCTGAGTCACCTTGCTCCACACAGCTATTTAGAATTTGCTCGTTTGTTTTTTTCTTTTTAACATCTCCACTGTTAAAAGTTAATGCTTTCTCCTTTTATTTTCACTGACTGAATGTCAGAGGACTTAACATTAATAGAAGTCTGTCTCCTCTATTACCTTTCAGGAATAGACATTCAAACCCTTTCGGGAATCATAATCTTCAGTAGAAAGAAATCTATAATAGATTGACAACTTTTTAAACATCTTTTCCTAATACTCTCATAGCTTTCAATTTGGACTGTTTCATTTAATTGAAGAAACATTATTAGCATCTTTGCCATGCATAAAAATAGATTATGTTTGAAGCATATGAAATGTTTCTAGCTCCTTAGAAGAAAATACATTAATATCATATTGTTATATATTGTTGAGCTTGTTTTTAACACCTTACTTAGGAGCCTAGCTATAAAATAATTTTAACTATGAAAGGGACCAACACCTCCTACTGGTACTTCCAGTTAATCTCCTGGATGCTTCTAGAAAGACTGGCCCTATGCCTGCTTCTTACTGAATCATGTTCCTATGTATAATATTTTATCCAAATAAATGACAATACAAAATCCTTTTACTTAAACAAGTTTAGGACTATAAAATATTTCAATTCATATTTTAATTTTAATAATTTTGTTCATAGCTTTCAGTAATAAAGCAAAATGGAACATTTTATTTTTGTGAAGCTTATCATTGTTTGCTAAGACAGTAATGTTAGAAAAATAATCTTTTCCCTAGGCATAACAAAACAAATGTTTAAGATAGATTTGATTGAGCATTTAAAATTTTTAAAGATGAACTTGCTTCTGGGTCTTCACTTCTTGGAGAGAATCCTTGGGAAGAAACTTAAAAAGATTTGGATTTGTCTTTTCTTTGGACAGAACATTTTGTTCTTTATTCTAATTGCAAATTCCTCTGGCCCTGGTTATAGCACATATTTTCCTCTTTATTCCACAACTTCCACTCTGCTTTCTGTTTGTTTTTAATGCTCAGAAGGGTTAATTTTTGCCTCAATTCCTGAAAAGAGAAAGTTGATTGCCACTAATCCATTTTAGTGTAGGTAACATGAAATATTTGTTAACCAAATTAAATCTGGCTGAATTGAAGTGCATAACCACTCATGGAAGGATGCCACTCTCTGACTTACTGGTGTTAGTTTCTCTTGGATTAATTAACATGTTGTAAGATAGTCTAGGCATACTAAAGTCACTGTTTAAAATAGGTCACATCAAGTAGCAGAGTATGAAAATGTCCATCCTTATAAACCAGGGATGGCAAACTCAGGTGCCTCCTGGAACTAGATTGGTTAAAAATGAGTGAAGGAGGACAGGTAGCAAGATTGTTCCTCGTTTGTCACCATGAAGCATCAGCAGATTGTTGACTTGTGAAAATAAAGGCAGAGGGTTGCCATATTTTCTTTTCTTTATTTTCTTTTCAAGATACAGCAGATACCCCATTTTAATGTAATTGTATCAATTTTTTAAATTAGGCAACTAATCAAAGATTTTACAAACAGTGTGCAGTCTGTGTTTTGTACATAGGCTGTCAGTTTGTGACCTCTAGAAACCCCATCAATTTGAAAGATAAATTTAGTCTTATATTAAAAACAAAGTGCACAGTGTTCTTAATTCTGTGGTCAGTGGCCAACGGTCCATTTCCTTTGGGAAAAAGTTTATTTTTGAGTCCCATGATCCTCACTCTAAGCAAAAGACTGAAAGACTATTTGGGTTGATAATTTACCCAACAGCATATTGAAAAATGTTAAGTCGGAAGTCAGTTCCTCATACTGTCTGGTAAAATCTGCAGTGTTGGTGTGGACTAAATCTATAGTTTAAAAAATGTTTTATAGTTTAAAAAATCATGAGAAGGCCTGTTAGGTAAGAATGCCCCCCACCCCAACACACACACACAAATTCCAATGACTTTAAAATTACAAAATTACATTTTTGGTATATCTCTATCTTAGCAACACTGTATTCTTTTCCATCTCTTTAAAATGTGCCACAATTAAATACACATAAAATAATCTTTTATATATTTATATATACTTGAGCCACCTTTCAACTTTTACTTCTCTAGATTACATAATTCAGACTTCTTTAATATTTACATATATCCTGTTTTATATATTTTTAAATGTGTTCTGTACTGTTGCCTAGACTAGACTGGTATTGTTAATAATCATACTAAATGCCAATGCATTATATAACTGCTTTATTACATCTTATATATTGTGTGTATTTATCTAGATTAGATTGCTTTTTACAAATGGTTCTATCCCAAAACAGCATTAGTTTTTGATTCTCACCCAGCTCTACGGCTTTTTGACACATTTGTTTCTGCTGCTGGAGATTGCTAGTCCATTGTGTTATTTCCCCATAAATGTATAAATGTATACCGATACTTTATTTGATTTTTAAATTTATATTGAAGATATAACCTATTGTTTTGAACTACAATTATGTCCATTCCTGAGTTAGCCACACCAGCTATCCCTGGTGTCATGTCCTGTTTGAAATTAAGTATCATGTGTTTTTCTTTATTGAAGGCAGTTAGCTCGAGTGTTTAAGAAATACTGGCCTCATCCTTGGGGAACACTGTAGTAGGCTTCCTTGACATTGAATCATTGGTAACTGTTCTTTCATAGGCCCAATTTGACCATCTGATTTATGTTGTATGTATCTTAACAATTGAGGGGGACTGACATAACTGGAAGAAAAGTGCACATATTTTAATGTTGGCATCACCCAAAACAAGGACATCTTTAGCTGCTAGATTGAAATTATTTACAATTTTGCACTTACTTTATGGTACCAAGTACAAGTATTCTAGTTACACTTGTGGTTTTAGAGAGTATTTGCTGCTCATTTGGAGTCTCAAATGCAAAATATAACCCTGTAGCTATTATGTGGGTTTGCGACACTCCCATGGGGACCTTGGGCTCATAAACCAGCGAATGGATTATATAATGCTGCATAAATGCTGTATTTTTCATCTGACAGACATAATCTTGATCCTATATTTTTATGTTGCCTAACTGCTTCAGAATACCACTTTTGAAGCAACCCATCAAAATGGAAATTGCTTCTAAAACATGTAGCAATAAATATTGGTCAAGGCTCTGTGTAATTCAGATTGACTCAATACTTGAACACTACTCGATTGAAATTCTCTACTGTTTTTAAATAAAAGGTTGATAATTTCCATTTTATGGTATTGTTTGATCCTTTTCTTTGTTAGGCATATATTTACTTTGTTAAAATTAAAATTTTATTTTCTGATTGTCTAAGGCATGCCTGATAGTCAATCAAGCATTTCAGTAGGTATAGATAAAATATTGAGAACTTACATTGAAAGTTAAACCACATATGGATCAAGACATATATGTGATATAGATCAACAAATATATGTGGTACCTATGAAACCAGATGAGCATCACTTTCAAACTTGCAGTATAGAGCTCTGTGTCTAACATGTTATCTGAAAGACTTGATGCCAGAGCTATGATTTTGCTCCAGCCTCTCATAATCTCACTCTCTCTCTGTGTGTGTTTCTGTGTGTGTGTGTGTGTGTGTGTTCATTTTTGTTTTTGAGATAAGGTCTCAATCCATCATCCAGGCTGGAGTGCAGTGGTACAATCATGGCTCACTGCAGCCTCGATCTCCTAGGCTTAAGTGTTGCACCCACCTCAACCTACCAACTAGCTAGGACTACAGGTGTGTGCCACCACACCTGCTAATTTTGTATTTTTTCAAGAGATAGGGTTTTGAACTGGCTGGTCTTGAACTCCTGGGCTCAAGGGATCTGCTGGCTTTGGCTTTGCAAAGTGGTGGGATTACAGGCATGAGCCACTGCACCCAGCCTCATTGTTGTATATTATCCGATGTGCTATTTGCTTTACAAATAATTGTTATACTCTGCTTGTCCTTTACCGAAAACATGACCAAAAACTATCTGATATTTACTATCCAATTTTGTTGAATAAAAGAGGAATCCAGAGTTGTTAACTTTGGCTTTAGGTTCTCCCTCTTGCGACCAACTTTGAATTATCTGGGCTGGGTAGTCCACAAACAATGTGTTCATGTTGTCTCCCTCTTACTCACAAGCCTTCTGTAGCTCCCAACATTCACTGCATGAAGTTTAAACTCCTCTTCTAAAACTATGATAACCTGGTCTCATCTTCCATCTAAACAGCGATTTCTTTTTAACTTTCACATAGATATACTGTACACACATTTCTCGATTTTTGCCTTTGTCTATTCATTCCAGTCTGTCATTTTCTAGTGCCAATATTAAGGATCATTTTATGATCTTACATGTAACTGTTTTAGACTGCTGATCTCCTTCACTTCTAATCTTTTCCACCACTTTATCTGTAACATTCAATATAGCTCTCAATTAGATTATGTCTTCATTTTGTTTGCTATTTTATAATGTGATTGTCAGACCTAGGACCATGTCTTCAATTCCTGAGTTCCCACATTCTGAGCACACGATAGGTCTCATTGGATACTCATTTCACTGGTGATGGATCTCCTGGCTCTTTTACACAGAGTATCTTTTATAAGCAGGCATTGCCATAAAGACATTAGTTTTAAAATTCTTCACTTCAGTAAAGAGTGAATGCCGTATATATACATGTATCTTCTTTGTGAGGTGAATTGTGTGCTTTGGTATTTTCTGGCAAGTTTTGTCAATGGAGACTAGTAAAATAAATCCTTAGAGATTTACTGAACATTTATTTTGTGACGTATAGTTGACGTGTAATACAGTTTTTACTGAGAGTTAATACCTCACTTTGTAAAGCATCTGTATACTAACTCCTGGCTTAACTGTCAGGGATGATGCCTTTTTGTGGTCCTTTGTTTAGGAATGTTGGTCTTTGTGACCCAAGATATGTGAGGACATTCATTCTTGATTTAACTTTGCATGTTACTGTTCATTTTTATTTCTACTTTGAAAAACAGGAATTTTACTAAAAACAGATTATGAAAAATGAATTAGCATTAGGATAAAAAATATATACTTTAAAATTTAAGTTTGCATTGTTAGTTGCCATGCAAAACATCTTGTTCCCTAGGTAAACGTGTACTTAATCAAATGGCAAGTAGAATAAAATGTAAACTAATTGCCTCTGTGACTAAATTCTCTATTCTTGACTGTCTTCCTCAAGAGTAATTCTTTCATGTGAAGTCAGTTGACCAGTCTCAGTTACCTCATTTTGGAGTGAAGTCTAGTACTCTGAAAAGGGAAAGATAAATTATTCTTTGGGGAGCAATGCAGTTTACTAAGCTGTGTATGAGGCCTGAGGTCAGGTGACCCGACTCTGTTCAAATTGTCAAAGGCAAGTGTCAATTGACAGTGTGTTCTGCTCTCTAAACTAGCACTCAAAGCCTAGTGGTTGAGCTTTCTGTTACCATTTCTTCTCCACTGCTCTGGAGAAAGGTTTTGTTTGTCTTGCTGGCTACTGCTAGTACCCATTTAAAAAGTTTAGACACAATTCCTTCAATATTATATCTAGAAAAATCTAGGGTGGTCTTGGAGGGCACAGGAGAAGAAGTTAGTGATCCCCTGACACAGTTTTATGGCTTTGAATACCATTCTGTTTCTTTTCTCCTCTAACTCTTCCAAATGCCTCTGAGAATCATGATATGAACTTTATCATTTTGATAATACCAAAAGAGATGTCTCTGGAAGCATGTAGCTGTGCATGTATGTGTGTGTGTGTGTGTGTGTGTACACAATCTCACACATACATCATAATATAAAATGTGTTAATATTAAGTAATGACTGATTATTTTAAATAATAACACTCTTTACAAATACATACGTCTTCTGCCCTTCAAAGCACACTTGGCCTCCTGCTTGGAAAGTGCTTTCTGTCTAATAGCACTTTCTTCTGATCATCTTTAATTTTGGCAACACTTATCACTTTAAAAAGAATATATATATATGTGTGTGTGTGTGTGTGTATGTGTATATATATATATACACATACATACATAAACACAGGTATATGATTTGGGAAAATAGCTAAATGTCACTGGGAGCCAGGCCTAGTAAATGAGATACTGTTAGAATTGATTCAATAAAATTGATAATATTTGGTCTCAAAACCAAATTGTAAGTATAAAATAAAACTAGTGTGCTTGTGTGTTCCTAACTAGGACTATATGTGTAATGTGATAATCTACATAAGGCAGTTTCGCCCACACTTCTCACTTCTTTACCGTTCCCAACTCTGCTTTATATAGCAATGAAACTTCAGGTATGTTGTTGCACTGCTCATCAAAGTACCACTTTTAGAAGATTGTACTTGAAGAGTTTTTAAATAGCACTAGAAAGACTCTGCCATGCCACAGAAAAGCTTTTCGCCACATTAAGTGTACATTTAATCAACATTATGGCAATTATAGCTCTACTAGAAGTCCTTCACCCTCTGTTTTGTGGCGAGAACTTTGTCTAGGATAAAACTGTCATGAGTAGAGGTAATTTAAAATTCATCCTCCTTTTATTTATGTCAGAATATGACAGGGTGGGATGATGGATACCCATCTTTTTCTAATTGTAGCAATCTATTCTAAACTTCAAAGATAACTTGTTAGAATTCTCATTATTTAAAAAAATGTTATGACACCATTTCTCAGTCATTGCTTTTGTACTATTTCAATAATCTCCTTGGATATACTGATTGAGAAACTGTTATAAGGCTTACTGCGAAATTGACGAAGTCCAAATTTGATGACTGTCCCAAATAGTTTTGTGCCTTTGATAGATTTTACATGTGTTTTTTTCTATAAATCTGCCTTTAAAAATTTATTGTTGTCTTCAGATGTTTTCATGATATGTTCACTTAGTAGTTTATGCCACATGTCTTTAATGCAGTTCTAGAAACCCATTGCTGAGAAAGTGAAGTTCTCTTTCAATATCCATAATGAAAGTCAGTTTACTGGCGAGCACACCTGGGTTTGGCTTCCTAGTTATTCCTCCAGTAACACTGTATTGCATGTCTTAGGAAAAACTATTTGATGAGCTTAGATTTACAAATTAAAGTATTCTTCCACTTACTTCAGATAACGATACTGCAAGATCGTTAATATTGACCTAGAAGAAGTCTGGCTCAGCCTTCTGATTGATGAGCTGTGGTGGCTGTGAATGCTAACATAACCTTAATCTAAAATCATGAGCCTCTACCAAGGGAGGTAGTAGTTCCTCTGAATGCTACACAGATCATGTCACTTTTGAAGTCATGGTTTTTGTCTTGGACTGCCTATGCCCTAAGGGGAACACGGCCAAACATGTATTTATCTAGAAGATGTCAGAAAAAGTGATTGATCTGAAAAACTTCTGTCTGAGAGATTATTAAAGTAACTTGGAAAGTTGTTTTGGAAATAGGAAGAAAGACCCCAAGGAAGATATTTTCACAGTTTTTCTTTATCTGAAGAGCTGTTGCCAACTCATCACAAAAGGGTAGAACAAGGAGTACAGATTAATTTGAAAAATATTTCTGATTCTGAATTCAAAGTCTAATTGTAAAAAAGAAGATAGCAATGAGAGAGTATAGTCCCATACCTAGCTAAGTAAATGAAACTGTTAGGTGTTTATGGAATAGGAAATATGACTCTTCTAGTCATCATGGACCCAACCTTAAAGAAAGTTACAGTTCACTGGGTGCGGTAGCTCACGCCTATAATCCCAGCACTTTGGGAGGCTGAAGCGGGTGAATCACGAGGTCAGTAGCTCGAGACCAGCCTGGCCAACATGGTAAAACCTTGTCTCTACTAAAAATACAAAAAAAAAAAAAAAAAAATAGCCAGGCATGGTGGCTCCCGCCTTAATCCCAGCTACTCGGGAGGCTGAGGCAGGAGAATTGCTTGAACCTGGGAGGCGGAGGTTGCAGTGAGCCGAGATCACGCCAGTGCACTCCAGCCTGGGCAACAAGAGCAAGATTCCGTCTCAGAAAGAAGAAGAAAAAAAGGAAACTGACAGTTCAATAATGAAAATACGCATTTTCATAGCTCTAATAAAAGTAGAAAAGAATGTTTTTAACTAGATTTTACTGATAAAGCCCTGTGGTTCATAGAGGAGAAAGTGATCACTTTGAGTGATAAACATCTACCTCTCCCTCTGAAAGCCTAAAGTGGGGACATGTACCTGAAAACTAGATTGTGTGCTTGAAAGAGAATGTAGACAACCAAGCTAGGGAAGAAAAGACCTGAGACCTAATGGGTTAAATTCTATCCTTGGGACTTGGACGTGTTACCTGACTTCTGGGTCTCCATTTCCTCATCCAGGAATACAAAATTAGACTATCTGTTATGATCAAATAATAGAACTATTGTTAGAATCCAGCTTGATAATATTTGTAGAGGATTTTAAAAATGCAAAAAGGCTATGCAAATATTAGGGACTGCTGTGACTTAAAATTTCATCTAGCTTGCTTTTGCTATGTTTAGGCAGAGTAAAGGCTGAACTTCTCTTGACTTTTTGTAGTACCTTTATAGAGACTAAATAGTATTTCAAGATAGGAATGACTGAATAATATATTGTTTACAAGTCTCTAAAGTGTGTGTGTGTGTGTGTAAAGATAATTTTTGGACAAACATCATAATGATCCTGTAATAATGATCTATGATAAAGAAAAACTCTTGAAGTATAGCATTTACACATAAACTTAAAAACACACATTTCTCATTAGTGGAGATTTTATCATTGATTTTCAACATTGGAAAAACACAGAGATTGTTTTCTTTGCAAATCCCATAGAGATATGTTGACAGGATGATACAGGAAAAATCATATTATGTATAACTTTGTAGTAACATGATTGGTGTTTAATATTAAGCAGAGTATGAAAAAAAACAACCTTAATAAAAAATTAGCTAGACCATAAAAGCATCAGAAGATAGTTCATTAAAACATGTTCTCTAGGCCTGCCATTACTCCCTGCCCTTCTATTTCAGTGGTTCTCAACCTTGGCCGCACATTAGAATTACCTGGGGAGCTTTAAAAATCTCACTGCCCAGGCTGCACCCCTAACCAATTAATTCAGAGTCTCCAGGGGGTGAGAACCAGTTATCAGTATTTTTTAAAGCTCCCCAGGCAATTCCAATGTGCACCTAGTTTGAGATCTACTTCCCATATCTATCTGTAGTACCATATTGGATTTACAAATTGGAATGCTATTTTTGACTCCTTCTTTGTCTCCTTTCTCTCCGTTTAATCTTACCAAGTTCTGCAGATTCTCCCTCTGCTGTATTGGTTTGACCCTTCCTATCCCCAGTAATGCTAGCCTAGCCCAGGCCTTTATAGCTTAATATCTAGTTTTCTTCTTCTAGTCCCTCTTAAATGGTGTTACCAGACACTTTCGAACAACAATCTTTGAAACAACAATTTTGTCATTTCACTTAAGAACCTATACTGTTTTAGCATCCTAAAATTCAGGATTTTTGTAATCAAACTCTATTTACAAAACTAATCTTCTGATATCTTATATTTCCTATTGCAACACTTTACGAGTAGAAGAGAATTGAGGATTCAGGAAGGTGAATTCTTTTAAAAACTATTTCACTTGTAATCCTGGGGGCTTTGAGGCATGGGCTGGGGAGGAAAAGGGAGAAAGATGTTCAACAAAAGGCATATCCAGGCTATCTTTTCCTCCAACCCATATGTCTCCCTTTAGCCAGACCAAATCCAGTCTGGTTTCTTAATATATTTGGGTTGTGCTTAAGATTTCATTAGAACAGAAAAGAGTTTCACTGCTAAAAGAAAAAAAGAAGAAGAAGAAACTTTGACAACCCCTGGTGGCTAATCCTCTCATTTCACAAGGGAGGAAACTAAGGCTCAAAGAGGTTAAGTGACTCATCCAAAGTCATATAGCTAAAATGTGCCCTTTGTTCCTGCTAGCATAGTCTCTTCACTTTCTCTGAAAAGTAAGAAGAAATGTCATGCTAGCACTTGACACAAGGCCCTATACGTACAGGTGTTCAGCAAATATTTGTTGAATGAACACTTGAATGAATGCTATTTCATATTTCTGTTTCTGTTCACATTGTTACTGTAACAAGAATGCCTTTTTAAAAAATTCTCACTTTCACCTATAAAAGCAATCATTCAATGCAGGTCTCATCCTACTTCTGCCTCAAAGTCTCTCCTTATAAGCCATGACTGTAAAGGTAATTTATTTGATTATATTTAAACCATTTTAAACTGTCCTGTTCTGTAATTATTTTCTGGATGTGTCTTTTCTCCATAACAAGATTGCATGTCTGTTCCTTGAAGTGCATGACTTTTGCCACGTACTCCTCCTTTTATATCTCCTCCAGCATAGACAAAGCTTAATAAATACTTGTTGTGTTGGATTACTGGATTGCCTGCGGCTATAGACTGTTATTTTATGCTCCTGCTAATAGTAATTAAAACTCACTAGAATCAAATATCATATCCCAAAATATGAAGTTGAATTTGTACTCAGTTTATGAAATGCTCTTTTGTTAGAGAATGAAACAAATGGGATTTTTATATCCTCAAATTCCTTTCCCATTAGAATAAACTCACGTTATTTTCATTTTAACCTCTGTTTTGTTTTGTTTTGTTTGTTTGTTTGTTTGTTTTAACAAAAGATTGCAACAGGAAAAGAAAGTAGATTAAATAATTTGGTGTCTGCCAGAATTTTTGTCCTGAGGTCTCTGAGTATTCGCAGTCTTGGTCTCTTAGCACATCAGCCCCTGAAAGCAAGGCCAAACTGCAACTTCATGAGAAATACACTTGGGATATGTCCAATCCGGTGTGAGCCAACTCACACTTGCCTTCCTTATTCGAAGCCACATTTCCTGGCTGGACTAGTGAGAATTGTCTTTTGAAGAAAAAAGAGTGTTTCTGGATTGTTTTCAGGCCCTTTTATTCACAGCAGTCATTCTAGCATTCTCCACAGAGTTCTTCATAAGCCAGTAGGAAAAGCGATTCCATCGTTTTCCCTGGAAAAGTATTCAAATGCATGATTTGTCCCTTGGAAACTTACTTTGATGAACTTCCCAGTGAATGTCCACACTCTTTCTTAAAGTTTTACACATACACAGACACAAAGATATTTGAAAACATATTTGCCCTTCATCGTGCTTCAAAATCGTGCCAGGCGTGCAGTCATCATGTGTTCCTTTGCCTTGTATGTATTTCTGTCTTAAGGAGTCACTTTTATCTTTTTAAGAGATGGGGTCTCATTATGCTGCCCAGGCTGATCTTGAACATCTGGACTCAAGGGATCCTCCTGCCTCAGCCTCTCATAGTGCTGGGATTATAATTATGAGCCACTGTTCATGGCCACCAGGAGTCACATTTTTAAAAAGATAAATATATATACAATATTGTCAAAAGTAGAGAGAAAAGTTGTGGTGTCATTTGGAACCTATTTCTTCCTCTGTAAAGGGGCTACATGAACTCCAAGGACCATTCCAGCCTATGCATTAAGCAAGCAGTTTAATGAAGCGTTTCAAATCCTTAGTATTATTTGCTTTAGTATAGGATTCTTTCCATTCATTCACTCACATTCAGGTATTTGTTCATTCAACAACTATTTATTGACCCCTCCTCAGAAAAGCAATAAAACACTTAAGAAAATGGCCCTAGATTTCGACTTGTATTTGAATTCTAAAATTTAATTGATATGTGAACATGGGCAAGTTACTTAACTTCTCTGCATTTCAATTTTCTGTGAAGTGATCGTAATAACAGCACTATTGCTTAAGGTCATTGTGAGGAATATATAATTCCTATTAGTACCTTAGCATAGTGTCTGGCACATGCCATATGTTCAAATAATATGTTACTATTATAGCTTATTCTCTGCTAGACAGGCTGATAAGGATACCAGAACTAATAAGGCATTTTTTTTTTCTTTCTGTTAGGGAGCTCAGAATCTAATGAAAAGGGAACATATATGTAGGTATAATTTTACTATATAACAAGTACTATAATAGAGTTATATACAGTGGACTCCGGGAGCCCCAAAGAGGCTGCATGAAGCTCTGGGGAGGGGGAAGATTGGGGGGAAGCACAGAGAGGCGATGGTTTATCTGACCTCTGAAGAATATGTAGGTAGCTGCCAAATTATAGGACGGAAGGTAAAAAGAAGAATGAGCAAGCAGCATGAACAAAAGGATGGAAGCACTAATTCTAGAAGAGCAAATCAATTCACAGGCTTCCAGGTGAGGGGGTGATGGCAGATGAGATGGGGCTTGTCGTGGTGTCAGCCTGATCCCTTGGCTGTTCTCCCATGACTTGCTAACCTACTGCTACAGAGAATTGAGGCTGTCTCAGAAAAGGAGTCCAGAGGTAGTTGGCTGTAGTGAGGAAGTAAGATTTTGTGCTTGGTTTGCGGTGCCACAAGAAGATGTATACCATGATAGCAAGAATCATAAAAGGGGATGTATTCCAGAAGAAGGTAGAAGAGAAATGGTCTGGAAAGACTGGGTAGAGGACAAAAGGAGCCAGATGATATGTTATGTTAAAGGAGACTCTGAAGGCTTAATTTTGGAGATAAACTGTTAATTTTAATGTGTACACCCAATACTGTCTTTGTATGCCTACATAGTCCCTGTTGTATCTAAAAGATCACACCATTTTAGAAAAATGTTCTTGGAACTTTAGGGACTAGTTCCCTTTGAGTAAACATGCTTTAGATGAAATGAAGAGGCAGTGCGTAGTGCAATCATTCCACGCTTTATGTCCTAGACTTACAGTAGCTAGATTCTGGAATTGACTCTTCTGCTAACAAACTTCATGACATTTGGTAAGTATTGAGTTTCATATTTCTCACTTATCAAAGAAAGTGCATGTACCAGACAATGTGGAAGTTGATTCCAGTTCTTAAGTTCTACTATTCACAGTTTGTAATATATAAGTTGATTTTTTTTAAGATAAGTTAGAACTTTCACTAGATGTAGAAACTGAAACAGATTATAGAGGACAATTAGCATATTTTTAAAGACATGGAGCCATTTTAAGAAGAGTGGAAAAATAGTATCTTAAATCATGTGCAATGAAAGCAAGGAACCAAGGAAAATTGAACCTTTAAACCTCCCTGCTTCTCATATAAACACTCAATAACAAGGAAATGTTGGCTTAAGAAATCCAACTATTATAGAAAGAAGATGGAAAGTTAGACCAGGATTAGGAAGGCAATGCTTGACTAAAGCTGGTATACTTTAAAAAGTAGGATCCACAGTTAGCTCAAATAGTGTACATTTTTTTTTTTTTGAGACGGAGTCTCGCAGTGTCGCCCAGGCTGCAGTGCAGTGGCGTGATCTCTGCTCACTGCAAGCTCTGCCTCCCAGGTTCACACCATTCTCCTGCCTCAGCCTCCCAAGTAACTGGGAATACAGGCGCCCGCCACCATGCCTGGCTAATTTTTTGTATTTTTTTTAGCAGAGACGGGGTTTCACCATGTTACCCACGATGGTCTTGATCTCCTGACCTCGTGATCTGCCCGCCTCGGCCTCCCAAAGTGCTGGGATTACAGGTGTGAGTCGCCACGCCCAGCCTCAAATAGTGTGCATTCTAAGATTCATTATAACTCCCAGACTTTAAGAGCCAGTAACTGATTTGTAGATCCAACAAGGATCAGAGATACTTAATATTTATAATGATCAACTTCAACGTATAAGAATGCAGTAACACAATTATTCAATTGCCATTGCACTGGTATAGAGTAACTCAAATTACTAAGTAGCCAAAGACTAGTTTTTGAAGAATAAATTACTCCAGATAAATTTAATTTTCATTAATGATAAAATCATAGACCACTTATTGTATATGTGTGTGAGTGGGGTAGTAGGAGGAAAGTAAAAGGTATCTCAAATCTCACATGATTTCTTCAATGAACTGGACATAAAACTGAGGTTGTATTATTGTTGGGTTGATTCTTACTAGGGAATGGCTAACACCTCATAGGTAGTTACCCATGAGTTACTTGCATCTAGAAGACTATCCCAAGGATATCTTCCATGGCCCAGAGTGACTGGTGTTATTTGTAAAGGTCTCTGTCATGGAATGCTTACCAGGATTTTGGTGAAATATCATCTGTTTTATCTTAAAATTATTTTTATTCTTATTTCCTCAAGTATTAGTGACTCAATTGTAAATTTGCTCAACCCCAATAGTTCTAATTAAAAGCAAGTTAACAAGAAAGTCTGGAAAGCTCTCATAGTTTAGAGGAGCTTAAGATGACATGTTGGTCAGGCGTGGTGGCTCACACCTATAATCCCAGCACTTTGGATGGCCAAGGTGGGCAGATCACTTGAGGTCAGGAGTTTGAGATCAGCCTGGCCAACATGTTGAAAACCCGTCTCTACTAAAAATACAAAAATTAGCTGGGCGTGATGGCAGGCACCTGTAATCCCAGCTACTCGGGAGGCTGAGGCGGGAGAATCAGTTGAACGTGGGAGGTGGAGGTTGCAGTGAGCCAAGATCGCACCACTGCACTCCAGCCTGGGTGACAGAGCGAGACTGCATCTCACAAAAGAAAAAAGAAAAAAAAAGACATGTCAACTTAAAGCACTGTGGTATTCTGGATGAGATGATTCTGGGACAGAAAAGGAATACTGGGTAACAACTAAGGAAATTCGAATAAAATATTAACTTTAGTTGACAATAGTGTATTGGTATTGGTTCATTGGTTGTGCTAATGCACCATATTGAAGTAATGTAAGATGTTAAAAATAGAGGGAATTGGGTGTAGGATATATAGCAACTCTACTATCTTTTCAGCTTTTCTCAAAATTTAAAACTATTCTTAAAAGGTCACTCTCCTTCCTCCTCTTCCACACAACCCCATTGCGTTATTCAGTATATATTGCATCTTATTTTGGCTTCACATATCTAGAAAGTTGAGGAATATGGAAAAGAGCAGGGAAAGTAAAAGATAGGAAAGGTTAAAATGTCTAAGTGACTTAAAGTTACCTAGCTCAACAAAGACAACAGTGTCAGGCTTTCTGAAAATTGTTTCAAAAGGCTTTCACAAGTATGTCACTGAGTAGAACACAAAACAAAAGAAAATGATTTTGAATAAAAAAAGAGAATTTAATTTGAAAGAATCCTTTTTTAAATAAGAAGTTATTTTAATATCAGAATAGCCTAATAAAAGTAAAGGAAAATGTAGGAAATCATGTTTTAAAAAAGATTAGCTTCTCTGCTGTCCAGCATAGTAGCCACTAGCCTCATGTGGCTATTTAAATTTGTTTAAATTAATAAAATAAAAGATTCAGTTCCTAATTTGCAGTAGCCACATTTCAAGTACTCACTAGACACATGTGGCCAGTGGCTGCTATATTGGACAGAACAAATGTAGACAGACCATTTACACCATTGCAGCCCTGAATTCTGTGCTAATTGAGAAGTCAGTGGGGTTAAGGTATTTGGGATAAAATTGTTCATATTTGCTTGGATGTTATGGGTAGTTATGTTTACCTATTTGCATGTCTTGCTTAGGAATCCACAGAAACCCAAATGAAACTTTGAAACAGTAGAGCTTCCTATTTTACACCTTTTATTTCCTATTCCATGCAGGGAATAAGCCATATCATCTTTCAGATAGATAAAATCTGGCAGAGCCATGCCCATTCTGCAAACTTGATGGTTCACATCCTTCTTGAGACAGATTGTTTGGCTTAAAGTACACGTGCAAGAGTCAACAAGGATATTGTTGCTGTCAACAAAGTTTAGCACATAAGCAGAGTGGGTGACACTGTGAGAGTTTGAAAGCTATCCCTCCCTCCTTTCATTGAAATATATTATCCCTTGGGTATGTACATGTTATCAGTTACTGCCTTTATTAATATTTCCTTGCATACATATTTTGAGTGCTAATTCTTTTTTGTATTATAAACTATGGAATTTCCATTTCTGAATATCCTCTAAATTGTGATGAGGTACATATCTTGGATAGTACAGGTAAAGGGCTCTCAAAAGGATGACTTCAGGTACTGTTCAGATATGTTTCAGGCTAACAGATGACTTTGGCTATCTGTGTAAATAAAATTGGGTATTTGAGTTTTAAGACAAACTTAACCACAGAGCTGATATTTATCAGCTTCAAAATATGAACTGAAATACTTTTCAAGTTTTCTGATAGTTGTTACAAAATGACATTTATTATTTTAATATTCTTGGTCACACATTTCACTTTTACTTTAGATGCTTTTTAGAATTCAGAGGTATGGTTTAGATTAGTATAAAACTATGTTTCTCAGATTCGGGTGCACAGACTCTAGTTATATATATATATATATATATATATATATATATATATATATATATATATTCCAGGAATCCATGAGATGTTTTAATTATATATTTTCATTTTAGTGAATTAAAATACATTTTGTACGAATAAACATAAAAGTTTTCTTTGATAGAGAAATTTCCAATTAAAAACACTTTTTATAGAAGAACTCTAATTTTTTAAAACATTGTTTTTCCATCTAGGCACTGGGTCTGTAACTAGTATTAGTTTCAAAATAATTTTTCCTTTGAAAATGAATTTATAGATTACTCAAGTTTCAGAAACATTATGTAATGAATTTAAGCAAAAAAAGGAATTCATATGTGTACTCCACAGCATGCCTTATTTACGGATTCAGACTTAAGTCTTCTATTATTGTAAATGGCAATTTGATTCCACACTGGCATTGAGGATTAAAATAATTAAAAATAAATTGACAACTACATTTCTAAATACTGAAGTCACAATGATCTTGTAGGCCATGCTTGTTGATACCCTTTCATTTTGTACAAAACACCCCACCCCTCCCTCCAGCTCTCCCAGGTATTTGCTTTGCGGTACAAGATTCCTGTGCCACTGAGGCATTTTGGTAAAAGGAGCCTTAAGTGAATATTTTAAAATTATATATATATTATATATGATGTATATATATTATATATGATGAATCCTACTCATCTTCTGTCCTCCCACATAAAAGTGCAGTGTTTCCATACAATTGAAAAGAAGAGGCTGACATGCTTGTACAAAAAAAAAAAAAAAAAAAAAAAGAAAGAAAGAAAAGAAAAGACATTCAAGTAAAGGGACTTGGCAAGTAGAAAAAGAATTATGCTAGAAACACAAGGGCTGGGCATGCGCACATGCAGATATCTGGATCAAGAAGCTCTGAGTCTGGGTCAGCGATTCTCAAGCTTTGCATGCATTAGAGTCACCCAGAAGACTTGTTAAAGTACAGATTGTTGGGCTACAACCCAGAATTTCTGATTCAGTAGATCTCTAGGGCTCTGAATTTGCATTTCTAACAGTTTCCCCAGTGATGCTGTTGCTGCTGGTCCAGGGACTACACTTTAAGAATCACTAGTCTGTGATAAGAAATTCTAGATTCTGAGTAGTTAGGGCCACAGTTTTTTCCTATGTGTGTGATGTCACGTATTCCAGGTTGTTACAGACATGATCTGTGTGTCAGATCTTGCAAAACAAGAACAAAAACAATATACTCTCTTGATTAAACAGAGCAATTAAAAACAAGGGACATGGAAGAAGTGACAAGAAAAGGGGGAAATTAGAGTTTATCCAGGCCCTATTACATCCACTTCTGTTAATATTACTTCAAATCTTTTGGATCAATAAGAAGAAACTATGTTAACTCAAATGTGGCATGGAAAAAATCCATTGTCTGTACATTACATAATTTTCTAAGATTTCATCTAAATACTTTCATAGATAAAGACTTAAATGTGAACAGGTTTTAGAAGTATTCCTAAAGGGTCATATTTAGATGTTACTTTAAATTTGTCAGAGCTAGTAGATTCTAATCAAAGGTTCAAGTTCCACCTATGAGCTAACCATACTTCTTCTCAGAAAGCCATTTAAATACTCAATGCCTCACCTTTTCTGTGGGAAAAAAAGTCATTGAACTCTTACTATTTTTTTTTTGTCAAGAATGTTGTAAAGAGCAACCATACATGTGATGATCATGCAATTCTTTGGAGGAAGAAGGCACTAAAGAAATCCAAAAACTGCATTATTATTTTCAAAGATTTAGTTGCCTATAGAATTCCTCACTCCTACTTCAAGATTTGCTTATATAAAAAATTAAATTTGCTTCCACTTTATGGTATCCTTCAAAATATTTTCACCACAGCCCCCAAATCATTTCAGTTTTGTGAAATTAAATGATTGCCTACATTACTGTAAGTCTGAGTTAAATTTGCCATTTTAATTTCAGTGTGTCTTCTTGAAGACAGTTAATATAATTGGCAGTGCAAGACTGAAAACAGCTTTAGACCAGAATTATCTTTGTCCATGTTTTTCTCTATATAAAACTCTTCAGGCTGGGAATCCCAGCAATAGCATTTCTAGAAAGCTGCAAATAGTGACGAAGTCATGAAATAGGGCATTAGCTCAGAAGCAGATCTCTACATTAGAAAAGCGTAATTCATTTGTGTAAAACAAAACACAACAAAAACTGTAAAACACACACGCACGCACACACGCACATTCAGCTGGCACAAAACATAAGTATGGAAAGCTCCTCCCTCCCACCTGCCTGCAAGAGATACTAAATTGGAGTTAGTAAAACTAAATTCATCAATCTTTTCAGGTAACTTCCAATTACATGTATAGTATCATGTAAGGGAGGTGAGTACTGAGAGAGAAGTGAGAAAACCAGGGTTCTGATTTTGTGTATAATAGCTGCATTCAGCCATTCATTTTATAATGATGCCAAGTGCCAGATAAGGATAATGATGAGAATTTTATTAATAAATGTTAGCTATGTAACAGACACTATTTGATCACATTACATGTATTATTTCATTATCCAACACTTTATTAGATATTCATATCATTTTAAGAGGTGAGGAAACTGAGATATTACCTGTAATACATGTTCACCTTTAAGTCTTTATTTTTAAAGCCTAACCTGTTTCCTCACCTGAGGCTTCTGCCCCAAGCCAGGTCTGTCTGACTCCAGACACTGAGCTCCAAATGGCTGTGCTCTATTACCACCACACTACACTGTGTAGGGCCATGAAAATACACTGAAGAACAAAACAGACCCCGTCCCTGCCCCAGAGAGCATATAGTTTTAATCCATCTGAGCTTCCGTTTTCTTCTTGCAAGGTGGGATAAGTTATGGCACAGTATGGCTTCATTACTAGATCTTTCATAAATCCCAGTCAATTAAATGAAGGTATTAATGAAACTAGCATATGTAATTGGCAGAGTAATTTTTGTATGTCTCTTCTCCTTGGGAAATGCATAGTAATCTTGGAAAGTTCACTGAACTTGAGCATTGTACACTGAAATCTTGGAATAAGGCACCATCTAGGATAAAACAAAAACAGAAAAATTGACTATGTTTATATTCTTGGCTTAAAAATTTTGCCTTGTCCAGAAGAGAATCAGCTGTCAGATTCAACTTACTACAGGAAACAGTAAAAATGAAACCTGTTTCTATAGCTTTCTTCCCTCAGGGACCCAGTGTCTCGCAAGTATGTTTCCATTTGAAGAAATCCTCAAATGAATCCCACATCTCAAGGTAGGTGTTTATTTACACTTTGCAGATCCAATTCCAAGGCTCCACATTTAGGGCAAGTTAATTTTAAAAGCTTCCTACTGGCATCCCTTCTAAATAAGGGATGTCTTTTTATTTTGAATAATATTTTTCTGTCGTAAGCTGCTCAGTTCCTATCCTCACACACATACTTACATTTTCTGATCAGAAAGTCTAACGAGATATGCACTGGCATTAAAGATACATCAATAATGTAAAATGTAACTTTTTGGTCCCCTATTGCACTTCACTATATCTCTTTCCTCTTTGGAAAGTTACAGAAATGGCCATTTAAAGAAATTAAGGTAAAATACATCTCATTCAAATAAATGTGCAAAATAAGAGAGAGTAAGTCAGAGTGTGCATGTGTGTCTTTACAGTTTTCTCAAAAGACACTGAACTAAGGACTCTGCACCCAGGAGAGAAAATATACATATGACTCTATGAACAACAGAAGAGTTTAAAGTTAACTTCTAAACATCATCGTGGCTTTTTTTTCTTGTTATTGTTGTGGCTGTTTTGTTATGCTGGCTGCCAGAATCATGGAATTGAAGCATGGAATCGGCACTTTGTTTTTCACATAGTAGATTTTTCCTTGAATTTCTGTGAGATCATCTATGGATTCCTCCTCAATAAATCATTCTGCAAATATCTGTGAAGCACCTATTGTGTGCAGAGCACTGTACTAAAGCCCTTCAGTAGCATTGGAGGAGTCTAATTGGAGGAGACAGAAAATGTAACTAAGGCATGAAAGCCTTTCTCATAGATTCTTAATAGGGGCACTTCATCCTATAAACATGTGCCCCAACCTCATCCTTTAGTCTCCTAGCTTTCTGAAGCTTATATCATAGAGTTACACAATATACCCAGTTTCCTCAGTAAATCTTAGCAAGGAAATCAAGGATTCTTCTTTTAACAAAATCAACGAAGTAGTTTTTTTTTTTTTTTAGAGCCATTGAAATAACTTGTTATCTAATTGTCAAATAGTTTTCTAATTCTACATTGTGATTGAAGAATGAGGGGAAAAAATGGACAGAGGAGAGGCAGATAGCTCTGACCTGGGAACTAACACAATAGATCTTGAGAAACTTCAAAGTAAAACAATTATCTCAGCAACAGGGATGATTTGGCATCCCTTTGTTAGCCGTTTATGACACATGTGTAATACTTTGACATCAATTTAGAAACTGGCATTTCTAGAGCCTTGCCATATTGCCAGGATATTTCCATCTCAATAATATATTGATTATATTATAGTAATGAGTTGGCCAATGACTCACAGAGTTATGAAGAGATTATACTAAATTTATCTGAGATAAGTCATGATGAAAACTTCAGAATTATTACATGCATGTTTCATATCCTTGTCATGTTAATACTCACCTATTTTGTGACTTGATATCAGCCCCTGCTTTTTAATGTGAATCAGAAGCTGTAATTATTTGATGTTTTATAGGACTTAACACATTTTTATGGGTGTTTGGCTTATAGTAAAAATCCTCTCTAGTTACAAAAAACTGCAAGAAAACCTAGAAAAGTGAAATTTTGATTTTTGGTTACTTTCTGGAAAATGTTTATGGGTAATCAATTTTTTAAACTACATGGGTAATTTTGTGAGTTATCTTTCAGTTATTAATATGTTGACTGATCACAGACCAGTGAGGGGTAGCTCTGTAAATGACTGTAAATCTACCAATTTTTTATTAAATCAGGAGGCAAAGGATAGCGTAGTTTGTCCCAAGATATCACTGTGTAGAGCTCTGAGTTCAGAATATACATACCTCCCACCCCAAATGCTTAAGATGTATTTCCATGATCGTGAGTCCCTTTTCTGCATGTTTAGATTCTTCTGCATGATCTCTTCAACTTCCCTAAATGGTTAGTATGCCACAGAGGTTGATTCCTTTTTATCTATGCTTTTTGTTTTTGCTGCCTTGTATTTATAAAACCTCCTCAACTGTGCTACACATGGAATATTTGCCAATTGAGAGAGTGTAGCAAATGGATGATGGCAGCTAACAGAGGTTACATGCCACACCTTCAGCACTCATAGAAAGTGGGCACATTGCATCTCTGGGCGATCACAAGCTGGTGCAATATCTTGTAAAATACTGTTTGCCAAGTCACGCCAGCTGGATAGATAATGGGAATCACCGTGTTATATAGTAGTTCCAGTTCCAGACTGATCTTGATGCTATGGTTGGTTAAATATTATTGATGAGCTAATTATGCTCCTAAAACAAACCAACAGTATTCTTTAAAAAGGACTCTCCAAAAATAAACAGAAATACAGACAACAGTCTTGTCGTAAAGGCTAATGTCTTTTTTTCTCTTTGCCAAATTTGTTTTATGTATTGTGCATATATATCAAAAGAACTGCTTTAGATCAGGTGTTTAATGTATTTTGAGGAAGATATTAAATTGCTGAGAATACTTCATTCATTACAAAATAAATATACATTGTGGATGAATTTAAAAGCTAGACTTTTAATAAGTTGGTGAGGTGACAAGTATGTTAACTAGCCTGATTAAATCTTTCTACAATATATACATCGACCAAGACATGATGTCATACTGCATAAATATACATAATTTTTATTTGTCAACTAAAATTTTTTAAAAAGCAGACTTTTATAAGTAAGCTATCGATAAGCTAAACACTGGAAAAGATGACATGTAGAATAATTAGAATTTGAATGTGAGGCTGTTTAAATAAACATAGACAGATCTGGACTCAGAAATCTATGTTCATATAGCACTACATGCTGTTTAGTTGATGACTTCATTGCACTATATACTTACCACTAACTCCAGTGGGTAGCTATTTTGCACTGTTAAGGTACTTGTTTCTTTGTTGTGGGGGGTTTGTTTTTTTACTTCTAAGTGACCAACACTCATTTAAAAAACCTCTCTCACTCTATTATTCTAACTCAAAGTTGCCAGCCACATTGTGTGCTGTAGTATTAACACAGCATCACTTTAGTATTTGACATAATGCTTTGTGGCAGCTAAAATTTAAAAAGGATCACATTTATTCTAATATCATTATAGTTATTGTGATGTACCCAAGCAGATCACTCTAGTTTTGCTAAAGCTGAGCTTGCTGTCCATCAGAATTACCTTCTTGCACATCTTTTTCTATATAATAAAAAACATAAATCTTGTAATATTAATTCTTGTTTTTTATTTAGATACTTCATTGATGTAAAAATGTTTAAATATCTTTTGGTCCTTGGAAGAGTGGGCATCAATGCTTCTGTAACCATTAGTAGGTTACGATCGAGAATTTAAGTTAACTTTTCTATTAAATCCTACTTACCCATGTTCTAAGGATAATCATTTTTAATCATAGAAGTCCTCAGCAATTAGAAGAGAATAAAGAATTTTATTGTCACTAGGGAAATAGAGGCTAACATCTTGACGTATATTAAGTTTCATTTCTTTGGGAGTTTGTTTGGCAGATTATGACTTGTGAACTCTTTGTCATCTCTTTGGAAGAAAGCCACAAGAGCAACTGAAGACGTAGAATTTGTAAAAAGAAATTGTTTTATTCAGCTTTGCTGTGACTGAAAGTTTGATTATAGACTGTGCCATTTCATCTTATCTTTAATCTACAGATTTTTAAATGGTTTCCTTTCTAATCCACAAATATAAAAATTAGAGGTTTATTCAGACAATATGTATGAAGTCAAATACGTATTTCTTATTTATATGTAAGATGTAAAGGATAGAAATGCATTCTTATTTATTGGTTTCTGGAAGCTGAAGTAAGCCTGGGCAACATAGGAAGACCCTGTCTCAACAAATACAAAATGCAAATATTAGCTGGGCATGGTGGCATGCGCCTGTAGTCCCAGCTACTCAGGAGGATGAGCCAGGAGGATCACTTGAGCCTGAGAGGTTGAAGGCTGCAGTGAGTTGTAATTGGGCCACTGCACACCAGCCTGGGCGACTGAGTGAGACCCTTTCTTAAACAAAACAAAACGCTGAAGTAGTGTTTGTTTAGTTGTTATTAGTTATGTAGATTTTTAAGAAATGCACTCCATATTTTGGGGGGCCAACTTTTTTTCAGTTGAGAAAATATAAATGAGTAAAAGGAGTTATCAAATTAATACTTACAGCAGGATGAATATCTTTCCTTTATATAATAAGAATTTATAGTGTATATATATATATATATATATTCCTTTTTTTCTTAATTATGCTAAGAAATTCTTCCTGAAATCTATACTAAATGTCTTTTTTCTTTTTTTTCTTTTGAGATGGAGTCTCACTCTGTCACCCAGGCTGGAGTGCAGTGGCACGATCTCTGCTCACTGCAAGCTCCGCCTCCCGGGTTCACGCCATTCTCCCACCTCAGCCTCCCGAGTAGCTGGGACTACAGGCGCCCGCCACCACGCCCGGCTAATTTTTTGTATTTTTTAGTAGAGACGGGGTTTCACCGTGTTAGCCAGGATGGTCTCAATCTCCTGACCTCGTGATCTGCCCGCCTCAGCCTCCCAAAGTGCTGGGATTACAGGCGTGAGCCACTGCGCCTGGCCTACTACATCTCTTATAAGTTTTACCTATTTAAAACTTTGCTTTAACTGGACAGAGAGGGGGAAAATGTGTTTTATTACCATGTAATATACTTTCATGATTTCTTATGAAGAGATGGAATTCAATTCAAATCAGGCTTTCATTCCTATCTCAACTCCTAAAGCCTTTATCCAGCTCACCACTCACTGTCCTGCATGTGGCAAATTGAATATTTTATCTTATTTGAGCTTCTACCAGGGTCCAACAAAGTTGACCACTGTCTCCTTCTTCAAATAGTTTCTTCTCTTAGTTTGGGTGATCACAGTCTCCTGGTTTTCTTCTTGGTATCCTTTACTGGTTCTTCTTCAGTTTGAACTTTATGTTATAGGGGCTCCCAGGGCTTGACCCTTCTTTTTTAATCTACATGCTCTCCCTAGGTGCTTTCCTTTAGCCCCATGGTGTCTTTAAATACTATTTGTTTGGGTCCCAATGTGAGACAGTCTTTGTCATTCATGGGTTGGAAGATGACTTTTCTGCTAATGTGAACCACTATAGACACCCAGTCATTCTCCATTCTATTATACCAATTTAAGTATCCAGGTAGCTCATATCCCTATCAGATATTTTTCTTGTTTGTTACTTGTGGAGGGTTTTTTGGGGGGGGGGGTTGGAGGTAGGGGTGTTCTCTTTCCTTGAACTCTGTGAGACATTGAATAAAACAGGTGTTGAGTGAATGAATGTTTGCTTGTTTATTTACTTATTCAAAGACGTACACACATATCTATATTCCAGGCTCTGCGCTAGGGATGCAGAGATGATGAAGATGCAGTTCCTGCCCTCAAGGTTTCAGAGTCTTGTGAGGGAGGAAGGCATACAAATAAACAGTTACAGCACAGTGTGAAGAACGCAGCAGTGGAACCCTGTCCAAAGTACAGAAGCTGCCTAGAACAGGATATGATTAATCCCAAGGGGAATGTAGAGTTGGATGAAGCCCAGTAGAGGAATGAATTATTTGGGTTTTAAAAGACGAATAAGATTTTTCAAGTAAACAATGGGAAAGGATTAGGGACTTCCAGACTGAGATACTAGCATATGCCAAGGCACAGTGGTATGCAGTACTTGAGGAATAACTGCAAACATTTGTTCTTACAGAAACATGGGATGTTAAGTGGGAATGGAGGGAATGGAGCTGGAAATGCAGGCCTTGGACAGAAGGGGTTTAATTTTTCCCACTAGGAAGCTTAGACTTCCTCCTGTGGGTAAACTAATGAATGTTGACAGATTTCAAGCAGGTCAAAGATATGTTTACATTTTTATTTTAGAAAAGTTTTTTTTTTTTTTTTGTGGGGATAGTATGGAAAAGGGATTCAGAAGAAAGGAAACCAGTTAGGCCAGTTAGGAGAGAACAGGTGAAGCAATAGATGAAGACCTAAATGATACAAACATGTTGGGGATAAAGAAAGAATGTAGAATGGCGAAAGAAGTCAGAGATGAAATCAGTTGTATTGGTGAGTCTGTGTGAATGCAGAGTGGTTCAGAGTGGGATGAATGAGAGGGACTGATAACAGGCCTTCTATTTCTGGAAACTATGCCTCTGGGGTGACACTAACCAAAAATAGAGAATACAGAAAGGAAAACAGGCTCAGATGGGAATAGCATTCATTTGATAAATACGGTATACATTGATTATATTTTGTACATTTTTATACATATATATATATACACATACACACACATAAATATATAGCCATTGTGCATGAGTCTCAATTTTTTTTTTTTTAGTGAATTTGGTTTTAGACTTCTCAAGTCAGAAAATTTACAGGAAATCTTCTGGGGTATATCCAAATTTATGTTCAAACCCCAAAGTCAAATTCTGATTTTGCCACTAGCTGTGTGATTATGGTACTTCTTTGAGGCTTTGTGTCCTCATTTCTGTCATCCTGATACCAGAGTTGGATTAGAAAATTACCTTGATATTTTTATCCACAAGACATGGTTCTTGGGTTCCACTGGGTCATTAACCATGTACTCAAAGAATAACAGAATTCTAGGTCTTAAAAGGAGATCATTTAAACTAATTCTCTACCTTCCTTGCCCTCAGTGTCAGTTGAGAAAATAGAGGTCCAGAGAGTTTGGTTTGTTGAAAGTAATGCAGTAAATTAATATTGGAATAAGCATTGGAGCCTAGAACTCCTAGCTTCTAATATATCATCTTGACCTACCCCTCAATGTAATGGTCCGTATTATTCCCAATTCTGACTCTCCTATGGTTCTAAAAACCCATATAACTTTGGACAGTTGGAGGAGACAGCTTCTGCTTTGTTGATTTGCCCTGTCAATGTATAATCCTTTGGGGGAATAAAGGAATGCTTGAGGAAGGCGAAGAAGCAAGGCTAATAATGCCCTCTGTCTCTGGTCCTTTAGGGGATTGTTAGTGAAGCTGTTGGTGACACCCCTAGTGACTTGGGGTTTGCTTGAGAGAAACCCTCTTACTCCTGTCCTTTACTCCTTCCTGCATCCATATTCTTTCTACCAAACTCAGGTTTCAAAACCAGAATCTGATAGAGTAATATGTGATTGTAAAGGAAGAGGGTCAACTTCAGCTCTGACATATATTTGCACATCCTGGGGTTTTAAACAAACAAAATGAGTGTTCATTGCTGATTCATGTTTTGCTTTTGGTTCCTTTTCTGCCATAGTCATGTGACATGCACCATGGTGGCTTTCATCATATAATACATTCTGGGTTCTCCTAAATCCTAAAGCACTTTGTAAAAATAAAACCATAGGTCTCATTTTTCTGATGAAGAGAGCAAGGCATAGAGAGGTTTTACAAAGTGATACAACAAATAAAGGGGGAAAAAGAATCCAGGATCATTTTTTTTCACTCTCCATTAAATGATACTCTCTTATGATTTTCTGTTGTCAAAAGCCCTCTCTACATTCTGTATTGTTAGGTCATCATCTCCTATAGTTTGCACAATACGGTGTATTATAGATTGCTCACAAAGCAGCAGATATGAATTCTTTATAATGGATTTATTCTTTTCAATTTTTTTGTCATCTTTGGGCTTAATAGAAATAGTTCAGCATGTTATATTGTGTGATCTGTCCCTAAATAGATAAAAGATTTCTGTGTTTTGAAGGAAACATTTATATTGGTTAATTTGCTGCATTGCCTGCAGGAATGTTAGTCTGTAGGAGGAAAACAACTGTTTCCTGACAAAATTTTCCCTAACTCTGCTAAAAACTCATGTTTTAACAGTAAAATAGGAATAATCCATAAACAATTAAAGAGTAATATCTTCAAGAATGTTTACTATCCCTCAGAACATCTAAGATTGTGAGACACAAAGGTGTCCTTTCTTACATGAAGAATGGCTCTTCCTTAATTCCCTCTTAAGCCGCAAGGCTATGGATGGAGTGAGCATGCAAATGTGAGCCTAGGCATTTACTCCCTGGATATATAGTCCCTGCCTGCTCTTTGAGAGCCACTAGTCTAACGACAATAGAAAGAGAATGTGCACTTTCCTTTAAGAAATTAAACAGCACTGTCCACAATGTGCAAAAGACTGTGAAATTGAAAATGTGTCCCTGGAGTGGATAAAAAAATAATAATAAGTGGCAACTCACAAACAGACTCTTGGCAAATAATCAATTATCTTCTGAATTACTATACAAAACTATAGTTCATTTCACCAGCCCATTGGGGAAACAGTTTCCACACAGGAGACAGTCAGCTTAGATTGGGGAGTTGTTTACAATTTACTTCCAGGGTATCTTCATGTAAATATCAACAGACCATAGTACTGGTGTGACGCAATGTTAGAACCCACGTTATTGGTTTGTTGAACTAACTACGAAATAGCAAATTCATTTGAAGGAAATCTGTTGCTTGTTGCATTTTTGTGGCTAGAGTGTTGACTCACATAGCTTAATTTTTAAATCTGGAGTAACAGTTAAACTTTCCTGAAGATTAAAGATAGGTTTAGTAGATTTTTGCTAGGGCAGCGCTGTTTCATGAACCTGAGTTGAATCTCTGGCCTACGAGTAGATTTAGAGCTGGTTTAAATATAGGAGAACAGGAAAAGAAATGATGCTTTACTACTGGCTGCCCTTATAAATAAAATCAGTAGAATTAAGACTGTTCTGGAAAAATACCTATGATTAATAAATAGACGGGGAAAGAACTAATGGCTGGCTGGCTAGAGTTTTGTATCAGTAAAATTTTAAGTAAACCATAAAATATATATACTAGAATTTAATAAACAATAAGAATCTTAGATAACCTTTCAGGTATGTAAGTCTATGGAAATGTACAAAAGTATTCAGCATCTGTATAACTGGAGAAGAGGATCATAGATGAAGCAGCTTTGGAAGCCAGCTGAAGGAGACACTATAAAGAAAGGAACGATTAACAACAGAACGATCTTCAACTGTCATTGTTCTTTTTACTTTTTAAAGGGGGGTAGGAGGGACTTCAAGTCTACTTAATACAGACTCCTGGGGATCCATTCCTTTATAAGACCCACTTGCCTCATCTACATCCTCAGTCCTGATCACATCCAGCCTCCAGCCTATCCCTTACCATAGACACACACATACCTACAATTACACCCATTTTCAGGATGAGTATAGAGCCACTAACTGCCCAAAGACAGAAAACTAATCAATAGTAGTACTGGGGTTCACCAAGTTGTGTTTAGTCTTTAAACTATCTTTGTTAAAACTCGTAAGTCGTCATTTTGTTTACTGGCCAAAGAGTAAACTATCTTTTTTTTTTCTTTTCTTTTCTTTTGGAGATGGAGTTTCGTTCTTGTTTCCCAGGCTGGAGTGCAATGGCATGATCTCAGCTCACTGCAACCTCCGCCTCCCGGGTTCAAGCAATTCTCCTGCCTCAGCCTCCTGAGTAGCTGGGATTACAGGCATGTGCCACCACACCCAACTAATTTTGTATTTTTAGTAGAGATGGGGTTTCTCCATGTTGGTCAGGCTGGTCTCGAATTCCTGACCTCAGGTGATCTGCCCACCTCAGCCTCCCAAAGTACTGGGATTACAGGTGTGAGCCACCGTGCCCGGCAGACTATCCTTTTTAAAATAACTGCAGATCACCTGAGGTTGGGAGTTTGAGACCAGCCTGACTAACACGGAGAAACCCCGTCTCTACTAAAAATACAAAATTAGCCAGGTGTGGCGGTGGGCACCTGTATTCCTAGCTACTTGGGAGACTGAGGCAGGAGAATCCCTTGAACCCGGGAGGCAGAGGTTGCGGTGAGCTGAGATCATGCCATTGCATTCCAGCCTGGGCAACAAGAGCAAAACTCCGTCTCAAAAAACAAACAAACAAACAAACAAAAACAACCTGACATCTACAATTCAGAACGGTTCTTCCAGAGCTTGCTAACTTATTCTTCAACAATATACTTAGTCTTCAAAAAAAAAAAACCAACATTATTTTTTAGGCCAGGTGCGGTCGATCACGCCTGTAATCCCAGCACTTTGGGAGGTCAAGGCAGGTGGATCATCTGAGGTCAGGAGTTTGAGACCAGGCTGGCCAACATGGTGAAACCCCATCTCTACCAAAAAATACCAAAAAAAATTAGCCAGTGAACAGCCTGGCCAACATCGTTGTATTAGTTCGTTTTCAAGCTGCTGACAAAGACATACCAAGACTGGGAAGAAAAAGAGGTTTAATTGGACTTACAGTTCCACATGGCTGGGGAGCCCTCAGAAGCATGGCAGGAGGTGAAAGTCACTTCTTATGTGGTGGCAGCAAGAGAAAAATGAGGAAGAAGCAAAAGCAGAAATCCCTGATAAATCCATCAGATCTCATGAGACTTAATTCACTATCACAATAATAGCACAGCAAAGACCAGCCCCCATGATTCAGTTACCTCCCCCGATTCAGGTCCCTCTGACAACAGGGGGAATTCTGGGAGATAAAATTCAAGTTGAGATTTGTGTGGGGACACAGCCAAACCATATCATTCCACCCCTGGCTGGAGCAGCTGGGACACAGGGCAGGCACCAAGTCCCTAGGCTGCACCCAGCACTGGGACCCTGGGCCCGGCCCCCAGAACCACCTCTTCCTCTTCAGCCTCTGGGCCTGTGATGGGAGGGGCTGCTCTGAAGGTCTCTGACATGGCCTGGAGACATTTTCCCCGTGGTCTTGGGGATTAACATTAGGCTCCTAGCTACTTATGCAAATTTCTGCAGCTTGAATTTCTCCTCAAAAGATGAGTTTTTCTTTGCTGCTGCATCGCCAGGCTGCAAATTTTCTGAACTTTTATGCTGTTTCCCTTTTGAAATGGAATTCTTTTAACAGCAGCCAAGTCACCTTCTGAATGCTTTGCTGCTTAGTAATTTCTTCCACCAGATACGGTAAATCATCTCTCAAGTTCAAAATTCCACAGATCTCTAGGGCAGGCACAAAATGCCACCAGTCTCTTTCCTAAAACATAACAAGATTCACCTTTACTCCAGTTCCCAACAAGTTCCTCATCTCCTTCTGAGACCACCTCAGCCTGGACCTTATTGTCAATATTGATATCACCATTTTGGGCAAAGCCATTCAACAAGTCTCTAAGAAATTCCAAACTTTCCCACATTTTCCTGTCTTCTAAGCCTTCCAAACTCTTCCAACCTCTGCCTGTTACCAAGTTCCAAAGTCACTTCCACATTTTCAGGTATCTTTTAAGCAATGTCTCACTCTACTGGTACTAATTTACTGTGTTAGTCTGTTTTCATGCTGCTGATAAAGACATACTCAAGACTGGGAAGAAAAAGAGGTTTAGTTGGACTTACAGTTCCACATGGCTGGGGAGGCCTCAGAATCATGGCAGGAGGCGAAAGGCACTTCTTACATGGTGGCAGCAAGAGAAAAATGAGGAAGAAGAAAAAGCAGAAACCCCTGATAAACCCATCAGATCTTGTGAGACTTATTCACTAACACGGGAATAGCATGGGAAAGATTGGCTCCCATAATTCAGTTACCTCCCCCTGGGTCTCTCCCACAACACATGGGAATTCTGAAAGATACAATTCAAGTTGACATTTGGGTGGGGACACACCCAAACCTTATCAATGGTGAAATGACATCTCTACTAAAACTACAAAAATTAGCCAGGCAAGGTGGCGGGTGCTTCTAATCCCAGCTACTTGGGAGGCTGAGGCAGGAGAATCATTTGAACCTGGGAGACAGTGGTTGCAGTGAGCAGAGATCACACCATTGTACTCCAGCCTGGGTGATGAGAGCGAAACTCCATCTACAAAAATAAAATTAGGCGTGATGGTGCATGCCTGTAGTTCCAGCTGCTGGGGAGGCTGAGATGGAAGAATCGCTTGAACCCAGTAGGCAGAGGTTGCAGTGAGCCGAGATCACATCACTGCACTCCATCCTGAGTGACAGAGTGAGACTCTGTCTCAAAAAATAATAATAATAATAATAAATAAATAATCATTTTAAAGTTAATATGTAATCATAGTTTTAAAAAAATCTAGCCAGGCGCGGTGGCTCACGCCTGTAATTCCAGCACTTTGGGAGGCTGAAGCAGGTGGATCACCTGAGGTCGAGAGTTCAAGACCAGCTTGGCCAACATGGTGAAACCCTGTCTCTACTAAAAATGCAAAAATTAGCTGGGCGTGGTGGCGGGCGCCTGTAATACCAGCTACTTGGGAGGCTGAGGCAGGAGAATCACTTGAACCTGGGAGGAGGAGTTTGCAGTGAGCCAAGATCATGCCACTGGACTCCAGCCTGGGCAACAGAGACTCCATCTCAAAAAAAAAAAAAAAAAAAAAAAAAATATATATATATATATATATATGTATACATATATATATGTATATATGTATACATATATATGTATATGTATATATATGTATATCTATATACATATATATGTATATGTGTATACATATATATGTATATGTGTATACATATATATGTATATGTGTATACATATATATGTATATGTGTATACATATATATGTATATGTGTATATATATATATATGTATATGTATATATAGTTTGTTGCTCTTTTTCAGTCTTGGGCTGTTAACAAAATCTCAGTCAAGTCTGAATAGTCCACCAGAGGTGGAATTATTTGCTGTGTTGCAACATGGAGGTTGTATGAAATTAAGTCTTGACTTGGCTATCTCAAATTGTAAAAGATAGAATATTTTCTCTTTGTATGTTGCAGGTATTATTAATTGATATGTTGTCAGCACTTCCATAAATATTTCTATGCTGTAGTGATTTTTTTCCTCACTGAAATGTATGCTGTGACAATTCAGCACATTTCTCCACCTATTAGATCAGATACCATCAATGAGAAGGAAGTAAAGGAGCTCTTACAAGGTGCATCAATTCTTTCACATCTAAATTACATTATGCAGCATTGAATATTATTATGAAAGTTTGCAGAATAATAGAGCACTACAGAAATATTTAGGCTATGCAGAGGCCCCAGAATAACAAATCTCTTAAGAGGGAGTTGATTTCTTTTATTCAATAAGATCAGACTGTGATAAGTCATTTTTTCCCTTAATTTTTTTTATTTTTTGTTTTTTTTTATTTTTTTGAGATAGAGTCTTGCTCTGTCACCCAGGCTGGAGTGCAGTGATGCAATCTTGACTCATTGCAGCCTCTGCCTCCCGGGTTCAAGCTCTTCTCATGCCTCAGCCACCCAGGTACTGGGATTACAGGCTTGTGCCACCATGCCTAGCTAATTTTTTTATTTCAGTAGAGATGAGGTTTCACTATGTTGGCCAGGCTGGTCTTGAACTCCTGGCCTCAAGTGATCCTCTGGACTCAGCCTCCCAAAGTGCTGAGATTACAGGCATAAGCCACCACACCTGGCCTCTTTACTATGCACATGCCACATGTTTTGGTGACAATCTCTACCACTTCAGGGGAAGAAGAAAAAAGTTGCATCTGATTTGTGTTTCCCAACAAATAATCATAATCTAATTACCCTGGTAAGAAATACTTTTTTAAAAGTTAGCCTATTCTTTCACTTTTTAGAAGCCAGTTGATGTCTATCCCTTCATAAATTGACCAAAATATTTCAGACCACTTGATATGATTCTCTGGGACTAACCCCCCAAAATGGTGTTTCATTTGATGGGACTTAGGGTTTCATTCAATATCTAGGGATAATCTGGATACATTTCCAAGCCCTTCGAGGGCTCTATCTGCCCATGAGTATCTGAATCACACCTTCAGAAGAATATCTGGTTTGATCACCATGGCACTGCCCTTGGTGATTCATTTAAAGAATGCATTTGGTATTCCTTAGGACAGATTGTTCTAGTAGTTTAGGTTGGCAGTTGAGAGGAATATATTAGCTCATCTCAATTATTAAACAAATAGTAGCAATGATAATAGAACAGTGTGCCTTTCAAATTTCTTCCAGAGGCTCTTCCAGAAAATATTTCTTCTCGGTTTGCACTATTGTGATTTTCATCATCTTGTTTTTCAATTTGTTTCCAAAGACACAAATTAACTTGGGCTTTTAAGTAAATCTTCTGAACTTATTTATCATTCTTTCTTTTTTTAGAATTTTTTTTTGTAATTACTATAGAACATCTGACCATTTAGTAAGAAAAGAAGAAATTTATGAACTTCGAAGGTTAGATGAACAGAGCAAGATTCCTTTGTGGGTATAGATGATGTGGCTGTTCTGACTCCTTTCTGGCTGTGAAACAATTACGTGGGGCACAAGGAGTTGTTGGATGAAGGTTCAAGAACACTCACAGCATAATGGAATTTAGGGGTGAAAGAACTGATACTCCTAGTAAGTGTTGCTTCATTCTGTTCTCACTAATGGTATCTGAAGACAAGCACTGTGGTTTGGATATGGTTTGTTTGGCCCTGCCTAATCGCATGTTGAAATTTGATCCCCAATGTTGGAGGTAAATCCTAGTGAAAGGTGTTTGGATTGTGCAGGCAGATCCCTCCTGAATGGCTTGGTGTCATTCTTGCCGGAGAGAGTGAGTGCTCACTCTTAGTTCCCATGAGAACTGCTTGTTGAAAAAAGCCAGGCATCTCCTTTGCTCTCTCTAGCTCCCTCTCTTTCTTGCCATGTCAGATGCCTGCTCCCCTTGCCTCCCACCATGAGTGGAAGCAGCCTGACGCCCTCAGTAGAAGCAGATGCTGGTGCCATGCTTCTTGTACAGCTGGCAGAATTGTGAGTCAAATAAACCTTTTTCTTTATAAATGAATGACCTAGTTTCAGGTATTCCTTTATACCAACACAAACAGACTAAGACCGAGAGAGAGAGAGAGAGAGAGAGAGAGAGAGAGAGAGAGAGAGAGCTGTTTCTTAAGAAGATTCGCTGATAACTGGATGTTATCAGCCAGATTTGCCCATGTGCCCCGGAGGCCAGATGTGTTGGGTTGTCACAGCCTGGGTCCCAGCACTCAATTCCTCTGTACAGAGTTGGACATCCCACAGACAGGCCTGTGAGATGTGTAAAGAGTTTCCCTACTTTTTGAAGAATAACTTGCCTACCACTAGCAATGTTCTCCCTAAGACTACCCCAGTAATATCTATTCCGCAGACAACAACTTATTCCTCCCAAAAAACAGAGTTGTGGCATTATTTCTATTAAAAGAATGAAATAGTCCTAATGCTGATGGTTTTCTAGTTTTTCTTCCCTCTTTTCCTTTAGTAGTTTCTACCTAGTTCCCTGCCTCTCTGGAAAACCCTGGAATAGGCAAATAGTGTTGTTACGTTGCTCCCAGCTTGTAAGTTTATATTAAACCTGGGAAAGTGAGCTCTAACTACAATTTGCACTTCATTCTTAAGCTTCCAAATCACAAAATTACCATATATATCTAAAATTTTCAGAATCTCAAATTGAATACATTGTGCACTATACCATCTATTACAGATTTGCAAAATCTTTTTATTGAAGTATGAATAATTCCTTTTATATTCTACACTATTTAGCATGACCTACTAAAATGTGTAATGAGGAATCCTGCCTCCCTCCTACCACCACACTCTGGCCAAGTGGAAGAACTCGTTGCTGGTTACATTTAGGCTTCTTTTAATTACATGAGTCTTCTGTAGAATTCCTCTTGAATTTTCAGCTTCACTCAGACAACTTGGGGAAAACTCTACCCAAACATACTCATGTGCATGCACACACACACACACACACACACACACACACAGACTCCCTCTGACATTCTGATGTTTGACACACCCCCAACATTATGTGAGGATATGCCTCTTCTGACACATTCTATGCATGGTATGTATGCCAGATTTTTTCATTGGAATTCATCAATGCGTAGGTTTTCAGGCTAGTCATGTACCATTAGAGAACCTATTGTATCATCCCTACTAATTGAATTTGCTGAGAGCGAGGAGGCTTCCTAAAACAAAGTTCTGTGATGGCTTCAAATTGAACTGAACAAAAATCTGTGGGGACTTGACATCAAATTAGTACTAGATTCAGTGTCTTTATTGGAAATATTATTTCTTTTTGGTCCTTCCCTTCATTAACATAAGGAATGAGATAGACCTTGGCAACCATTTCTGTTTTTTTTTTTTTTTCTCTTGGAGGAGAGTCTACAGTAACGTCACATTCTTCAGAGGACAAAAGAAAAATACAGGTTTCTTATTGTTTGCTTTCAGTCTGTTGGCCTTATAAAGATGGCCTTCTTTCTGTTTTCCATTTACAATATGTATCTGTTTTCCATATACATTCAGAACAATAAAGAGTGGATATTTAAAAGTATCTGTAGTAGCCAACAGCTGGAAACATGCCAGGCATCTTTACATTTTAAATTTTTCCTGGGCTCTAAAGGTAGATGAAGCCAAGTTTCCTTTTGACTCAGCAGGCAAGTTTTACTCTGATAAGAGTATTGCTATTTTAAAAAGCAGCTCTTGACAATCTAACTCCAGAAAGCATTCCCACCCTCTGAAATAGTACAGAGGCCCCTGTGCCTGCTTCCTTATTGATGAAACAGTGGAAAATAATGCCCGTTAGAAGCAATTTAAATCATTTAGTAGCTTAGCTTCTGACTCCTCAATAGATTTCTAACCCAAGCTTTTATGCCACATCTAGTGTCCCAGTTTTTCTGATTGGGGAGGTGGAGGCAATCTAATCTTCTCAGGCATGGCATACAACAGAAGTTTGGTTTGATGAGCCCCTCCAGGAGTGTGGCCTGCCTTGGTCAGCTCAACAAAGGAGCCGAATTAGTTCCAGAACCTAGACGTTCTGAGCACAACTTCAGCTGTTCAAGTTTTATGCTCTTATAGGATACCTTCCTATTTTTCTCACTGTTTCGTTATGACCATAAAAGTTTCATTTCTAATCTCACTCAATTTAGAGTGACATGTCACAATGCCTCCCTTAAAGCTCCTGGCTATTTAGAACTCTTGATACCCAATAAACAGGATAAGATTATCATTCATTAGCATCCAGGAAAAATGTCTGCAGCTCCAAAATTATCTCTAGATGTCTCTAAGAGTAAGAGTCAGCAACTAGGGGTTAGTGTTAATTAGCTAAGTAATGATCTTAAAGATTCATTTATTTTAAACCTTAAGAGTCTTGGGGAGATATTATATTTGGTTGTTAACACTAGTTATGTATTTGATTATTTGTAAAAGGAAACCTACTTATTCCTAATCTCAGTCGTTTAATTCAAAGTAGTGTTCTTAACCTTGCTGTAACTTGACATTGCTAAAATAGTTGTTACAAAAGGTGTTGAAGAAGCAATGAAAGACTCCCTAGCTCAGTCCACTTATGCTGTAAGTACCTCCAGAATATTGGCAGGAACTGAAATGTCTTTTCTGCATGGAGTGTTTAGAGTAGGACTTATCTTTGCAAATGTAGAGCTCTCTCTCTCTCTCTCTCTCTCTGTGTGTGTGTGTGTGTGTGCGTGTGTGTGTGTTTATGTATGTAGTGTAGTGGATGTTCCATTATATTAGACTTTATAATCATCAGAGCTTAAACCACATATTTTTCTCTTAGAAACTAAGATATATGTGGGAGAGAGATAGCATCAGCCTCAGGAGTCTGGAATATAACATGATTTTCCAATATGATGTATGAAAACAGATTAATCACTCATGAATTATAAAAATGTGATTACCTTTTTAGTGAAGAGGATATGATTAGTGACAAAAGCTGCTGGTAGAATTTGATGGTGGGGCTAGGAACATAGAAGGGCTGTGGTATATATGATGTTTCTGAACTGTGTAGATTGTTGTTTCCAGTGTCAATTGAAAACCTGTCATGGGCTGTATAGTTGTTAATCATCTTTTTCTGTTAAACCTTTAGAGTCATAGCACATCGTTTGAGAATTATTTGTGATCTTGTCCCATTGGACTCTGAGGTCCTTGAAGTTATGAAATTGTTCTCTATAACTCTGACAGCTGGCAAAGATAGGTGCTTAATGTATATGAGGTTTGTAAAATGAATGTTGAGGAACTATTTGGCATATGAACTGCTTCCAAAAGTCAAACGGTTTGTCAAGTGTTGGCTACTTCAACTTCAAAGAAGGTCATGGCCCGAAATACTGTATTTATTTACTAGCTTGAAAACCATTTCTTAAAATAAAATAAAACGTCTCTTGAGTATGTACACATGTATGCATGCACACACACCAACACACATTTTTAACACGGGGAATGTTTTAGCTTAAAGTCTTACAATAAAAGGTGGTTTACATTAAAGGACCTTGCTTCAACTTCCCATCCCGGGCTGAAGTGCCCTCTATGGTTTGTCAGTCTCCTACTGGTACGCTCCTCCTTTGGGAATAAAATCACCATTTTGCTCTTTTTTCACATTTACAACTTCTTTTTTTAAATTTTTTAATTTCTGTGGGTACATAATAGGTATGTATATATTTATGGTATACATGAGATATTTTGATACGAGCATACACATGTAAATGAGGTATCCTTCACCTCTAGTATTATCCTTTCTTTGTGTTATAAACAATCCAGTTCTATTCTTTTAGTTATTTTTAAATCTGGCCTATGAAAAATAACTCGGCCTAGAGTCTAGCACTGAATGGATGTTTATTTCCTTGCCTCTCCCCTTCGTCTTTACAGAAACATCCCAATCCATTTCATCCTGATCTTATTGGTGCTTACAAGTTAAATAGAACACTGAGTAACACTCCAGTTAATAATACCAGGAATGAAAGTGGGATCAGAGTTCCAACTACCCTACACAAATAGATCTAGGGTCCAGCATTGATGGTCTTGAAAATGAGTGAAAACCTGATTAGTATGTCAACATCTTCATCAATAATGTATCTTTTCTTAAGCACTTAGTTGGTGCCAAGTACTGTATCAAAATTAAAGCCAAATAACATGAGGTTCTTTGCCTATAAACAATTACAATTTAACAAGCACTTTTGATCATTCCAAAATGTCTTCTTTCAAATACAAATAAAATTATATAGTATATTAAATATTGCATAGCAATCTGTCCAAGATTCCGAAATGCAAGCTCCATGATAGTTCTAGAAATGGAATGAAATCAGTGATAGAAAGGGGGAAATAAAAATAATAGTTAATAAAATTATATGGGGAAGCTCTTATTTTCCATCTTCCTCCAAATCCTCGAGATTATTCATTCATAGGTCAAGCCAGATTCTCACTTCTTCAAAATGAGGCCTGGCTACTCTAGTTTTCAAATTATCCTTATATTCATATTAGCGCTTTGCTCCAGTTTAGCAAAACATTCATGCAAACTTAAGTCCAGAACCAGGGATTACTTAGATGACACTGGGCATAGATCTTTTAAAAAATCCTATTGCTTTTCTGTTATTTTTGAAATAAAAAAATTTTTAAGTGTCTCTAAAACTGTACCTAAAATTAAAAGTTTTTTAAAAAAAGTCCTGTAAAATAAATTCCTGTTGCACAAAATATTTTGTTGTTGTTGTTGTTTGCACTGACTTCCATCGTATAGATAGAGATTCATTGGTGAGGGGATGGGGTTACCCTGAATAGATTAAGATCACATAAATATTTTAAAATTGTATGCTTAAAATAGATGACTTTCTGATATAAAACATTAGCATTAGTACTTTAAAATATTAATACTAATGCCTTAAAGTAATCAATAAATCACAAAAGAAGCTGAAACCATAATTGGCTTCTGGAGAAAATTGATAATGTTATTGTCACATAACTTTCCCCTTAACAGAAACAACAATGTATTAAACTTTAAACAGAGCAAAATATTGCCTTCAATTTGTTATCCAAAATACTTTTTTTAATTTCAAAAATTTCCCCATTTTTAAGGTCTTTTCGTTGTCTTTTCATATAAGTGGCAAGCTTATATTTTAATATATTATAAAATGTATATAGTGCATAAACTCAAGAACTAGAGTGAATGTGTAGCATGGGTGGAGCATGTGCCTATTCTTATTTACTATTGCATTCCTAATACCTAACACAGGGCCTAAACTATGATAGAAAGAGGTGATATTTATTGAGTCCCTATTATATGCCAGTCATTATTTGAAGCACATTACATGGATGAGCTCATTTAATCTTCACAATAATCCTATGAGGTAGGTACTGCTTTACAGATGGAAAAAACTGAGGTCCAGAGAGGTGAATTATAATACCAGAGGTCATATGATTAGTAAGTAGTAGGGCTAAAATTCAAACTCTGGAAGTCTGGCTCCAAATCTTCTCTCTTAATCATTTTTACACTGTCCTGCATGTGTTAGGCAAATTTTAAGGATGTTGAATGAGTGAAAGAATGGGAGTAAACAGTATTCCTCACGCTATAGTAATTGGTCATTTCCTGCATGCACTAAGTGACAACTTCTGGTTGTTGTTACTGTTTTACCTAAAAATCAGGAATGATGATTAGAAATGAGGGTTTTTGGGTTTTTCTGTTTTGTTTTTTTGGACGGAAACCAGGGAAAATTATTCAGCAAATACAGACATTTTAGATAAATTATGGATTATAATAAGATTATGGAAGTTCAAAGTGTATTTGTGAAGCCCAACAGATAGGAGTGGGAATCATTCACACTTTTCTTCTTAAACAAGAAAAACTACATAAACTTCTTTAGCAGAACATATGCTGGTTAACCTAAGCAAAAATTTAGACTGTATAAATGTTTAAATGAGAAATACTCTATTATTGCCTAAATTTGGGTGAATGTATTTGCTCATAGGTATCTTCAGAGCAGTCAGTTTATCTAGTTTTTTTTGGTAGGATATATTAAAACTATGTAGAAAAATCCTATCCCTAAGTAGAATACTAATTTTCTAGATTGATTCTTAACATTTTTATTTAGTGAAAGTGTGTGTGTGTGTGTGTGTGTGTGTGTTTGTGTGTGTGTGTGTGTTGGTTAATGGATATGGTCCTGTCATCTTCCTCTCTTATGGAATTCTCTTATGTGAATTGCCTGACACTAAGTGATCTAAATTTTTAAATACAGGCAGAAAAGCTGTTATTTTTTATTTAGCTTTTACAGTGTAATGGAATTTGTGACAAGATTATTTGCTACAACGTTATTTTGTTCTTGATTAGTGTTCTTTGTAAAGGACCCCGAGCTATGTGTACAAAAGGCTGTATATGAGCTGCGGATAGAGGGGCAGGTGACCTTCATTCAAACATATCCAAGTAGTCATTAACAAAGTTTTAAGCATTTGAACTTCCTAACTGGAGGTATGACAACAGTAATTGCAGATGTCCTTAAGATAGCTGTACACATTTTGATCAATGAATATCCTAAGTTCACTTTGAAAGAAGCAATTATTACTAGGTATAAGGTTTGCTTAAATTATGTCCTTTAAAATTGGCATTTAGAAACTTCTTGGGCAACCCTAGCCTGCTGAATGCTTTGGTGCTAACAATAACATGGTACGGTGTTGTACAACATAAATACATTTGCCCACGATGTAATGACTTGCTTTCAAAAGTCTTTTATCTCCTAAACAGAATGAACTGAGTTTAGAGGCCCTACCAATATTGTAGCTCTTTGAGTCAGACAGTGGCCACCAGCAGAGTATCAACAATATGAATTTGCTTTAATAAAGGTTAGCTCTCATTTTTTAAAGCATTACATGTCTTATTGCATATAGAACATAAAATTTTGCAAAATATTTAAGGTAGCTTTGCCAGACAATCTCACAGCTCTGTAACTCCTCCTCAACTGCAATGCATTTCCTAAATTACTGATTTTCAAATGTATTTGAACAGTTGAACTTTTTTTTGTGTTGTTTTGTTTTTTGAGATGGAGTCTCACTGTGTCGCTCAGGCTGGAGTGCAGTGGCTTGATCTCGGCTCACTGCAACCTCCCAGGTTCAAATGATTCTCCTGCCTCAGCCTACCGAGTAGCTGGGACTACAGGTGTGTGCCACCACGCCTGGCTAATTTTGTGTATTTTTAGTAGAGACGGGGTTTCACCGTGTTAGCCAGGATAGTCTCAATCTCCTGATCTCGTGATCCACATGCCTTGGCCTCCCAAAGGGCTGGGATACAGGCGTGAGCCACCGCACCCGGCCTATCAGTAGAACTTTTTACTTGCACACTGAGTCAAACTCAGAAACCCAGACTATAAAATGTATAAAAGCAATGAAAGGACAATTTTAAGTCTTTAGTATGTGCAGAACGTTACTTAATTGCAGTATCTATCCAACATTTTTTGTTGTGTTTCTGCAGCGCCCTGGGTCCTCATTGAGCCCAATTCGAAAATCATCAGGCTGTCCTCAACACAGAAACTATTTCTTTAGCTCCTATACAAAGTCACAATATTGCAGGGAATTCAGTAACTATACAGCAACTTTCTCATTTAGAATGTACTTGTCTGGCAGTTTAGCTACCTCAAACATGAAATTTTATGTTAGAAGGCACATGTACTAAATCTCATGAACATTGTTCACAGGAAAGCCCTGTAGTATCTCACTCAGAAGCAATCTTCTGTTTTCACAAAGATCACATAAGTTTGGTGGTTCAGCTTTCCATGCCTCCTTAGAGATAGGACACAGCCTAACAGCAAGGGAGAAACAAAAAATACATAAAAATCAGAAAAAGGCAGAAAACCAAACATCGATGTTCTCACTCATAAGTGGGAGTTGAACAATGAGAACACATGGACACAGGGAGGGGAACATCTCACACTGGGGCCTGTTGGGGGTTGGGGGCTGGGGAGGGATAGCATTAGGAGAAATACCTAATGTAGATGACAAACTGATTAGTGCAACAAACCACCTGGCACGTGTATACCTATGTAACAAAACCTGCACATTCTGCACATGTGTCGCAGAACTTAAAGTATAATTTTAAAAAATCAGAAAAAGGAATTAAAAATAAATATGCCTATATATATTTATGTGTATAGTATATATATTATGTGTTAAATATTATATATATGCTATAATTAATATATGTAGCATTTGGGATCATTGAATATAGACTCTAGTAAGCTCTATAGGTCCCTGAGTGTATCACTATATTATAGCACATTACAATATCGATTCAATAATAATGATGATTAGTCATTAAAACAGGTTAGGAAATACTGCATCTATTCTATTTTTTTTTAAGTGTAGGTATGCTTAAGAAAGGTTTTCATCACAAATAATTAAATTTCAAGCCTTTCTCTATGTGTCAGTCTCTCTCCTTCCCTTCTGCCCTCTGCATAGTCTCCAATGTAATGGGATGAGCGCATCTAGGCTGTGAAATCAAATCTTTCTTCCAAGTCTGGCTCTTCCACTTCCTGGCTGTGTGACGCTGGGCAATAATGGTACTCAGACTCTCTGTCAGTGTAATGTTGAGGTTTAATGAGATAAGTGATGGGCAAATTAGTTAGCACTTAATAAATGTTTTTCTTCCATGCTCCGCAGGGATAAGCTTCAGTTACTAACATTTTATCATCTAAATTTCCTCTTGTAAACTCACTATTCGTGCCATTTTACCCTTGGCTTCAATTCTGGTTATCTATTGCTGCTTAACAAACAAAATACCCCAAAACTTGGTAGCTTAAAACAATAACATTTCATAATTTCTCATGATTATTTGCCTTGACTAGGTGCACATGAGCAATTCCTCAAGATGACGTTGGCTGGGGCTGCAGCCATGACAGGATTTATGTGTTGGAATGTCCAGTGTGGTCCCTCAAATGCTGGGTGCCTAGATGGACAGCTGGAAGGCTGAGCTCAGCTGGGACACGGAACATCTGGGCCTCTCTTGCCTTAGTCTCAGGGCCTTTTCTCTCTATGTGACCTCTCCATGTGGCCTCTGCAGCAGGGTGGGCAGACTTCTTCACATTAAAAGTCAGACCCCCAAAAGCAGAAAAGGCGAAGCTGTTAGGACTGAAAGTTTGGAACTGGCTTAGTGTGTCTTCTGCTGAATTCTGCTGGGGAAAGGGAATAACAGGGTCTGACTCAGACACACTGTGGGAGGGACTAAAAAATATCTGAGGAGTATGGCTCATTGGAGGCCATTTGGAAACTAGCTACCACAGTAATGGTTTTCTAATTCTTTGACATGGTCCCATGGGCCTGCTTGTGTTGTATTTTGACAGTACAGGAGAATTCTTTTTATAATTCTATTTTAATTTGCATGCAAGAAACTCAATACATATTAACATATGAGATGATTTCCTCTGGTCTAGCTTCAAAATATAGTATATTCCAGTGTTGGTGAATAGAGTACCTCATTAAGAATAGACTTGAATTAAATACAGTATGTTTTTATATAGGATTTGTTTTAAAAAATTAAAGTGTACCAATTTGGTGTTATGACCAAATCATCCCAGACGTTAATTAAGCTAGTTATAAACTGGACTATTTTATAAATTTTAAAATGAAATTCGTCTTCTTACATCCTCTTCATAAATAGAATTGCAAGCTAAAAGTTACTGGAGTAAAAAGAATGGGAAAATATTTTGCATTCAAAACAAAAGTGTTTACGGTATGGGAGCACTGATGATTGATTTTCATTGGTTTTCTAAATTGAGCTATTAATTTTGTCCAAATTATTCAGGTAGTTAATTTTTGATGTACCAAAAAATGTATGTATTGCCATTAGTCCTTTCACAGATTTACATTATAAAGCAGTGGCCTGATATTCCTGATTCAGAGACCTCTGAGAATCTTTCTAGAAAAACGCACTCATGCTCTAAATTTTACATACAATAACAAGGGGTTTACAGACACAGGCAAATGCTTCCATGAATCTCAGGTTAAGAACCCCATGTTTTAAAAGTCATTAAATCCCTAATGACAGGAAAAAGATATGTTCTCTTTGTATTTTATTTCCCAGGGCAGGACTTGGCTAATCGTTTAAAAAGAGACTCTTTCAACTATTTAGACAATAGTCATTGCTTTGATTCTGTTAAGAAGATTTCATTCATTCCATTCTAATCATACTGTTCTGAGGTGAGGCTGGGAGTTGGGATGGGGGCCCAAAACAGAAGAATAGCAACCCAAAATAAAATTAAAGAATTGTACTGTATTTTAATTCTCCTCTGCTTGTGATGGTTTGGGGCCTTCCTTGTGGTTTGTGGAAGGGTGGGGGTGCAGGCAGTGGGGCTGGGGTTGGATTTCAGTACTGGCTTTTTGGGGGGCAACTCTGACAAGTAGTAGCTCTTTGACCTTGCAAATCATTTAAGGTTTCACTGTCTGTGTCTTTCTTTCTGCCTGCTTGCATGTGCCTGGGTGTCTATGTCTGTATGTCTGTCTTTGTCTCTCTCAGCCACTTGTTCTTTGCCTTTTGCACTTATTAATCTATCTATTACACCTTGTCTCCTATCCTCTGTCTCTGAGGCTCTCACAGTCTTTCTTATCTCTCCGTCTCTCTACATATCTCTTTCGCTTTGCTTCTCACTTTGTCTCTCTTTACATATCTACATATATAGTTACACATACATACATATACATCTAACATAAAAATATTTCAACCTCGCAGAGAGCTGACAGCGATCAAAAAAGATGATTCAAATGTTTTTGATGTATTTTATAACTTTCACATTGTACATTTGTATGAATAGTTTTCCCTCTTGTTTTATAAAGTTTGTTACTGAAAAATAATCAGGTTATGGAAGAAAAACACAGAACTGGGAGTCAGAAGCCTAAAGTTCTAGTCTGGCTTGTTCACTAACTAGCTGTGTGATCTGAGGCCAGGTGGTAGACCTGCTGGAGTCTCTGTGTCTGCAGAATGACAGTCAAGGGTGAGCTCTGAAGGCCTTTTCAAGCTCTGTTTTTCTTTCTGTCCATATCTCTAATCTAGTGGACTGATGAGAAGTGATATTTTCCCCTGCTTTTGTCATTTTATGATAAAGTTCTTTGGTGCTTTGATGCCATTAGATTATATATGCTTAATTAATGCAGAGAGGAACCCTCCCTGCAGCTACAATGAATCTCAAGGGACTGTTACCTGAAAGAAGGGGACAGCTCACATGACTTATTTTTCAGAACCATCAAAATAACAGCTTTAAAAAGCATTTGCCAATTACATTCCACTGGGGCATACTTTTCTGACGTTTGTATGTACCTTGTTTTAATTTTGGAAGGAGGCCTTCTCTAACTAATCTCTTTGGTATATTGAATTCACCCAAAACAGAGAGAGCCTTTGTTCCAGCACTTTGGGAAATTGGCTTATGCCATTTTCTAACCTTTAGTGCTTTTATGTTGTTAACTTGGAGAGCTTTCTGTAGTCTTATTGCTAGGTTGGTGTTGTCAGGGAAGCCTGTATCTATACCAAAAGGGAACTGGGCTCCCGTAACTGTGGCAGTGTTTACTTCTTCCCATCAGTGTATCTGCTCTTTTCTGAAGTAATCACTATAATTACACTTCTTCAATGAGTTGCATTCTATTGTGTCACCAAGCCTATCTGCTAAACATCACTGTGTTTTTCTTATCTGAGTGCTCTCAAATGGAGAAAGTGAGATGTGTTGGCAAGCCACCTTCAATCAAATTAATGTGAGATCAATGTATTGTCAACAGAGATGGTGATTGTCCCTATTTATCCTGTTTCAATAGAATGGTGCATAAACTGACCAAATGTTTATAATAAAATGTTTATTTGGCTCAGAGGCACATTTATATGCCAGTTCTTAAAGAACAATGATAAAGTTTATTTTCTTAGTACTTTCATTGTATTGTTATTTCACTGAAAGAGCATATAGCTGTCTTTTTTTAAAAAAATAATAAAATCAGGTAAAATCTTGAGATTTGTCCCTGCAAAATTTTGGACATACAAGAAGTGTGACTCCAAAGCTTGAAAAGTAAAATGTTGGCATGAGTCCTTAATTTCTTTTTAACCTACTACCCCAGCATATGTTTTCAATGACATTCATAAACTCCCAAAACATTTTATAGTTTAGAGTCTCTGTTTTAGAGCTTAGTGACATGGCAGCAATTGTTTGTTACTTTAAAACACATTACAACTCTTGAGTAAATTTGTAAATTTACTTTTAGTTAACAAAAAAAAAGGGATGCAATAGAACAAAGGCATTTCTTTTATATTGTGCCACTATGTCAAGTTAATCTTATAATAGAGTTGAAGGGTTTTGAGCAGATTCATTCATTCAACTTAAATTGCTCTTGATTTGACAGTACAGTAAATTTAAATAACCAGAAAACTTTTCATTCATTTACCAAAAGGCATCATTACATATTTATTTTAATACTCATAAACAAAACTGATGAAAAATAATAATTTTCATCCTAAATTTGCAGTGGAATTTGCTGCATGACAGTGATCAATTTAAATATGCAAATATAGTCCAGGTTCTGGATTTACTAATGATTTATTCTTACAGGCAGAAGTGAAATAAAAGTTTGGAGGGTGACTCCATCTGTAGAAGGAACCTTTGTCCCCTAATTTACAAAGCATTGGAAAATGACCAGTATATACTTTCTTGTAAGTAGTTGTGGAGCATCAGGTTCATGCCATTGCCTTTTCGGTATGACTCAGACCTCATATTCCAAGCAAACAATGCTCTAATGTGAGCGAGGCTAGCTAGAGTAGGCCATACTCCTTTATGGAAGGTACTTAATTGATCATTCTTTAAGCCCTTGCCTGCAAACATAACCACTGTCAGGATCCAAAGGGCCCCTCTGCTCACCATGGCTTAGCTGGTTTCTAATACTGGAAACTAGTTTAAGCCCTGTATCACTGTGGCCTGGGCGTGAGAGTTAGGACAGGCACAGAATTTTCCCCAGAAGCCATAATACCTGTTTCTTTTCTCCCTATCTAATTTACTGGGCTGCTTTCAGTAACTCCACTTTGTTTGGCATATCTGGGCACTGTGAAAGTATTCTTATATTATTATCATTCTAATACTTAGGGTTCAAATAGAGGTTTTTCCCCCATTCTACCCAAAGGTGAGGTTTTTTTGGTTGCAATGCTAGGGCCTTTCCTGAATGGGAGCTCAACCTTGTTTCCTACCATTATTACATTCCGCTTTCATGATCTAGGCACACCTCTCTTCTTTTCCTGAACATGCCATATCCTATCATACCTGAAAAGCCTTTGCATATAGTGTTCCATCTGTCTCTAATGTCATTTTACTTCATCATTCTACAAGATTCAGATTTATTTATTCATCTGATATGTAATTTTTTTCTTTAAGTGTTTTATTGAAATATATTTCACATACCATACAATTTACTTATTTAAAGTGTACAGTTCAATAGTTTCTAGTATAGCCACAGGTATATGCAGCCATCACCATAGTCAGCTTTAGAACATTTTTCTTATCTCAGATAGAAACACTGTACCCTTTAGCTCTGATCTCCCATTGTCCCCATTCCTCCTCCCCTGCCATAGCCCTAAGAAACTACTAATCTGTTTCCTATTTCTATAGATTTGCTTTTTCTGGGCATTTCATCTAATCAAATCATATAATGTGGGTATTTTTGTCTGGCTTCTTTCACTTAGCATAATTTTTCAAAGTTCACTCAGGTTTTAACATGTGCCAGTACTTCATTCCTTTTTAAAGCTGAATAATTTTCCAGTGGATATGACTTTTTTTAATCCATTCCTAGGTTGATGAATATTTGGGTTGCTTCCATATTTTTGGCTATTGTGAATAATGCTGCTGTGAACTTTCATACACAAGTTTTTATGTGGATGTGTTTCCATTTTTCATGGGTATATCCGTAAGAGTGAAAATGCTGGGTCATAAGGTGACTCTTTTTAATCCTTTGAGTACTGGAAAACATACTGTTTACCAAAGTAGCCGCACTTCACATTTTCACCAGCAGTGTATGAGGGTTCTAATTTTGCCACATCCTCATCAACAATTGTCATTATCTGACTTTTTGATTCTAGCCCTCCTGGGAAGTATGAAATGGTATTTCATTGTGGTTTTGATTTGCATTTTCATGATGACTAAGGTTGTCCAGCATCTTTTCATGTGCTTATTGGCTATTTAGATGTCTTCCTTGGAGAAATGTCTATTCAAATTAATGCCAATTGTTTAATTGGGGTATTTGTCTTTTTAAAATTCAGCTTTAAGTAATCTTTATATATTCTAAATACAAGTCCTTAATCAGATATATGATTTGTAAATATTTTCTCTTGTGAGTTGTCTTTCCACCTTTCATTTGAAGCAAAACGTTTTTAATTTCAGTAAAGTCTAATTTATCTATTTTTCTTTTGGTGCTCATGCTTTTGGGTCATATCTAAGAATTCTTCGCCAAATCCCTGTGTTTTCTTCTAAGAGAAGCGCCTACCTTTAGGTTTAGGTCTCACGTTTAGGTTTGTGATCCATTCTGACTTTTTTTTTTTTTTTTTTTTTTTTTTGAGACAGAGTTTCGCTCTTGTTGCCCAGCCTGGAGTGCAGGGGTGTGATCTCAGCTCACTGCAACCTCTGCCTCCCGGCTTCAAGCGATTGTCCTGCCTCAGCCTGCAGGGTTGCCAGAGTTGCAGGTGCACGCCACCACACCCAGCTTCTGAGTTTCACCATATTGGCCAGGCTAGTCTCAAACTCCTGACTTCAGGTGATCCACCCGCCTCAGCCTCCCGAAGTTCTAGGATGACAGGCATGAGCCACTGTGCCCGGCAATCATTTTTTTTTTTTTTTTTGAGACTGAGTCTAGCTCTGTCGCCCAGGCTAGAGTGCAGTGGCATGATCTTGGCTCACTACCCACTCCATCTCCCAGGTTCAAGCGATTCTCTTGTCTCAGCCTCCTGAGTAGCTAGAACTACAAGTGCATGCTGCCACACCCAGCTAATTTTTGTATATTTAGTAGAGATGGGGTTTCACCATGTTGGCCAGGCTAGTCTCAAACTCCTGACCTCAAGTTATCCACCTGCCTTGGCCTCCCAAAATGCTGGGATTACAAGCATCAGCTACCACCCCTGTACATTTGTATATTGTGTAAAGTGGAGTCCAACTTCGTTCTTTTGTATGTTGCTACCTACTTGTCCTATCACCATTTGTTGAAAAGACTGTTTTTGCTCGATTGAAGTCTTCATGTTCTGGTAGAAAATCAGTTGCCCATAAACATGCATTTATTTCTAGACTCTCAGTTCTATTCCATTGATCTATAGGTCTGTCCTTATGCCAGCATCACCCTGACTTGATCACTGTTGCTTTGTAGTAAGTTTTGAAATTGAGAACTGTGACTCCTCCTGCTTTTTTTAAATAAGATTGTTTTTACTATTTTGGGCCCTGGCAATTTCGTATGAATTTTAGAATCAGTGTATCAATTTCTACAAATAAGTAATTTGGGATTCTGATAGGGATTGCACTGAATCTACACATTAATTTGAAGATTATTGCCATCTTAACAATATTGAGTCTTTCAATCCAGGAGCATGAGATATTTTTTCCATTTATTTTGATCTTTAATTTCTTTCAATAACATTTTGTAGTTTTCAGAGTATATGTTTTTTACTGAATTTTTTAAGATTTATTCTTCAGCATTTTATTATTTTTGATGCTGTTATACATGAAATTATTCTCTTAATTTTATTTTCTGATTTTATCCAACATACAATTAATGAGGACCTACCATGGACCAAGAACTGTCTTAGCTGCTGGTGATACAAACATGAATTATCTTCAGCACCTGCCCTTGAAAACTTGGAGTTTTGGTAGGATCCATAATGAAGAGTCTGCCATACATTATTAGATACTCCTTCCTCTGAGAGTCCACAGTGTTTTATAGGTTCTAGGTTATCCTAGATAAGGCACATAAAGCACTCACCCACTTTCCCATTTCTGTAATACCTTGAGTAAGTTTCTTAGCATAACTGTTTAGATATAAAGAAAACCTAAGGGTAAGCTAAGGTAACTCTTTGTAGATGAGGAAGCAGATCATCAGAGTGCTAAGTGAACACACTAGTTATTAGCAGAGTGGAGACTTCCTTACTTCTATATCTAACATTGTTGTCACTGTCCCACAGGGTTTACAGGTATTTCTGAAAGCTTTTGGGAAGCAGTCATTACTTTCGTTGAATCACTAGGGTGCTAGTGGTTAGCATCAGCCTAGGCTTACAGTGTGTGAAACTACACTGTAACAGCTGGAGAGTAAATGTACTTTCAGAAAATAAACTCTCAATGGGTATTTTACATGCTGGGAAGTCATGACTCAGCCATTCCCAAGTGACCTAAGTTTGAAGCCAGAATGTCCTATAGTATTGGAAAAGGAATATTTCACATAAAATGACAACCAAATGAGTCTATCAGGTTAGGCTGGTGTATGATCATGCTATAAGAGATTAATAAGACAGTTTGACAGTATTCTTTATTAGTGAAATACATCCTAATGCATAAACATGAATTCTGTCAGAAATCTTTGGAGCTTGAGTGGTCTAAAGAGCGTAGATTCTATAAATGCAAGACTTCAGACTTCTTTACTAGATTTTCAGTAAATAAAATTTTAAGCTCATCCCTATTTGTTACCAACACAGGTCATATTATAATTCTAAGAAGAATATTTGGTACCCACTGAATCTGATTGTTTTGAGGATACTGCCCATGGTATTTGCTGCCATTGGGCATTTGCTGCCATGGCATTTGCCATGGCATTTGCTGCCATTGCAATCTCATTTTCTTCTTCCGCATCGGATTTCTAACTCATTTGCCTCTGAAGGAGTATCTTTAACATTATAATTATATTCCAGTATGTGAATTTTTAATTTTCTGAAAAGGTGTAAGGCAGTCAAAGTGGTATAATGGAACGTTTCCTAGATTGGTAGAGGAGGCCTAAGCCTGGCTCTGCCATTCCTGATCTGTAAGAACTCTGGGTTTCAGCCCCCTTAACTGTAAGATGAAGGGGCTAAACTAATGGCGTACAAATTCCTTTCAAGCTATGTGATTCAGTGATATGAAATTGGAGCTTTTGCTGTTTAATTTTCCACTGGTGTCTGAGATTCTCCTTTAGGATTCCCTGACTCTGAAATAAGTCAAATACAAAAATCATGATGATTAAGTTACTCTGGACACTCTCTTTTCTTTATATAAGTTTAAACTGCACAATTCTAGCTTTTTAAAATGAAATTTGAGGGAAATCCACAGCAAGAAAGCTCTTCATTAACATGCATTGCATAAGCAGCTATGGCGGCCTACTCTTCTCCATTATTAACATATACCATAGTTTGTGAACTTCATTGGTGAATGCCCCAAGTATCGGGAAGCCCTCTGGGTAAAGCCCAGCGTAGCACGTTTAATGTTAAGAGTTGGTGTCATCCTAATCAGCTGCCTCTGACAGAGTAAACATGGTTCTGTCTGTGCTGTCCCTCCCTGGCTAGCTGTGGGTTTCCAGCCCACTGAGCACTTGATGCCAAGCAGTCTGTTAAGGGACAAGGAAGAGACTCTTTGGGGCTCTCTGGTATTTATCACTATTTAGGAGACTTGAGGTTCAAAGGGCCAGGATTCATAGGTACCAGTGTTATTCTAAATATTTGATCAAGTACCTGTTGAGGGATTTTCTTTTGGCCTTTTGTCTTTAGTATAAGAGGACTCTCCCATTCTGCCCAGGTATATTTAGTAACTCTGTTTTTTGTGTAGCTAAATATAGTTCAAAGACCCAGCATTAGGATCAACACAGTTGGAATTTTTTTTCAAGTCAATAGGTCTTGATTTATTAACGAACTCTAAGACCAAAGGGTGATATTCTTCATATAAGGAACTCTGCTTCTAGACAAATGAATCAAATCGCTTTTTAAGTACAGACTCTTAAAATAGTAAATTATATTTAAAATCAATTGTTAAAAATGATTGTTTCCTGAGCTGAAATGTATAAATAAAAAAATGGAAACCTAAATGTAGAAATAAGTGTGTAGACACACACTCATGACTCTATATATTAAGGAGATACGGTGGCAGAGTGAGAGTGTGTACTGGTCAAAGAAAATTATGATATAAATAACCAAGGAGGGTTTTTGTGAAGATGATTAGAAATTAACTGTATCTTCTGATTCTTCTATTTTTGTTACATAAACATGAAAATGTTCTTAAGTTTAATGTTATGAAATTTTCCAGTTCAGTATTTTCTGTATCTAACTTGATTAAACATGTTAATTTTTTCATAATTAGAAAAATTACTATTTTATAATGATGTGCTAATTATAAACCAGTTGGAAATTTTCTGTAAAAGTGTTTTATTTTAAAAGTGATTGGAAAGGTAATATGATACTTCTTGCAGGAAGCAGTTCCTGTACACATGTACAAGTATATGAAGGTATCCAGCCTCATATGAAATGTTTTTCATGAGGGTAATAACTGTAGCACTAAGGGTAGCACTCAGATGATGATAATAACAATAACAATTCTTTAAGAAGGACATATTAAGCTAAGCTGCTTTATGCATAAAATATTCATGTATATATCTACTTATGTTTACAGAAACTTAAAATATTAGAATGTTAGACCAACAGCAATAAAATACTTGGAAAAGGTACAAAAGGAATATCTAATGAATTTTAGTCTTCCTTGGGGAATTTAGAAGAGACAACTTTTATTAATATTATTTGAAAAATAATTGATTTCGTGTTAAAAAAATGCCTTTTAGATTTTGTTGTTGTTGTTAATGATGTAACTATTTCCTATTTGGTTTCAGTGTATCTGGGTCCATTCCCCACTGAAGAGAGTAAAGGAATTTTCACGGCTCTTTTGGAAATGTATATCCAAATATATTGTGGTAAAGAATGTATCTGAGGCACTATCACCGTGGTTTGAGTGGATTATTGGCCTCAGAGCACTGTAGAAATTGACAATTGTGGTACCTGATTGAATTTTTTTCCCCTGTAAAAATCTGAGGGAACATGAACTTGTTTGCCATGTTTAACCTATATTATACAGAAGATGGATTGCCTTTAATCTGCACAATAAAGCTTATAATTATATATTGCAACCTATGCATCAGAGAAGTGATCTTACTTGAAAAATTTAAACATTTTTCTGGAACCTGTCATGGTAACATTGAAAGGATTAAATAAATGTGCTGTGTTTTTTAAGTATGAAAAATTTTAATTGTAAAAAAATTCTGAGAATTAGGCCAGTCATAGGAAAAATGCAAAACCACACTTGAGAGGTAAAGAACAATTTCTAGTAGTCACTATAATAACTTTTATCAGGTAAAGAGCATTGAAAAAAATTTAAATATATTTTTGTTGTCCACCTTATGTAAAATTATTTTTTGTGCCGAAAATTCTATTTTGCTATTCTTAGTAACAAGCAAACAACATAAATTTTAAGTGAGAATCCATAAAAATTCTATACTTTCTGAGATCTGTAAAATATCAGTTTTGCTTACTGGAGGGGTTTAATGCTGTTTAATATACTTTTCTCTTTACAATTAAATTAGATGTTTTTTTTAGAGGAGAAAAACTCATAAAGGAAACAGCCTTGGAGATGTAATATGTTCTAACATATTTAAATAATTAGACTTCTGTCTCATTGAAATGTATGTGCTCTAGGTTGGGTAGTGATAAAAGCATGAATATTAGTATGATTAGGAAATTACATCATGTCACAGCGTAATTGATTGATTGATAGCTGAATGAAAACTAACCATAAAGCATGTGAAAATAAATGTGTGTGCTGCAGTTACTCAGGCAGAATTTTTGCATCTACCCAGTTACAAGATTAGTAACTGAAATGTTCATCTTCCAAACAAATGGAATTGATATTTCTTCCTTTTGCTTGTGCCTGTGTATGCTTTCATTCTAATACTGGCAAGGAAAAGAATAAGAGGATTTGAAGTGCTTAGTGCTCAATTCAGTATTTAATTGTTCTTTAAGACTTGTCAGATGGGCACCACATTACTAATTGACTCTGTGAGCAATTAGTGTTTTGGAATTTACCTTTCTGAGCTTCAAGTTTTAAATGTAAAGCCCCACTAAAACCTAAGAGTTAATACTCTCTTACTTGTCCCTGGAGAATTGCATTTCCCAAACATTTAAATTACCATTAATTTTTAAAAAGCATTTTGCCTTTTTTCTGCTTGTGTTTTTACTTTCTCATTCTCTGTCTTGATCTTTTAAAGATTCCTGCTCATACAAGTCTTTGGCGACTCTCACACTAGCGTAGAAGGGCTGGAGAAGCAAGACCACGGCAGGATTCCGTTTCAAAGCTGAACCAATATTCACCATTGACATATTCATTCATCTGTGCAGGGTCATTGGAAATCCTCTCTCTCTAGTTTTTCCTTCCCTTCAGGGAGCAATGCTTAAAAGAGCAAACCCCTGGTGTGAAGAGATAGGAGAATTCTCAGCACAGCCAATGGTGCCAGGAATCGAATTAAAGTTGTCCATTTGCAGATGACTGTCTATTGGAGATCCCAGCACACAGAGGCACCGTGCTTTCTGCTGATGCTTTGTTTACTTGAGATTCTGTCAGTGGCACTTCAATTTTATTTTTTTATGGCAAAAGTCACATCCTGCCTAAAATATGTCAGAAGACCAAAAACACTAGGATACATATTGGTCTGTAGAGTTACTTACATAGCATTTTACTCTATTTCCAAGGCTTGCTCAAGGAAAAATAAAAATTTTAAAGCCTTATGTGCATGTGCAAGAAAGGATTGTGCTTCACATTCTAATAGCAAAAAAAAAAAAAGTTAAATAATTACTGAATTCACTCTTCTTTTTTGAGAAGCCAAAAACTTGTCATTTATTCTGCAATTGTTGACATTCCCAGATCTATTTTGGCATAAATCTCATTTTGATATGACTGAACCTACAATTTTGTCTATCTTCACATGCATTATCTCTTCTAAGTGAGAGGCACTAAGAAGACATGAGTTGCCATTAAATCTTAGATGCCAGAAGTCAGCACTGAGTATGTTTTCTCCAGTTTGATTTCCTTTGCTAGCATAGGAGATGCTGCCATGATTTAATTTATTAGGCAAAGTAAAAAACTGTCGTAATTAGATTTGTGGGAAGATTTTTTTAAACCCCCAGAAGAACATAAACTCTTTAGGAGATGAATATTTAGAATGCATGGTCTCTTTTCAAGTTCCAGAGAACCCAAGTATGTTTTAACAATTGCTAGTTTTGAGTTTGTAATTAGATTGCTACTGTTGCATTTCTTCTTTCACTTTAATTTTTCTCTGCTTTATTTGCAAATAGTGAATAGTCCCTCAATACACATTTACTGACAGAATGAATAAATGATGCTCTGTGTTCCGTTTTTTGTTTGTTTGTTTGAGACGGTGTCTCACTGTGTCGCCCAGGCTGGAGTGTAGTGGTGTGATCTCGGCTCACTGCAACCTCTACCTCCCAGGTTCAAGCAATTCTCATGCCTCAGCCTCTCAATTAGCTGGGACTACAGGCGCCTGCCACCACTCCTGGCTAATTTTTTGTATTTTCAATAGAGATGGGGTTTCACCATGTTGGCCAGGCTGGTAGTGAAAGTGTTTCTTTTTCCTTTATAATTAAGAGTGTTTTATTTTTCTTAATATCTTATTTTATTTATATATTTATATATGAACAGACATATGCTTTACTTGGTAAATTCTATTTAATATTACAGTTAGTTTTCCTCTGGATTCAAGTCTTACATACATCCCTAGTGTTATGTTTGGGAAAATGGAGGGGATATATTTACCATCAATTTCTATTACCCATTCAAATACTTACCAAAAGCAAGCTATTGTGCAGTTGCTCATCCATACCATCTTCATTATAATATCACCATTAGAGTCGGGAGCAGTGGCTCACGCCTGTAATCCCAGCACTTTGGGAGGCTGAGGCAGGCGGATCACCTGAGGTTGGGAGTTCGAGACCAGCCTGACCAACATGGAGAAACCCCGTCTCTACTAAAAATACAAGATTAGCTGGGCTTGGTGGCACATGCCCGTAATACCAGCTACTCGGGAGGCTGAGGCAGGAGAATCACTTGAACCCAGGAGGCAGAGGTTGCGGTGAGCCAAGATCGCACCGTTGCACTCTAGCCTGGGCAACAAGAGCGAAACTCCGTCTCAAACAAACAAACAAACAAAAAATCACCATTAGAAACAAGGGGTATGCAGTTTTAAAAGAGAGGTAGTGTTGTAGCAAACAGTTTAATCTAACTAAGCACCTTACACAAAAGAGAAAATCTACAGTAACAGTCAAGCTTGTAAAACGGCAAGCTGTATTCTAAAGCAACCCAGAACTGATCCTAACATATCAACCACAATGAATAATCTATGTCATCATTGTAACAGCATGCTACACTACTGATTTTGGAAGTACCTACTACTCTCTTTAGATTTCTTGAAAAACACTTTATAGCATGACTCTTCTCAAAAATGGTGAAACAAAAATAAACTATCTTTATGGCTATCCATCTATATATCTTTCTTTATACATATCTATCTTTTTTTTAATCCAAGTTATGTTAAAGATCAGTTCCCTCTGATGCAATTAAGCCATTCTTTTCATTTTCTTTAGTGATCTAGACCTTTCTTAAAAATGTCATATCTGGTTATCCTCAATATAAAATAACCCATCAAAGTTACCATGGTGCAACCTTACTTAAATATCAGTCTGTGCCCTCTAACCATTAGATATCAAATATCATTTAGACCAGTCATGGTATACGCTCTGTTAATAGAGTTTTACAAATAGGATGCAAATGATGTGATTTAATCTATAACAAATTTTAAATCCTACTTACAATGTTTGTTTCTAATATGTGGTTACCCATATAAGGTTTTTATTTTATTTTATTTTTGAAAAAGGATCTCACTCTGTCGCCCAGGCAGGAATGCAGTAGTACAATCAGCTCACTGCAGCCTCAACCTCCTGAGCTCAAGCAATCCTCTCACTTCAGCCTCTTGAATAAATGAGACTGCAGGCATGCGCCACCATACCTGGCTAATTTTTAAAATATTTTTGTAGAGATGAGGTCTTACTATGTTGCCCAGACTGGTCTCTAGCTCGTAGGTTCAAGTGATCCTCCTACCTTGGCCTTCCAAAGTACTGGAATTACAGGTGTGAACCACTACACCCAGCCCATATAAGACTTTTAAACATAATATTTAAATATACAGCTTAGATATTTGGTAGTGATTTTATTACATGAGAGTCTTATTCAGTAGCATTTCTAATATATTCTAATGATGTCTTGTTTATTATTTTGTGAGGGCTACATCAATTAATATTATAATTATCAAGTACACTTGAAATTAAGCATACACATAGTAGGTATTAATAGCAAATATCAATCATTCTGAATTTATAAACAGCAACAGGTATTATTTAGCTAAATAGTGACTTTTCTATGTTTGAGGAAAATTTAGTAGGGCAGGTTGTTTGTCACTAGATTTTTTTAAATTATTTTCTTTCTTGTTTATTGAGCACATACTCTATGTAAAATACAGTTCAAGGTACTGGGAACATAAAATGAAAAAGACAGCCTAGTAGTGAAAGAGACTAACACATAAACAAACAGTTTTCAAACAACAGAGTAAGTGCCAAATTTGGCTGAGGAATTCTTACCTAGCGATTTATTATAAGAGAGTTATAACACTCCTCTTAAGTTCCAAAAATATTCTAATGCATATGTATGTGTAACTGTTCATCAGTCTAATAAATGAATGCTATGCTATAGAGGATTCATGTTTACTTATCACAGGTAATTTTGTGGAACAAAATGTGCACTGTAGCATCATTATTACAAGTTCATAGATTTTGGTAGACACACATACACACACAAAAATGCTAACTACAAAGAGCAGAGGAAAAAGATAAGCGACCTCAGGGACCTCATAGTATAATGAGAGAGCCCAGTGTTGCAGTTTGGCTGTGGTGTAGATGGCCCAGGAAATAAAAAATGGTGTAGAGTGAGGAAGAGCATTAGAAGCAAAGGGTTCAGCATATACAAAGATATAAAGTATGAGAAAGTCTAAGTTACTCCTATAAAGTTAGTAGCATATACAATATACTCTCAATTTATGAAATAGAAATACCTACAGAAATTCAAAATATATTAAAGTGGTCAAGGGAAAATGAAGACTTGGCATGAAAAATGACTTGAATAGAAGTCATAGCTATATAATAATAGATAATGGTCACTTTATTTATGTTTAAGTATTTTCCATATTTTAATACAATATGCTGGTATTTTAAAACCTGGGAAACTGGTTTTTATGTTTTCTTTTTTTAAAGTGAGCCAAACACACACACACACACACACACACACACACACACGCATACATACGTACAGAAAAGAATTGGAATGAAAAGCACATGAAAATCTGAGAGACTGTGCTGAAAAGAGTTGAAGCTGACCTAAAGCATTGGCAAAGGAATGAAGAAGAGGGATTTGATTTTAGTGTTTAAGAGATAAATTGAGACTTTCTCATTGATTGAATGTAGGGTGGAAAGGGAAAAGCTAGAATGCCTGGGTAGTTGGTGAGTTCACTTTGTACATGTTCAGTTTGTGCCCATCAGGTAGGCAATTGAATAGATAGATTCATTGAATCGATAGGTTCTGGAGCTCTAGAGTGAGATCTGAACCAGAGGTTGAGACTTAGGAGTCATAAACAAGAACTTCAGCCATACATGAGGTCTCTAGAAACAGTATATGAGGTCAGAAGAAAATTTTACGGTTTAATTTCGCATTTAAAATTTTCTATCCCCAAAGGTCAGTACAATACCAAATCTAGTTCTGTTCATTCTGGGACTCTGTCAATGCTAGTTAGAAAGACAAGGCTTCTGTGAGTTGGAAAGAAACCTGGAAATCCTCTAGGCAGCAATATCCCTGAAACAGGTTTGTGGAGGAAGCTGTAAGTGCTTGAGCTGGAAGAGCAAGACTGCCTGGTTTCGAATCCTGGCTCCTACGCATATTAGCTGTGTGACTTGGCCAAGTTACTTAATCTCTTGCTACTTTAGTTTATTTATTTGAAAGATGGAAATAATATAGGACGTTGAGGAATAAAAGATTATAAATATGTAAAGCACTTAGAACATTTCCTGGCCCGTAGAAAGTGGAACAAAAGTTAGCTATTGTTATTATTCCCCTTATACACATCTAACTATAGAGAACTTAATACTTCATAACTATAATTGTTTGGGGAAATTATTACTATGTTATTTTTATTTTTTATTATTTTTGAGATTGGGTCTCATTCTGTTGCTCAGGCTGGAGTGCAGTGGTCCACTCATGGCTCACTGCGGCCTCCAGTTCCCAGGCTCAAGCAATCCTCCCATCTCAGCCTCCCCAGTAGCTGGGACCATAGGTGCACACGACCACACCTGGCGAATTTTAAAAGGTTTTTTTTTGGTAGCTATGTTGCTCAGACTGGTCTCCAACTTCTGGGCTCCAGCAATCCTCCTGTCTTGGCTTCCCTAAGTGCTTGGATTACAGGCATGAGCCACCCAACCTGGCCTAGGAAAATTATTTTTAGGAAAAATAACACAGTAAGTTATTGTCAGGATTAGGAAAGGAATCTAAATCTTTTAATCATAAATTAGTAGTGAAAGGATCAGAGAGCATTTTGTATTATGCTTCTGAAATCTACCCGCCTGTAACTTCTCATTATTTCTCTTTAGTTCTTTCTCCTAGAACACCAAAGAGGAACTCCTTCTGGCATAGTTCCTAGAAAGTAACATAGTGTGCTTGTGGCTTTTCTTACATTATCTCATTTAATCCTCTGAACAAACTTTCAAGGAAGTTGTTTTTATCCCCACATTCCATGCACCTGGAATCCCTGCACAAATAACCCTGAGGCTACTTCCAGTGCCCATGCAGGGATCTCCAGGTCTCTCCCCGCAGGTTTGGAAAGTGACCTCAATGTATGTACTCCTAGAACCAAGGTGAAGCCAAGTGCCAGCTGGTTGAAAGTCGGGGGATAGCAGAGAACAGATGGAATCTTGTTCTAAAGCACACATGTTAAGCCTTTATGCTATGGGATGGTAGAGAGTGAGAGCAAAAGAACTGGCAATAGGTTAGCCTCTCCCATTCTGGAAGAGCTCTGATGACCCAGGAGTTAGAAATTCGATATTTGAACCCACGCTTTCCAGGTGTAATCCTCAAGATAGGGAGATAAATATATTTTGTTAAACATTTTTTGCCAAGTGTATAACTTTTAAAATACTTTATTACTTTTTAAATACCTTAAATATATTTTTTATTTTTATATATTTTTTGAGATGGAGTTTCGCTCTTCTTGCCTAGGCTGGAATGTAATGGCACAATCTCAGTTCACTGCAATCTCTGCCTCCTGAGTTGAAGTGATTCTCCTGCCTTAGCCTCCCAAGTAGCTGGGATTACAGGCACGCGCCACTATGCCTGGCTAAGTTCTGTATTTTTAGTAGAGACGCGGTTTCACCGTGTTGATCAGGCTGGTCTCGAACACCTGACCTCAGGTGATCCACCCACCTCGGCCTCCCAAAGTGCTGGGATTACAGGTGTGAGTCACTGCGCCCAGCCTACCTTAAATATTTAGACATATGTATGTGTTAGAGTCTGCATGATACATATAGCACCAAGTTTTTGTGGATATTCTTATCACTGGAGATGTAGCTGCGAACAAAATAAATTACCTTCCCTGTTCTAATGATATGGATTCCTGGTCTCAAAGAGATTAGTCTAGTAGGGGGTACATTTGAAGTAGGAATATAAAATGCAGTGTAAAAATACATAAAAACAAAATGCAGTATAAGTACAAAGTGATACGGAAAATGGTGGAAAGGGAGGGAAGGGACCAAAGTCTCAGACAGGTTCCTAGAAGAAAGGGGAGAGGACAAGGGGAGGGATAAAGAGGAGAGAAGTGGGAGGGGAGCTGGAGGAGAACGCTCAAGCTAAGAGTAGGGTACGTTAACCTGAAATAGCTTATCTTAGGGAATCAGGTATCTTACTACCCAAACAAGGATAGTTTAGCATTCTAATTTCTAAATAAGATTTAAATGGATGATAAACTTGGAGAACAAAGTTCGCATCATCCATCAACACATTAAATGCTTTTAATTCTTAAGCCCTCCCTTTCTTTGTGCAAATACATGCTTACGTTATGTATCACATGATATATAGTAGGCATAGATACGAAAATATTTAGAATACTAAATCCATAACAGTCTTAAGAATTAGCTAATAAAACGTTATGGGATCTTTTGATACACCAGTGAAACCAGCAGGGATTCAAATGTTGTAAAATGGGTATGAACTGCAAATTCACCCTTTTCCTAACTCGAGCTCTGCTTCCCACATAGTTGCCCTCCTAGAATAACTCTCCTGCCGTTAAGAGCTCAACTCGTAAACTCAAAGGAAAAAAGTAAGACCCAAAGCTATACCACAGGAAGAATTCTCAGTCACTTAATCATTTCTTTTGTTATGAAATAGGAAGATTATAATAGGATAGCAATGTATTTGTGTTTAGGGCTGAGAGGAGTATGATGAAGACGAAACCTGTTTAATATTGTAAATACATTTTCCAATCTTTAATAGTTCTAAATGAAATGGGATTTTTTTAATTGAGGGAGAGATAATAAAAAGTTGTTTCAGGCAGTAGTCATTTCTTTCCATATAGATTTATGTATTTATTCAAAAGCTATGTCTTCCTGAAAACTGAAAGTCTTATTAAATATTTTAGTAATGACTGACAATCATCATTCCCCCCCCCCTTTTTTTTGTACAAATCCTTGCTAAATCTGGGAATGCAGTTGTCAGTTAGGCCTATGTTTCAAGGGTGGCTCTTTCTTGTCATATATAGCAATAGAAAGGTTGTCCACTGTGGCTTGCAGGTGGTGATTTTCTCATGGTGGTGATGAGTTTGCCTTGATCTTTCCGCATTGCCTTTCACCTTGACCCTCCTTTTGGCCAGGGTTTGCACCTGCCTGGTGTTGGGGACTCAATCAATACATATGGAATAGGACATGAACATAGGTCTACTGACTGGCTCATAGGAAGACAGAAGTGCTAACTGACTCCTAAACATGTCTTCAGAAAAATGAAAGGAGATCCAGAAAACAAATGGATTCTACCTGCCCTTTAGCTCCTTCCTACCCATCTCAAACAAAGAAGTGCCTCTTTCTGCTGGGTGCAGTGGCTCATGCCTGAAATCCTAGCACTTTAGGAGGCTGAGGTGGGAGGATTGCTTGTGTCTAGGAGATTGAGACCAATCTGGGCAATATCATGACACCTCGTTTCTACAAAAAATAAAAAAGTTTGCTAGGCATGGGTAGCATGTGCCTGTCTGTATTCCTGGCTACTTGGGAGGCTGAGGTGAGAGGATTGCCTGAGACCAGGAGGTTGAGGTTGCCGTGAGCCAAGATTATACCACTGCACTGGACTGGATGATAGAGCAAGACCCTGTCAAAAAAAAAAAAAAAAAAAAAAAAAAAAAAGTGCCCCTTTCTTCACCCTATGTTGGTCTGAAACATACATCCTCTTGATGCCATCTCTTTGTTTTTTCTTGAAGAATCTGTTCCATCAATTCTCACCCATGCCTCATTCATACAGTATTGTGTCTTTTATTTATCCCTTTCCACTATTTCTTTCCCCTCAGCCTAGAGCAAGGATTGGTAGACTTCCTGGCAAGGGATAGACGGTAAATATTTCTAGATATGTGGGCCATATGGTCTCTGCCACAACTATTCATCTCTACTTGTAGCTAGAAAGCAACCATAGATAATACATAAACAAATGGGTGTGGCTGTGTTCCAATACAACTTTATTTACAGAAGATATCACACTGGATTTGGCCTGCTAGATTTGACGTAGTTTACTGACTATGGATAATGATCAGATTTTCCCCCATATCCTTTAAAAAAATCCCCCGCTCCATCTTTGCTCCTTAACCTACAGCCCATCTTTCTTAAGATGGTTATCAATGAGGAAAATCCTCTAATGCTTGCCATCTCACTTTCTCACAACCCCTTTCCTCCATCACCAACTCACCATGACGTCTGATCCCACCTTGCATTGATATTGCTCTCCCACAAATCAGCTCTAGTCTGTTCATTGCCTGTTTTCTTTCCTAATCATACTTGACTTCTCTGATGTATGTGCTACAATTAAACACTCTGTCTGAAAATCCTCACTTGTCTTTTCCAACAGCGTGTTCTCTACTTTATTTTTTCTCTTTGTACTCTGTAAATGCCTTTCCAATCCTCATTTCCTACTCCTTAAAATTTGTATAACCGAAGAGTTTTATTCTTATCTCATTCTACACACTTTCTCTCTACTCTGTCTTCCATTACCATAGTTTCAGTGGATTCCCATATGCTTAAGACTCCCAAACCTCCTTGTAAAGCTTGGACTTCTCTTCATCTTTCCAGCAGCCAACCCATTGCTTGTACAAGCTAAAACTCTTCCAGTAGTTCTCCAAGGAGAGACAAATTGTAGCAATTTGGGGGCACATGTTCCAGGTTGCAACTTTAGCTCTGGGCTGGCCTTAAGAAAGTTCCTTAGATTCAGGGAAGCTGCTTCATCATATATAAAGGGTAATAAAAATCCCTCCCTGGGCTTTTTGAGGATTAAATGCAGTATCCACCACAATCTCTTTGTTAGCCAATGGACAGATATGTCACAATTTTTTTTTAAATTTTTCCAGTGATTTCCTTTAAATGCCCCCTTTCCTTTCCTTCATTCCTCCAAATATAATTGGTTAGCCCATCCTTTTGACTCTACCTCTGAAATCTTTTGTGGAGTTTTTTCCTTCCTCTTGCTTAAGTTTAGACCCTGCTTATTTGTCCCCTCGAATTTGTCCTGTATATCTTTATTATTGATACATTGCTTAAGAACAAATCAGAGCAGCACTTTATGTTGGCAGTAGGATAAAGTCCAAACAGTCAAGTCCCTTTGCAATCTGAATTCAAGCTTCGTATGTACCTCTATCTGGTCCCCCCATGCATAGACATATACTTCTGTCCTATCTTCTAACGATATCAAACCACTCTGCTTCCAGAACCTGTCATGCATACTTGGCTTCATCGTGCTTTTGACCAACTTTTGTCAAGGGCAGGAAACCTCCTCTCTCTCTATTCTAAATGAGGAAGTTCTATTCAATGTCCAAGATCTACCTCAACTATTAGCTCCTCTGTATAGCCACCTCTCTCTATTAGATTTGGAACTGAGTGGGTTTTTTGTGCTAAATTTCCCCTGAAGATAGATTGCAAAGTCCATCAGAGCCAGAATGTATATTCCCTAGCACTATGGGCAAGATTCTCACATAATAGTAGGCATTTGGATTTATTAGAGCGTGATCACCATTTGTCATTTTTTAAACTGTGTAGCCAACTGATCCTATTTGTTTTTTCTAGTGATGGTAAAAGCTATCAAGATTCAGAGAGTCGAGGGCAGTGTTTTTGTATTCTAATTTTGAGACTTACAATATATTTTCTCTGTAACCTATATTCTCATAATTGATAAACTACTTGACAGCAGGGAAGAGAAGAAGGGAACTCACTGGCCCACATGCTAAAGCCAAAGGTGAGCAATGGGGGATAGTAAGCCTTCAACAGTGGAAGGTCTAGGAAAAGAAGTTGAATGCTCAGGTTTCACTTTGGCTTGTCTGTTTGCTTGTTTGTTTGTTTCATGGAAATATGTGGAAGGGTGTTTGCTTAATCTTTTTTAGTTCAGGAATATGGCAAGTGATGAAACTGGTAACGGGTAAGAATGGTAAGGCTGATACTTGGTATTGTAGGTCCTTCACAGTGTGAAGGATTAATAAGCTCTAATTCATTTTGAGAAGAAACTTGAGTATATTACTTCTCTGTATCTTTTGGCGGATGTCTGCATGATAGGGCCAAAAGCTCAAGCATAAAAACCCACTTCGTCCAAAAGTCTTACTTGATTAACATGCTCCCCATTACCGTTACCATTTTATTATGCCCAGTTGACCCATCCCTTGATTTATATGATCATATGTGTTATGCATTGTTTGTTCTCTGCACTAGAATCTGTTTCATGCATATATCCATCCTCCCTAGCTTGTGTTTCTCAAGTTAGAAATTAAAACTGCAAATTAAGTTGCAAATTCTACCAACTCTCTATATAACCCATGGTTAAATCCTGATGAAATAGCTGTTAACTAGGTGTTACTAGAAAGGGGTTCTGATCCAGACCCCAAGATAGGGTTCTTGGATGTCACGAAAGAAAGAATTCTGGGCGAGTCCATAGAGTAAAGTGGAAGCAAGTTTATTAAGAAAGCAAAGGAATAAAAGAATGGCTACTCCAAAGGCACAGCAGGAGTATAAGCTGTTCAATTGAGTATACTTATAGTCATTTCTTGATCGTATGCTAAACAAAGGGTGTATTATTCATGAGTTTTCTGGGAAAGGGTGGGCAGTTTCTGGAACTGAGGGTTCCTCCCCTTTTTAGACTATATAGGGTAATTTCCTGACGTTGGCAAGGCATTTGTAAACTGCCATGGCACTGGTGGGAGTGTCTCTTAGCATTCTAATGTATTATAATTAGCGTAGAATGAGCAGTGAGGACGACCAGAGGTCACTTTCGTCACTATCTCGGTTTTAGTGGGTTTGGCTGGCTTCTTTACCGCAACCTGTTTTATCAGCCAGGTCTTTATGACCTGTATCTTGTGCTGACCTCCTATCTCATCTTGTGACTAAGAATGCCTAACCTCCTGGGAATGCAGCCCAGTAGGTCTCAGCCTTACTTTACCCAGCCCTTATTCAAGATGAAGTTGCTCTAGTTCAGACACCTCTGACATAGATACTTAGTTTCTAACTAAAATTCATAACTAAAACTAAATTTATCATTATGGAAAGTTATTTTTAAAACCCACCAAAATGATTTTTATATTGTTATTATTATTATTTGACATCTTGTGGTCTCTTTTGTAATAAAAGCAAACATAGAAAGCATACATTCTCTTTTATAAAACATTCATACCTGACATGATTCATAAATAAATTTGTTTAAGGTTGTAAGAAGTCATAAGGCAATGAACCCTCTTAGTTTTTTGTTTATTTGTTTTTTAATAGTCTAGCTGTGAGTAACTTAATGATGCAGGATATAGGTTTTGTAGTAGTTTTATCCGCTGTTTTTTTCTTTTGTGATTCTTAATACAAATTTATTCAAGGCTTAAACAGGAAGACATTTTGATCTGAAAGCTATACCAATTCACAAGGGAATGAGTTTGGTTTCTTCTCTACTTTGTAATTCAAAGAAGTGCATTCCAAAAAATCAGATGAAACAAGTCATTAATTTGACAGTCTTGGTTCTCATGGCCCTATTGATTCAGAAAGCTGAAAACAGTTATGGAGGCTTATTGGCTTCAATTAGGAGTCGTGAAGCTTGTGAGGTTAGAAGAAAGAAAGGTTGCATTGGAAGAGGAATCATTCAGTAACAGAATCCTTCTTAACATTTTGTCATGAATGGGTATAAATTCTTGGTCTCTTGTTATTTTTTGTACTTTTTCATTTATTGATTCTCTTTATGGATTCATTTCAGAATGACCAGAGTCTCATTTCAAAACTGATTGTGTCATCTTTTGGGTTGCTTTTAGTAAGCAAAAGATATTTATGTTACCATGTGAGAGGTTTCATTCCATTACTACAAGCTGAAGAGCTTCGGATAAGACTGATTTAGTTGTCCTCCAAAACAATAAAAATGTTCAATTTCTTCTGTGTAATCATTATATATATATGCCTCAAGATATATTCTATTAATGGAATAATCAACATACATTTATAGATAATATATTTATTTTAGCACATGCATCATCTTGCATGGAAAAACTCTTGTCCTCAGAGGTATATAACAGTGGGTTTTTTTCTCCCTTATCAATAAGAAGCCTAGCTAACTCTCATGACCACCCTTAGTGCATATAAATAATATATAACCACAATATTGTCCTTTAATGTTAAGAGCTTAGTAAATAGTGCTGCAAAAAAGGAACAATCAGGGAGGAAAATGATATTCACATTTTTAACAACAATATCTAATAAAGCAATATAATGTTATTTATATCTGCTATTATGAAAAATTGACATTTCTTTAGTTGTTTCTTTCAGAATGTCCATTTTTTTAATGTTTTAGCTTAGTGATAGAAATGCCATTTTTCCTCTTAATGATAAGAATATATTTATATCTGGGATACATTTTCATGTATAATCCAATGACTGCAAGGCTTTTTTCTGAAGTATAGGAATACTGATGAAGAAAGACTTGATAGCTAATATCAATTATCAGTCATAAAATTCTTGGTTACCATTTGTTAACAAGTCCTAAGTTGAAAAACCTCTTGACTAAGTTGGCACTAGCCTAAAATTTGCTGTACAATGAATATAATCCAGCTCTAATAGAAGATAACTGTATTTCCAAGTATATTTAAAATAGAAAAAAAGAGATTATTGCAATAAATCTAACATCAAAGCAACCAATTCATGGAGCTTAATTATGACACTACTAAATGTGAAAATCTATTCAGCGCTAGGAACACTTTTCACATTACATTCACGCTAAAGATTGGCTGTTAAGAGCTCATTACTGGTATTTTTCTAAAGAGTGGTTTATTAAACACAGTTACCTAATAAGCATCTTTGGTGGTGCAAATTGCTGAAAACAGTAATGAGTCTGATTAGACTTCATTTCAATTACGACAGCTTGTCTAGGAAAAAAAAAAATATATATATATATATATGTATGTATATATAATCTTTCCTTGATGCTTTGGAATCCAGCTACAAGACACTGCAGAGTTTAAAACAGAAAAAGCCACCTCTGTATTTCCTTTCCACAGCTCACTAATGAAGAGAGAATTGTCCAAGTCATCATCCAATTTACACACTGGAAAACTGGATGGAAAAAGTGGAGTCACAATCATGTTTGCTTAAAAACAGCAAAGGCTGCCTTGACTAATATGTCTAAATAAGGTCACCTTTTGTGTCTCTCTTTTTTTTTTTTCTTTCTCTTCTTCTTAGGAATATAAAGCTATAAATGGGTAGAGACTTAAAAATGATTCATTCCTATTTGGTTTGTGGAGGTTATTCTCTAGATTAATAGGCTCACCTTTCAATTCTGTTTTATCCATGGATCTTCTACTTAAAATTATAACAATACAGGGAGCTATTGCACCATGCATGCTAATTATCAGACTAATTTTTAAAATACATATATTGGGTGGGAAAAAATAAAAGAAACAAAGCTTTACGAATGTGCACTAATATTTCAGAAAGCATAAGGGAATGTTCATTAGATGCCAAACTTGATTTTGATATTTTTAAAAGGTGTGTTATTTAGCTGTATTTAACAGGTAACCTCATATCAAATCATGCCTGAATATTAGTACTCAAATAGAAAAAAAAAACCTGTTAATGTAAAAAGCCTTTAAGTGATTAAGCTGTCATTGCTGTCATTTGGGTACTCTAGTAACATTTTAATGCTTCTGGAAGCTATGGCCAGGGATGCAATCCAATATTTTATGCTACATTTTTGAATAGATTTTTTTAGAGCATATTATTTGAAATTGAGCTAGATAAAATAATTTCTAAAGTAAAATATGAAAACAATGGCTGGGTGTAGAAGCACTAAATAAACAGAGGGCACAATACAACATCCTCACCAGAAAAATCTTCACAAGTTAGCTAAGTGATCATATAATGGCCAGAAGATTGAAAGTAAAGTACAAACAAAATTACAGTACTCTTAGTAGGCATTCTGGTGCTTTTAAAAAGATTTGCTTAAAAGGATACTGGTTCTAGGTATGTCAGTTCAAAAATTAGGAATTTACTTTTAGACCTATGACTCACCATTAATTCTATTAATTGTCTATTCTATTTTAAAAGGAGAACAGTATTGCATAGAAAACACAAACATAATTCTATAGTAATAATAGGGGTGCATTAATTATTTGCTTTTCCTGTAAACCTAGACCTTCCCAAAAATGGGTATTCAATTAAGGAAATCAGCATTCATCATATATTTTGAGATCACCAATAAGATATGGAGTTTTATAAGTGCAGAATTTCTTTAAGGTTTTTGACTTGGTTTAAGCCACAAATAATAAATATGTAGCCAAAGAAAACCTCAAATAATACTTAGTTTTGATAAAAATATGTGCATAAGTTAGTTAAATAATTTAGAATGTTCTTTGGTTTCTTGGATTATCTATAATAAAGCTAGTAAAGCATAGATCATTTTTAGGATAAAAACAGTTTTTAAAAATCTTTCTTCTGTCACTCTTTCCCTTATATTCTCTATAGCCTTTCCACAACTGCAGTCATAAGCTTACATATGCACATATCGGTACCCAGATTTGAATTTTTGTGTAGCCTACCTATATTATTTTATGGTTTTAGACAGAGTTGGGTTTTCGTGTTGCTTAGGGAATTTGTGTGCTATGAAGAGGCACATGATTTAAAGAGGTAGCAGGGAGAATTTGACTTACTCTTTTAATATAAACAAGTAAAACTAGCACACTTAAAATGAAATTTCTTTTAAATTATCTGGTAGTTCAAAAACGTGGCTGTGCTGAGTGCGGTGGCTAATGCCTGTAATTCCAGCACTTTGGGAGGCCTAGGTGGGTGGATCACTTGAGTCCAGCAATTTGAGACCAGCCTGGGCAACATGGTGAAACCCCATCTCTACCAAAAAATACACAATAATTAGCTGGGCATGGTAGCGTGAGCCTGTAGTCCCAGCTACTCTGCAGGCTGAAGCTGGAGGATCACTTGAGCCTGGGAGGTGGAGTTTGTAGTGAGCCAAGATCGTGCCACCATGCTCCAGCCTGGGTGACAGAGTGAGACCCTGTCTCAAATAATAATAATAATAAAATAAATAAATAATAAAAATGTGGCTGAAAAATATCCCCGTCTTCTAAAATTATTAGCAAACACTGCTACTTACCCATTACTAAAGAGGCCAGTAAAATAGTCATAATCATCAATAAGAAGTATAAAATTTTACAATAGTTTAGACCATCTGGAAGTAACAACATCTTTATGCCTTTAACTCCACCAAAAACAATATTGGGAGCAACTTTATTATTATTAATTTTTTTTGAGACAGTCTTACCGTGTCGCCGAGGCTGGAGTGCAGTGACATGATCTCAACTCACTGCAGCCATCATCTCCCCAGTTCAAGCTATTCTTGTGCCTCAGCGTCCCCAGTAGCATTACAGGCATTAACCACCACACCCAGCTAATTTTTGTAAAGAGCAACTTTAATTTTAGTTGCTATATTAGAGACAAAGTAAGCCCTGTTTATTTACAACAGAAGAGAATTGAGTTGGAATTAATTGGAGAACCATGAGCAAAAGAAGAGGAATCTGTATGTTTTTCATGTGATTAATACACACAGGACTGGATCAGCCATTTATTGAATTCAGCCAAAGCCTAAACTTTTTTTTAACATAATGGCATTTTGCATCATAACAGTAGATGAAATTGTGCAGAGATGGGATCTCAAGAAACAATTTCTTTACTTGCAGTCTCTCCTCCTGTTTCCCATGGGTTAGGTTGTTGGGCACCCTCTCCAGGAAAGGAAATGCCACTTCCTTTGAAGATGCTGATATCCTCTCCTGTTTCTGCTCATTATGCAGCATTCTTTGTTTTTACAAATGAAAGAGCCAACCGCGCTAATGACTGGACCGTCGTTCACACTGCACCTTAACAATGTTCAGTCTATCTGGAAATCAGAGGATCCCAATTATACGTGGTGCTCAGGTCTATTTCACCAGGTCTATTTCACTAGAAGGGGGCAGGGTGGGGAAAATGAAGAGGTGAGGAAACTACTGCTGTTGCTAAGAGCTTCTCACTTTTAATCCTAGGCTGTGCTGGTTGTATTCTAAATCAGTTTATCTTCTTACAACGTCTTATTTGGAAAAAAACAACACGTAACCTACCAAAACTCATTTCATATGTAGCTTTTTCCACTACTTTCATATCAAAGTTATTTTCTTCAGGCTGGACTAAATTATACACAGGTCCCAGGAGTGAAGGACACTGAATTAATGCACTATGTCACCCAGCCCTGACTATAGAATTTTTTTTCGAAGTCCAAGACACTATTTTGCTATTGCATTAAAAATTAATGCACGAATTGCCAAAAAGAGAAAAATGCATAAATAACCCAAACAAATTTTGTCTGGGCTTTGCATACTTTAGAGTCACCTAAAGCAAAGTTTTTAAGGAGAATGGTTGAACAGTTTTACCCTCAACATGTGAATAACATTCTTACTCTTTTGTCTAATTATATGAGACAGTGCTCAATCTTACATAAGCAGACTTATATATCTATTTTGTCTTATGTAAACTGTCTTTTTAGAGTATGGTTCCAGAGGAACACAGAGAAGTAGATGAATGCAAATTTCATTTTAAGCAAGGTTGTGGGGTTTGGAAGATTTCTTAATTTGTTTATTGACCGTTTTCAGCTTGGTGTGTTGGGCAAAACATGAATAGAGTTCAGTTTAAATATAACTAAATTGGGCTTTGCATTTAGATAGTTGAAATGGAACACACACACACACACACACACACACACAAATATTTACACAGAGTTATATGTGCACCTAGTGGTTAGTATACCATTTTAGGATTATGATTGATGAAATATACTAGCCATGTCATAATTCAAGGTTGGTATCATGCCAGATGTTTCTTAAATAAAAATGCAAATATATTTTGTACGGCAAAACAGTATTTTGAGAATCAACTGGAATAACCTCAGACTTTTAGGATGATGATAATTATTATCTCTGCAAAATATTTTAAAAAATAAAGATTCAAAACACTCAGAAAATGCAAAATACTTTTGGCATTTAGTACTCTGTTTATGGATCAATCATACAGGCTGGATGCTATGAATATAGCATGGGGCTCTCAGGTTGTGTTAACCCCATTTATCCCTGCATGCTACAGCTCACCTGTTATTTACACACATAAGAGGGTTGATACTGCAGAACAAGGGTAGTGCTCTGTTGTGACACAGAACATACATATTCATTAGCCACTGCAGTCCCTATGGACATACGTGGTATGTCCTGATGATCTGGGGGGAAGGGTAGATGGCCTTAATGGATTGAAAAATGTATACGGAAAAAGGAAAGAGAGGGCATAAGAAATGAAAGGCTGCAAAGTAACAACTTTAAAGGTTAACTACAAAGTGCTATTTAAACTGATTATAAATTGTCTAAAATTCACAGAGGTAGCATAAACAAAATAACAGTTTTTAAATATGGGAAAATCAGCCCTTTTACCTCAGACTCTTTCCCTTACAATAGTTAATGACACCTGACACTTAGGAAGATTCAGAGTGTGAATTATTTGTATATTTTAAATTGCATGTACACGCATCCTCATGTATCCTTCTGAATAACTTACCATAGAATATACACAGTTTTGTACACTTTTTTTTACTTGGTTTTAGATTATTATTCAAAAATTTTACACAGAAACATTTACAAAACCTACCCCCTACCCCCACACAGAAATCATAGATCTAAGTTATAATTTTAAACTATGTGGATTTGTGTGTGAGCATGATAATATGTTCACTTGTATACTTTAAGTATAGGAAATTTTAAGGGAAAAATTACTTGTTTGAATTATGATCATGATTTCCTGGGTTGCTTTAAATGATATGGTTTCTGTCCTGATCATATAGTGAATCTAGGCTCAGTGGTCTAAAAATGATATTTCTTTCATCACTGTAATTTGCTTTGCATAATGCTTATGCATTCATTCTCATAAATGCAAGCCATTTTATTGCATATTAAAAATAATGACCAATCAGACCCATGCATATCAAGTTTTATCCACCACATGAAATTTTGGCAAAAATAGTCACCGTTACACTTGGTCATATTTGTTGGGTGAATATTTTCTTGCTATGGATACAATTTAATGCATTGTAGAGAACCCAATTCAGATCATAAGCTACCTACAAGTTTAGTTTAAACACAGAGTATATATTAATACCATCCTAGTCCAAGTCATGGTGCCTGTAACATTAAATACAGGCTTTTATGAAGCCCAAAATAAAGACATTTAGACAACAAGATCTGTTGCTTACCTGCGTACCATCTACCCAACAACTTTCTGTAGGAAATAAGAAGCATAACTTTGGAGTAGCTTAAATAACCTTATAAAAGTTGTACTAATGCTCGTGTATTCAACTAATAGGAGATGCTTCACTCACTGTTAAATTAAGCTTTGGTTTGTGGTATCAAACATACAGCACATTAGGAATGGTGAAAATGGATAGGAAAATAGCAAAAAATAATATCTGACAAATTAGAGCAAAAGGGGGAACACTGAAACAGCATCTGAGACCAGTTTTTTAAGATACCATTCATTATTCATCATTCCACACTGTTGTACTAATGACACTGTATCAATAAGAAAGTTATCAATTATTTCCCACGTGTTGTGTTGTAAGAGGGTAGGGAGGTTCTCTTATCATAAAAAAAAGTATTTGGAAAATGTTTTTAACTTTTAGAGCTGAATACTTTCTAGATTTCAAGAAAAGGTATGTAAGTTAAGAAACTGGAGTTGAAGCTCTAAAGTGGAGTCCTAAATTTAAATGCCTGTGTGACCTGGTAGATACCATGAAAATACCTGACATTGTCAGGGGGTAGGAGCACCATGACAAAGTGGAAAGGGTAGGATATGCCCCAAGGAGGGAGCTGGTCCCCAGAATCGGACAGCTGTTGCCAGGCACGAATGAAGTGTTGTAAGATCTTGTCTGAAAAATGGGAAATATGGAAATACAGATTTTTTTTTTTGAGACGGATCTTTTAAAACATAAAGTCGAGTGATTTTTAAAGCCCTGTGCTGGCCAAACCAAACACAGTTGCAGGGTATATGTTACCCTCAGGCTGTCAGATTGCAATTTCTCTGTAAGAGGGTGAGGTATCTGAACTATATTTACTAAGACCCATTTAGCCAGAAATGCCTTCATAATTGTTTAAAAAAAAAAAAGCATTGTTTTATGCAAATACAATGGAATGGGTTGAGAAGGCTGCTGCAAAATGTATTGTAATTTGGAGTCTTGAGGTGTGAAAATATGATTTAAAGAGAAAAAAGTATTTGACAGTATTGTTATATAATTAGAATATCTTATTTTGAAACTGCAGGTTTTAAAATGAGTTTTAACTAGTCTTCAACCTCTAAGTACTTTATTTCTTAGTTTTAATCTCTAAAATGTTGAGTCACAGGAAACATCAAAAATAAATAAAATACTTTGAAAACATTTGAAAATGTTGACACCTTTTTGATTAAAGAGATTATGCTCTTTGTTTTGCTCAGAATGAGAGAATTTCTGTATCTTTCTTGGAACCAACAGTCCCACTGGAAAATTTCATTTACAGTTGCTGTCCTGAGGTTGAAGGAAAACTGACTTATAAATTCTGGGAGTGATTTTACTTTTTTTCTGTCTAGCCAGTGTTGTTTTGTTTTGTCTTTAATGCACCCCTGGCCTTTTCAAAATAAAAGAATACTAAGAAATGTTTGTGTAGCAGTTCACAGTTGGGAAATAGTTTCACAAAATATTATTCAGGTAATCTTAATAGCAATACAGTAAGGTGAAATAATACCATTATTGTCCACATATCACAGCTGAGTGAGTATGATGTGCTTAAGCAACTTAACCAAGATTAGAATAAATAAGTGATGATGTAAGCAATGCTGCCAGTGGTCTTATTCTACAGGCTGGAATTTTCACCGTGAAACAAAATTCTTGAACCTTCTTTATGTTCCTTCAGTCCCTTTCTATCCCAACAATCTATCAATGGCTCCAAATAAAATACTATATTATGCAAAATAGTATCCAATCCTATAAGACATCATTATAAGTGAAACATCAATCGAAAAGTGAGGATGTCTGGAATGGTTAGGTCATTTTAAAGTTCTGTTAATCTCTAAAATCAAAGAGTCTAATTTTGGAGAATTTAGACTGTGAAATTGTGAAAAAGAGAGTTGAAAAGGTTTCATCACCTTATAGAAAATGGATCCTCCTTTTTAGCATTGAACCACAATGCTTTGTACATAGTTCATCTTTTATTGACTAAATTTAAAATTTGACAGCCCCTCTGTTACATTCAGCTTATAAAATCTTCTAATTTTGGTCCTCTAAAGATGGAACAAAATTAGGTAAAAATGATACGTAATTTCAGTGCTTCTTCCTCACTTTTTTCCCTTTCTGTTACTTGTAGATTTTATGCCATATTTTAAAGCCAAGAATGATCGGGGAATGGGCTGAAGAAATTTCCAGATCAAATGAGTTAGTACTAGTAATACTAGATAATGCTGTGTTGGCCTCTTGGCTTATGAGGATGAGTAGACAAGGCTGCATTAGTCTCCTCAAACATTTCATTTGGTCATCACTCCCATTGAAGAATGATAATAAGTAGATATTGCACAGGGCCAGTTTGCAGTGCCAGGAGGTGTACAATCCTTCTTTCAGAAGGTTCTTCACTGCATAGACCTGTATTTTTAGCCAATGAATTTTCTACTTTCTACTGGAAATTTTGAATGCTCTGTATGTTAGTTCTGCCATTTCCAACCCAAGAGATGATAAATCTGTTGCATCAGAAAGAAGAGGCTGTAAAGTATTATAATTACTTTACAGTATTTACCCCAGTAGTGATTGTTTTTCAGAGAAACCCTTGCTAATATTATATTAATTTTTTTAATGTTAAAAAATAATGAAAGGTTCAGAGGTGCAATAGCTCAAAGAAATGTAATAGGTGTAGTAATGTTGTCATGCAGGCCTGTGTGAGTGCTATGCATCTGTTTTAGAGCAGGCAAACCTGCCATGCCTGCAGGTGTTTGCCTCAGGTCCCTGCCCTTAGGAAGTCTGAGAAAACCTACAAATGAAGGCAGAGCCCCTAGCAGCCAAAATTACCCTATGGGAACATTGTAAAAGGGAGTAACTATTTTAGACCTGATGAACTGTTGAATAGTACACGTATATAAGGAGTGGGTTGGGTAGTGAGTGCCTCACATTGATATTTCTATGAATATATGCTAAAAACAGATTCTAGAAGACCTAACCTTTTATTTCCAATTTTCCTCTCATTTTGAAAGTTGCTTTTATACCCTTCATTTTTCTATATTACTGTTTAAAATTTTATAGCTGTGGCAGAACTTCAGAGGATGCTATAGTTGTTTTGTTTCGAAACTAGTTAAAGAGCAAAATGGAAAAAGTAAAGCAACAAGGCAGTAACTGGTTAGTAATTAAACCTAAGTTATCAAATGGTCAGTAATGGTAAGAATGGCAAATGTTATCCGTACTATCCAGTTATATAGGAAATATGGATTTGTTCATTTATATATACATGGAGTCATCCCATAACAATAAAATAAGAACAATGCTCAGATGTTTTACTCTAGTACCTGTCATTCCTATGTAACACTTAAATTATCTTAAAAGCAATTTTCTATTAGATTGTGTATTTTCAAAAAACACGTTGCATGATGAAATTTGCCAGCTGTATTAAGATTTTTCTGATCCTTTCAAAAGTAAAAATTGATGTTTTGCAACAATTCTTCAATTATCTTTAAAAACTATTTTTCTTACTTTCCACTGTTTTCTGAATTTTTACTGTACCTATTTAAACTATTTCCAAACAACAGTAGGAGTTATTGTTCTAAAGTCATGCTTCTAATAATGTTAAAATAGTATTGTTTCTGAGATCCATCTCCATGTTCTGAAGAGAAACCATATAAAAGCTGTTTTTAAAACTCAACCCATTATTTGAGTGCCAAGTTAAGTGACACAGGTGTATTGCTTCTGACTCACACATAATTGCAATACAGTCAAACAAAGCAGGATGTTTTTGTTGTTCAGAAAACATTTGGCTCTGTGGTTTTGTTCCATTTCATATCAGAAATAGCACCACCAATAAACACAATAACAATAACAACAAAAAAATAAATTTGGTTACCAATTTCCAGTTAGTGTTAAAATTCAAGGAACCAACCAAAAGGCTCTGTACTTCGAAGGCCAAGACAATCTCCTGAACACTGATTTCCTCAGCTCCTGCTAATATCAAGAATTAGTTTGTGGTTAGATTAGCTTATGCTTTTAAATAACATTAATGATTTTAAAGCACTGGATAAATTCTCGTTTCAGGGGATATGAACAAGTCCATTGCCTTGTATTTAAACAAAATACAATTTTGCCTTTTGCAGCTCTGCAAAGGTTATTGTTATTTACTATGCATCAATAAATAATCTTTCAATTATCTTGTAAGCACATCCAAAAATAGCATGACAATCAAAAGGCAATGGTGTATCCAGTAATTGTTCCAAATAGATAATTTTGATAAATATGATCTTTGCTTAATTTCAGGTAAAAAAGAAATCTTACGAAATTTAGTTTTGCTAGACTTAAACCATGCAAAAATACCCTATGAAATGGACACTCTATTTAAACTGTATACTACTGTCTTTTACAGTGATTATAACTTATTAAAATCATTTTTTCATCTCTTGTATGAATAATATATTTACAAGAAAACATTACTTAAGCTAATACAGGTGGGGGGTTCCCACCTCCTGTGTTTTTTTAAAAAAATAAGCAGTTTCATTTGAGTTAAAAAGTATATTTCTTTATAATATTTGTTATGTATGTTTATTAACTTATGCTAACAATGGCTTAGCTCAGCAAACTGAAAGGAAGCCGTCCTTTAACTTATGTGTGCGTACGTATGTGTGTGTGTTGTGCTAAATTCCATTGCCTGTACTTCTAAATTATTTGTTGAGCCCTTTAAGACTTTTTTTTTCACGTTTTTCTGTATCAAACTAATCACATTTATACTCACAGCATATGTGTGTTCTTATTTTCTCTACTCTGTATTTTGATAATATTTTAAAGAAAAGAACCATAATAGAAATTCCCTAGAAATAATTTACAGGACTAATGAATTTGTAGGTCTCTTAGACAGTTCTACATTACAGTCACATTAATATTCTCTCCTTTTTATAAGGCTTGAAGTAAATCCCACGACACTAGAAGCATTTAGATACTGATTACTTGCGATTGGTTCCTGGTGATTTGCTCTTAATAATTTCCAGTTGAATTTAATGAAAGTATGATTCCTGAAATGCTGCTTCATTAAAATTGCAGCTTTTCCCCTTTAAGTGTGGTTTCGGTCATTTCACCCATTTTGCGGTGTGTTTTCCTCCCCCTTAAAAAGTAATGATTGAGAAAGCAGAAATAATTAAGAATACCACTTTAGTTCTCCCTGGAACTCATCCTCAGAGTTTCTCTGAGTGAAATGATGCAAGCTGCATTTCATCAGGATTTTATAATACTATTTTCCCATTCAATGAGATTATTTAATAATATATAAAGTTTTAAAACATAAATATGAATTTTGGGGGTAGTTGAGGGAAATTGAAGAAAGAATCTGTTGCATGTACAAGAGAACTGAGGTCTTTAGAATTTTTACTAATATGTATATACATATATTTAGGTTGATTAAGTTACACTGTGCAGCATTCAGACTTAATTTAACTGAGTTGTGATTTGCAAATGAATATCTACATGGATCCTTTTTAAAAATCAAAATGCAAATGAGTACAATTGCAGTAAAATATATTTGCAAATGAATCCTGTTGCTTTATTCATTTATTGTGTAATTACTGCAATCCTTCCCACCTTGTTTTCAGTATTTCTTAATCATTAAGTCGGAAGCATGACAGCAGTGCCAGCCCTGGCATGATTCTCTTTGACTAAAACCTTGTAAATTAACACAATTAGCACAGCATCATCCTGCTAATTAACTTCCAGTGTCTGGTGCAGTGGTTTTGCAAACAAGGAAGAGGGAGTCAGAAGGGAATCAACATGCCATTCTGTTACCAAACTGTGTGTTATGTTCAGTTTATCGCAGTAAGTCAGAGCCGGCCATGTCAGAAGCCAGAGTCAGGCAATGAAGAGCCACAGAGCTTGGAGGAAGAGCACAGAAGGGGGTAGAAACTGACAAAATAGACTGTAGTAATTCAGAAGGGGGTTGATGCCACAGATGCTTCATGTAGACCAGGCCTCCTCCTTATCAAGGCATCTCTGCCAGAGGGCACAAGACAGTTTGCAAAATTCACTTTGGGTAATACAAAAAAGATGAAGGAGAGATGCTTAATATAGCTGTACCAGAATAGGAAGTGTTAAACCAAGCAGAGATTAGACTGAGATGAGCCAGCAATGGGAAAAAGGAGAACAGGGTACCAGTCCTCTTCTGTAACTAACTGTATGTGAGACCTCGAGGGTACATTATAAATCGCTTTGGGCCCTGGTTTCCTAATCTGTGAAATAAAGTAATTTCTAAAGTCTCTTTACAATTTAAAATTCAAATTATTCTGACTGCTTAGTATTTTTTTCTTAAATGAGAAAATGCTCATTTTGTAGTTTGCTACATAGTCAACTTTGCTTCACTTAGTAACCCAGCAGATGATAGAATTACCCAGACCATCTCATTATCTACTTGTACTCCTCTAGCGTATGCCCTACGTGGTTTCCTATAGAAATTGAAAGAGTTAGAATCCAGAATCTCTCTCCATTCTTATCTTCCCTTTCCCCTCAGTTTCCTTTCTCTCTCTCTCTCTCTCTTTCTCTCTCATATATAATATATATATATATATATATGAAGATGTATAAGACAGGATGTGTATAAATACACACACACACACACACACACACACATTCTCCCCTCTTAGTACCTTGCAGGCTGTAAGGGGAGGAGGGATTATAAGAGAAGGAGGGAGAACGCTAGAAGACCGACAGACAAGTGATGCTTGTTTTTTTTTTCAGAGACTCAACAACAGAACTGAGAGGCAGAAAGGAGCCAGTTGTAATTCATACCGAGTTGTAGGCTTTGTGCGATGAAAGCGATGGAGCGCTGCCTGGGAGATTGCTTTGCTGCACTCCACGAAGCAGATTTGAAACTGTCGTGGACCACTTTAGATGAGAGTTGGATTATGGAATGACCTGCTATGTCTGTGTCATATTGTTCTGCGCAGGGAGCATTATACTGTGCTAACTAGGTGTTCAGTACCAAATAAGAGAGGTATCCTAGATGTGATCTGTCAGCTGTGTCTCATTTTTATATTGCTTAAAATGTAAAACAAACTGTGATGTGAACAGACAGAATAGCTAGATATTGTACATGTTAATACTGCCATGTGCAAGATATTTAAAATGTCTGCTTATTTTAAGAACCTATGATTGAATTCTAATTTGACAGGAATGTGTGTGTACATATATATGTGATTGTGTATGTGCGTATAGTAGGTAAGCTGATGGGCTTGACAGAAATAGATTTACTTATTCCTTACAAATGCAAAAAATATAGGTAACTACAGAGTTATATTTTAAACTCAGTGTGCTTTTTAAACAGGGCTGAAGTTTAGTCCATTTTAAAGAGTACTTATTATAGGGATCATAATAGGTATTATAAACAGTGTAGATCTTTTAAAGTATGCATATCATTAATGGAAAATAATAGGTAACAAAAGAAATTGGGGGAAAAGCTTTAAGAGTTCTGATGCCTATTTAAGTAAATTAACTCTTTTCCCCCCAAAATTCTTAGGCTTGAAGATGCAGTGGACGCCAGAGCATGCCCAGTGGCCAGAACAGCACTTTGACATCACCTCAACCACTCGGTCTCCTGCCCACAAAGTTGAAGCCTACAGAGGTCATCTGCAGCGCACCTATCAGTACGCCTGGGCGAATGATGACATATCTGCTCTGACTGCATCCAACCTACTAAAAAAATATGCAGAGAAGTATTCCGGCATTTTGGAAGGTCCTGTGGACCGACCCGTACTCAGCAACTATTCGGACACACCATCAGGACTAGTGAACGGTCGGAAAAATGAAAGTGAACCCTGGCAGCCTTCCTTGAATTCAGAAGCTGTTTATCCCATGAACTGTGTTCCGGATGTTATCACTGCCAGCAAAGCTGGAGTCAGTTCAGCCCTCCCTCCAGCAGATGTCTCTGCGAGTATAGGAAGCTCTCCTGGGGTAGCCAGCAACCTGACAGAACCTAGTTATTCAAGTAGTACCTGTGGAAGCCACACTGTACCCAGTCTTCATGCAGGGCTCCCATCTCAGGAATATGCCCCAGGATACAACGGATCATATTTGCATTCTACTTATAGTAGCCAGCCAGCACCTGCACTTCCTTCACCTCATCCGTCTCCTTTGCATAGCTCTGGGCTACTACAGCCCCCACCACCACCTCCTCCGCCACCAGCCTTGGTCCCAGGCTACAATGGGACTTCTAACCTCTCCAGTTACAGCTATCCGTCTGCTAGCTATCCTCCTCAGACTGCTGTGGGGTCTGGGTACAGCCCTGGGGGGGCACCGCCTCCGCCTTCAGCGTACCTGCCTTCAGGAATTCCTGCTCCCACCCCCCTACCCCCCACCACTGTTCCTGGCTACACCTACCAGGGCCATGGTTTGACACCTATTGCACCGTCGGCTCTGACAAACAGTTCAGCAAGTTCTCTCAAAAGGAAAGCTTTCTACATGGCAGGGCAAGGAGATATGGACTCCAGTTATGGAAATTACAGCTATGGCCAACAGAGATCTACACAGAGTCCTATGTACAGAATGCCCGACAACAGCATTTCAAACACAAATCGGGGGAATGGCTTTGACAGAAGTGCTGAAACATCATCCTTAGCATTTAAGCCAACGAAGCAGCTAATGTCCTCTGAACAGCAAAGGAAATTCAGCAGCCAGTCCAGTAGGGCTCTGACCCCTCCTTCCTACAGTACTGCTAAAAATTCATTGGGATCAAGATCCAGTGAATCCTTTGGGAAGTACACATCGCCAGTAATGAGTGAGCATGGGGACGAGCACAGGCAGCTCCTCTCTCACCCAATGCAAGGCCCTGGACTCCGTGCAGCTACCTCATCCAACCACTCTGTGGACGAGCAACTGAAGAATACTGACACGCACCTCATCGACCTGGTAACCAATGAGATTATCACCCAAGGACCTCCAGTGGACTGGAATGACATTGCTGGTCTCGACCTGGTGAAGGCTGTCATTAAAGAGGAGGTTTTATGGCCAGTGTTGAGGTCAGACGCGTTCAGTGGACTGACGGCCTTACCTCGGAGCATCCTTTTATTTGGACCTCGGGGGACAGGCAAAACATTATTGGGCAGATGCATCGCTAGTCAGCTGGGGGCCACATTTTTCAAAATTGCCGGTTCTGGACTAGTCGCCAAGTGGTTAGGAGAAGCAGAGAAAATTATCCATGCCTCTTTTCTTGTGGCCAGGTGTCGCCAGCCCTCGGTGATTTTTGTTAGTGACATTGACATGCTTCTCTCCTCTCAAGTGAATGAGGAACATAGTCCAGTCAGTCGGATGAGAACCGAATTTCTGATGCAACTGGACACTGTACTAACTTCGGCTGAGGACCAAATCGTAGTAATTTGTGCCACCAGTAAACCAGAAGAAATAGATGAATCCCTTCGGAGGTACTTCATGAAACGACTTTTAATCCCACTTCCTGACAGCACAGCGAGGCACCAGATAATAGTACAACTGCTCTCACAGCACAATTACTGTCTCAATGACAAGGAGTTTGCACTGCTCGTCCAGCGCACAGAAGGCTTTTCTGGACTAGATGTGGCTCATTTGTGTCAGGAAGCAGTGGTGGGCCCCCTCCATGCCATGCCAGCCACAGACCTTTCAGCCATTATGCCCAGCCAGTTGAGGCCCGTTACATATCAAGACTTTGAAAATGCTTTCTGCAAGATTCAGCCTAGCATATCTCAAAAGGAGCTTGATATGTATGTTGAATGGAACAAAATGTTTGGTTGCAGTCAGTGATAACTTCTTTAGAAAAAAAAAATGTAATGAATGTTGGCACACACACATAAAACCTGCTACATAGGGAATAGAGCCCCTTTCCAGTAGAGTTTAAATTGCAAAGGGTACTGGGGAAGATGACGATTAAGTTGCATCTTTAGAGTCAGGGTAGATTTGGAGGAAAAGTGCATCAAATGAGAGCTTCTGATTTGAAAGCCCCAGATGACAGAAAGCATATGTGGATGCTCAGTTCTGTTCAAGCTAGACAACACTCACCAAGGAGCAAGGTGCAAGTGTGTTGATTTCAGAAGGACATGAACCTCGTGTGTTGATTCCATTCTGCTGTTCTCGAGATTTAGTTGCTGTCAAGTGCCTGGAGTGGTGCTTTATTTTTTGTTTGCCTCACAATTACATTGGTGGCATGTGCTAATATAAAGAGCTTTAACTTCAAACATTATTGGACTAAAGAGATGAACAGTTGTGTTATGACAGAAAACCAGATTTTTGCCATTTTAAGAGCAACAGTATTCCTCAATCCTGTCTGTTCTGCAGTATTAAGCTAAGAACAGGTAAAACAGGGTAACGGTAATCTGGACCTTAATTTCTGCAGTTCATTTCTTTTAATGTTCTTGTCTGCAAAAACTCAGGAAAGTGATTGTGATTTGTACAGTACCTCAAAGGAATGTGTTGAAAGCACTATGTACTGCTGAGAGTAATAGGATAGGCTTCAATGTTACTTTATATTAAAATGTATGTTTACCTCAACAATTGGAAAATAGCAAGGAAAATTACTTTGAATGTATCCAGAAAAATACTGAAGTGTGATACAACTGAATATTTACAGTTTAAAGTAGAAATGGAAGGATTTTTTTAAGTTCTTTTACTAATTATGGGGAATTAACCAGAGCAGAATAATTCTTTATGTCAATAACTGCAAGAGTTCTTAGTACATTGCTCCTTGATAATTAAGTGAAAATGTTCTTAAAAGGTACACTGGTTAATTGAAAGCTACTTATTCAGTTTGTGTTAGTGTCTAGACCTGTCAGCCACAAGACCTGTTTAGGACCCTGAAAGTCACAGTACCTAAAAACTATGACTGCCTTTTTATTGCATAGGTGGTAGTGGTGGTGATGGTGGTGGTAGTTTGCAAGTTATCTCTTAAAACTGCTGGGAATGGTGTCATTCTATTCACTAATCTAGCTTATAGACTTGCCGTGCTGTTTGATAGAATGCAGAGGATAGCAACCAAAACAAATACACAAATAAATAAAAACAAAAACCAACCAACAAACCAACTTACATACACATATATATATCCACAAAGAACCTCTCCATCTCCTCCCCTTCTTTTTGACTCCACTCTTGTCAGTGCAATTTTGCTTCTCATTTTGAAATCTGGGCTGTAGTGCTCCTGCTTTATTTCTACCTCAGTTTTGTTACATTTCTCTTGGAAAGTAAAGTAGAAAATTGGAAGTGGACACACACACTGCAATGTAGCTTGCCAAACATGTTACTTTGTTTTCTTCCATCTTTCACCGTAAATCTAGTTTCCAAAGACATCAGCATTTGTGCTTACTTCCACCTCAGTCTACCAGCCCCACCCCTACCCATGGCATAAGTGGCATTTTTCTTAATTTCCTATTTTTCTCCTGCTCTCTGTCAAGTTGTTCTTTGTATCCTTTAATGCTTTATGTGCAACCTTTCATTGATAGTGGGCTGATGTTTGGCAATGCTTCTGAACTGTCACAGAGCAGGCTGTAGCTTTCCACAGCCACTGCCCATGCATAAGCAGAACAGCCTGGCCTTTTGAATGTATTTTCCTGGGTTTTTTCCCCTTTTCTTTTTTTAGTTTAGAGATGCAGTAACAAAACTGTTGCAAAGCACTGGCATTTTATGTATTCAATAAATAAGTGATGTACATTTTTAAAAAAATTTAAATAAATGCAATGAGAAGCCCCAAGAAAGGCCTTTCTGTTTTTTTTTTCTTACAAAAATTTTTACCGATCTTATCCACAATATCCAATTCTCTGAAACACTTAACATAGAGAAAGCTCATGAGGGATTTCTTATCTCTGAAATTTTATGATGCTTGATCTTTACTCCCCTTTTTTTATTTTTTATGTTGCTAAAAACTGAGCAATTGAACCAGAATTTAATTTACTGTGACATTCTGTCAATTAAAGCTGTGCTTAAATATAAATATTCCATATTAAAAAGCAGTGCCTTTCATTAAGGATACAAAAAATAATACTTAAATACGCCCTCTGCTTTTCGCAAGTGAATAAATGCTACAATCGTGTTCTGGGTCTACCCTGTGCATCCCTTGTAAGGAAATTCTAATATCCACATTAACTTGTAGGTTCATATTGATCTCACTGACAAGTTTACTTTTGCACAGTGCTGACCTATTTTCTGACTTTTAGACATTATATTTCATTTCCGCCAACATGCTGTGTTCACTTGAAAGCGTCTGGCAAGTTTTGACAAACCCAGTCTTATTTAGACAACTTTGGAAAATCCAATATTGACCCACATTTTTTTGTGGCTAGTAAGATTTAATGCCAAATATATGACTGCACTATTGTGTTTTACACTCATTTATAAAACTGAAAATAAATTGAAGTCATACATCTTGGCTTTTAGCTTTAAGTGACTTAAAAATTAGAACTCTGAGTGACTTAAAAATTAATTTGAGATGCAAGTGGTCAAAAATCCATGTATTTAGACAGAAGCTGAAGTCGTATGTGATTTTCATTTAGCCTCACAAAATCCAAGATTTGATCTCTTAGGAAATTGGGCATGTTGAAGAAATGAAGATCTGTTGGAGGAGATATGGCTGACCTTTGAGTAGATAGTGCTCTCCTGTGATTCTTTGATTCTGCATGGCAGCATTATGAGCTCTTCTATAAACTAGCTTAATAATGAGCTCTATTCTGACCATCTATTCTGGAACTTGGAGTGGGGGTGGGGTACCACATCCTCAGAAGTGAATGTGTACAGTCGGTGATAGTACAACTGAGTAATGGGGCTTCATACCCTTGGCCTCTTTTTGACTGCTAAGAATTTGGAGAAGGCTATTAATGAAGGTAAGGTAATGAGCCAGTCCAAATCCCTCACTGTCTGGCTAAGAGATTGAGCCATTCCACTTTACAGCCCCTAATTCCCTTCTTCCCAACTGCAGCAACATTTCCAACAGGGACAAAAAGGAAGTGAAGGAAACCACTTCAGTATTGGGATCAATAGAAATTCAAGAGGTAGTTCATAATGACCTTATATGTGACACAAATGGAAATACTCTACACTTCTGGCATGCTTCTCTCCCAAATATTTAGAACATTAGTGACAATATGAAAAACTTTGCTGACTGAGCTGATCAATGGAATGTGAAGGCAGTATACTTTAAGGCTATTTACTTTCACACAGAATGTTTATCTATTAGTCAGTTTGTATTCTACTCAAATGCAGATAGACGGGTATAATGTTTTCTTGTGCATTTGAAACCTATCAAGGAGAAAATAAACCATTCCACTAAAATACATAGGCCAAACACCATCTGGGAAAGTGATAAAAGCTATCCAGAGGCTATGCTATGTAAAATAGCAAGGTCAATTTACATGGGTTGCATAGTACTTGGCTATGCAGTTTTCAAAAGAACACATCCAAAAAAAAAAAAAATCCAAATTAGTTCCTATAATAGGTCTTTGTAAATTTAAATATATTTGTGGGTTGGAAAATACGTTTTTAGAGACATTTAGAATTTCTTTCTCTAAAAATGTATCCAACTCCAAGCAGAAAGAGACTTCTGTACTCACATTCTCATGTTTCTTAGAATTGGGTAGCATGATCATTGAATCTGTATTTTGCAAAGTGAAAGGGACGCAGCTTGTTGAACTATTGAGGCCACTAAAGTAAAGTTCTAATATATATATATAAATATAAAATTAGTGTGTGTGTTTGTATGTGTGTATGTGTGTGTGTTCTTTCATCACCACCTAGTTGAACTTTAAAACAGACGTCTACTTTTCATTATTCAGAAGCAACTTGTTACTTCCTTTCTTCATATGTGCAGAGATACACATGATCATGTTACAATTTGAAGTGTTTTAATGTGTTTTTTTTTCTTTTGAAACGTAAAGCCTTCAGTTGTTGAATCATCTGCCGATTTTTATATGAAGCACATTAGCAAACCTGGAGCTATTAGTATTTCAGAATTCACAACCAGCTGTACTTGTGACTAACCAACACATGAACTGAAGCTCACACTTTGCTAAGACCTTTGGTTGACATTCGATTTTGAACCTGCCAGATGCATTTGTGTGAACCAGGGATACTGCATCTTTAATGAACAAGTCTCTCCTCTTTCCCCTGTTTTTAAATACAACACAAGCAGTGTAGCACTAGGCACTGCAATTGTCAAAGACAATTAGACTGGAAGCAGGAAAATTTCACCTCCCTGTCTCAGTGATATGTAGAATGTCGGCAGCATGGGTCAGCCTTGCCACAGAGTTGTGTGAGAATATATGAATCAGTCCTATAGAATGTTAAATATTTATAAAATGGTTCTGTAGTACACCAAGGTTGGGAGCACATTCATTCCTTCTTGTTGTCTTATGATACAAAAAAAAAAAAAAAAAAAGCAAAAGTTTATTTCTGGGCTTAAAACTCTCCCTCTAATATCTCTCTCTCTTTTACCCCCATTCCCCAACCATTCTTCTCTCCATCCCTCTCCTCTCCTCTTCCTCTCTCTTCTCTCTCTCTCTCTCTCTCTCTGTCTCTAACTCTCGCTCTCTCTTGTATGTGGGTGTGTGTGTGTATGAGTTTCCACTGTGGATTATATACACTTGCTAGAGAATATTCATTTCTTTTTTTTCTTTTTTCATCTGATGTATATTCAAACATTGTTCTTTATAACCATTTCTACCTCATTGCTACATATTGTACATGTAGTATTTATTTGTTGTCTTTTTTTGAATGTCATGCATTTCGTAAGAAAAAGACTTGTCCTTGAACTTGAACAGTCTACCTCAGAAAGACTGTCTTTACACTGAACAGTATTAGCAACCTAAATGATAAGACGCATTAGTGAAGTGTGGCAGGGTAGATAATGCACGAGTACTTGGGATACTGATGGACTTTTAATTGTATTCATAACACAAGACTGCTTAAAAGAACTTAAAAGAAATTATGCACTGTGTAGGTCTTCATCGAGGTCCCATTTGGGACATTATATACAGAATAGAGCTTTATTCCTATGTGCCCATCTCTGAGAAATGTGTTAGCATTCCCAAGTATTTTACACTGGCAATCTGGCTACTTAAGACAAACAAATTCAAACAACATTTTTATATTTTGACTGACACCCTCAGCTCCTAAATTTAAGAGAAATAATGGTACTTAACTATTTTCAACTATAGTCTTCAGTGATTGAAAATGCCTTCATTTTAATTCTGTGACTCCTGATATAAATTAAGAAAAACAATGCAGTTGCAAGGGCCTGCACAACACTGAAAATAAACCAAAAATTAAAAATGGCACTTCCCAAAGGAATTAACAAACGTGGAGTCATGGTGCTTGCAAGTTCCATAACTGAAAGCATTTTGTTTCTGATTTCCCTTTATAACATGTATTTGTTTATTGAAGCAATTGTACAACTAATGGCACATTGAATTACTTTGTATGAAGTGTTTTATATTATACTATTTATTTTAGCATTCGTTCTTTTTCTTCACCAGCTCTATATTACAGTAGCAAAAGAACACTTAGTTTTAAAAAATGCTGAAAGGGGTTCACCACCCACCCAATCGATGAATGGACTTTTGAAGTTGCTTGTCAGCAAATTGTGGATATTTTACAAAAGCAAATGAACTGTGACAATCCACAACTCCCACAGATGTGAATTCAGAAATGCATCTGAAACTCCGGTATGCCTGACAATCTATTCTTTAAGTTTCATTAACAAAGTGGCATCCAATCCTTTCACTTACAATTCCTTGCAGGAATGTATTGTCTAGAGGCTGTCTAGTAGTGATTAAGAGAGGGTTTTTGTTTTGTTTTATTTGTTTACTGTATTAGGTGAGGAATGCCATATTTCTTGTCAGCCAACAGTACTTGTCTGAGACAGAAATTTAAAAAAAGAAAAAGAAACCTAACTAATTAAAATTTCTGTGCACTTTGCTTCCCTGACCATATTGATTTTATTTGCTTAAATTGAAACAATACGCTGGATTTGACCAGATTTTGACCCCTTGAAAGAAGAAAAGCCCTATATAGTACATGTTTCTTTGGGTTATTCTAGTACTGTTTCCTTATTTGTTCTGCAAATTTCAAATCATTTTTTTGTGTGCATTATTTTACATCTGCTGAAACTAAATGTGTTATTATTGCACTCATTAAAAATGAAACAATCCATTTCTCTTGGAAAAAAATGACAAGCTTTAGATGATGAAAGCTTAAATTATCCATCACTTGCAAAATGAATTCATATAATTTGTGAACATTATTAATGTAAATGAGACATTTCTGCTTAGATTTTTTTTATTTTGATGGGATCATTATATGGTTGATCATATGTGTGTAGGAAGCTGCTGTACAATTAACTTGGAGATCTGAAAATGCTTTTTGTCCTCATTGTTGCAGTTTCAATTGTAATCCATTGCATCTCATTTTCTTGGGTGTTGGCACTGTAATATATTAAAAAAAAATTCAGTGCTCAGTATTGTAACAACTGTCCCTACTGAATATTCCTTTTCATAAATACTTGCTACCACAGGGAAATTAAGTTTTCATATAGAATAACTAGTTTCAGTAGTAACCATTGAAGAATTAAAAATGTGGTTCAAGGCAGATATTTTTATGAAAAGTTTTCTCTATTGTAAAATTTGTTGTATATGGCTATGCTACTATCATGGAATAAGAAAAGAACAAGCATACCTCAAATAAAAAAAAATTCTGAGTTAAAAAAATTGCAGTTTGATTTTTATCATGAACCCGAGTTATCTCATTTTTCCCCTACCCTTAGCAATAGTGTCAGAAATGAGAAGCTAAATCTTTGTTTTGGATTATAAAGGCAAAATAATAAACACACAGTCCCTAGGATATTGGTGAAAACTTGGCACTGTTGACTGGGTCCAGTTTTAGACGGTGCTGAAGTGTGAGCTGTCACTTGATTTGCAGTGTTCCCAAAGGAAAAGGTAGAACACTTGGCAAAGCTGCCATTGATTTAGAGGCTGAGTTACACTCAACTCACAAATGACTGAATCCTCTGGCATGGGACTGTTAAGATTTCCCCCTCGTGAAGATGCTATTGTCCTCCCATGTGAAGAAGCACTGCTTTATAAAATGAGGTGGCAGAATAATTGAAGGTCAGACTCAAAATAGAGAGGCCTCCATAAATATTTTCTCAGTTCAGAAACTGAATCTATTGATAGCTAACCGTAAACCTAATGAGTGGAGAAACACCAATATTAAGACATACCTTTTAGAGGACAAACTCATTACCATGGAAGAAAAACATGCATATTTCTAGGTAACCAGTTCTATCATTATTTACTAAATTACGTACAGTCTATACTCCTGAGATTCAAGTTCTGGATGTTTTTTCAATGGTAATTTTTTAGAGAGATGTTATTTCATTTATTAAATACAAAAAATAAGGCAAAGAAGGAAAAGATAGAAAGGTGGCAAACAGGTGTTGAAATTACAAGGATGGATTGTTCCTAGGATAAAACGCTAATATACTAACATTACTAAAGCTATGAAGTTTTAGTAGATATATGGAAATCACATAGAACTGTTACCCTCAGGCCCTCTGAATTTTTTCAGTCAGCTCAAGATTTACACAAGGCAATTCTTCATTTTTGATAAACTTCTGAAGGCTCCCGCAGTAGCCGCTTAAGGTTCATTAAAATGTAATTAATTAATGATTTGCTGCTGAATAGCTGCTGACTGCGGTTTTCTTTTCACTTGTCGGACAGCATGAGTCACACAGTTGCCAAGCCGACAAGGAAACTATTTGCAGACTATAGCACCTATTGATGAGTGTTTCAATCTGCAGTCATTTGCATAGGAAAGATGCTGGTAGGGGTGTAGACCATGTTTTCAGTATGAATGTGAGTGACACCTACAATTTAAAAGTGCCTCAGACGGTCATAATAGTAACATTGGGCTCACGATGATTGTTTTTAAAATAGCCTTAAATTTTAACTCGACATAACAGACTGATAAATTCCTGCATTCAGAAAGGCAATTTTATTTAGATTTTTACAAAAATGTAAAAACATATATCTAGGAATTAAAGATTTAGTTCGTGTGTGTGTGTGTGTGTGTGTGTGTGTGTGTGTGTGTGTGTGTGTGTGATTTCTTTTGTGGAGTTACCTTGTTAAGGAAATCTCCATTTTTCCTATTTACTTTGAGGGGACTTCAAGACTTCCTTCTCTGAAACCCCAAGCTAAAGGTAAAAATGACTAGCATCCTCAGTGTTTGGAATTCCTGGCCCCCCAGGCCATGAGCACAGCCTGTATATTTAACTCTAAGGAATTCACATAAAATACTGACATGTTTTTATTGTGGATATAGGGCAACTATTCCGAACTTATAAAATTAACTGCTTTCAAATATTTACAGGGAGAGGAAATACGGTTTAACCTCTTCTCCATTTGCGATCTTCACTGGTGTTTTTGCTCTACTAGGATTTTATGGAATTTACTTATTCACAATGTTATGCTTTAAAATAAAAATTAAAACCCCAACATATTGTTTATATAAGCAGATTTTATGATTCCGTCTCTGTCTACCACATTTCAGAGACATGGAATCTGACAACTAGGAATTTAGTTTACATTGCATCTGAAAAGTGGTGCACAGGCATTTTGTACTTTAAATCAGAAATAGGACAAATGCATTAGCTCTTTTAAAGGTAATACAAAGACTACAAAAGTAATCTTTAGTTCTAAGAAAACCGTTTTAGACGTTAATAGTGAGGAATTAAATCACAAAATTATTGAGTGGGATGAGGCCAAATCAAGTGTAAGAGCACAGGGAAATCTTGATTTCTAATTATGAATAACTTCTGAAGTTTAGGCAGTGGCAAAGGAACAATTTTGGATTTAGCAGCAATGACATAATTTGCTAAGCCTGCAGTGGTAGTGTCTTAAATGGAGTGCAGTTTCTATTTTTTTGCTCTCTGTATTCTAATTGTCTGCTTTGCCTTGTTTAAAACATGAACAGAGTAAGTGCTTCCTCATGTTACACAATGACTGTTATTAGTTTCTGCACAAATAAAACTAAATATTTTATATCATTTGAACATATTGAAAAAATGGTACATGTGTTTATCATAATGCTTGCTATTTTATCAAATACTCTCAGAAACAAGCAGCGTAAAAGTCTCATCATTTCTGTCTCACCCTATTAATATGGTTTTACAACATAGATTTTTACTGATCGTAAGACCATATTATTTTCAATTGAGTGCTATTAAATTGTAGTAATTGGAAATTATCCAAGAATTAAATGTTCGTACTCTATTTTTTCAAACGTATTTAAAAGACTTTTTTTAGTCTCTTTGCATACCTGCTTATTACAATTCCTGACCTCCGCAACATGCACATAACACACTTTATGTAGTTTTAAACCATCACTGAGATGCTACAGAACACTCTAAGAACACTATAGGATACGAAGCAAACGGCTGTTTGCTATAACTGGAGATAGTAGAAGATAGCTACACAATGCTCACTCTCCAGCCTCATTCGATGTTAGCCTACTTTATGTCTGTTTCCTTTTTATTTCCTTGGCCTAGGGCAGTGGTTCTCAAACTTTCAACAATGCATAAAAATTACCTAGAGAGCTTGTTAAAACAAAGTTTCCTGGGCCTCACCCCCAGAGATCTTGATTCAATAGATAGAGTAGGATTCATATGTTTACATTTCTCTCACATTCACAGATGAAGCCAAAGCTGTTGGTTTAAGGACCACTGGCAGAGGGGTGGAAAAGTTTTTGTTCCAACAGATCTCCAATTCCGTGGGAAATTTAAGAAAATATCTGGGGCTGTGTCACCTTGGTCCTTCTCTCAGTGAGCTAAAAGTGACTTAGCTATAATATCACCTAAAACTTGAAAGTAAAGGGAAGCAGTGCTATAAACATCATTTTAATTAAATCATTCTAAATCATTGTTAGAAATACCTTCTTAGCCCTAGACAATTTAAGTAAGCAGAAAGTTTTGGATTTCCAATTGAGTTTGCCTCTGAATGCTGTGCAACTCAATTTGAAACAAAGATCTTCACTAAATGTTGCTAAGTGTCATAAAAGTGAATAAAAGCCAACAATGTGCTAAAAAGATGATGCCTACGTATTTTAAAGCCTCTTTTTCCCCCTCACCCTTTTGTCAAGTTCAGTCCATTGTTAGCAAAACATTTGCAAGTAAAAATAGTTATGAAGCTATAGCACAGCTAATAAAGTTACAATAATAGGTATATTCATATTATAGTAAAATACTATTATATAATCATTTCACATGATACCTAGCCAAATAATTCTAATTATGCCAAGAGGAAGTTTTAAGACTTCATCTATATACAAGTCGTATTCGGCAACTAAATATCCTCTTAGTTCAATTTAATGCATTTTATCTACACAGTTCTATAAATAGGAAATAATAAAGACATCATTCATAGGGGTTATCATGAGCCTTAGAAAATCGTTTTTACCAACTGTTACAAGCTAACATATTTTTACTCTGTCTGCAAGGATTCTGGTGAATGCTAGTTAACTGACTTAAAATTAAGCCTGATTATGAATTATAAATGAAACAATACCTTACTAGAATAGTTTTTATTTTAAGTAGGGAATATTCAAGTCAACAGCCAAAATGACAAACTTTTCTTTCCTAACCATTGAAATTGAATGGTTAAACTCTTCTTGACAGTAAGATTTACATTATCACCCAGTGCTGGTTACTTTCCTGACCAATGCTGAACAGTTTCAATTACCTGTTCTCTACTACTGTGGTTTGTAAAGTTGGTGAATCTAAATCTGTACCATTTCATTTATTTTTAGAAAACATAATTCCCCTCTAATAAATAAGACTAAATGATCAGGTAATGGCCTCCTAAAAGATAGAATGCATACAATTAGGTTGGAATATTCTTGAAAATGTTGGATGAGTCAACCCTATACTGTCTAAAATCTCAAATGACCCAACATATATGTCAATGATACCAATTCTGGGAGGTGGATTCATCACATTCCTGACATTTTATATTTTACTTACTCTTCCTGGTGTTCTAGTCGGTTTTGAACTTTAAAGAAGGTTGAAAGAAATGGGGGAGGCAGAGTGAGGAAGGTCAGAGAAAACAGAACTAAATGGACTTCATCATTGAGTAAATGGTGTTTTATTTTTATTATGTAATTGGTCCAATATTTTTATTTTCTCTAAAGTCAAACTCATAAAAATGTGTAATAGCTTCAGAATACCAATGCGACGAGACTGCTTATTGTGACAATCAACAATGTGGGGGCAGGTAAAAGAGGAGTAGTAGCTGAAGTTAAATGCCCTTTTCAAATGCTTTGGTAAGTGCAATTCTGATGGGGATCTTCCAAGCTATTCTCTCCTACCTACAGAATTCCAAAGAGTTTCAAAGAGTTTAGTTATATGTCAGTGATATTTGAACAAAATTTTAAGGTATTTGAAATGGTAAATCCAGTAAACAAATGTGTTCGGTTGGGGATCCAAAATTTTAAGGCTAAGTTTTATTATTTATAGATATCCAGTCTCAGTAAATGAAAGTCTAATTATTTTGATGTCAGAAAGTCAAATAAAAATTAACAAACCAGTGAAAAGAAAAATACATAGGAGGCAAGGTGCTGTGGCTCATGCCTGTAATCCCAACACTTTGGGTGACTGAGGCGAGTGGATCCCTTGAGCCAAGGAGTTTGAGATCAGCCTGGGCAACAAGGCGAAATACCATGTCTACAAAAACATACAAAAATTAGCTAGGTGTGGTGGCGCATGCCTGTAGTCCCAGCTACTTAGGAGGCTGAGGTGAAAAGATCACCTGAGCCCGGCAAGGCAAGACTGCAGTGAGCAGTTATCACACTGCTGCACTCCAACTTGAGTGACTAGAGTGAAACTCTGTCTCAAAAGAAAAAAAAATAGGTAATATTCTTATTACTACAATGTCTTATGATGATACTAACATTAAAAAATAGAATCTAATAAATGCTTGAAATCTATTCCATGCTTGAAAATATGGATTATACTATAAGAATACATTAGTAAATATGGATCTTCCTACTGTAACTAAACACACACACACACACACACACACACACCATGAAGTAATGAATTTTAGCTTACATTACTTAAAAACATGTAACTTTCACAACTCAAAGTATTCTTATTAAGGAAAGATGTTGAAGCAAAATGTCAATTTTAAATCATCACAGGTATGTGATATATAAAAAGGTGAATATACGATGCCATATTTATAGTAATAAGAACAACAGTTAATATTTCCAGACATTTATTAGGGACTTGGCACAGTGCTAAGCGCTTTATTTCAATGAATCTTTTCGACAACCCTGTCAAGTAAATGTTCATTTTGCAGAGGAGAAAACTGAAGCTTAGCAATGTATCTAAAATGGAAAAGACAGTAAATGAAGTAAGAATTTTAACTCAGTTCTACTGACTCAAAATGCTGTATTTTTTTTTTACCATGATACCACATTTGCCTAAAGTCTCAGTTGACCAAATATATGTGTCACAGAGACTAAACATGGAGACTACTGTTAGGCACTTTTCAGAATCTATGATAGTTGTCTTTAAAAGACGAGAGCGACATAATATACTGTATGGGCTGGCAGAATTTTTTGGACTTCAGGTTTGACCTATCAGACTGATACTCTTAGTCAAATTTTTATAGTTGTTTGATTTTTTTTTTCTTTTTCTGTAGTGAAAACAGTCTACATGTATTAGGTATATTCTGCAGAGCCGTGTGCCAACTTTACTTGCAATTATTCCCCACCATGTTCCTCTTGAGTTAGGTACATTATTATCTCCATTTCCTAGAAGGAAGCAACTTAACAAAAAAGCAATTCCATAGTAAAGGTAAACAGGATATTATGTTGAGAAATCTGCATTACTGCCTTTGATTCTCTGATATATTCAGCTAACTTGAGAGATCAGTTGTTGTGGTTGTTTTCATTTTAGAAATGATGGGAGTTGGAGGGAGCATGAAGGGTCAGCAGAGTCAAAAGGTATGTGTGATTCCTCTTTTAAGTGTGTGTTAAGGCAGCACAGTTAAAACTCACCTCCAAAAAAGAGGAAAAGAAGAAAACCCAAATGGAAAATTTTAAGTCAATTGATTTAACCAAGTAGTCAGTGATGCAAAAAATGCTACCAGAAATAATTTGTTTCCTTTCTACGTACTATGCTAGAATCAAATATGACTTCAGCTGTATGTTGCTTCTGGGAAATTGTAAAGATCTTTTCAATTTTTTTTATCTTTTTCAGAATTTACACAATTTTTTCCATTAAGTATTTTAAGTAAAAAATAATAAGCAAAAATATACATTTAGAAAATATTGTTCTGATGGAAGAAAAACCTTGTACTGCCTTTCTAAATAATGCTGTACTACATTTCACAGCTTAAAGAATAAATATGTCAAAATGAGTAGATTCCTTTCTAAGTTACAAATTCATATCTTATACTCACTTTTTGTCAGTCCCTATAACGTGCTATTTTATGTTGCTTTGCCCCACACTGATAGTTTCTGTAAACTAAGTCCTACTTCACTTACTTTTAAAGACAAATGTTTGCTTAGTGTCTACAAATGTGTGCTAACTGTAGTCCCTCAGACATTCATTAGTGTTTAGAGTTTGCACTTAAGGAGGACAATGGCATTATAAATGAAAATGACCAGTAGCCAAAGGGAACATATAATTGTTTGTAATTAAAACTGTTGCTGAGTTAATCGGATTCACATTTGAATATACTTTAAAGCATTTCTGTCTTGTCAAAATGAAGACTTCAGTTTTCTGTCTCTTTGGAATTTTTTTTAATTGGTAATGAAAACTAAGCAAATTATACCACTGAGATTCTTTAACCCACTTAAGTACAATAAATAAGCCGAGTATGTTTTGATCAAAGTTTTCACTGGAATCTCCTTTTAACTTTTCACCAGTTTCATAATTAACAGTTTGTACAGGCATTAGCCTATTTACAGCGGTTGCTCTGCAATGCCCTGTGCTGTTGCTCTCATCTTTTTGAATTACAACACAAGCATACTGAAATGTTACATGCTTCCCTTGGTAACTGAATCATTCATTTGAAACACCATTGGCTTGCTATAATTCTTATGGGGGAAAGAGTTTTTTGTTGAATTTTTTATTTGAATAAAAGTGAGTCCAAATTAAACAAAAGAACTTGAAATGTTGGCTGCCTTGCCAACATAATGGAACTGACATAATTTTGTAGCAAATCATATTTCTGGAACCTGTAGAACATGACTCAGTTTGAGTGGACTGTCTCAGTTTTTCTAAACGTTAAAGACTTAGGTTTTTCTCTGAAAAAGAAAAAAAAAGAAGGCACAGTGATAAGAGAATCTAAAGTTATGTCAAACAAATTATGTTTTAGTTATTAATGGCTAGTTTGTAAATATCAAAGATCCATTTATTGTAGTGCTTGGAGCTGCATTTGCATGCTGATGAAATGCAAGTGGATAGCTGTGAACTATAGGGTTATCTCTAGTGCAGCAGTGGGGAGCTCCAGAATCAGACAGTTGAGCATCTGACCGACTCAAGAGTCCAAGCTGCAGACCTCTTCTATTCACTTTCTTTACAACAATTAAAATATGCAAAGTGATAATTTTCCTTAAGTAGCCTTAAATGTGCGATCTATTTAAATGTGAAGAAAATTGCCTGAAGCTGCTGGTGTGAGGGACAAAAAAGAATAAATTATGCAAATAGCAGAAAAGGACTCTACCACTTGAACGCCTAATTTTCCTGTAATAAGCATACTGTTTCATTTAATTTTTTGCCTCTTATTAAAAGTGACAGTTCTTTTGCACTGTCTGATGGTTATATCTGACACAAGCTAGGGAAATGACTGCTAGACTAAATGCTAAAGCATTTTGGTAGCTTTTTTAGATGATGGTTACATTCACAAAGTAATTATGCACTGAAGAGTAGAGAAATAAGGTTTAATTACACAGTAATCGCTTCTGATGGACACGGCAGAAGTGTGAACACCGCCAGACTGCAATCCATCAATGACAAACCCCTGGCCACTTTTAATTCCTCCTCATTTGCATCATAACCTCCGCACCAAGTTGCACAAATGCTGTTAAATGTTAATAGGAGCTGTCTCTCCACTCAAAATGAATGCTTAAGCTGTTTCATTTTTTTTCTCCTCCACCTCAGACCTTCAAAACCAGCTCCTCTCTGAGAGCAGGCATTAAGCACAGAGCATGGTGCGTGGTCACTGTTGTGCTAATTGGGAGCAACACTTAAAGTTTTATCTCTCAAGCGCTAATAATGCACACTGCTGACAAACCAGTGAATAAGTAATGTACTTGGAGGAGGGGGGGAAAGAAAGGCATGCCTAGAATGAAAAATGCAGTTGGGACCGTTGTTCAGTGACTAGCTATTTGATTAGGCCCTGTAGTCATATTTAATCCAGATCCTTAGGGAACATAGACAAAATTACATCTTCATCTCATCAAACATTCAGCCATATTTAAGCATTCAGCTGATCAAGCTTTTATTGTTTCTCTTGCAGCAACATGGAGACAATGTTTTCCTGCATTCTTCATTCCAGAAGCTGATGGAGGAAAGGCCCTATGAGCTGTGGGCTGGCTCTATAGGCCCCACTGTACTTTAGGGAATTCCAGTAGCAAAGGAATAAAATCATTTTAGTCACTATGCACTAATGTTTCCGTTGGTAAAACCTCTAGCCTTCAGTTCTATTTGTACAGTCTTTAATAGTCAACCTCATTTTTCTTATTTTGAAAAAAATGTTCTTCCCTCTACCTTGTCTTTAAACCCAGTCTATTTCCTGGGACAGGTCTACATCATTAAACTGCAGATGGTTCTTTTTCTATTAAGCAGCAGGTATCATTCTTGTCCTGACAGGAGGAGGCTCCACCTGCTGCCGGCCCACCAATACTTCCAGCTGACTGCTTTGCCGAACAGGAAAGGTAATTTGTAAGCAGTATGCTAAGTTTAACAGTAGACTATAAGAAGTGACAAAAGAGCCATTTTCTGCATGAAGATTGAGAATTATAAACACCTTTCGGTGCATAATAGTTAAGCCTTTATCACTTGAGGAGCTGCTGATAAGGTTAAGAACACTAGACAAACTGCTCATTAGTGGAAAGGTTTGCCTTTTACATTAAAGACCGCTGGGTACCGGAGTTCCTCCAGTGAGCAATACATCCCTGGCATTTGAAAAGAATGAGCTGATCCGTGTACATAAATGAATATGGAAAAGAAGACCTGGAATGTTCTAATGATATTAGTGAGGTTTTTCTTAAGCTTAGAGAATGATAAACCTGTTAAGTGTGTTCAAAAGCTGTGTGATCTGGTAGGTAAGGCCCTAGATTAGAAGTCATAAGACTTAAACTTTTCTGCATTTTACCATGGACAAGCTGTGTGACCTTGGGTAAGTAATTTACATTTCCTAAAAATGAAAATATATTATAAGATGATTCAAATATGGAATATCAGGATTCATTAGGTTGGATCAATAAATAATATAAATCTAGGCCAGGCACGGTAGCTCATGCCTGTAATCCCAACACTTTGGGAGGCCGAGGCAGGCGGATCACCTAAAGTCAGGGGTTCAAGACCAGCCTGGCCAACATGATGAAACTCCATTTCTACTAAAAATACAAAAATTGGCCGGACGTGGTGGTGCGTGCCTGTAGTTCCAGCTACTCAGAAGGCTGAGGCAGGAGAATGGCTTGAACCTGGGAGGCAGAGGTTGCAGTGAGCCGAGATTGCACCACTGCACTCCAGCCTGGGTAACAGACCAAGACTCCATCTCAAAAAAAATAAATAAAATAAAATAAATCAATAATATAAATCAGTTACAAATATCCCATATACTAATGTATTGATAATAAATATGGTGACAAAGGATTATTTAGGACCCAGTCATTCATTTTATTCTGGTGAGTTGGATTAGGAATTATAAATTGGAATTTATCCTATTCATTTTGAGACCCCTTGTATAACCAGAGGAATAAGATTGGTATTTCTATATACCTGCTATTTGGTTTCATATAAGTGGGAAATGGTAAAGATAACTTCCTTGGGGGTTATTTATCACATGCACTTATACTTTAAGCTTCTGAGATCCTATATAAAGTAATTTTAACTCTATTTTAAAGATGAAGAAATGGAAGCTCAGAGTTGACATAAATTGCACTAGGATGAATATGTTTGAGTAGCTACAATAGGGTTTGAATTCAGGTCTGATTTTAAAGTCTGCATGTTGAACCACGTTTTGGGATTGAGTTCCATTTATATAGAGAATAGCAATGCAAACTAAATCTGTTTCTGTTTCCATCTCTCTCTGGCTGTATGACTTTAGTCCTATTCATCAATCTTTCTTTCTTTTGCCTACTTAACATGTTTGTAAAATCCCATAAGGGAGCGCAAGGCTTAACTTCTATCACATTAGAAACAGCTCAGCCTACAGATGATATCAGGCCAATACTGAGGAGCTATCCTTTAAAAAAAAATACGGCTTTTGACTTAATTTGTTGAGATTAAGCATAACATGTAAAATCTGTGTACCCATCTGTAAAAATCTCAGGTACATAAATGGTGATATTCTTGCCACCTCTCAACAAAATATATTGTGAGCAGTATTCTGTTCAACATACGTGTACGTACATGTCACCCCAAGTATGCTTGTTTACCATTGAGGTAAAGTGTGCTGGCCTGAGGCAAAATTGCATTGGTGCTCACAATCACATTTTTGGAAACTTCTTTTCTTCTTTAGTAGTTTTTCCCTGCTCAGGCATGAAGGTAAGCCAATTATTTAAAGAAAAAAAAAAAAAAGTCCAAGAACATTCAGCACCAGTTCCTCATTGCTAGATCAGGTTAAAGAAGGAAGAGATGAAATAAAGATTTACAGAGATTTCCAGAAAGCTCTGATGAAGGAAGAGAGTGTGCAGCGGCAGAAGTAACGGTATTGGCAGGGAGAGATATATATGAGTATGCATGCATAGTGAAGGGAAAAGAAAAGCAAAAATATTTTTTTCTCTTATATGAGCTTTCTTTCTGATATATCAGTTACCTGTATTTTTATGCAAGCATCCCACCCAGCTTTTTTAAAAGCAAATTTTAGGCACTTCTGAGGTATGTCAGGATACTTTATGTCTCAGACATAAAGCCTTTCCTGTATGAATAAGTACAAGTCCCCATCCCAGCTGGTCTGTACTCCAGCAATCCATGTTTCAGAATCTATCAACAATAATCAAGTAATCAAGGTATTTTATTTTCCCTTGAACTGGAACTATAATAGACTCACAAGTTCATTTCTTCCCTCTTAAGTGACAATTGTGCTGTCAGCCTCCGGGTTAACCATTTATAGATTTGTTTCACAGAGATTTTGCATGGTCATGTAATTAATGCGATTATAATTTCTTGTCCAATGTCTATCTCCACCAGACTCTAAGCTGCTTTAAGTCAATCTGTCTTGTATACCCCTGTATTCCCAGTGCACAGCACAGTACCTTGAGCTCTTTAGGACACAGAAGCCATAAACAATCTTTCTAAGAAGGTGGTGGCAAGCAAAAGCAGGGAAATACTAAAGGATTTCTTAGTAAATTCCAACAGTGAAAAGAATGAGAAAGGGAAAGATATATGAAGATGCACTGAAAACCTGAGCTCTAATGATTTTAGGAAGAAAAATCAGTGATAAAGAAAACTCTGGCTTTGGGTAACTCACATCTAAGTCCCTTGTTTTTGTAACCATAGTGAATCGTAGTGCAACTTGTGAGTTTTGAGGTCTGAACTCTACATTGTAGGGTTAAAACTAGTTTATACATGAAAAGATTAAAAAAGAAGATGAAAACTATAAAAATACATGGTAAAAATTAAATTATTTATTTACTGTTTTTAATATAAATGACTCACCACTGATGCCTAAAAAGCATAGAGCAACAAACTTGGGAACCATGTCATCGTGTGTTAGATTAATTTTGAGGTTTCTTTTTTTTTAACACAAGACACAATTTTATATAGTCTGTTGCATATGTAGTATAATCATCCACACACATCTTCAAACTAGATATAAAATTAAGGGTAAGTTCGCATTCATGATTCCTAATTATAATGGAAAACTATTTGAATATAAGATGAATATTATCAATCTATAATATGGAGGCAATTTCTACAAACTGCATGCTATATGATAAAAGTATGCTATGAATTAATCTATAAGTTGTATTAATTCTATTCTCTTATACCAGCATCATAAAGCTTCCAGTGTACTTAGAAATTCCTGAATCAAAGGCACTGTACAAGTAGAAGGTGGTGCACATATTATTAACCTTTCTGCGCTTGTTTCCTCATCTGTAATATGGGGTTAATGATATTTCTGTACCTCATGAGAATGTTGTGTGAATTAATGTTTGTAAAGCCCTTTAAGATCCACGGATGAAAGATGCCATAGATGTCCAAAGGTGATCATATTATAGTTATTGAAATTGGAAACACCAATAATGCTGAGAACTGAATATATATTTGGTTTCAAGACACCCAGTATGTTATGAACCCACAGCACTTACAGGGTTACTGCTTCAAAATTAGTGTTTTGATATACATAGAATAAGTCCTAAAGAGATACTACATGTAGGGTATAAACCAAATGGATGTAATTCGTTCATAGCTGGCAAAAACACAGAGCCCACATTATTTCTATGTTCTTTTATAGAAAGTGGTGCAGTAGAATGTACTGGATCTGTACTTAAAATTATGTAATGTCAGAATGGTCTATTTAGAAAGAGAATCAATAAATAACATGTTAAAAATGCTAACACGATTTGAGGAAATTTTCATTTGTACTCCTCTTATTACTGCTGTATTTTTTTCATTTACATTTTCGGCCCACTTGAATAGTTTATAACTATTAAGTACAAAATACCTAATAGCAATCTTTTTGAAAAAGAAAAGTAATACAAATTATCAGTTGTTACTGTTTGTCTGAACAAATTTTTATGTGACTATTAAATATTTTTGTAAAAGTTTAAAAAGATATTTTACTTACGCACTATAATACAAAAAGGAGAAGGAAACAAGTTTTTTCCAATACTGTAGCCTTTATTTATTTATTTATTTATTTATTTATTTTTTGAGACTGAGTCTCGCTCTGTCGCCCAGGCTGGAGTGCAATGGCGCAACCTCAGCTCACTGCAACCTCCACCTCCTGAGTTCAATCGATTCTCCTGCCTCAGCCTCCCAAGTAGCTGGGATTACAGGAGCCCGCCACCACGCCCAGCTAATTTTTGTATTTGTAGTAGAGTTGGGGTTTCACCATATTGGCCAGGCTGGTCTTGAACTCCTGACCTTGTGATTTGCTGGCCTTGCCTCCCAAAGTGCTGGGATTACAGGCGTGAGCCATGGTGCCCGGCCTGTAGCCATAATTTAAAAATATTCAAGTACCTCATGAGACATATAATATGATGTTTATCTAGCATTCATTAACAATTCATCATTCACTTATTAATAGTGTTTATTTTTGCTGCATATAATATAGTAATTTTAAAACACAACTTGTAAGAGTATATGTAAGTATGTGTATGTTTGCATATGGAGTAAACTGTATAGAACATGAAAACCATTCCATTACCAAATTGTATAATAATTACCTCTATAAAGTGATTTGGGATTAAGAGAAGTGCAAAAGAGCTTTCTTTTCTCTTTTTTTTTTTCTTTTTTGAGACAGTCTCACTCTGTCTCTCAGGTCTTGCAGGCTGGAGTGCAGTGGCATGATCACAGCTCGCTGCAGCCTCGACCTCCTGCGACCCAAGCAATCCTCCCACCTCAGCCTCTTGAGTAGCTGGGACCACAAGCCCAAGCCACAACACCCGGCTAATTTTTCAAATTTTTTATAGAGACGTGGTCTCACTATGTTGCCCAGGCTGGTTTTAAACTCCTGGACTCAAATGATCCTCCCACTTCAATCTTCCAAAGTGTTGGGATTATAGGCGTGAACCACTGCACCCAGCTTTTATTTTTTGTTTTACACAATCCTATATTGATTGGTTTTGTTACAAAAAGCATGTGTAACTTTCTCAGTTTTAAATGCCACAAAATGAAAAATAGGTTTTAAAGACTAAAAAATAAAGATGAAGATTGATGAGATAAAAACTAAAGAACTGAAGTTAGAACTTAAATAACATACTGAATTTATTGTCAGACTGAAAAGGAGGACAAATAGTTAAAGGGAGGATTCATTATCCTTGATTATAAGTTAGGAAAATTAACATTCACATGTGTTTTTGTTTTTTCAAGGCACATCTTAGAGATTTTCTTAGATTTAATTAGAAGGAATGCAATTTTGTCTTTTAATCCATTGAAGCACAATTTTCAACTAAGTAGAGAAAAGGTTAACTTCAAATGATAGTGGCAAACCAGTCAAGGAAAAACAAGAGTTCACAATTAAGTCAAGGAGTCAAACAAATGTTATATTTAGAAAGTCAAGAGCTTTGTTTTGGCTGCTTTAGAGGTTTTCCCCAATTTATGGGAGGTTCAAGGTTACCAAGCTCAGCATCCAGAGCTCAAAGTCATTCAAGAGTTTATTCAATATTCGAGTTCAAAGATTTAACTGTGTATTACAAAAGAAAATTTGAAACCTGGGACTACCGACTTTTTAAGAGTATAAGTAAATGAGAGTAAAAGGTCGCATGGGCCAGCATATTTCTAGACAGCTAATAAGTGAAGAAAGCTATATTTAGAAGTTTAAAGTCAAGGAGCACTAAAACATGTTTAATGTCTTATCAAAAAATATGTTTTTATATGTGTATCTATAAGATACTTCCTAGAAAATGTGAATAATAGGTAAATAAAACTGAGATATTATGTGACCTGAATTCCATTTCTTCTACTCTAATAACAGTTCTTGTATAACTTTTTGTTTCATCTCTGCTCTTGACTTTTTGACTTTGTCATACTGTTTCTTTTACTTACAAACTCCTTGGTTAATATTTGGAAAGAATGGCCGGGCGCGGTGGCTCACGCCTGTAATCCCAGCACTTTGGGAGGCCAAGGTGGGCGGATCACAAGGTCAGGAGATCGAGACCATCCTGGCTAACATGGTGAAACCCCATCTCTACTAAAAATACAAAAAATTAGCCGGGCGTGGTGGCGGGCACCTGTAGTCCCAGCTACTTGGGAGGCTGAGGCAGGAGAATGGCGTGAACCTGGGAGGCGGAGGTTGTAGTGAGCCGAGACTGTGCCATTGCACTCCAGCCTGGGCGACAGAGCGAGACTCTGTCTCAAAAGAAAAAAATTTATATATATATTTGGAAAGATTATGGTACTCAGAGGAAGTACTTTAGAAATGCAAAAAGCCAGTGGTATTTTATTTAACCTTTTATTTTGACTAGTTACATAAATATATTAACTTCTTAATTTCCTTAGAATCTTCCAAAATCCCTCTTAGATGGGTGAATAATATTATGTGTCAATGTCATGACTGATTTCCAGTAGAATGTGTTGGATTGTAATGAAGAGATCAGTGCCTTTCACAGTGTCTAGCAAATAGTCAATGGCTAATAAACATTAATGAATGAATGAACTGCTAAAGTAGACATTGTGCTCCTAATTAAATTATTCAGTTGGTTTACCCATATGAAGCAAGATGTAGAAAAACATTAATACAATCATCCCATCATCCACTGAACCTCTGAGGACATGAAAAACAGTAACTACAAAACATAGATCTAATTACTCCTTTTCCATTTTTTCACTAGCTCCTCCTTCTCTCTCAACCCCTCATTTGGTTATTCTCTCAGGTTCTAGTGAAAATTTTCCTTTCATTCTGTTCCAGCATCTACATTCTCTCCTAGTGACTCCCCAACTTATATTTCCAATCTCAAATATTCAACTGAGTGACATACATTCTTATTAATCTGTTGTTTGTTCATCCATTTGTTTAAAAATTACTTTTTAAGATTCAGCCTTGTCCCCCTCAACACATCAGCCAAATTAAGCCTGTTAAAACAAGTCAAATCATGGCAGTCCCCTAGTCAAAACCCTCTAACGACACTCCATTTTACTGTGCATCATAACAGTAATCTACAAGGTCTTATATTATCCTCCTCCCTTTTAAATTCCCGATCTCATCTACTGTTACTCCCCCTTTACTCCTTCTGCTCAACTGCCTTGCTATTCTACAAACATACAAGATGCTGTCCTATTTAAGAACCTTTATACTGGCATTCTCCTCTGGGAACACTCACCTACATGGCTTGATCCTTCACCTCCTCCCAGCCTTTGCATAAATGATACCTTCTTGGCATAACTTCACCTGTTCATCACTTTTAAAAATGATGCCCTCCCCTCAAGTACTCCTCATCTTCTTCTGTGCCTCTTTTGTCTTCATTGCACCAGTGACCCTCTAACGTAAAGTTTGGCAAACGATGGCCCATGGGCTAAATCCAACTTGCCACTTATTTTTGTAAGGTTTTATTGGAACACAGCCTAGGCTATTTTTTAATGTATTGTCTATGGCTAGTTTTGTGTTGCAATGACAGAGTCGAGTAGTTACAACAAAAAACACCTTGCTCACAAAGCTTCAATATATATGTACTATACGCCCCTTAACAAAATCTGCCAAAACCTGATCTAACATATCAAAGAGCAGGCAAGGATTTAATTTTTATGTTTTAATATTTTTTGCTATGTCTGTGATGCCTATAATAGTGCTCAACATACAGTAGTCGAATGGTAAATATTTGCAAATAAATTAATGAATCTCCTAATATGTGCCAAGTACTGGGCAAGGCCCTGAGCATGCAGAAGTTTTATTCTCCCTATATTTTTCTCAGAATCCTACTAAATTTTTTTGTTCAATTTTTTTTCCCTAAATCAAATAAAACAAAATAAAAACCCAGTAAAAGCTATTTCACATCTCCTCACTCTTTAAACCTTAAACACGCCTGGCTCACCACGCCCAGTTAGGAGAGACAAGGTTTCACTATGTTTCCCAGGCTGGTCTGAAACTCCTGAGCTCAAGCAATCCACTTGCTTCAGCCTCCCAAAGTGCTGGGATTATAGGCATGAGCCACCACACAGGGCCATTTCAGTTGTTTTTAAACCATGCAGTTTGTGGTAATTTGTTACAGCAGGCAGAGGAAACTAAAACAGCACACGAAGTTCCATCAGATGCTATACTGTCAGCTGCTGAAAATCAATCCACTCTAAGGAATTTATTATACTGCATGTTCTCAATTTGGTCATACGCTCAGCTTGGTCATACTCTCACATGGAATCTGAAACATTAGCGATTACCAGTGTTGTTCATATAAAGTAGCAGGGGAATAAGAGGATAGAGTTAAATAACATAAAACATAGTCACTACATTTGTACTTCTGTAGCTAGACCTGAGATCCCTGCTGGAACATGTCATAAGGAACTGCCCATGACATCATAGGTGTGAGTAGAGGGAAAGGTGGTAGAGCAGTTCAGTCCACTACAACAGGAATCTAAGCCCTCTCCTTCTGCAATTTACTTATGTCTTCTAGACTTGCATGGTATCATTTCCATTTTATACAGAAATGTTCTACAGACTTCTAATTTTATGGTTCCAGAATTATAATTATTACTATTTTTTAGACACAGAGTCTCAATCTGTCATACAAGCTGGAGTGCAGGAGTATGATAATAGCTCGAACTCCTAGGTTCAAGCAATCCTCCTGTCCCAGCCTCCTTAGTAGTTAGGACTACAGGCATGTACCAGCATGCCTGGCTAATTTTTTAAAATGTTAAAAAAAAATTGAACCCAGGGTTTCAAACTCCTGGGTTTAAGTGATCCTCCAGCCTCAGCCTCCAAAAGCATTAGTATTACAGATGTGAGCAACTGTACCCAGCTAGTTCCACAAATTATATAACATCAGTTAAAAATGAGCAAGTGGGATGGATAGTAAGTACCGTGGGTATTTACGGTTAGGTATTTGTTCTCTACTGGGTATGGTAGCAAGTAAATAGTTGCTTTTTCTGCAGAGACTAGTTTGTTAGTGAAAGAGGGCATTTTACTCAAAATTTCTATAGGTCCACACTGATTCTCCTATTGGAAATTTCCAGAAACTTCATGTAAATAGCAAAAGAACTTGTTGATCAGTTAGCATAGTTTAGCCTTCTGGGTTACAGATCAAAGTGGAAAATGGAGTGGATGTATCAGTCTGCCATTGACACTTCTAAAACCCAGTAATATTGGTTTTTTTAGGTCATAAGGCCAAGTTATAGAGCTTTTTCTTGTTCTGGGACCCACTCAAATCTTGTAATGTTAAGCTTATCCACTAAGTTCATGAAAGTAGCATGCCCAAATGTGTTATATGTTTTCTCCAAAATCCAAACGTGTACATCAAACATTGTGCATCTTTCATTGCGTTGGAAAGTGCAGCAAATCAACTCTTACTTTAAGGAGGATCTGCTGACATGGCCCAGACCACTATACCCCTAGCAACTTCACCAGTGACAGGTTCCTGCATTTTCATGGGGTTTATTTACAACCCTTTGGGACACTTGTCTCTTACATTTAAGATGTTGTCTTCTGATTTAAGATGCCCCATCATCATGTTCTGTGATGTATCAAGGCAATAAAGTTCTCTCCAGATCATATTAAGATGAACAGGAGATGAGCTGAGGTAGGTTAAGTCAAGAGAGTAAAGGCATATTGATATTCCTGCTATGTGAAGGAAAGAGCTTCTTTTCATCTTTACTAATGGAGGGAAGGGAAAATGTGTTTGTTAAGTCACAGGGGTCAGGGACCATACTGATTTCCTCCACTAAAGATACTATATTGAGAATGTCAGATGTGATTGATATCATTGCTTGATTAAGTTTCTGATAATATATCCTCATTATTAAAGACCCATCTGACTTTTGCATAGGCCACTATGCAAATGAATAAAACGGGGAATTCATACCACCTCTGTAATTGTTTAAGCATTTGGGGTAGCACATCCTGCTGGACTTTTAGCTTAGTATCTTAGCAAAGGCAGGCAATAAAAGGGTCCAAAATGTAGTTTGGACCTTATTATGCAATAAAACCCACTCTGCATCAGGAAATTCTTTATTAAGTTTTTTTATTCTCACTATACATTCTTGGCCTATAAACAAATGGATCTGAAGTCCCTCAGAACACCTTATGAAATAAACTTGGACTAAGATTTTACTTATATCTGTAAGTCTCAACTCTGACCATTGGACCTATGTGGTGTTTTAGGTCTCCAGGGATTAGTATCATTTAAGAGACTGTATCCAATAATCCCATAAAGTGTGTAGTTCTCCAGTGCAGGGATTCTCAAATTATGGTCCCTAAACCATCAGCTTCAGTGTCACCTGAGGACTTATTAGGAATATCAATTCTGGGGTCTCCACTCCAAACTTACTGAATCAGTGAGACCCAGAAATCTGTGTTCTAAAAGCCATCTGCGTGATTCTGATGCACACTTAAGTTTAAAACCCACTGCTCCAGTGCATAATTATTAAGTAGTAACACGTAACCCTAAGTCAGGTGTAGAGGAAGGCTCATGCTATGTATCTTTGATCTGATTGCCAGGTCATTCCTTATAGATCTGGCCTTCTCAAACTAAGGTCTCTTATAAATTGGCTTTGGTCTGAGAACAAAGTAAGAATAAGTGAATCTCCACTACCATAAATCAAGTTACTATTTAGCCCACCAAACCTCCTAGGATTTTTCTCCTTATATAGACCAAACAGCTCCTTGTTGGACAGTCCTTTTATTTTGTTTTAAGGACCTTGTGATTGAATAGCTGATGCCAAAGATCTCTGAAGGTCAAACTTCCTGATGACTATAGGGAGGGAACCATCGTTGTGGCTTATTATGGTAATTGTGCCCACTTGATCTATAACGAGTAAGCACCCCTACTTGACTTCTGAGTCTCTGGCATCCTATTATTTCCATTGTCATCAAGAAATCTAACTCCATTGTACCATGCTCTACCATCACCTCTGGAGAACAGCCACCATAGAACATTACTTTGGTTTTCAAGGATAATGGTATCCCTCCTTACCAACAGATTCATTTTAAAAAGTGTTGGTAAAGGGCGTGGCCTCAGGGCCCTTTTGGGTGATATAAATAAAGACTGGCTGACCAGTAGCATATAATAAATCAATTCCAGCATTCCCATTTTCCTAAGACTTGATTTTTCTATATTGTGCCAGGGAAGTTACATTATTCAAACTCATTGAATTTACCCCACTATTGACAGAGTCCACATTTTAGATAACCAACTTAATAGACTTAACTCCTAGGTGCTCCAGACAACACATTTGAGCCAAAATCCTGAGTGAATAAACCCTTATCAATAAATTCAACCTAATCCAGCCTCATATGTTTTCTTCCTTGGTCAAACAGCCATATAATTTACTTCCTTGTGTGCTCTCCAGATTCCTGTCAATAGAAATCAATGAGGTTCTACAAGTCTTTCATGGTATAGGATTTCTTCCTTCCAGCCTTGTACTCCTCTTTTAGATTATATCAGAGTCTAATACCCATTATTAAGGGTGGTAGAAATTAATCCTAGGAAAGGACAAGCACCAGTCTGAGAGGCAACTACCTAGACCCAGCCATTAAAACACTGGTTCCCTTAAATACTGGGGGGAGGCCGGGCGCGGTGGCTCACGCCTGTAATCCCAGCACTTTGGGAGGCCGAGGTGGGTGGATCACGAGGCCAAGAGATCAAGACCATCCTGACTAACACGGTGAAACCCCATCTCTATTAAAAATACAAAAAATTAGCCGGGCATGGTGGCGGTGCCTGTAGTCCCAGCTACTCGGGAGGCTGAGGCAGGAGAATTGCTTGAATCCAGGAGGCAGAGGTTGCAGTGAGCCGAGATTGTGCCACTGCACTCCAGCCTGGGCGAAAGAGCGAGACTCTGACTCAAAAAAAAAAAGTAAAATAAAAAATAAAAATAAAAAATAAAACATACTGGGGGGAGGCTGCCTCTGCTGGAAAGGCAAGGACAAGGGATATACCCATTTGAAGTTCTCAGCCTCATTTTTGTCTACCCAAATGTACATATTTCAACACACGAGATTTTTCTTTTCACCTTTCTACCAGCTCCTTTGCCTTGGTATAAAAGATCTAGTAGGTTTAATTGGCTATCAAATTTTCAGCTCTTACATTCCAGCCATGGGCTTGATTCTCAGTCATATCTTCCCAACTTCGGGAGATGAAGGACTCCTTCATTGCTGCCAGTGACTTGATTTTTCTATGTATAATTGCAGTTTGATATTTAATTTTTCCTTTATACATTCTTTAGGGCCACCAAAATAAGCCAGCTGATGCCACCATGTTTACAATCACCATTGTTGCCACAGTGATAAGTACCATAGCTACTTGATTGCTCAATACCTTGCCCCATCCACTGGTGATAATTTGGGTAAGCATAATGCTGCTGTATGCCATGCATTGCCCATGCCTCATCCCCTCCACTTCCCTAGCAAGAGGGTTATCAATTTACTTTTCAAACATGTGGAAAATAATCCCAGAATCTCATTTGAGAGTCAGTTCCTGGGGCCACTTCCAATAGCAATCACTGTATTATTCTTATTAGACTATAGGGAGGGAACCAGGAAAACACAGTTTTATTTTCTCTCTCAGCAGGGAACAGATGGCATACTAAAATTAGGATAATAAAGGAGTGTTTAATAAAGAGATTTTTACAAAGGGTGAGCAGGGGGTAGGGAAATCATAAGAGATAATGAAATACCTAGAATAAGAAATATCAGGGATCTGCTACCACTCCTAGGGCAGAAAGGATAAGGAGAGGGGTGTACACTGCAAGTAGGGAAAGCTGGACAGAAAGGGCCATTTGGTAGGAGCTATGACATTTGGTTGAGGGAACCAGACAGCCCATGAAAATACCATAGAGAGGAATAAATACATCATCTTCTTCCTTCCTTTCCACTGCAAGAACTTCCCTTTGGCAGAAACTGATAAAAATCCAGAGGGTAAGAGAATTCATAGTTGACTCATGTGAATAGATAAAGGGGAACTAGAGAAGAAACAGAAGCTAGCCAGCATAATATTGATTACTCCCAACTCAATGTCTCTAGCTCCAATGTCGCTCATGAGGGTCAGACTTTTATATGCAACTGCCTGTTCAACATTCCTCTTGGATGTTCACTTAAACATCTCAACTTTAGCATATTTGAAAGAGAAATCTTGGTTTTGCATTCCTCTCCTCACCTACACCTCTCCCTCTTTCATCTTCTCCATCTTAATACATGTCATCACAATGCCCCCAGATGCTCAATCCAAAAATGTAAGGATTATTCTTGATTTTTCTTTTCCTCACACCCAACCCATCATCAAGTTATGTCACTTTTGAGTCTAAAATATGCCCTAAATCAGACCATTTCCTATTATCTCAACCACTTCCACCCATTCCAAGTAGTCATTAAAACTCACCTAAACTATTATAGTAACCTCTCAACTTGACTCCATGATTCTACACTTGGCCTGTTATACTCTATCAACCACCAAGGAACCAAGGAATACTCCTAAAAATTTAAATCATATCATGATTACCATCTGCACAAAAGCATCCCATTAAACTTAATAGCAAAATCTAAACACCTTATTATGCCCTAGAATGCCCTGTATTGGCATTCTATATATCTGCTTGGGCATTCTATTTAACTCTCCAGACTCATTTCCTAATGTGCTGCTACTCCAACCCCCTCACTGGCTTTCTCATTGTTTTTAGAAAACACTCTACATTTTTTTTTTTTTTTTAAGACGGAGTCTGGCTCTGTCCCCCATGCTGAAGTGCAGTGGCATGGTCTCAGCTCACTGCAACTTCCGCCTCCCGGGTTCAAGCAATTCTCCTGCCTCAGCCTCCTGAGTAGCTGGGATTACAGAGGCACGCCACCATGCCTGGCTAATTTTTGTATTTTTATTAGAGACAGGGTTTCACCACATTGGCCAGGCTTGTCTTGAACTCCTGACCTCCAGGTGATCCACCCACTTCGGCTTCCCAAAGTGCTGGGATTACAGGAGTGTGCCACTGCGCCCGGCCCACTCTAAATTTATTACTGTATTAGAATATTTGGTTTTTTTTATTCCTGCTGCTTAGATCGTTTATGCCCCAGATCTTCAACTGATTCTTTTATGTCCTTCAATTCTATCATGTCATGTCATGTCATATCATCAAAGGTTCTCTGACAACCACATCTGAAGTAAGACACTCCTACCATTTTTTATCATATTGCTTTTTCTTTACTATCTGAAATTATATTACTTATTACTGTGTTTATTTTCTATTTCCCCCACTAGAATATTAACTTCCATAAAGATAGACTGTGTTATCTTGTTCATTTCTCCATCCCTAGTGCCTATACGTGTCCAACACATAATAGATGCTTGATAAATATCAAACACATTATAATTCTATAAGTAACACACAAAAAGCCCAATCTCATAAAATGAAGACTTAGTGCAAGGATAAGGAAAGGACCAAGATAAGCCTAGGTAGCTTGCCGGTATGGAGTCCCAGAGTTCAGGCCCCAGTAGTCAACCGTATTAGATCTGATTTTACTTTATTGCAGAGTATGTTATTGAGTTTTAAAGTGTATTTTGAATATGTAAACAAATGAATACATGTGTAAATACAGTATCAAGTTAGTGCTTTCACATAGCTATTCCAAAACACTGGCGCTCAGTATATCCACATATAAATTCATCATGTCCCTTCATCCAAAACATGTTGTTTCTCTTCTATGTATTTCTTATCTTGGCAATGGTACAAGAATCACTCTGTCATCAAGACTGGAAATCTTGTAAATTTTTAAGTTCTACTAAGTCAAGTAAATTCAATATTAATAATATAGCTCAAACATGTTTCTTCTTTTACATTTTTTTATGATACTTCCCTAGCTGAGGACCTCTTGCATGGTTTATTAATATTCCTTAATTGCAATGAACTGAAAATTTGTGTCCCCCAAAATTCATATGTAGAAATCCTATGTCCAATATGATGGTATTTGTAGATGAGACCTGTGGGAGGTAATTAGGTCATGAGACTGGAGCTTCCGTGAGTGGAGTTAATGCCCTCAGAAGAAGCAGAGAGCTAGCTTGATCTTTTTTTTTGCCAGGTGAGATTACAAGGTGAAGTTGGCAGTCTCCAAACTGGAAATGAGCCCTCACCAGAACCTCATCCTGATCTTGGACTTCTAAACTTCTTGGACTTTTAATCTATGAGAAATAAATTTTTGTTGTTTATAAACCACCCAGTTTATGGTACTTTGTTACAGTAGTGTATTAGGGTTCTCTAGAGGGACAGAACTAATAGGATAGATGTATATATAAAGGGGAGTTTATTAAGGAGTATTGACTCACATGATCACAAGGTGAAGTCCCACAATATGCCATCTGCAAGCTGAGGAGCAAGGAAGCCAGTCCGAGTCCCAAAAACCTGAAAAGTAGGGAAGCCTTCAGTCTGTGGCCAAAGGTCCAAGAGTCCAAAAGCTGGAGAGCTTGGAGTCTGATGTTCAAGGACAGGAAGCATCCAGCACGGGAGAAAGATGTATGCAGAAGACTCAGCCAGTCTAGTCTTTCCACGTTCCTCTGCCTGCTTTTATCCTAGCCATGCTGGCAGCTGATTAGATGGTGCCCACCCAGATTGAGAGTGGGTCTGCATCTCCCAGTTCACTGACTCAAATGTTAATCTCCTTTGGCGACGCCCTCACAGATACACACAGGAACAATACTTTGCATCCTTTAATCCAATCACATTGATACTTAATATTAACCATCACAAGTAGACTGACTGACAAAGCCATTAGTCTTACCTTCTGATTGTCTACTGAACTTTATAAGTCTTTTTGGAGTATTTCCTAAAGCCTTGGTCAGTCAACATTACGCGTTTCTAACCTTAATCATCCAGATCTTTGCTTCTTGCATCTTCACATCTCATGTCTCAAGCTCACTATGCACATTCTTATCTCCGTGTTGTTTGTACTCTGCTGCCATCTTGGAATTCTTTGCTTTTTTTCTTTCCAATTTAATTTTTTTATTCATCCTTTAATGATAAACTTAAGTAGCATTTCCTTTACATATTCCTTAATTGCTCTGGCCAGACTTAATTGCTCTTATTTTATTTCAATGCCTTTTTTTTTTTTTTTTTTTTTTTTTTGAGACAGAATCCCACTCTGCTGCTCAGGCTGGAGTGCAGTGGTGTGATCTTGGCTCAGTGCAACCTCGGTCTCCCGGTTTCAAGCTATTCTCCTGCCTCAGCCTCCTGAGTAGCTGGGATTACAGGCACACACCACCATGCCCGGTGAATTTTTCTGTAGTTTTAGTAGAGATGGGGTTTTGCCAGTCTCGAACTCCTGACTTCAGGTGATCCGCCTGTCTCAGCCTCCCAAACTGTTGGGATTACAGGCGTGAGCCCCCACACCCGGCCTTAACGCACATTTTTAAGCTTCTCTTCTGCCTTGAATTATATGTATCAATATGCCTGTCTTTGTTACTATCTTGAAGTTATCTTGAAACCCAGGACTACGTCTTGTTTACCTCTTGATTTTCCTAGATTTCTTAACATAAACTAGACAATATATGCAATGGGTGTTCAGCATATATTTGTCTAAATTAAATTACAAGTAAAGATTGGCAATTCTTCTTTATGCTTTTAAAGATATCAACTTGATTTCTGTTGACAAATTCAGAGTATTTTTGCAACTTTTCCAGTGGCCCCTCTTCCAAAAGATCAAACAATGACCTTACACCTTCAAAGAAGGTATTCTTACCTTTTAGAATACTTTCAAAACTACTCATCGAAGATCTACACAACCTCCTCAACTGCGCTGCCATTGATCTTACTTTTTCAAAGACAAAGTTACTAGATTTACTCCTCTGATTCTTCATGGCAATTGACAATCATTCTAATTCATAGGTATATAAATCTGCCAATATTATTGAAAGTTGTCAGAAATGGTAACAATCAAATCCTAAGAAATCAGAAAGTATTATATGATGAGTGGCAGATCCCCTCTTTTATGTTTGAGTATCTCAGTAAGTTATAGATTTTTCAAAAACAAAGAAAACTGCATGAACAGGTCCCCAAATAGTAAATATTAATACAAATAAGGAATTTATAGTTTATATGAGTTTAATGGAAATTTTGAAGTGACAGAGACAATTTAAGAGAATCATTTGTCAATCTAATTTAATAGTCAAGGCTTAAACCTCTGCATTACTATTAAGCTAGCTTTCTGGTAAATCCTTAAAGGGACAGATGCCAAATAAAAGGATGTATTTTTATGAAATGTAAAATCCATTAGAAAGCCTCCTATTAATAATGTGACATTGCTATTTATGGGACAATTAGTGCCTATAACTACATATATAGTGATAAATGTTTGCTGTAAATTGATAGCAAAGATTCTAATATGATATCTTCAGCTATATTCATCCTAATGGTACTAACATAGACTTCTTGTATTTTTTGGTTGAAAATAAAGATTGCTGTACAAGGGTTTTAGATGCTTCCCCATTGATTTTCAAGATGTAACCATGTTGGAGAAGTAAAGTCTAATCACAGATGACTTATTTTATATCTAGAAAAAGGTAAATATCGGGAATATATACATATATTTCAAGTTTTGACCATCTCAATTTCTGGAGATTGTGTTCCACTAGTAAGGATATATTAACAAATAAATTTTTAAAAGTCTTCTAGAGTGCTCAGAGAGGTTGTTGCCAGTGTGGTTGAAGACATTCTCCTCTATAGTAGATATCAATATTTTGGTAGGGAAACCTCTCTCACTAAGACTCATTTCGAGCTGGGCTCCCAACACTTTGGGAGGCCAAGACTGGAGGATCCTTGAGCCCAGAGGTTCAAGACCAGCGTGGGAAACATAGGGAGACCCTGTCTCTACAAAAAAGGTAAAAAAAACTTTGCAGGCCATGGTGGTGCATTACTTGAGGTCCCAGCTACGGGAGGCTGAGATGTGAGGATCGCTTGAGCCCAGGAGGTGGAGGCTGCAATGAGCCATGATCACGCCACTGCACTCCAGCCTAGGTGACAGAACAAGACCCTGTCTAAGAAAAAAAATCCATTATAACTATGGTACAGTTAGTAAGACAAAGTACAGTAACTCTAGCTGACAGATCTTCAAGTGGCTGAGCAATGCAATGGATGCTATTGATTTCCATCAGTAAAATAGCCATATTTTCTAGATGCCATAAGCAAGTAGCTATGAAATAGGAATTCACCTATAAATCAGTCCATCTAGATGACTGTGATCTCATAGAGATATTGTAATTAAATCATTCTGGTCTTTGTTTCAATACTTTTTAGCATTTTGTTTGTTTGTTTTTTGAGATGGAATCTTGCTCTGTTGCCCAGGCTGGAGTGCAGTGGCATGATCTGGGCTCACTGCAAGCTCCGTCTCCCGGGTTCATGCCATTCTCCTGCCTCAGCCTCCCGAGTAGCTGGGACTACAGGTGCCTGCCGCCACGCCTGGCTAATTTTTTGTATTTTTATTAGAGACAGGGTTCCACTGTGTTAGCCAGGATGGTCTCGATCTCCTGACCTCATGATCCGCCTGCCTCGGCCTCCCAAAGTGCTGGGATTACAGGCGTGAGCTACTGCGCCCAGACTTTTTAGCGTTTTTAAAAGTGAATTTAATGCTTGTGAGTAGATACTGAGCAGAGTTAGAAAATAATAATTTATGCTAAGGTTACCAGCAGCACAATATTATTAAATAATCCAGTTTTGATTCTGTAAAACTTCTCTAATTCACTGATACTGCTGTTATTTTGTAAGGGTTATGCTTTGCAGCATAATATTGATTAGGTCAGCAAAGCTACTCTGATATGAGTTACAGGTGTGGGAACACCAACACCCTAGAACAGCATTCTACAAATAAAGTAATAATAACAGCATATCAAGAGTCAAAGAACCTATTTATAGGTGAAACAGTTGGCAGGTAAAGAGGTAAAGAGAAAAAGAGAAGACTTAAAAATAATGCAGAAGGCGGGGTGTGGTGGCTCACACCTGTAGTTCCAGCACTTTGGAAGGCCGAGGCAGGCATTACTTTGAGGTCAGGAGTTCAAGACCAGGCTGGTCAACATGGTGAAACCCCGTCCCTGCTAAAAATAAAAAAAATTAGCCGGGTGTGGTGACACATGCCTGTAAACCCAGCTACTCGGGAGGCTGAGGCAAGAAAATTGCTTGAACCTGGGAGGCGGAGGTTGCAGTGAGCTGAGATCGCACCAATGCACTCCAGCCTGGGAGACAGAGGGAGACTCCATCTTAAAAAAAAAAAAAGCCAAAGAAGAAAAAGGAAATTCTGTATAAATATACTGATACATAACTTTTGATTTTGATAATTTGAAAAATATTAACAAGTCAAGTGCCATGTAAAAGAAACTGCACAATGCAGATAGATTGGAAGTGATATAGAATATTAGAACAGTATGTCAGCTCTAGCCTTGCCAGGAAAAAGCTGGAAAGGCAAGTCTAACAACTTCTGGAATGCCAGGAATTGAAAAGAGCAGAGAGCAAAAGGACAAAATTTATTATCAGTTTTCTGAGAAGAGTGAAGACAGGGTTAATACAGAGTTTTTTTCCCAGGTAAGGGGCACCAGGCTAGTAACCCTGATTTTACTACCAAATAGATCTAACGTAGGAGTGATAGAACAGGCTTCAACCCCAGAGACCTACTCTAGGAGTGGCATGATAGTTCTTTAGAGTTAAGGGAATAGTTGATGGGATGCAAATTATGGTGGCGTTTTGTGTGATATAGAAAACTATACTGGCACCACCAAATAGGATTTAAATTGAGCCAGTTGCTGCTTAGAGTTGTTACTTTAATTTTTTCAAAGATTTGAGGTACAGTTTAGAAATATTCCATTTGAAATATAAGGAAAAATATATAAAAATATGTAAAATAATGAAAATATTTAAAATACATAAAATGTGCATATGTATTTCTAGCCTATATGTTATATTTACAAAATTGTTCTTAACTGTTGAAGAATTATAGCCAAGTCATCTAAAATAGGACTTTTTTTTCACATCCAGAAATTTTATTAATAATTGTGCATATTCAGGTACTCTGAATTTGGCTCTTGCAACTTTCTCTTATGTTAATAAATGCATTTAACTTTGGCTGATTTTATTCCTTTTACATGTTTGTTTACATTAATACCAAGTAAATTATAGCTGGCTTTCTTTGCTCAAGTCTGTCACCATAAAATGATATGAGGGTTGCCAATTCCAATGGTGTGTAAAGCATTGTCTTACTATTTTATATCTCTGTAAGGAATTTCAGGAATTGAATGGTTGCAGTAGCAACAAGAACAACAAAACATAACAGGAACTAAGAGAGATGATTTCCCGTAACAAATAGCCTTTTAAAAAAATCATGATATGGCCGGGCGCGGTGGCTCACACCTATAATCCCAGCACTTTGGGTGGCCAAGGCAGGCGCATCACGAGGTCAGGAGATCGAAACCATCCTGGCTAACACGGTGAAACCCCGTCTCTACTAAAAATATAAAAAATTAGCCGGGCGTGGTGGCGGGCGCCTGTAGTCCCAGCTACTCGGGAGGCTGAGGCCAGCTACTCGGGAGGCTGAGGCAGGAGGATGGCATGAACTCGGGAGGCGGAGGTTGCAGTGAGCCGAGATCGCACCACTGCATTCCAGCCTGGGCGACAGAGCGAGACTCCATCTCAAAAAAAAAAAAAAAAAGATATAAAATTTAAGTTAATAATACCTGGCAAAAAAATATAGGAACAATAATAATCATTTCACTTGTAGTTTTCAGAAAACACGAAGCCACTTAATATCTTGTGTTCTTAGTTATGAATGATTATTTGGTAAAATGCTACTTTAAGAAGACAGCTTGAATCACCTGGGAGCTTGTTAGACATGCAGAATCAGCTGGGTGTGGTAGGTAGTTCACGCCTATAATCCCAGCACTTTGGGAGGTCGAGGCTGAGGCAGGTGGATCGCTAGAGCTCATGAGTTCAAGATCAGCCTGGGCAACATGGTAAACCCCTTCCTCCAACTCCCGTCATTACTAAAAATAAATAAATAAATAAATAAAAATAAATAACTGGGCTTGGTGGTGTGAGTCTGTAATCCCAGCTACTTGGGAGGCTGAGGTGGGAGGATGACTTCAGCCAGGGAGGTGGAGGTTGCAATGAGCCAGGTTCGCACAACTGCACCCCAGCATGGGCAATAGAGCCAGATCCTGTCTCAAAAAAAAAAAAAAAGAAAAGAAAAGAAAAAATGCAGAATCACAGGCCCCACCCTAGACTTATTGAATCAGAATTTACGTTGACAAGATCCCCAGGGATTCAGGAGCGGGTGCACATTAGAGCTTGAGAAGCCCTGTTGTAGCTTGTGCCTGGTGTCCAAACTAGGACGCCTTAGTTTTCCTAAGAAGGAAACCCAGGCGTTGACTTGAGGCAGACTTGTGCTTCTGGGTACTCTCATTCACTGCGTGACCTTGAGAAAGGGACTTTACCTCCAGGATCCTCAAACTTCTTCTCTGTAAAATGAGCATTGTAATAATTATATCCCAGGCTTATTTTGGGAATATTCAATAAATGCTCCCTTCATTCTTTAAAAAATAAGTAAAGACAGCCTGAATGGGAGCCACGTTCTCACTCTTCTTTCTCTATGCAAAATGTATTGTGTAATGTTTGTGTACTAGTAGTTCAAGAGCAAATAAGTAGTTGGTTAATGGCTAACATATTTCTTAAATTTGTAACTGTTAAGATAAACATTGAACAAGGAAAAAGATTCGTAACTGAAATGTAAAGTCATTTGACCCTGGATAGTCAATGACAATCTTATTCACAGTGTAATAAGTAATTCATAATGAGATAATTATTATGAAATTATCAATAGCCTGCTATATCACTTTATGTTTATGATCCACAAGCTTTCCATAGCACCATGAATAGATAGTTGTGAGTAAATGATATTTTGATGGTGAAGATAATCACGTGCCAGGTTTGGTTTTGTTTTTGCTTATTTCTTATATGACAAAATGGGCCTTGCATTAGATGTTTCCCATTCCAGGAACACTCATCCCAAATATTTATATGGCTGAATCTTTTGCATCATTTAAGTTTTAGCTCAAAATGTGCCTTCTTTGACTACCAATCTAAGTGGTCTCCCAGTTACAATTTTATTTTCAGTTTAGCACCTATGTTAGTTTACTAGGGCTGTGTCTCAGTCTGCTCTTGCTGCTATAACAAAATACCTTAGAATGGGTAATTTATAAATTATAGAAATTTATTTCTCACAGTTCTGGAGGCTAGGAAATCCAAAGGCATCAAACCAATACTAGATTTGGGGTTGGTGAAGCCTTGCTTACTCTTTGCTTCATAGATGATGCCTTGTTGCTATGAACTCATATGGCAGAAGGGTGGAAGGTCAAAAGGGACTCTCTCAAGCCCTTTTAAAAGGGCACTAATTCCATTCATGAGGGCTCTGCATTCACCTTCTAGAGGCCCCACTTCTTAATACTATTGCATTAAAGAGTAAGTTTCAGCATGAATTTTAGAGGGACATATATTTTCAAACCACAGAAGGCTGCCGTAACAAAATACAACAGACTAGGTAGCTTAAGCAACAGACATTTATTTTCTCACCATTCTGGAAGCACAAAGTCCAAGATCAAGGTGCTGGATTTGGTTCCCTCCGAGCCTCTCTCCTTGGCTTGCAGATGGTCACCCTTTTGCTGCCTCTTCACATTGTCATTCCTGAGTGCACATATTTCACATGTGTCACTTGGATGTTCTAATCTCCTCTTCTTATAAGGACACCTGTCAGATTGGATTAGAACCACCTAACTGCTTCATTTTAACTTAATTATCTCTTTAAATGTTATATCTCCAGATGCGGTCACATTCTAAGACACTGGGGGTTAGGGCTTCACATGTAAATTTTGGGAGTTTACAGATTAACTCATTACAGCACTATATATGTATATATAATTATGTTTATGTGTATTTACTTGTTTATTATCTATTTTCTCTCATTAGACTATTTGCTCCATGACATACCTCAACTGTATTGCTCATTTGTGTCCCCAGCACTTAGATCAGAGCCTGGCACATGGCAGCCACTTAGTATGTATTTGTTGAATGAACAAAAAGATAAATGAATGTTAAAAGCATTTAATTATGAAATCTTTGATACTTGTAACTATTATTACAATTTCAATAATTTGAGAGTCAAGAGTCATAAAAAGCATTTAGTTAAAAAAAATCTTATGGATGTTCAGTAGATGTTATTTCCCACATAAATCTCCAAGATTTTTAATTTACAATGAAAAGATATCTTATGTTTACTGAATATAGCTCAGGTTCAGAAAGCAATGAGAATCTATGCCCTACCTTCTAGACAGATGATGTAGCAAAGATTCCCAGCTGTTCAAAGGAAATGAGTAGCTTTGGGAAGGTTAGGGAAGAAATATATAAAATATTATTTTTCTCTATTAATTGATTACCATTTCTGTGAGCTAAGCGAACTCATTCATGACTGTGACAGAGACTACAATTTTCTTTTCCAGGGTCTACTTTCCATTCTTCTATATTAACAAGATCCCATGTTTTAGGTGAGCACTTTGGTCACCCACTTAAATGACGACATTTCTCAGACTCACTTGTAGTAGAATTTATAGCCATTTGATTTAGTTTTGGCCTGTGAGCTGTAAGGGAAAGTGTTCAATGATGCATCAGGAGAGCCTCCTTAAAAACAAAAGGAGAAAGTGAGTTGAGTTATTTTCCCTTTTTTTTTCACCCTCTTGCCTGGATCATGGTGGATGTGAAAGCTAAGTTCTGATAACTGGCTTGGACCATGAGAATAAGGACCACGTTGTAGGGGTGGTGAAGAATTGAGCTGGAAGAAAGAAACTTGCATCTGTTATGACTTCATGGAGCTTCTGTGGCTGCGCTGGACTTTCTTTATCTTGAATTAATGAAAGTGAGAGAGAAATAAATTTGTTTAAACAACCCTTATTTAGGGATCTTCTGTTATCTTAATTAATACAATGATCAGTAGCCTTTTAATCTTTATTAAAAGATTATATAATCTCTTACTAAGTAGTGTCTGTGGTCCTTGCAATTCTTGGCTTACCTGAAGGCTTTTTTTTTCTTAAACCCAGACTTTTAATGATTGTACCATTGCAGCATAGACTTTTCTAGCAGTCCAAGATGTACAGACTAGACACAACCGCTTTAGTTTAGTATAAGTCGAATTTTTCTTTGTCCTTGAAGGTCTTCTTATGTATTCCCATAGCGTCATGAATTAATCCTTATGGTAGTGCTTATCACAGTGTATTATTATTGGTTATCTACTTTCCTGCCTGCCTCACTACACTCCTTGGAAATAGTAACCTTGTTCACTGTTTCTCTAACAGTTTGCACAGATCTTGGCCAACTAGTAAATGCTTATGTAATTAATAAGTAGATTTGCTAATATCTTACCTACTTCTTTGTTTTCCTCTGATATCTACTCCAGGAGAGACCAAGGCAGATTCAAGGCAGGTTTTATAATTCAAGTAGACTAACTGAGGTGAACCTCGTTTGTAATTCTGCAGTGCTATTTAAACCATTTACAGAATCTGTAGTGTGTTAGCAGTGGTTCTCAAAATGGTCCTATACCAACATCAGCAGCATTGTAGCTCTAAAGGGACTGCTTAGGAAACTAGGTATAATGATGATGATGAACAATGTTACAGAGTCATGGGGAGGCAGTATGGCATAGCATTTAAGAACACAATATTTGAAATAAGAAGGCCTAAGATCCAAGTTCCAGTTTTACTACTTACTATATGGGGGAACTAATAAGTCTACTTTATAGAAATGTTGTTGAGATTTAATGATTTAAGAATTAATTCATCAATATATACATTATATTTTTAAATGCCAAGTTCTTAAGATGGTGTATAGCACATAAAAAAAAGTTCAATAATTATTAGCCATATTGAGTATAGTTCCATACTAGGAGTTTGGTATAGAACTCAGTGTCACATTTATTTCATCTTGCTGTCTAGTACAGGCGCAGGCTTTCTTAATTTGCACTTTTATTAACCCTTTATCAACAACGCATTACATACTATGCTAGTTAAGTGGGAAAATTTGGCAATAGCTTAGATTTCTGATTTATTGATGAAAATCAACAACTCACTGTGTGATTTCCTTTGTGAAACATATCTACATTGACTTTGTAAGGTAGTATGTGTATTGTTATGCCTTACTTCTGTTTGCAAAAACAGGGGTATTATAGATAAACTCTACATTTCCAGACTTGAAATTTTGAACACATATCTGTGTATTAACTGTAAATCCATCCTCCCTCCGTCCCTTCCTTCCCTCCCTCCCTCCCTTCCTCCTTCCCTCCCTCCTTCTCTCTCTCCTTCCTTCCCTCCTTCCCTCCTTCCCTCCCTCCCTCCTTCCTTTCTTTCTTTTCTTTTCTTTTCTTTTTCTCTTTCTTTCTTTCTTTCTTTGTCTTTTTTTCTTTCTTTCCTTCTGTCTCTTTCTTTCTTTCCTTCTCTTTCTTTCTTTTTCTTTCTTTATTTTCTTTCTTCTCTTCCTTTCTTTCCTTTATCTCTTTCTTTCTTTTTTTTTGAGACAGGGTCTCACTATGTCACCTGGGCTGGAGTGAGGTAGTGTGATCTTGACTTACTACAACCTCCATCTCCTCGGCTCAAGCGATTCTCCCACCTCAGCCTCTTAAGTAGCTGGGGCTACAGGCACCGCACCACCACATCCAGCTAACTTTTGTATTTTTAGTAGAGGTAAGATTTCACCATGTTGCGCAGGCTGGTCTCCAACTCCTGAGCTAAGCAAACCTCCAGCCTCGGCCTCTTAAAGTGCTGGGATTATAGACGTGAGTCAACGCACCTGGTCCTATATTTTTTCTAAGAAGAGTTTTTTCTAGAAATTATACAATAATTTTCATAATAAAAATAAAAATTATTCTTAATAAATTTAAGTCTACCAAAGAGTTTTAAATTTATGTTATTCAAAAATCAAGAAAAATGTTTCATGATTTTTCTTGATTTATTTATGCCTTACTTCTGTTTGCAAAAAACAGATAGTGTAAAAAGTGGCATGATAAATCTTATCTCAAACATTATACTGGGTAGCTATCAGTCATTTAGTACTTATTTAAGCTATTTAACATAACTCTTTCAGTGAGAATAAAAATGAGCAACTAGGAAAAGACTTCTAAATTTAACCTGACATGTGAATAAATGTTTTATATCTTATTTGTAATTGCTTTGTGCATTCATCTTATCCTTTGAAGATACTGTAATTCTTGTAATTCTATATTTTGGGAATGCAATCACTATGCTGAAACAGCCAAAATTCATTTGCACAACTTTTCACTAAAATTAGTAAATAAATATTTGAAGCCGAATAACATTTTTAAAAATAGCCATCATAATTACATGAGAATTACATTTATTAAAAAAAGTGGATTGAACTTTGCTCTAATTAGTTTACATTTAAAGATTCTTTGATCTGTGATAACAGTAATATATATTAACATGTTGCATTTTAAAGTGACACTGCTTTTCATTAATCAAGTGTCTGTATGGTTGATTAATTTGTACAAGGTTTAAATTGCTATGAAAATTTATCATTCATAGCCATGATCTCCATTTACATATATGTTAATTATGGTAAATGTAATCTTTTTCTGAATCCTCTGGGCTGCATACTAAAAAGACAAAGTGATCAGAGTGACTACTTTTTCTATTACAAAGTGAACTCTTACTGTTACTCAGTAAAGTCTGTTGTAGTTGTCAAAGCTAAAGCTAAAAACAGTAGTTTCTGCTGAAGGCAAGTCCAAATTCTTAAGATGGTATTTCTTTTTCAAGTGATTTATTTATTCAGCAGTCATGACATTTATGCAAACAGAGTTTCCATGTTTGTTTACCATAGTATTTAGTGCTGTCTCTGAGTGCTGTCACCATTTGCGATACTAAACTCCTTCTTCACATTGGTCTCTATAGGGTTCAGCCCAGAGTATTGTGTAAAATCGGAAGCATAGTGAGGAAGCATTAACTATGAGTCTGGCCTTACACACCCCACTATTGGTCTTTTCCCATTGTTTTCTAGAGGCTTTCCCTAAATTCAGAGCATAGTAACCAAGAATTATTTTATTATTTTTATTTCTGTAGAAATGCTTTTCATTTATTCACCAACAGTGATCTTCTCTCTTAACAATTATTGATTTGGAAAAAATTCTAGTATAAGTTAAAATGATATAGTGACTAGTGTTTTAGAGTGAATGTGATAGGCCTTGCTAGGCAAATGTTGGAAAATTATTCCTATTTAATGTATATAATTTTATGCTTAGATTGTTAATATTTACATAATATATTCACTTCAACAGAAGCCTTATTTCATAGTCACAACGTAATAGAATTAAAATATCCATCTTGGAAACCTTTGCAAGCATAGCACCTCTGACTACCTGACGAGGCTATTTTTAAAGACACTTATTTGGCAATTTTCTTACAGTCAGCCTAATCACAGGAGAAACAAACTAATATGGCACCTGTTTTGATAGATGGATGTTTTACCTTTCATCCCCTGATCCCAGACCTTGCAAGACATTTTTCAAAGAAGCATCACTTCCCTCAACACAGAAATGCATCCACCTCTAAGCTGGAAACAGCAAAAGCATAGGGCAGAAGATGAAGAATATATTATCCAACTAAAATTACAGAGAAATTTTAAGTAGGCAGAATATAATTGCCCAATTTGGAAATTAGCCAGGACACAGGGTTTAACATCATCTTTACTCTTTTGAAAAGTGCCATGGGATTTTTAATAACTGCTGGTGGTCAAGACCTTGGTTTTACCCTCATCCATTAGACGACACCTCCAGCAGTGCAGTGCCCCTTCATACCATGCTGGGGCATCAGTTCAGTACTGACTCAGTGAAAATTGTGCCACCTACTGAATCATCCACAGCTCATCTCAGAGTGTCCTGGCTTTTAGAGTTTCTCTGGAGAGCTGTTATGAAAGATGGGACCAGGCTCAATGATGCTTAATTTATGAGATTTCAAGGTTTAAAATGGTTAAGATCCCAGATCTGAGTTTTATTTTCAACTTTAACAAATTTTTCTGGATTTGCCCATACTTACGGCCCATAATGATGGTCTTGATGATTAAACTGTACATCATACATGTCTCTCTTTAGAAAAAAAGGGAATAAAGGCAATAATACATGGATGTAGTCAATGAAAAGCAGATTGCCTCATTTGTGATATATTTGATTCTTCTAATTGGAAAAAGTACTACCCCCCAAATCTTTGTAAACTGTATAACTAAATAGGCTTACAAGGAGCTTCTTTTTCTCTCTGGATTTTTAAGAACCTAGGAACAAATACTTTTTTTTTTTTATAAAGAAAATAGAATTAATTGGCTCACAGTTCTGTAGACTATACAGGAAGCAAGTTGTGGGCATCTGCTTGGCTTGAAGAGCAAATGCAAACCTTGGAGGGAGCAGATTTCACTGGCCAAACAAATAGTGAAATTTTTGTCAAAGAAAACCTTTACTCCAGTTTTTCTAGAAAACACCTTGCCATCTGTAAAAGAATCTCAATGTAGCATGACTATTCCAGGAACAACTGAAATGGAATCAAGATCTTAAAACAAAATCCAGGTGCATTAAAAGATAAATAATAAAACCTGGATGCTTTCTGGCCTCTATGCTCCATTTTAATAATTTTCTTCATTCATGTAAATGTGTGTGTACTGTATACAATTTTTTTTTAAACTGGGCTCTTGCCATTTTTAGAAACAGTCTTTGAGATGACTTCAGAAATTCTTTCTTGGCTGCTAAAAGTATCAATATCCTGGAATTGAGAAACTGTTTCTGAAAGTGTTTCTTGAGGTTTTACTTCTGGAAATGACATTGAATAAATCCCATTGCTGGTGTATGAGGAATAAAAGAGATAGTTGAAAATAGTTGTAAAGAATAGATTGAGACACTGTAGCTAAGGCTGCAAAATGGATTCCAACATAATCCTGTGTTTTCACTCACTCTTGCTGATGCCAGTGATTCAAGTGAAACACACACACACACACACACACACACACACACACACACACACAGTTTGGTGCTTTACAAAGATGTTTTGTTCAACAGTGGACTGAATATAAGATGATGGTCCCATAAGATTATAATACCATATTTTTACTGTACCTTTTCTATGTTTAGATACACAAATACTTACTACTGTGTTACAATTGTCCACAGTATTCAATATAGTAAAATGCTATACAGATTTCTAGCCTAGGAGCAATAGGCCATACCATATAGCCTAGGAGTATAGTAGGCTGTACCATCTAGGTTTGTGTAAGTACACGCTGTGATGTTTGTATAAGGAAGTAATTGCCTAAGGACACATTGCTCAGAATGTGTCTCCATTGTTAAGTGATATGCGACTGTACATACAGTAGTCCTCCCTTATCTGCAAGGGATATATTTCAAGACCACCAACGGAAGTACTGAACCCTATATGTACTAAGTGCTTTCCTATGCATACATACCTATGATGAAGTTTATTTTTTAAATCAGGCACAGTAAGAAATTAGGAACAACCAATCCAAGATAGAACAATTATAATAATATGCCAGCATCACTACTCTTGTGCTTTTGGGACATTATTAAGTAAAATAAAGTTTCCTTGAATACAAGCACTTCAATATGGTGACAACTGATAGCATAACTTAGACGACTACTAAGTGACTAACAGGTGAGTAGCATACAGCTTGACTACGTTGGACAAAGGAGTGATTCAAGTCCTAGACGGGATGGAGCAGGCTGGTGGGAGATTTCATCACACTACTCAGAATGGTGTGCAATTTAAAACTTAAGAATGGTTTATTTCTGGAATTTTCCATTTAATATTTTCTGACCATGCTTGACCACAGGTAACTGAAAATGCAAAGAGCCAAGCAGCAGATGAGGGAGGACTACTGGACCTTTTATTATCTATTTTCCTTTTCTGACTCAATCAGTTTCCAGCTTTCTCTATCACCGACTTTTCCTTTTGGGAAAAATCTATATTAATCTTACTCCTTGTTAAATAAAAAAATCTTTCTCAAGTCAAGTAACTTATTTTCCTGAATTTCCCTATGTTGTTCTGCTCTGACTTGATTATTCCTTGCTAGTAAATTAATAATTCACATATTGGGGGGTTGGTGATCAGGGATGGAACAACTATTTCAGGAAACTTAAGTCCGATTTGGTGCATTGCTACTGGTGTGATATATATAGCTAATATGCTTCCATAAGTGCCTGGTTTGCTACCAGATAGGAAAATTAGTTACTTTTTTCCACCATTAATTATCAACATAAAAAATCATGGGTGACAGATATTCTTTCATTGTTAAAGTTGAAAATCTGAGACACAGAATTTCTCTGAGTAGATCAAATAGCTCCTCACTAATCCATGAAAAGATGTTTGTAAACTGTGGACTTCTATGGCTTTAATATAGTACTTACTTAATGTTGGAGTGACTATAACTTTCTAGATTTGGATTAGAAATGAAATTGTCCTTTAATTTTCAATCAAATAAAACAACACATTAGCTTGTGACTTTTTTCCTGCTTAAGTACAGTAGTGTTTTGTCCAGCAATTTTACAGATTTTTCATACTTAATCAAGTTTTAAATTTCATAAAATTTGTTTCCAATGTTATTTTCTTTCTATCTGAGTATCATTCTCTAAACTCCTGTTTCCTTCTCCAATGTTCCTCTCCTTTCTCTAGTTTCTAAATTCAAGTATACTTCCTTTTCTTAAAGATAATTTTGGCTAAATGTGACTCCCTCACATCTCCTCTCCGGGGGATGGTGGGGGAAGAGAAAAAGAAGAAAGAAAAGAGAAAAACGGAATTATCCTTGAAAGTAACCAACTGAGTTGTAATTTGTTAATATTTCAGCTAACAAACGCTAGGCTCTGTTTCTATCAATCATTACTGTATATGTGTGCAATAAAGAACATATTTGTGGGCCAGGCCCCATGGCTCATGCCTGTGAATCCCAGCATTCTGGGAGGCCGAGGCAAGCAGATCACCTGAGATCAGGAGTTTGAGACCAGCCTGGCCAACATGGCGAAATCCCGTCTCTACTGAAAATACAAAAATTAGCTGGGCGTAGTGACGGGCACCTGTACTCCCAGTTACTCGAAAGGCTGAGGCAGGAGAATCGCTTGAACCCGGGAGGAAGAGGTTGCAGTGAGCTGAGATCCTGCCATTGCACTCCAGTCTGGGCAAGAAGAGTGAAACTCCGTATCAAAAAAAAAAGAACATATTTGTCTTTCTAATCTTTTATATGTAATGCTCCTTCCTAGGTATAGAGAATAAAATAAATACCTAAGACAATCATGTACTTAATGGGTACAGTGTACACTATTCGGGCAATGAGTACACTAAAAGCTTAGACTTCACCACTACATAATATATCCATGTAACACAAATATACTTGAACCCCTAAATCTATAAAAATAAAATATAAATAAAGAGAAAAATAGGCAATCATGAATGCTGAACTTGCTACATTTCTTCATTTATTGTTAACTGAAATGTGTGTTTCTGTAATGTATTTTTCTTCTATTAAAAGTTTTTTTGTCAATGTACTTCAAACAAATGATTGTAACATTATATGGTTGATTTTGATAGTCATTACTTCAGTCTCTTCTTAGATCATAAAAATTGAACCTTCATGACAAGAGAAAAGAACAAAAGATACATGATTCTCTACACTCAATGTGAGCCAAATATTTTCCTCAGTAAAATTCTTCTAATCCTAGAACGAGGTCATCAAAATTTTATAGGAATTCCTAACAATAAGATCTGAGAGATTAAATATATTTTTCAAGTTACATATTAAATATACACATTAGTCATTCAAGCTATATTAAAGGCATCACAAATGATTTGTTTTCGAAATGAAAACAAAAAATTCAATAGCAAAACCAAAACATATGAAAAATATAATTTGTAAGGAGTTGAACCGTGCCCCCCAACGCCGCCCCAAAGATATGACTATATCAAAGCCCTAGAAACTATGAATGTTACCTTATGTGGAAAGAGGATCTTTGCAAATGTAACTAAGTGAAGGATCTCGGGATGAAGAAATCATCCTAGATTACCTGGGTGGGTCCTAAATCAATGACAAGTGTCCTTAACACAGAGAACAGATACAAGACAGACAAGAGGGGTGATGCGAAGACAGAGGCAGAGACTGGGATGATGTGGCTACAAGCTAAGGAATGACAAGGATTGCAGGCAGCCACAAAATGCTAGGTGGGGGCACAGAATGGATTCTTCTCCAGATCCCCTGAAGAAGCATGGCTGACATCTTGATTTCAGGCTTCTGCCCTCCAGAACTGTGAAAGAATAAATTTCTGTTTCTTTAAGGTACCCAATTTGTCATAACTTGTCATGGCAGCCCCAGGAATGAATATACTCTACAATCTGTATTGAGATATACCTTTGTTATGGTAATGGTGATAATGGCATTAAAAAAACTCCAAAATCAACTAATAAAACGATTAGGCAGGAAAGTGACAGTATGGAAAGTTTATTTTATGCATTTTATAGAATGTTATTAGAGCCCAGTGGATTAAGTGACCTAAATCTTCCACATCAGCTAACATCCAACCAAAATACAGGAATGAACAATATAATAAAACTTTATAAACTTGGACCAGAATCATCCCAAAGGCCCTGAGGTGAAAAAGAGATACATGCTCCAAATGAAAGCAAATAACAAGAAACAAAATCTCATGTGTTTGGAGTGTAACGTGAGGGGAACCGAGTATTTAGAAGAGAGGCCAAGAGATAAGCTGGAATCAAACGACGCAGAGCTAAGCTGCTCTATATAGTGCCCTGGACTCAGTTAGTGAAGCAGATCATGAGCTACCTTTAGACATAGTCCCTATCTTGATTTTTATACCCTTGAATCCTAACAATGTTCTTGAGACATTACTGACATTGTTACATAGTCTGAATGGGCAAATTAATTTTACAAATTAGATTTCAGTGTGTTTAAAACTACTTGACAACAATCTATTGTTGAACATCCTCAAATACCTACTTGGTTTTGGTTCCTTTTCCTAAAGTGTAAGTTCCTTAAAATCCTTTTACTGTTAAAGCTTGGCAAGTAGTAGTAAATGCTGAAGAAATAATGTGGAATGAGCAAATGAAACACTCAGTTGTTTTTCAGTGGAATATTGGATGTCCCTTTGGTAGTCACTTTAGGGAGACCTGGGACCAGGCGAGGTTGAAAACTCTGCACTAACTCAAGCTATATCATATGCAACTGGTAGAGTTAGTACTAGCCTTAATGATGTGATCTGAGTGCCAACAATCTTGTTCTTTATAAAGTGTCTTTTAGCTATAAGGATTTTTTGTTTGTTTGTTTGTTTGTTTTTTCTGGCCTCTTGTTCATACCAGGCTTCATATAGCTCCAATAATCTTAGGATATCTGTGCCTCCATTAATTTCTAATTATGACACTCAAATTTCTTACAATTAAGAAACTAATTACAATTACAAATACTCCCTTGAGGCATTATACTAGGCAATATTTTGTTAGTCTAATTCTAGCAATCATATGCACATCAATGAAACACTTACATTTTAATGTAATATTTTATTTATATTTTTAACTAATTAAAACTCTATTAAATTTAATATTATATAAAAATGCTATTACATAAAGACCACAATTTCTACAGCATAACCAGAATTTCTCCTTTTATCTGTGAAACAAAATCAGGAACTCAAAGAATTATATTTGAAATTCAGTAATATTTAGACAGCAAAATAATATTTCACATTTCAATAAGTTGTTGAGGCTCATTTTAGTTGCAAACTGATCCAGGCTTTAAATTTATAGTCACATTATTAGTGTACACTTTTTTTAAAAAAGAAAAAGATAAGTATATGACAGGAAAGTATATATGAATGTGTATGCATAGACAAATGAATGCTTACTTTAAATACTACACAACTTCAGGTTTCCAACATTACAGCATAAAATAATCCTCTCTCAAACCTGGGAAAATCCTACCCTTTTGGAGACAAATGTATCTATTAGAATTAAAATTGTTCATACGAGGGTACCAGGTATTTATTTCCGTACATCTTGAGAATGATATTCAAACTTTAAGATAATTACAACAGTGTAAGCTCTAGAGTGGAACAAAAGCAGGGGGTAAAAAACCCAGAAGTTCCCAGAGGTAGTTAGGAAAAAAAAAAAAAAGGAAAGATAGAATGGAAGAAGTGAGGGGCTCAAAGAAAAAAGAATGAAGATTCAAGGATGGGTAAATCTCCTCTTTACTTGGCTTTTCAAAAGGTTTGTGATAACCAGCTTTTGTGTAAATGGATTTGATGGCTCTGGGCTGAAGGTGACTGACAGATGAATCTAGGACCCCTCGGAGTGTCACCCTGGGGATTGCCATTGTTGCAGACAGTTTCTTCAGACTGACCCAGAAGAATCATTATCTCAAGGGGGCTCTAACAACAGCCACCCCCAAGCGGCCTAGGCGCTTGGAGTAAGCAACTTAGTCTCTCTCTTGAGCAGTAATTACAGCGGTAAGGCGAACAAGGGATGTTACTGGGTTGAGCTTAAGTCTCTCTCCAACTTACAATTAAGAAAAAAAAGTATTCAAGTATCCGAAGATTTTTCCCAAGCAAAAATGTCAGAGAGCTTCTCTTACTCTTTGTTAGTTGGAAAAATAAACAGACCTCTGGGTCCCCCTCAGGAAGTGCTTAGCTGAAGAGGGTATTGTAGGTAAAAGCTTCAGAGTCTTTTTTAGTAAAGCTAATGTGTTTACTTTGGGACTACTTCAGCCAAGTCCAGTTACTAGTAGGAGTCAGCTAAAATCTGAGGGAATTGCTTTAATACCATATGAAACAAATCTCTTCCACAGTGGCAAGCTAACAGAGGCATGTGACCCATCTCGTCACAATAGTGCTCTGCCCCCAAACCCTGGTGGCACCACTCCAGGAACCTGCTCTATGGAAGGGCTCATGCACTACAGTGAAGGGACCCGAAAGCTAGAGAGTGGTTTTTCTTCCCCTAAACCTCAAAATAACGCTCCACTTATACCCTCAGAGTAGTAAGGGGGTTTGCCATAACTAGACTAGTTATTTGCAATATTTTAAAAAGCTGATAAACCTAACATGATGTTATTAGAACCACAATTCCATCTCTTATAATTCCTGTAAGTCACTAGCTCCTGTTGCCATCTGAGTGCAGTATCCATCTTTTCTCGTAATAGGCGTGACATCCTGTCTAGAGAGGAACCAATCAGAGAATGGAATGAAAACTGTAGGGCTTTTCTAAGGTAATGGGCTCTGTTAGCTATGTTGGTTTGGCTCAGTGCTTTTCTAAGTTAAGAGACAGATAAAACAATCATTTCTGAAAGTATGTCTTCATCTCTATTAATGAAAATGATCAAGCTTTCACTTGTTACAACTTAAAATAATTTGGAGAGTCACCTTTACTATGTTTCACATAACAGGAAGAGCTTTTCTTGCCCAACTCACTTGGGTCTCCTTTCTACTCTGTGTGTAAGTATCTGTGTTTAATGTTTCCTTTCTCTCTTCTTTCTCTTGCTTATATTTTCTTATTTCTACATCAAAGCACTTTGGAAAGTAAGCTGCATGAGGCCAGGGATATACCATAATGTCTGACACAGTAAGATATCAGTATCTGCTTGTTAAATGTTGATTCCTGCTTTATTGCTCTTAATTTATCCTCTTCTCTCTAGTAATTTATTTTTATCTTTTGTTGTTGTTTCTTTTTTCAAAAAAGATTGTTGTTAGATTGTTTTGGGATGAATTGGCCTTTGTGGGTTATTCTTATAAATGGTTGTTGGCAGAAATGTTTGATTTTTCTTTTACAGTAGAAGAAGTTGAGACAAGGTAGTGAAAGGGGGACTCATCTGTAATCATTCTTTAACAGGATGGTTTGTGAGGATTTAATTAGATACCACATGTAAAAGTCCCTAGAACATAGTAGGTATTCCATACACAATGCCTTGGACAAGAGGAAACATTGCTGATAGTAAAATAATTTCAAAGTAACAAAGAAGCTTAAGAACCTAAATGGAAAAAATCAAAATTCTCTGCTTCACTTTAAGCAGTACCACTGATTTTGATGTAACTCCAAGAACATTACTTAACTATGTCCATTATCATCATTTGTAAAATGGGATAACAAATTTTCCCCACCTGGCAAAGGTCCTGTGTACATTAGATAAATAATATAAAACACCATGGTGATAAAGAGTATGGTATGAATGTCAACTTTTATTATTCTATTTTTGTATGATAAAATGCTGTTTTAGACAATAGAATTAGTTGGTATGCAAAACATTATTGTGTTAATTAAACATAGGATTGTATTAAATCATTAGGTTAATTTTCCCTGAACATTCTGTAATCTTTATTTTAGAGTTACTATTAACTAACACAGCTTGACAAATGCCTCCATTACTGGATGTGTGCGTGGTGCTATTTTCAGGGAAGAGAAATTGTTAGAAATGCACTAGCTAATACGAATGGTATTCAGGAGCTTTTAATGTAGATGTTAGATAGATCAGAACTGCTTGTAGATGTTTCACTGAAGTCTGAAAATAATGACCACAATCATTTCTTAGTCTAGCACAAAATATCTGGGCCAGGCAACCCCAAGAAGGTTGCAAATTCCAACTCAATAGGAGACTGACCTATTCCTCAGAAAGATCATACTGCTGTTGAAGTCCTATTCCCCTACCAAACACACATAACTGAGCTGCAGATAAGAGTTGAGGTTTCATTGTTGGAGGTCGAGGAAGAAATAAGAATTTATGGAAAAGGGAGAGATAGTCTGTTAACAACTACCTATTGAGAAAGTGTAGTGTAGTGGTTAAATCAAACATGGTACAGATTGGCCTTGGAAATTGTTATTATTGTTTAGCTGTTTTCTTGCCTTTGTGACCCTAGAAAGCTATTCACCCTGTTGCCTATATTTACTCACCTGTAAAAAGTGTGCAATAGGCATACTCTTCAGTAAAAATAAACTGTTGTTTAAAGAACCCCAGATAATAATTCCCATGAGCATAATATATGAAGAATGTAAATTCTTCCTACCTCTCTCTTTCTCTTTACAATATGCCTACTGAAGGAAAAGTAACCAGGTTTGGGCAAAAAGACGAGGCGAAATCACTGTCATCTTGGGGCATTCTTCGATTGCATGATTACTCCTCTTCTATTTTCACTCTCCTATTAATTAATTACCTAATTAATCTGTTTGCTTATTGCTATTAGGGGAAGGCAATGCTTAAAGATTCTGGTGAATCCTATTTTCATGGAGGATCTTGTCAAGTTAAGGTTTTAGAAGAGGATTCTTGAAGAAAAGTCAGAATGAATAAAGAGGTCCTTCTCCCTTCTCTGTTTTTTGGGAAGAAAGGAGCTAAATATAAAATGATTATAAAAATGAGTCTTCAGTTTGTGAGCAATTTAAAATGACAAATAGAGCAGAATGGTAAACTGAAAAGGTCTCTGGACTTGGAATCAGAAGAAATTGGTATCAGCCTTGACCATGTCACTTACTAGTGTGTGACCTTGGATAATTCGTTTCACATCTCTCAGCTTCTTGATTTCTTTGTCTTTATAGTGTGATAATAGCTCTTATTTTATACCTCACAAGATTGTTATTGAAACCAAATAAAATCCTATGTATAGAAAAATACCCACACAGATAGTAAAAATATATAGACAATGATAATGTTGTGGTTTTTACAATGTCTCTGCAGAAGTCAAGGAAGCTCAGGAGGAGTCTCAGGGGGCCAGCCAGGAAGATCTGTGCTTCCCCCTCTCCAAAGCAGCTCTACTTTTATCTTTTTCATCTGCTGTTGACACATAATATTGTATTTCATTGATTTTAAAGGTTCTGCTGCTAAGGGTAGAGTTTGAAACATATGTAGTAGAGATATGTACTCCTTAATCATGATAATATCAACTGCAGTGTGTTTAACAATATGCAGGCAGCTTTGAAAACATCAGACATAGGTAAGGATGTTATTGTGAGGTGAAGCAGGTGACCATATTTTAAACTTTTTGGCCTCACTTTACTAGTGTAAAATCTTAAAGTTTATACTCAACAATTATTGATGACCCCAAAAAGCTTATCTAGAAAATTCCAGAAAACACAAGAATGCACAAGCACACATTCCATTAGCCACAAGAGTGATGATATCATTGTATGTCATGTAGCCTCTGGAAAGTCAACTGAACACTCATGAGATAATTGAAGTGAAAAAAACAACAATATCTTAATATTAACTATGAAAATAAGCCTGACCTAGGCCAGGCGCTGGGGCTCACACCTGTAATTCCAACACTTTGGGAGGTCGAGGCAGGCAGATCACCTGAGGTCGGGAGTTCAAGACCAGCCTGACCAATATGGAGAAACCCCATCTCTACTAAAAAAAATACAAAAATTAGCTGGGTGTGGTGGTGCATGTCTGTAATCCCAGCTACTCGTGAGGCTGAGGCAGGAGAACCGCTTGAACCCGGGAGGCAGAGGTTGTGGTGAGCTGAGATGGTGCCATTGCACTCTAGCCTGGGCAACAAGAGCGAAACTCCATCTCAAAAAAGAAAAAAAAAAAAAGAAAACAAGCCTGACCTCAATAGTTTTAGAGACTTCCCCCCAGGGAAACTGAGACCACACTTTGAGAATCACTGACCTATTATTTTGATGGAAATACTAAGGTACTGAATTATATATTACGTCAGGTATGTATAGTTTCCCCTCTCTTCTTCAGGCTCGAAGGAAATTGGAATGATAAATGAGATTTACTTCAAGGAGATTTCATACAATGTTTTCAGTCCTATCTTCATTCTTTAAACCTGTGTTTCAAGAACCTTAAAAAAGTTGTTTTGGATTTCTTTCATTGAAGCATAACAGCCTTCCTTCCCAGGAAACAAAAAATAATCACAAATTTCAGTTAAAATGAAATTTGGACCTCTTGTTTATCTGTTGACAAAATGTTTTGATATGTTTACTTTTTCTTTTTAATTTGCATTTAATTTGTGTATTCTGGAAAATGAATCTTCTATTAGACAATAAAGTGACTTTTTGGGACAATAGAGGCATAGGGCATCATCTGTGAATACACACACCTTCGTCCTTTACCAAAGTGGCTCCATTCTGAGTAATCCTATGAGCAAAGCCTTGTAGTACAGTACTTGATTTCTTGAAACAACTCATTATAGTGCTTACTTAATATTTCAATAACACATTTTAATTGGTCACAATTGGTTCCTTTTGTTTTTCAAAAAAATGTTTGAGTTATCTGCCCATTTATAAGAAAAGACAAAAGCTTGTCAGTTCCCAAATGGACTTTCTCTTTGAGGACATCTGTAGCCTGAATAGTTTTAGTCCCTCCCAACAGGTCTCCTCTCAGCTGCTCTGTGTTTTTACATCTCTCAAGAGGGGTTAATTCTTTACAGCTGTATCCTGCCTTCCAAGAATCTCACATGTGCAAATTATTAATCTTTTTCTATTGCTACAGTAACTCCCTAGGCCATAAACACCCCCTACCTAAAACTGGCTCATTTCCAAAGAAAACTTTGGTATTCTTTCCCTGAAAAGATAATTTGACCTCATTCAGTTTACATTGTTATTTAGAACAATTGGTAAAATATAGAAATAGAAGCTTACTTTCAAACAATTATTTAGAAATATAAATTTAATCTGTAAGTTTAAATCTCTATCCACTGTTGTATAATTTAAGTCTGAATTTTACATTTTATTTATTTAAAAAATCAGGTTGCTTAAATTTTTCAAGAGTATACTTTTCAATATTTTTAAGTGGATACTATGCTAATTATATCACATAGTATTTGTTTTAAATGTTTTAAATAGAAGAAAACAGTATGTAGACTTTCCTTTAGTGTATGGAAGTTTTATTTTCTCAAATGTGGTTTTCATGCATTTATGTCTGCAATATATATCATGCATGTTTGGAGACATAAACATAATGTCCATTTGTAAGGAAGAAAACAATCTTAGGATATTATGGTAAGGCCATTTAGATCAATATACATATATATACCAATCATAGCCCAGCCTCTCAATTTAATATTAAATATACTAAATTATAAATTTTCGTATCCTTCAGGGTTCACTGTAAGATGGCCACTGCTTGACTATTTCTCTGTTTCCATAATCTACATTTTTATTTCTTCTTCATTCTTTAGCTACTGGTTGGATACTCTTATGACACCCCCAAACTTCAAAATAAATAATTTATATTGAAAGTTACGTATGTCATAATAAAGCATTAAGAGATTCCAGAAATTGCATTTCTCAGTGATCCATGCCTCTAGTGGTGTTCCAAGGCATAAGGCAGAGGGGCCAGTGATTTTTACCACCTGACAAGTGCAATAATCCCCCAGTACTGCAAGGCCTGAAGCATCTTATTGCTGTTATGAAATGGAATTTATAAATAAAAATAAGGAAAACAGCCAGAGCTATGCACTTCCTGAGCTTTACTGACATTGATATGACAGCCAATCAGAAATTTCCATTCCTGCCAAGATTGCCAAGCCAATAATTTTAGCAATAAAGCCTGTCCTAAGAAATATTAAAATGTTTTGCCTCTAATATGTATTTAAACACAAAAGAAGTTTAAAGGTAAGTTCGTTATAATTCAGACATACAATCATTTTAATATATACAGAAAACCTCCCTGTAGACCAATTAAAAAGAGCTTCCAAACAATACGGATTCTTAATTCACATAATATTATAACTCAAGCAAGTTACATTTCAACATTTTTAGATAAGCTGTATAATAGAGAGAAAAAAAGGATTAGAATAATAGTGACATTTGAATTGCATTTTGTATTATTTCAACTGCATTTTAACAGGCTTTATGAGTGAAAGAGGGAATAAGAATGCAGAAGAGGCAAACTTGTGTAGATTATTTTTCATTACATGCATTATTCCAGTTGAAAAATGTCAGTTGCTTGTCATGTTAACTAAGAATGCATTCACTATTGTACATATCTAGAGCCGGAGTTAAACTGAGAATTTTGCAAAGGACAGATACAAAGAAGTGATTTTTCCTTCTCTCTGTATATAAAAATAGAACTTTCAGAAATGTCATGGCTGACACATTTAGCTGCTGGACATTGAAAATCCTCTTTCTGACTCACAACCTGTGACTGGAACTCTGTCAGAGTAATCAAGAGATGTTATACCATAGAGCACAAACAGTAGGGGAGCCTTTGCTATTTGGCCTTGTTTTTAAAGCAAAAGAGATTTAAATTTGGATCACAACACTAAATATTTCTCATACTCCCCATTTTGAAAATACAGAAAAGAATTAATTGTGTAAGGCATTTGTGCAGCTGATTATCTGATTTAACCAGTACTTTATGAGATTGTAGACTACTGAAACAGTGTAATAGGCTAAGAGACATACATGCCTGAATAAATACTGACTGTATGAAGGATTATTTTTCTGAGATCATGTTGCAATTAGTGATGACGGTGACAACAAAGGTCATGGAATACAGTGAACCTTTAAATAACACAACCACACGTCAGAAATTAAAATTTTAATTTTAGGTAACATTTGTCTCCTTTTGCTCTTATATGTAAGTAATTAAAATCCCTCTTTTTCAAGAAAGACCAAGGGGATTATGGTGCACATTATGTTTTTCTCCAGAACTCTAAAAATTCAGAAAAACTGGGTATTCAGGGTTTTATTGTATATGTGAGTATGTCCACTAGGAATACTTTCAGAAGGATTTTGTCATAATTGCCAATTTTGTGAAAATGGAATTTGAATGGACATTAATATGAACATTAACTAAATAGATAAAATCAGACTTAGAATTTAGTTCTTGGTAAGTGTTCAATTCTTCCAAGCACTTAAAGGTTACTATAAGCTGTGTCTTCTTGAATTCCCCTCACTTTTCAGAAATAGCAACATCTAAACTTTTCTAAGTGAATGAATGACCTTAAGATATTTTAGTTGATTATAAGGATGTAGCTGATTATAAAGGCATTATTATAATTTACAGGAGGGTATTTCAATTGGTAATTGATTTAGGGCCCGTTTTATATGTTTACACTTGTCAGAGAGTTCCTTTAATGAAACTGCAGAACCTACTCATATTCATACAAAGGAAACAAAGATAATGTTAATTATCCTCCTTGTCCAAGTCTCAGGCTAGGAAATAAAAATTTGTCAGGTAATATGATGGCTTTAGAGTTAGGTACAAATTATGCCTCTTACAGTTACTAGTTGTGTCCCACGGACAAGTTACTTAATCTTTGTGAGCCTGAATTTTCTCTTCTTCATAATGGAGATTGTACCTAGCAACTCACAAGCTGTGAGGTTTAACAGATCAGAAAATGACATGAAAAGGCTACTACAATGTCTAGCATCAAATAGACACTTAATAAAATGATCCATTTTCTTCCTCAATTCCACTTCAAAATTTGTTAAGCACTTCTTTGTCCAAATTCTAAGTGCCTTATTGTTTCTATACTCACTATTCCCGGAGATTTAATGGTTTGCCCTCTTAGTTCAAGTTCCACATTCCAATATTTCTTGAATGTATCTATCTGTCCACCAGAGTATAATTATTGGCTTACCATCCTCTCTGTTTTTAATCTCTTTTAAGTAGAAGCTTACCATTCTAGGGGCTAATTGGTTAGTGCATGATGATAAACTTAAGGAATTACAGAATTTTAGAACTTGAAGGGACCCGGTGGGTGAGTGTGCATATGCATACTCAAGAGTGAAGAGAAAAGTAGAACCAACACAACTATACAGCTCAAGCTGAATATTGCCATGTGGAAATGAAGGCCCTGTGTTGAACCAGATATGCATTTTTTTCTAGAAAAAAATGAAATCTAGATTTTTATGTAAAATATTTCAACTAAAAATTTGGTTTTGTTTAAAACATCTGGTACAGGCCGGGCATGGTGGCTAACACCTGTAATCCCAGCACTTTGGGAGGCTGAGGCGGGCAGATCACTTGAGGTCAGAAGTTTGTGACCAGCCTGGCCAACATGGTGAAACCCTGTCTCCACTAAAAATACAAAAATTAGCCAGGCATGGTGGCAGGTGCCTGTAATCCCAGCTACTCGGGAGGCTGAGGCAGGAGGATAGCTTGAACCCTGAGGCAGAGGTTGCAGTGAGCCAAGATCACACCATTGCACTCCAGCCTGGGCAACAAGAGCAAAACTCCATCTCAAATATATATATATATGTGTGTGTGTGTGTGTGTGTGTGTGTGTGTGTGTGTATTTTACACACATATATATATTTCACTTAGTCCAGTTTAGAAATCAAAGATTGATAAATATGCACAGTGGCCGTGGTGGCTTATGCCTGAAATCCCAGCATTTTGGGAGGCTGAAGCAGGAGGACTGCTTAAGCCCAGGAGTTCAAGACCAGCATTGACAAAATAGTGATACCTTGTCTCTACAAAAATAAAAATAAAAAAATTAGCTGGGTGTGGTGGTCCGCACCTACAGTCTCTGCTACTTGAGAGGCTGAAATGGGAGGATTGCTTGAGCCTGGAAGGTCCAGGCTGCAGTGAGCCATGGTCACACCACTGCACTCCAGTCTGGGTGACAGAACGAGGCCATGTCTCAATAAAATAGAGACAAAAAATAAAAAATAAGCATGGACTTTTTTTTTGAGAACACCTGCATGTTATTTCTGTGTTATAAAAATGAATAACTCTTTTGTTGATTTGCATGTAGAAGTTTCTATATTCAAAGAAGCCCTAGACTCTAAAATCTAAAAGCTGATTAGCAGCTTGTGAACAAAGTAGAGGTGTTTCTGGCATTTTTATCTTAGACTAAATCATAACACAAGTTTAAAACTCTAGTGGGCAAACTTTTATATATTTTTACACATAGCTCAGTAACAATGGTTAACAGTTCCCCTTGAAGTTTCCCATTTGAATATTTGAATTTTAATTTGATGCACCGACATTTTTGACACTAAATTCAAACCCATCCTGGCCACGTACTAATTGGACAGAACTGTCCATTCCAATTGTGGGTAATCAGGATTAGGATGCTTACAAATGAAGTCCATTGATTAGGTCACGTGGTGTCATTTCAGGGCTGGGAAAAATTCCTACTTCTCTTTCCCTTTCCTTGTGGTGCCCACTCTTCTCTGTGACCCCACCTTATTTCAAGATTTTTAAATTTGATGCTAACTAAGGTGGATGCATTTTCTGAGCTTACTAGTGGGAATAGAACAGAACTCTCTCAAGTGCTGTAACAACTAATTAATATGTATGTAATTCCAGCAAAGAATCAATATCTTATGGATAGCTTTGAGAGATAGTATGGCATGCACAACAGTTAATTACTGAGGACATACCCATCTTTCATATAGAAAGATATTTCTTATTTAGATATAATATTTATCTAATATGAGAGAATAGATATTATCTGTTCTCTAATATTCATCTAATATCAGTGTTATTTAGATACAGTATTTTAGTTTTATAACTTAAAATACCTTACGTAAAATTGTGAATGTGTATCTGTAAATATATGAAGATTTTATACCACTCTTAAATTTCTTTTCTCCAACTGACAAATTCAGTCCTACCTCAGTATCCACGGGAGATTGGTTCCTGGACTTCCCACAGATACCAGAATTTGTTCATACTCAAGTCCTGTAGTCAGGGCCCTGTAAACCTGCAGATATGAAAAATTGGCCTTCCATATATGTGGGTTTCAAATCCTGCTAATGCTATATTTTTGATCCACATTTGGTGGTGAATGCAGGACCCACCAATACAGAGGGCAACCTGTATTTATTGAAAAAAATTCACACACAAGTGGACTTAGACAGTTCAAACCAATGTTGTTCAAGGGTCAAATGTAGTAATATATGAAAAATGAGCTCAGAAACTACAAAACTTACTCAAATGTTTTTGCAATTTAAAAATTTACATGGGATTTAAAAATTTACATGGGATTAAAGTGATAAAGGAAACAATTATAGTCATTTTTATTAATTTAGTGCCACAAACATGCTGAATGATTATTATTTGAGGAACAAAACACTTTAAAAGCAGAAGAAACACCATGATAAATAAAACATGGTCTCTGTCTGAAATTTCCTCCCTCTATTGGACCTATTCACCTAGGTTGGGACCTCAGTTGCTGATGGCACAGGCCAAACCAGGAACTAATAGGCATAAGAGAGAGAACCCAGTATCAGAAGAAGGTATTGATACCTAGTAGGTGGTTATCCAGGCAAAGCAGCTAGTGTCAAATTGCACTTGGGGTTGGATATAAGATGAGACCTTTAGTTCGGACTAGGACCACACCCTGACATTAATATGTGGCAGGTTTTGGAGGCAGGGAAACAAGAGTAGAGTGCGAAGAAAAAGACTGAGTTACTAAACCTGGAATTTGTGAAAATTTGAGCCAGAGATAAGTCAGTCATCCAGTTCGTTGACTTGAAGGCTGCCTCAACTTGTTCCCCAACCCACACAATGGTAGAAGCCTTATTGACTTGAGGTATTTGAGCATCTCTGTCTACTCATTGGATGACTATTACTAGGCTACACAGACACACATGGGATGACCCATTGAGCACTAGGCTAAAAATTTAAATTAGGATAAAAAAAGTACTGGGTAGAGCTGTATGCAATTACACTTTATGGCAAAAACACATTCCATAGATTGAATCCAGACAAGATACCAAAATAAAGTAAAACCCAAAATAAAAGAAAAACTATCCAGAACAGCTGTCCTCAGGGGGGAAAAAACCATAATCCAAGGTTGCTACACTATGTGATCTAAAATATCTACTTTTCAACAACAACAACAAAATAAAGAACCATGCAAAAAAACAGGGAAGGGTGACCCAAATTCAGGAAACAAACAAACAAACAAAAAAACAAAAAGCAGTTTCTGAACAGGCCAAGATCTTCAATTTAGCAAAGAGTTCAAAGCAGCCATGGTAAATATTTTATATAATTAAAGGAAATCAGGTTTAAAAAATTGAAGGAGGCCGGGTACGGTGGCTCATGCCTGAAATCCCAGTACTTTGGGAGGCCAAGGCAGGTGGATCATGAGGTCAGGAGATTGAGACCATCCTGGACAACATGGTGAAACCCCGTCTCTATTAAAAATACAAAAATTAGCTGGGCGTGGTGGTGAATGCTTGTAGTCCCAGCTACTCGGGAGGCTGAGGTAAGAATCATTTGAACCTGGAAGGCAGAGGTTGCAGTGAGCCAAGATTGTATCACTGCACTCCAGCCTGTCAACAGAGCGAGACTCCGTCTCAAAAAAAAAAAAGTTGAAATATAGTATGATGGTAATAATTCATGATATAGGAAATCTTAATAAAGAAATAGAAATATTAAAATGAAACAAATGAAAGTTCTAGAATTGAAAAGTACAATATTGGAAATAACAAGTTTACTGGATGAAACGAATAGCAGATATAAAATGGCAGAAGAATCAATGAGCTTGAAAATAGATCAACAGAAACAATTCAATCTTAAGAAAAAAATAAGAAAAGGATTGAAAAAATTAAATAACATCTCAGAGACCCATGGACAACATTAAGTGTGGCAACATATATATGTGATGAGAGGCTACAAAAAAGAGAGAGAAAGAGAAAGGAAGAAAATATGTTTGAAGAATAATGGCCAACATTCTTCTCAAATTTGTTATAAAACAATATATAGACAGAATCACGCAGTTCAGTGTATTCCAAGCAGGATAAAAACAAATTCACACACAGGCCCATCATAGCCAAATATTGAAACCTAAAGCCAAAGAGAAAATATTGAAAGGATACAGCAGAATAGCAATAAGATTAATAGCTGATTTCTGGTCAGAAATACTGGAAGCAGAAAGGTAGTAGTGACACACTGAAAATGTTGAAAGACGAAAAGAGAATTTGTTGCCAGAGTATCTGCCTTAGAAGAAACACTAAAGGAAATTCTTCAGGTTGAAACGAAATGATATTGGATAGTAACTTGAATTCACAGGAAGAAATAAAGAGCATTGGAAAAATATACGGGTAAATTTAAAAGACTCTATAAATATGTTTCTCTTTTTATTTTAATTTCTTCATAAGATATAATTATATAAAGCAATAATTATAACACACTGTATCATTGGTTTATTACACATAGGTGTAATATATATGACAGTAACAGATAGCTCAAAAGAGATGGGAGGAAATAGACCTATATGGGACTAGTTGCTATTTTTACTATGTATTAACTTTTAAGCCAGTGTTAATATAGATTGTGGTAAATTAACATGCATGTTTTAATCTCTAGAGCAAACACTAAGAAAATGTCTTTCATAAAAGGTTAAGATATTAACAGAATAATTAAAATCATAACACTAAAATTATTTAACACAGAAGGCAATAAATGGAAAAAAAATAAAAAGATGACATAAAAAAAACCAAAGTGACAGAAGTAAATCCAGTCATATAAATAATTACTTTAAATGGCAATATATTAAACATTTCAGCCCAAGTAAGAGATTTTTAGATGAAATATTAATGCAAGAATCAGCTATATATTCTCTATAAAAGACTCACTTGAGAGCAAAAGACATAAATATAATGAAACTTGCTGGGTGTGGTGGCTCATCTGTGTAATCCCAGCGCTTTGGGAGGCCAAAGTGGGCAGATCGTTTGAGTCCAGGATTTTGAGACCGGCCTGGCCAACATGATGAAACCCTGTCTGTACTGAACATAAAAAAAATTAGCCAGGCCTCATGGTGCGTGCCTGTAGTGAAGGTGGGAGCATCACCTGAGCCTGGGAGGTAGAAACTACAGTGAGCCCAGATTGCACCACTACACTCCAGCTTGGGTGACCCAGTGAGACTCTCTCTCTCTCTCTCACACACACATGCACACACACACACACAAATACATAAATATGTTGAAAGTAAAAATATAGAAAAAGATATACCATGAAAACAGTGATCACAATACATATAGAATAGCTATATTAATATCAGACAAAATAGAATTTAAGAAAAGAAAGATGAGAAACAAAGATGGACATTTCATAATAATAAAGGGGTATATCATAGAAATACATAACACAAGTGTAAACACATCTAACAATGGAGACCCACACATTAAGCAAAATTTGACAGAATTAAAGGAAAAATAAGCAATTCAAAAATTATGTTTGGATATTTTAATCTGGGGTTAAATTCTTCAACAATTCTCAGTAAATGATAGAACAACTAGACAGAAAATCAGCAAAGATATAGAAAACTTGAACACTTCTATCCACTTAACTGACCCAATTGACAACTGTAGAACATTTCTTTCAACATGAAGACAATACATATTTTTTTTCAAGTGTACACAGAACATTTTCCAGGATAGAATATACACTGTGCCATTAAACAAATCTCAACATGTTTAAAAAACTAGATTTCATTCAAAGTATATTTTCTGACTACAATGGAATTGAATAGTAAATCTGCAACAATAGGAATCTTAGGAAAATCCAAAATATTTGGAAATTATGCCATACATTTCTAAATAACGCATGGATCATGGAATAAACCAGAAGGAAATTTATAAAATATTTTGAAATGAATACAAAAGGAAACAGAGGATATCAAAGTGTATGAAACACAGTTAATGCATTGCTTAGAGGAAAATATTTAGCTTTAAATGCCTATATTGTTAAAGAAGAAAGGTCTCATATCAATAACCTAATCCTCTGCTTTAAAAATGAGAAAGTGAGTAAATTGAACCCAAAGCAATCATTAGAATGGAAATAATAAAGATCAGAAGGGAAATCAACGAAAAAAATGGAAAATGGAAAATAATAGAGAAAAATTAGTAAAATCAAAGATTGGTTTTTTGAAAATGTGAACAAAATAGATAAGCCTTTAGATAGAGTGACCAAGGGAAAAAGAGAGAAGGCTCAAATTCGCTATTCAGGAAAGAAAGGATCTAACTACAAGCCCTAGAGTAATTAAAAGGAAATTAGAACTGAATATTCTAAATAATGTTATACCATTTTAAGAAATTGGCAAGCTGATCCTAAATTTATGAGGAAATTCAAATGACCTAGAATATCCAAAAACTATTTTGAGAAAGAGAATCAAGGTTGGAGGCCTTATACTACCTGATTTCAAGCCTTATTATAAAGCTACATTAATCAAGACAGGAAGATCAATGAAAAAATGGAACAGAATTGAGAGTCCAGAAATAAACCCTTATTTGTACATTTAATTGGTTTTCAACAAAGTTGAAAAGGCAATTTAATGGAAAACTAAAAGTCTTTTTAAGATATGGTTCTAGGAAAATTGAATATCCATATGCAAAATGAATGAACTTAGATCATTACTTCACACAATACAAAAAATTAATTCAGCCGGGTAAGGTGGCTCACGCCTGTAATCCCAGCACTTTGGGAGGCCGAGGTGGGTGGATCACGAGGTCAGGAGATTGAGACCATCCTGGCTAACACGGTGAAATCCCGTCTCTACTAAAAATACAAAAATTAGCTGGGCATGGTGGCAGGCGCCTGTAGTCCCAGCTACTCAAGAGACTGAGGCGGGAGAATGGCCTGAACCCGGGAGGTGGAGCTTGCAGTGAGCCAAGATTGCACCACTGCACTCCAGCCTGGGTGACTGTGCGAGACTCCATCTCAAAAAAAAAAAAAATTAACTCAAAATAAATCATAGACCTAAATGTAATAGCTAAAACTATAAAAGTTTTAGAAGAAATCATAGGAAAAATATTTTATGAAATTTAAGTAATGATTTCCTGGATAAACCACTCCATGCAAGATTTATAACAGAAAAAAAATGATGAATTGGGCTTCATCAAATTTAAAACTTTTACTCTTTAGAAGACACCCTTAAGAATGAAAAAGATGAGTTCAGGCTAGGAAAAAAATTTTCAATTAATGTATCTAACATAGGCCTTACAACTCAGTAATAAGACAACCTAATTAAAGAATAGGTGTGGGAGATAGCCTGCAAATAACCTCCAGTGATTCCTTGTCTCTTGCTCTTCCTTTACGTAGTATCCTACCACGTTGTAGAATAGTTGACCTTGTGACCAATAGACTGCAGCCTAAGTGATGGTATGTTACTTCTAAGGATAAGTCATAAAAGCCACTTGAGGCTTGTACCTTGCTCTCTCTTGGATTAATCATTGTTAGGGAATCTAGCTATTATATGATATATTATGAGATGTCCAACTAACAGCCTTGTGAGAGAGACATCTTGGAAGTAGGTACTTTAGCTCCATTCAAGCCTTCAGATGATTGACATCTTAACTGCAATCTCATGAGAGACTCTGAGCCAGAAACACCAAGCTAATAGGCTACTAGATTATTGGCCCCAGACACTGTGTGAAATAATAAATATTTTTGTTTGCTGTAAGTCACTAAGTTTGGAGCGATTTGTTCCAAAAGAAGTAACTGAAAACTGATACAATAGAGAAAAGATTTGAATGGATTTTTCTCCAAAGAAGATCTATGAATGGCTAATAAGTCCATAGAAAGATGCTTAACATCTGTAGTCATTAGGGAAATGCAAATTAAAACCACAATGTGATATGACTATAAACACATCAGAATGGCTATAACAAAAATATTGATAAAGCCAAGTATTGGTGAATATGTAGTGAAATTGGAAACCCTCATACATGGTGGGAATGGAAAACAGTTTCTTAAAAAATTAAATATAAACTTACCATAAAATCCAACATTTTCCTTTTTTTGATATCTACCCAAGAGAAATAAAAACATATGTCCACACAAATAGTTCTATATGATTGCTTATTACAGCATTATTCATATACCTTCAAACTGAAAACAATATGAATGTCCATCAACTGGTGAATGGATAAGCAAAATTAGTATATCTATAAATAAACAATGGAATATCTATACAATTAAATATTTTCCAGCAACAAAAAGGATCAAACCACTGATTCATGTTACAACATGGGAGCATCAAAAACATGCTAAGTGAAAGAAGTCAGACACAAGAGACCACATATTGTGTTATCTCATTTATGTATTTTCAGAAAATTTAAATATGTAGAGACAGAAAGCAAATCAGTGCCTGAGGCTGGGGCTGGGAGTGGGAATTGACTGGAAATGGCAAGGGGGTACTTTTTGGAGTAATGGAAATGTTCTGACATCTGATTGTGGTCATGGTTGCGCAACTCTATACATTTGTTAAAATCATTGATTGGTGTACTTAGAATTGTTGAATTTATAGTATATGTATTATATCTTAATAAAGCTGTTAAAAACAATACGAAACAGGCACAAAGTACTATGGTAGCAGGAGAATTTAATTCTAAGTGAAGGCACCTAGGAAAAATTCATGAATATGTAAAAATTGAGGTAAAACGAAGTTGAAGGACTTGCAGTAGGAGTTTAAAGAGAATGGCAGTTCTCATTAAAGGAAAGATTAAAGATGCAAGGCTATGGAATAAAATGTATTGATGTGATTAGGAGCCCAGTATCTGTAGCTGGGAGTGTATAGAGTGAGGAGAAGATTTGGAATGACAGACTAGGTTTGGCTTTATCCTACAGGCCATGTGGAAGAACTCACCACAGAAGCTCCAGTCCTGATATCTCCTTTGCATTTCAGTCATAAAAAATCTATTTGTAAGATATCTCTACTTGAATACTCCCAAACACATTAAACTAAACATTCTCCAAATTCGTTCCTACCTCTTTTCCATATTCTCTTTCACAGTTGATGACCACACCATCTATCTAGTTGCTCAAGATAGAAACTTAACTATCTTTTATGTTTCTGCATTAGCACCTCAATATCTAATCAATCAACAAATTTTAATACATTATTTGACTTCCTAAATTCTCTGATCCTTCTGTTACTTTACCTTTCTACCACTACTGTCTTAGATCAGACATTCATCTTTTCTTTTCCCTGGACTACTAAAGTGATCTTTGAGGTAGTTTCCTTGTTTATAATCTTTCCTTCTCCAATAAATCTACAACATAGGTTTCAGTGATTAATTTGGAAAGTAGACCTAACTCTGTCATAACTTTCAATTGCTTCTCATCACCTAATAGATATGATTTAAGTTAGTTAATCATACTTTCTGTTTTCTGTCTCATGGTTACCAAAATTTGTCCCGTTACCCCTTCAGCCTATCTTACCTTTATGTTCTGCCATTTTCTTACCTGTTTTACCTCTGTGCTTCTCTCAGTTTTTCTATGTCCACCTAACTATCTCTACTCATAAGGCCCAACTCAGTATCTCCAGGGAGCTTGTTTTGAATTCCATCTCCTCTGAGCTAGATTAGATGGTCTTGTTTCCAAGTTGGGCATTTCTTTATCATTGGTTGCTCCATATTAAATTATATTTTAATAAATTATTTATTTATTTATTTGGAGACGAGGTCTCACTTTGTCACCCAGACTGGAGTGCAGTGGTGCAATCACGGCTCACTGCAGCCCCAGCTCAAGTGATCCTCATGCCTCAGCCTCCCACATAGCTCTGACCAAAGGCACACATCACCACACTCCAGCTAATTGTTTTGTATTATTTGTAGAGACAAGGTCTCTCTATGTTGCCCGAGCTATTTTCTAACTCATGGGATCAAACAATCCTCCTGCCTTGGCCTCCCAAAGTGCTGGGATTATAGGCATGAGTCACAGCACTCAGCCTTGGATTGCTATGAACAGTTTATTGATCTCTCTCTCTCTCTCTCAATTGTCAATCCCCTGAAAATACGGCTTTTGTCTTTCCTGCCTTTGTAATTCAAGAGTCTACCACTATATCTGACATGTAGGAGAAACAGAAAACATATTTATGAAATAAAATGGATGGATGGATACAAGTAGATAATTGCTGGCAAAGTGGAGAATGGATTGAAGAGGAGGAAAGCTCAATGAAATGGCATCTGTTTAGAAGTGGACTAGGAAAGAGTTAGTGAGTCTCTAATTAAAAAAAAAAATTAACAATCAGACGAACAAAACGTTTTATGAAATTTTAAAAGTTGAATAGGCCAGGCGTGGTGGCCCATACCTGTAATCCCAGCACTTTGGGAGGCCAAGGTGGGAGGATTGTTTGAGGCCAGGAGTTCAAACCAGCCTGGACAACAAGGCGAAACTCCATCTCTACTAAAAATACGAAAATTAGCTGGGCATGGTGGTGAGCACCTGTAGTACCAGCTACTCAGGAGGCTGAAGTGGGAGAATTGCTTGAGCCTGGGAGGTGGAGGTTGCAGTGAGCCAAGATTGTGCCACTGCAATCCAGCCCGGGCAACAGAGGGAGACCCTGTCTCAAAATAAATTAAAAAATACACATAAAAAAATTAAAAAGTTCGAATAATTTTTAGTGATTTTGAATTTGACATGAAAACAGTCAATGGTACACAATTCAAAGTAAGTTGAATACTACAGCAACTGGTAGACATGAAATCCGAAGAATGACACTGTGCTTTGTCGTGGGCTCAGCATATCTAATCGTCTCCATCTCAAGTGCCAAATATCACTGATTAGTGGTGGCTATGCAGAATACTGGATTGACAAAAAAATTAAAACCAGAACTGAGTTCTGTTGAAAAGATTGCCAGGATCAATTATTAATGTCTGTCATGGGTACAAAGAAGGCAGTGTGACTATGTGAGGTTAGAGAATTTCTCAAACCTGTCATTGGTCCTTGTTCTATTTAACCCTTATATGAATGACTTGGAGACATAAAAGACATTTATTTAAATTGCAGACAGCACAAGATTAGGAGAAATATAACTATATTAGGCAGCAATCATATCAAAATGGATTTATAGCTAGCAACATTGCTGCAACAAAACTAAATGAAACTGGAATAAATGTAGAATCCCACTCTTGGTTCTGAAAAATCAGTTGTACAATTTCTGAATGTTATAAATGTGGCTTTACATAATCATAAAAAGTACTTAAGTTTGATTAAACCACAAACTTGATAAGAATAGATAGGATGAGGCAAAAAGCACAGTGTCCTGACTAAGGGAGGTAATAATTCCAGTTCATTCTGCAATGACCTGACCTCACTGTGAATGTGAACTTAAATTTTGACATTCACATTACAAGAAACTTTGACAGTAAACATGAAACCATATTTTATTGGAAGAGTTGAATGAACTTGAGTGATAAATGGAGCATTAACATGTGGAAGATGGATTTGACTCATCCTAAATCTAAATTCTAGAGCAACACTGGAAACATGGATAGGAAAAAGAAAAGGAGACTGAAGTTTAATTCTAAGGATTAGAGGAGTCTGAAAATAGAACTGGCTGCCCTGAAATAGTACTTTATTGGAGGTGCTCATTACAGACTAGAGAGACACTTGCCAGAAACCCATTATGTTACTGGTTTCTGTCTAGAACAAATATCAAGGTCTACATTTAACACTGGGTGATTGAATTTTTCATATGTACAATTCTATTATATAGCATTACTGTGATGAGATGCTGGTGATTTAGTTCTGATCCTGGTTTTGCTATTAAAAAAGTAATGAGAGTGATCCTTTTAAACATGAATTAGGTTATAATATTTCTCTGCTCAAAGCCCTCCACTGGCTTCCCATTTCATTCTGAAGAAAATCCAAACCCTCTCAATACTTACAAGGACCTACACCTTCTGATCTTTACCTTGCCAAGCTTGTTTTCTACTTTTTCTGCTCCGTCTCCTAATCATCTCACACAGAAGAGCCACACTGACTTCTGGGCTATTCTTCAAGCATGCCAGACACCCTTACAACAGAGCTTTTGTTTGGCCTGAGATTTGTTTAAAAAATTTAAAACATAAATACAAAATTTTTCCTTGAAATTTTAGATTTGGGGGCTCTCCTGAATTGCTTGTGTATTAGTCCATTTTCACACTGCTATAAAGACATACCCAAGACTGGGTAGTTTATAAAGAAAAGAGGTTTAATTGACTCACAGTTCTGCATAGCTGGGGAGGCCTCAGGAAACTTACAATCATGGCATAAGGGGAAGAAGTACGTCTTACATAGTGGCACGAGAGAGAGAGAAAGAGAAAGAGATAGACAGAGGGAGAGAAAGCACAGGAAAAAGTACCATTTATAAAACCATCAGATCTCCTGAGAATTCATTCACTATCATGAAAACAGCATGTTGGAAACCACCCCATAATCCAATCACTTCCCACCAGGTCTCTCCCTAAACACTTGGGGATTACAACTCAAGATGAGATTTGGGTAGGGACACAAAGCCTAACCATATCAGCTGGAAAATCTGACCACTGTGGACTCACATCTCTGCATAGCAACATCAGCAGAAGCTTCACATCCTTTGAATGAGATATGAGGCTTCCAGTTCACCACAGGTTGCAGCTAGGCTGAGTCACTTGTTCTATTACTAGCTTTGACCCTCTATGCATCTGAGTTTGAGATCCCAAAGTTATACATGATGTCAGTGCATTAACGACACTTCTCAGTTATTAGTTGCATAAGAACCATCCACGTGTATTGTAAGAGAATTTGTAAGGTTGACCCAAAACTATCGGTTCAACCCCAGGTATTATGATTAAGGATGTCTGGGTTGGGACACCCAGATTTGCATTTTTAATAAGGCCCCAGGTGACGTTGATGCTGAGGTCTGAGGACCAAACTTGAAGTGGCACTATATAATAACATTTTCATTTGTAGTAGTGTTTTCACCACAGAAATATTTAGTTGTAAAATCAATAATCAGGAACTAGTGTTTATATCTATGTAGTTAAATCCTGGTTATTGTTATTACTATTTTTTTGTATACCTTTAGGCAAAGAGTGATTTGTTCTTCTTACATCCCCCAGGGTGCTTTACTTGCTTTCTGATTTTAAACCTGAGTTACTGCATATGAATTGGTTGTCCAGAATGAACAAAATAGTTATTAGCATTTCAGTAGCAATTTCCACCCAAGTTATTTTGAATATACCATCTGGTACCAAATATTAATAGCTTCATAGTAACAGAGAAACCAAGACTGGTGGCTGTGAGGTGATAACCATCATCAAATAGTACTTATGGAGCACATGAGACCCATATTTTAGACAAAGCTGGGACTACTGTTATGTCTGTCTATAAACAAGAAGCAGAGCTGGTGACACATCTGAGGTATGGAGGGGGCTGAATGACTTGTCCAAGATCATGTAGCTGTCAGATACCCAATGGCTTTTCCAACAATCCTGTTTGCTTTACACTTCATACTTTAAATCAATTAATTAATAAAATCATGCCAAACATGGATTAGAGGTGAAACTACTTCTAATTCAGCCCAAATAGAATAATTTATTTTTCTACTGCAGGTTTTCTACCACTTGCAGTGGGTCTGACTCTCACCAGAGAAGCCACTGTGGTTATTGCCTTTCCTCTGTGATTCTCACAGGCAGCTGTAGGACATCTACCGAGATGCGGGGAAGGTGAGTGTCTTCAGGAGCCACCTACTGAAGTGTAGCTGGCTGCTTCTGGGAGTGGCAGTGAAAGACCAAAGGAATATTTCTATGTGATTTTTTAGAGTAGTATCTGAGATCTCACCCATTGAGTTCAGGCATTTGAGAATTAACATGACATTCAGAAGCAGTGGTTGCTGACCTGGACAGCCATCCTAGCAATTCTTTGAAGATGAGTATTAGGACTCGATGTGGTTCAAAAACTAAGGCTGCTTCTTTCTCTCCTTTCCCCAACAAATGGTGTCAAAGCCATAACTCTATCAAACTCTATGAGAATAAATGATCAAATTTATTCTCAGGGGTGAATACTTCTTAGGAACTATTATGAATGTAGAGCAGTCACTGTCTCTTACTCCACTTGCTCTGATTGTGAGAAATAATTCCTACCTGTGATCTCAGAGGAACTCAAAGCATAAATTCTTCTTTTTTCTTTGAGACAGAGTTTCACTCTTGTTGCCCAAGCTGAAGTGCAGTGGTGCAATCTCTGCTCACTGCAACCTCTGCCTCCCAGGTTCAAGCAATTCTCCTGCCTCAGCCTCCTGAGTAGCTGGGATTACAGGCATGCACCACTACGCCTGGCTAATTTATATTTTTAGTAGAGACGGGGTTTCTCCATGGTGGTCAGGCTGGTCTCAAACTCCCAACCTCAGGTGATCCACCCACCTCGGCCTCCCAAACTGCTGGGATTACAGGCATAAGCCACCGAGCCTGGCTGACATTCTTTTACTTAATTCATTTATTTTTATTTTGTAAAGTTTTATTTTTAATTGACAAATAATAATTTAACATTTATGGGATAAAATGTGATGTTTTGATATATGTTTAGAATGTGGAATGATTAAATCAGGCTAACTGACAAATCTGTAACCTCACATACTTATTATTTGTTGTGGTAAAAAATATTTAAATTCTACTGTCTTAGGACTGTTGAAATATACAATGCATTATTACAGTCCCCATTCTGTGCATTACAGCACTAAGACTTTTTCCTCCTCTCTGCCTGAAACTTCATAATTTTTTATCAACATTTCCCTTTTCTCCATCCACCCCCTTCTGTAATCTTGTAACAATCATTCGTCTCTGCTTCCATGAGTTCAACTTTTTTAGATTCTACAATGAGTGAGATCATGCAGCATTTATCTTTCTGTGCCTGGCTTCCCTTAGCATAATGTCCTCCATGTTCAACCATGTTGTTGTAAATGACAGGATTCACCTCCTTTTCAAGGCTCAATAGTATTCCATTGTGTATATATATGACAAAGAGCACACATTCTTTGCTTTAAGTCAGGGCAAGTAGCAGGCTATTGTTTTGGCATTCCATCTCCAACTACTTCTTTGAATTGGGGTCTAATGTATCTTTTTCTGGATCAGTCAAACAGTCAGTAAACAACTGCTGAGTGCCCACTCTGTGCCAAGCACTGTTCTGGGCACAGAAGATCCAGCAGTGAACAAAATAGTCAAGTCCTTGTTCTGAAGATACTTACATTTTAAAGGAGAAATAGGGCAGATGGACAGTAAACAAATGAATAATTAAGATAAATTCATTTATTGGTAAGTGCCTAGAAACAGATAAAATAGGATAAAGTGGTGGGAAGTGACAGAGGTAGGGGTGGTACTTTACTTCGAGTACACAGAGAAGGCCTCTTTGAGGAGGACAAGTGCTTTAAGCAGAGTACTAACATGTAGAAAGGCCCTGAGAGAGGAATAAATTTGGACCTTTCCAGAGAGAAGATGGTGGAAAGTATAGGCACATGAGGTCAGAGAAGTAGATGATTCTGGGATCATTTAAGATCTCATAGACAGTGGTATATGTTTTTGTTTTATTGTTTACATAATGAGAAGCCATTGGAGGGGTTTAAGTAAGGGAGTAACATAATTTATGTTTTAGAAAGTGCTGTGTAGGGGATGAATTGCAGGGGACACAAGTAGGATGAGGAAGACCCATTAGGAACTGTTCCTATAGTTCAGGCAGATGATAATATTAGCTTTGAATTTAGTTTCAGAAGAGTTGGTAAGAAGTGGTAGCTACAACAGGACATATTGATGGACTAAGCGTGGGATGGTAGGAAAAGAAATAAATCAATAATGACTTCTAAGCTGGGCATGGTGGTCTGTGCCTGTTGTCCCAGCTGCTCTGGAGGCTGAGAGGAGAGGATGTCCAGAGTCCAGAAGTCCAAGTACAGCCTGAGCAACAAATGAGACTCCTTCTCAAAAAAAAAAAATAAATAGAAAGAATGACCTCTATATTTTCAACCTGAGCAATTAAGTGTAGAGACTGAAGAATTTTGTTTATTAAGCTATAGAAGGGCTTGAAAAAGCCCAAGAATGTATTGGCTGGAGGCCAGGCCTGGTATGGAATCTAAAGTTCCGTTTTGGCCACATAATGTTGAGATGTTTTGACATATTGCATGTCCAAGTGGAGATATTGTGGAGGCAGTTGACATACAAATCTGGAACCCCTGGGATAGTTCTACAGTTGGAGAATAAATTTAGGAGTCATCAGCAGGAAGATGGTATTTGAAGGGATACATCTGTTATGTGACCCACTAAACAAAGGAGCCCTGATAAAATAGCCCTTTCGGTCTCAAGTCACCTGGTTAAGGTTAATGCAAAAAGGACCCAGAATTCAAGAGTTAAGATGAGCATGCAGATATCAGGTTATTGGAGCTTATAACTCCAGGAAACTAGCAGAATAACTTTTTAGGTAGTAGGCCTTTGAACCCTCCTGGTGGGTGCCTAGGCAGGCTGAAGTTGTGGGCTTTCTTTGGTAAGACAAAATGTGGTTGCATGCTTGGATGTACAGAAAGAGTTAAACTTTCTTGTGCATTTCTATCAAAAGTGACAGAGAGTAGGTATGTAGCAATGTTAGATTTACCTGAAGAGGGTAAATCTCTGCTGGTATTTAACTTTTAAACTTCCATAGGCTTTGAAATAAAGATGGTATAATAATATACCTAGCTTGGAGCAGTAGTAAATACTGGACAAAGGAGACTGGGAGAGACCTAGGTTCAAATTCTCATTTTCCCATTTACTAGATGAGGCAGATAATTTAGCCAGTTTTCTAATCTGTAAAATCGGAAAACCTATTTTGCTATTGGAAAGATTAAAGTATATATTATCTGGCACCTAGAAGTCTCCTAATAACTACCTCAAAGATAGTTATTATTATTTCTAAAAACAGAATGTGGATCTTAGAGCTTGAGATTGATTTATGGGAATGGAAGGCCTTAGAGAGACTGCTTGGATTCATGATTAATTAACATCATCATACATGAACTTTTCTTCCCCCTTTTTTGTAATTTTTAGCTGATTCTATGATATCTATCAACTGCTGCTCAGCTACAGGATTCCAAAGCAAGAAGCAGAGGCTTGAATAAAGGAACAGTGGCCCTCAGTAAGTATAGATACCCAGCAAGTGCACATATTGCCATCAGCCATGTGTCCTTGGACAGCGACTCAACTTCTCTGCTGATTTGCAGTTTCCTCACCTTTAAAATGGTGGTGGCTATAGCTATACCTTCTGCATAAAATTCTAAAGTCACAAAACTAGCAGAGTAAAAAATAAAAAGTCCCTCCCTCCCTCTCCTCTTATTTCAAGAATTTGAATCTATGGACAACATCTGTTAATGATAAAATACTAGATCTTCAGCCTTTCACATGGATCCTACACTGTGAATTGCAGCCAGTACTTTGATGGCATTTGGTCTTATGAAAAGCTGAAAAGACCTGGAGACAGCTGGTGTGGGCTTCTTCCCTTGTTCAGGATGTGACTTGTTAGGCTGAGCCTTTCTTGTTTCCCTAACGCAGCTCAGAACCAAATGAATAAACTCTTAAGCCAAGTAACTGATCAGAAAGTGAAATTTCTCCTATGAACTGTGAGAGAACTTAGTTGAGGTGGGTGCTACATGCACATCCATTATTTTATGGAGTCCAGAGATTTCTGTAAACTCTATAAATATTTCTTTTTGAGTGAACAGTATATCCCAGAAGGTGGAGGGCTACCTTAATAGCCTAAGTAGTGTGACTTCCAGATTAGTCTCCAGGGCCCAATCAGCCTCAAAGCCTGTGAGCTCCTGAGAGGTTTCTTGGGCAACAGCTCTAACTGTAGATATAGAGTGGACATTGACTGCTATGTAGACTATGATATCTATGTAAAACGGAACAACAGTTGCCTACATGGCCTGAATTTTTTCTTGTTGTTTTTTTGAAGATTGCTAGAAAGAACCCTGCTTGGAAGTATCACTTCAACTGCATTGTGTGAAATTTCCCCTTAAAATGTGATTCCTTTTGATTTAAAATCAGTTTTTTCAGAAATCTACTTAAAAAATTTGGATCCCCTCAGGACCTAACACATTTATTTGCCATCAGTCATGAGCCAGTTCAAGGAAACTGACACAAGAGAAGAAGGTAAAAAATAAATTATTTTACTAGGCAGGGGATCCAAACTATGGCTGGGAAAAACCTAGTTGTCTTGTTATGAGGGAGCAAGCATAAAGGATGCTGAGATGGCACCGAACATAGGTTTTCCTACTTATGGTATGACTTCCAGAAAGCTTCGGTGCAGGGTAGCACGAGCAACCTGACTGACCAGTGTGTGAATCAAAGAATGGAGTAACTTAATTTGTGTCCTCAAACCCTGTGTGAAGAGGCTGATTTTCCAATAAAGTTGAAATGTAATCAATGTCTTATCTGCCTATAGCTGAGAGGTAAATAATGGCTACTTCAAAAGGGGCCATATAGGAGGCTCATGAGTATGAGTTAGTTGTTTTGTTTAAAGAGCATGTGATATGAATTCAGGAAAATATCAAATATGTAGTTATCCTAGGTTCATATTGATGAAAATAAATAAGAAAAGTCATTTCATAGGTGAAATGGAAAGGTATGTGTGTATGAGATCATTTTAGATGCCAGATGACACTAATGGAAAACATAATCTAAGCCCAAATGGTGATTTATAATATGGAACAGGGGTACTAAATTTGCCTGATTTTCTATGTGTCTTTTCAGTGTGTCTTTCAAGACAAAAATCATGCATTTTAAAATGTCTCATGATAAAATATGCCTAATGTGTTCTACTTTCTCTTGGAAAATTTTCTTCAAAAATTGGCCTTATTTTCCAGAGTTTTCTGGATACTTCCTAGTTCTACAATCTTACCTTCAGTAATTTCCCAAAGTAGAAATGCTGTGTTAGTAGGTCATTCTTCACACTGACCTGACTTCCCTATATCTACTACTGATCCCAAGGATTCTTCATGCTTTCCTCATGTCTAGGAGATATTTCCCCTCAATTTTAATGTATCCAAATCTTGCTCGTCATTCAGTGCACAACCCAATTTCTATTTCCTCCATAAATTCCCCTACTCCTCTAAAACTACATTCAGAATCTTAGGCTGAAGTGGGCAAACTTTTTCTTAAAGGGCCAGATGGTAAATATTTCAGACTTGGGGGCCACAGTCTCTGTTGGAACTACTCCACCCTGCTCTTGTAGTGCAAAGAGAAGCATAGGTAATACAAAAAAGAATGATTATGTCTTGATTTCAATAAAACTTTATTTGTGGACACTGAAATTTAGGGTGGGGGCAATGCTGGCTTCACGGGCATATGATCTGGGTAGTTGTCAGATACCTACACTTAGAAGGATCCCATGCTCTCTTTAATACTCTGCTGTTGTCATCCTGAAATTCTTAATAATTTTTGATAAAAAGGCCTCACATTTTTATTTTGCAGTGAGTGTTGCAAATTATGTGGGCAATCCTTGGTAGGAGTACATATTCTATTAAATGTCAAGACTTACTATAAAGACATAATAACTAAAACTGTGGTTTTAGCACAAGATTAGATAAATAGTTGTATTTCACAATTCTAGGAGTAGAATAGAACTCAGAAACAGACTCATACATATAGGGACCCTTGATTTTTTTTTTTTTTTTTTGAGATAGGGTCTCTGTTACCAGGTTGGAGTGCAGTGGTGATCATGGCTCACTGCCACCTCTATCTCCCAGGCTCAAGCGGTCCTTCATCTTAGGCTCCCAAGTAGCTGGGACTACAGTTGTGTGCCACCACAAATGGCTAATTGTTTAAAAAATTATTATTATTATTGTTATTGTTATTATTTGAGTCAGAGTCTCATTCTGTCACTCAGGTTACAGTGCAGTGGCGTGATCTTGGCTCACTGCAACCTCTGCCTCCCAGGTTCAAGTGATTATCAAACCTCAGCCTACTGAGTAGCTGGGATTACAGGCGCCCGCCACCACATCCAGCTAATTTTTGTATTTTTTGTAGAGATGGGGTTTCACCATGTTGGCCAGGCTAGTCTCGAACTCCTGACCTCAAGTGATCTGCCTGCCTCAGCCTCCCAAAGTGCTAGGATTACAGGTGTGAGCCACCACACCCAGCCAAAAAATTATTTTTTGTTGAGTTAGGGTCTCACTAGGTTGCCCAGGCTGGTCTTAAATTCCTGGGTTCAAGTGATCCTCCTGCCTTGGCCTCCCAAAGTTTTAGGATTACAGGCATGAGCCACCGTACCCAACTTTGGATCCTTTATTTTTGATACAATTGGTGTTGTAGAATCATGGAGAAGGGCTGTAAGATAGAGCTGGACTACATGGGCATCCAAAATGAAATTGGCCCACACTCAGTAATTAATTAAAGTGGATTAGAGATCTAAATATGAAAGGTAAAACAAAAAAGGTTTTGGGGAACCATATAGGAGAATATCTTCTTCACCTCAGGTAGGTAAAGGTTTCTTATATAAGACACAAAAAACATTAGCCATAAAGGAAAATATTTATAAATGTAACCATAATAAAATTGTAAACTTTTCTTCAAAAACAAGAAGGAAAGAAAGAAAGAAAGAAAGAAAGAAAGAAAGAAAGAAAGAAAGAAAGAATGAAAGAAAGAAAGAAAGGAAAGAAAGAAAAAGAAAGAAAGAAAGGAAAGAAAGAAGCAAAGTAACAGAAAGATCTGGGGGTGGGGTACAGGAAAAAAGAATTAATAAAACAAAACAAGAATTGGTACATATGTGGAGGAACAAAAACTCCCATATACTACTGGTGGGGATCAAAATTGATACAATCACTTTAGGAAAAGTTGGCATTATTTAGAGAACTAGAAGATATTCATTCCTAGGACCCAGTAGTTCTGCTTCTAGTATCTTCCCTAAAGTTCTGAATACTTATGTGCACCAAGGTACATGGTAAGAAGGTTCTTAGCAGAGACTGTAAAAGAGCAGAACTCAAAATAATTCAAATGCTCATCAATGGAAGCATAAGTTGTGGAATAGTAGTATAATAAAATAGAATTTAGCACTGAAAAACGAATCAACTGTAGCTATCTACAGCATGAATGACACTGAAAATCGGGCTGAGCAAGAGAAGCCAGACATAAAAGAATATATTCTGATTGATTCCAATTATATAAAGTTCAAAAATTGGCAAAATTACATTATACTGCTGTGGATGCATTATTGGGTACAAAAAATATAAAGGAAGATTAGTGAGTAACCATTAAAACTGCATAGCCTATTTTTTTGCTTTTGAAAAATGGTTAGGGAATATAACACACTAATTCATACAATTGTTCAACTAGTTAAGATACACTGTATATTCAACTAGTTTCACTGTATGTTTAACTAGTTAAGATACATTGTGTATCTTCCACTTACAAACTTGAAACTAGGAACTTTCCTATATGTGGGGAACACTACTATTAGAGTAAAAAGGCATTAATGCCAACTACCCTGAACAGATAAGATAGCACACCTCTGTGTGTGGTCATTTTCTCTGGGTCATCATGCTTATGCCTTGTTTATGGAGTGTTTGCTTTTGTGAAAGCAGGGTTAACCATCATGAAATGATTAACTCAAACTACCACTCACCTTGAGTACACCACACAGAGTTGCACATATAAAAAGAAACCTGATGGCAATTCAACATCCATAATTCAAAATGTCTAAACATGTAAACTTTTATTTGAGGCTTGTAATTGAAGCCACTGTTTATTTTTTCTTGCTTGACATCTTACTACATTCTACACACCATTGCCTTCTGCTGCCGTAGCCATTATTTGCTTCCTTCTGTTTTAATTTGCTTGTTTTTGTTGAATTGTGCTCTTTTTCTAGATTCTTAAGGTCAAAGCTTAGTTCATGAATCTGAGAGTGTTCTGCTTTTCTCACATAAGCATTTAATGCTATATATTTTCCCCCAAGTCCTGCTTTAGCTATATCCCACAAATTTTGATCTGTTGTGTTTGTTTTCATTTTTATTCAATAAAATATATTTTCTAACTTCTTCTGTGGCTCCTCTTTGGCTCATATGCAATTTAGAAGTGTGCTGTATAATTCTCAAATAATTGAGGACTTTCCAGATATCTTGTTAATGATTTCTAGCTTAGTCCCATGATGATCCGAGTACACACTTTATATTATTTCAATTCCTTAAAAGTTGTTAAGTTTTGTTTTATGGCCCAGCATGTGGTCTATTGTGGTAAACGATCTATGTGCACTTGAAAAAAAATTCTCTGTTGTTGAGTGGAGTGTTCTATACAGGTTAATTAGGTCAAGTTTTACAATAGGATTTTTTTTGGAGTCTCTATATCCTTACTAATTTTCCATCTAATTATTCTATCAATTACTAAGAGTGTTGAAGTCTATAATTGTGGATTTGTCTATTTCTCCTTTCAATTGTATTAGTTTTTAATATTGTGGTAAACTATATCTAGCAAAATTTGCAATTTTAATCATTTTAAGTGAACAAGTAAGTGGCATTTATTGCACCCACATGTTATGCAAAATTCGCTCTACCACTTCCAAAACCCTTTTATGACTCCAAACAAAAACTCTAGCCTCAAGCAGTAACTCTCTGTTCCTCTCTTTCTCTACCCTTTGGTGATTCCTAATCTGTTTTCTGTCTCTATGGATTTGCCTGTTCTAGATATTTCATATAAATAGAATCAGATAATATTGGTCCTTCTGTGTCTGGCTTATTTCATTTAGTTGTCTTTGCAAGCTTCATTCATATTGCAACATGAATCAGAACTTCCTTCCTTTTATGGCTTAATAATATTCCATTGCATATTTTATCTATTTGTCAGTTGATGGCACTTGCATTATTTCTAGTTCTTGGCTATTGTGAATAATGCTTTAATGAACATTGGCAAATAAGTATCTGTTCAAGTTTCTGTTTTCAATTCTTTTGGGTATATATACAAGAGTACTGGGTCATATGGTAACTCCAGGTTTAGTTTTTTGAGGAACTACCAAACTGTTTTCTACAGCAGCTAGACCTTTTCACATCCCCTTGAGCAACATACATAAGCTTCAATTTTTTTTTCACATCCTCACCAACACTTACTCTTTTCCATTCTATTCCAGTAGATGTGAAGTTGTATCTCATTTTAATTTTGATTTTTAATTCCCCAACTACTAAGAGTATTGAGCATCTTTTCATTTACGTATTGGCCATTTGTATGTCTTCTTTGAAGAAATGTCCATTTGAGTCCTCTGCCCATTTTTTAATTGGGTTGTCTTTCTATTGTTGAGTTTTAGAAGTTCCTATAGGCTACATAATTTGTAAGCATTTTCTGTATTTTGTAGATTGTCTTTCCACTTTTTGATAATGTCCTTTGCTGCACAAAACTTTTTAATTGAGGGCCAGGCATGGTGGCTCACACTGGTAATCTCAGCACTTTGGGAGGCTGAGGCAGGCAGATGACTTGAGATTAGGAGTTTGAGACCAGCTTGGCCAATATGGTGAAACCCCACCTTTACTAAAAGTACAAAAAATTAGCTGAGTGTGATGGTGCATGCCTATATTCCAAGCTACTCAGGGGGCTAAGGTGAGAAAATTGCTGGAACCCGGGAGGGGGAGATTGTAGTGAGCCAAGATCGCGCCACTGCACTCTAGCCTGGGCAACAGAGTGAGACTTTATCTCAAATAAACAAAACAAAACAAAGAAACAACAACAAAAAACTTTTTGATTGAGGAAATTCAATTATTTCTCCCCCCTTCAGGCTTTGGTTGTCCTACGTAAGAATCTGTCACCAAATCTAAGGTCATGAAGATTTACTCCTATGTTTTCTTTTTTTTTTTTTTTTTGAGACGGAGTCTTGCTCTCTGTTTCCCTCTGAGAGTTTCAAGGTTTTAGCCAATATATTTAGGTCACTGATTCATTTTGAGGGGTTTTTTTTTCTTTTTTTTTGTATATGGTATGAAGTAAGAGTCCAACTTCATTCTTTTGAATGTGGAAATCCAGTTGTCTCATCACTTTGAGGAAATGCCAGACTGTTTTCCATAGCAGCTGCACCTTTTAAATATTCCCTCCAACAATGTATGAAGGCTTCATTTTTTTTATGTCCTCACTAATACTTGTTCTTTTTTATTTTATTCCAATAATTGTAAAGTCAATATAATGTTCATATTGTCTACCACTGTTTGGCTCTTCGTTTTATACCTCATCTTGGAGTCTCTCAGTCACTGTGTAGATATAAATATATACCCTCCTGTGGTGGAGTTCTCCCAGAATGAGGCAGGGGCTCATCTTCACTCCAGCCTCATTGCTCACCTCTGCATGGGCATAACCTTCTCCATCTCTACCTTCCTTGAGCCCTTTTGCCATCAGCAAGGAATTACTCCATACTGTAGTGACACCATAGTTTGGCTACTGGGTTCCAAACTTTATACCTCTAGGCAATACCCTCAAACTTAGGACCTGATTTTTTTTTTTAACTTTCTTTTCTTCTGGTCTTGCACTACTGACCTCTGATTATTTCCTGGCTCACTTAGTAGGATAATGCATATGATATTCCAAACCAAGAACTTATTGCTAAGTGTAACATTTAACAATAGTGGGCAGATCATGAGGTCAGGAGATCAAGACTATCCTGGCTAATGCTAACATGGTGAAACCCTGTCTCTACTAAAAATACAAAACATTAGCCGGGTGTGGTGGTGGGCACCTGTAGTCCCAGCTACTTGGTAGGCTGAGGCAGCAGAATGGCCTGAACCCGGGAGGCGGAGCTTGCAGTGAGCCAAGATCATGCCACTGCACTCCAGCCTGTATGACAGAGTGAGACTCCATCTCAAAAAAAAAAAAAAAAAAAAAAAATAGCTGATCTTGTGGAATAAAAATGGAAATCAAGACTAAAAAAAAAATCCTCAAAACCATACAATTACATGGAAATTAAACAACCTGCTCTTGAATGACTTTTAGGTAAATATGAAATTAAGACAAAAATCAAGAAGTTCTTTGAAACTAATGAGAACAAAGATATAACAGAATCTCTGGAACACAGCTTAGGCAGTGTTAAGAGGGAAATTTATAGCACTAAATCCCCACATCAAAAAGTTAGAAAGATCTCAAATTAACAACCTAATGTCACAACTAAAAGAACTAAAGAAGCAAGGGAAAACCAACTCCAAACCTAGCACAAGACAGGAAATAACCAAAATAAGAACTAAACTGAAGGAGATCAAGACACGAAGGTCACTCAAAAGATCAATATGCTGGGCGCAGTATCTCATACCCATAATCCTAGCACTTGGGAGGCTGAGGTGGGCAGATCACCTGAGGCCAGAAGTTTGAGACCAGCCTGGCCAACATGACAAAAGCCTATCTCTATTAAAAATACACACACACACACATACACACACACACACACACACACACAAATTAGCCAGGTGTGGTAGCACATGGCTGTAATCCTGGCTACTTGGGTGGCTGAGTCACAAGAATTGCTTGAAACCAGGAGGCAGAAGTTGCAGTGAGCTATGAGAGCTGTGATCACACCATTGCACTCCAGTCTGGGTGACAGAGTGAGACTCTGTCCCAAAAGAAAAAAAAAAATCAACAAATCCAGGAGCTGTTTTTGGTTTGTTTGTTGTTTTTGTTGTTTTTTTTATTTTTATTTTTGAGACAGAGTCTTGCTCTGTTGCCCAAGCTGGAGTTCAGTGGTGCAATCCTGGCTCACTGCAAGCTCTGCCTCCTGGGTTCACGCCATTCCAGAAGTTGTTTTTTTCTTTTTTTTAAATTATTAAACTACACAGGCCACTAACTAGATTAACAAAAAAGGAAAATCCAAATTAACACAATTAGAAATGACAAAAGGGATGTTACCACTGATCTCACCCCACAGAAATACAACCAACCATCAGAGACTACTATGAACACCTCTATGCACACAACTTAGAAAATCTAGAAGAGGTGGATAAATTTCTGGACACATACACCCACTAAGACTGAATCAGGAATAAATTGATTCTCTGAACAGATCAATAATGAACTGTGAAATGGAATCAGTAATAAAGACCCTACCAACCAAAAAAAGCCCAGGACCAGGTAGATTCATAGCTGACTCCTACCAGATGTACAAAAATAGCTGGTAGCATTTCTACTGAAACTATTCCAAAAAATTAAGGAGGAGGGACTCCTCCCTAACTCATGCTGTGAGGTCAACATCATCTTGACACCAATATCTGGCAGAGACACAACAAAGAAAACGTGAGGCCAATATCCTTGATGAACACTGATGCAAAAAATTTTCAAATACAAAACAAAACAAAACATTTGCAAACTGAATCCAACAGCACATAATAAAGCTAATCCACCGCAATCAAGTGGGATTTTTCCCTGGAATGCAAGGCTGGTTCAACATATACAAATCAATAAATGTGATTCATCACATAAACCTAACTTAAAAAAATTACACGATTATCTCAATATATTGAGAAAAGCTTTAAATAAAACTCAACACCCCTTCAGGTTAAAAACCCTCAGTAAACTAGGTATTGAAGGAACATGCCTCAAAATAATAAGAGCCATCTATGACAAACCCACAGCCAATGTCATACTGAATGGGTAAAAGCTGGAAGCTTTCCTTTTGAAAACTGACACAAGACAATAATGCCCTCTCTCACCACTCCTATTCAACATAGTATTGGAAGTCCTGGCCAGAGCAATCAGGCAAGAGAAATAAATAAAGGGTGTCCAAATAGGAAGAGAGAAAGTCAAACTATTCTTTTTGCAGACAACATGATTCTTACATCAAGAAAACCTCCTGGTCTCAGTCAAAAATCTCCTTTAGCTGATAAAAAGCAAAGTTTTAGGATACCTAATCAACATACAAAAATCACTAGCATTCCTATACACCAAGAACAGTGAGGCCGAGAGCAACATCAGGAATGTAACCCTGATTCACAATTTACAATTGCCACAGAAACAATAAAGTACCTAGGAATACAGCTAACTAGGGAGACGAAAGATCTCTACAATGAGAATTACAAAACACTGTTCAAAGAAATCAGAGATGACACAAACAAATAAGAGACATTTCATGCTCATAGATAAGAAGAATCAGTATCATTAAAATGGCCATACTGCCTAAAGCAATTTACAAATTCATTGCAATTTCTATCAAACTACCAATGACATTCTTCACAGAACTAGGGAAAACTATTTTAGAATCCATAAGGAACCAAAAAAAGCTAAATAGCCAAGGAAATACTAAGCAAAAATAACAAACCTGGAGTTACCACGTTATCCAAATATCATGGTGTTGGTACAAAAATGGACACATAGACTAACAGAACACAATAGAGAGCCCAGAAATAAGTTTGCACACTTGAAGCCATCTGATCTTCAACAAAACTGGAAAAAAGAAGCAATGGGGAAAGAACTTTCTATTCAATCAATGTTGCTGTGATAACTGGCTAGCCATATGCAGAAGATTGAAACTGGACCCCTTTCTTACACCATATACAAAAATTAACTCAAAATGAATTAAAGACTTAAATGTAAAACTGAAAACTATGAACACTCTGGGAGGCAACCTAGGCAATACCATTCTGGACCTAGGAACTGCCAAAGATGAAGACACCAAAAACAATTGCAACAAAAGCAAAAATAGACAAAAGAGATCTAATTAAACTAAAGAGCTTCTGCACAGCCAAAAAAACTATCATCAGCATAAACAGACAGCCTAAAGAAAGGGAGAAAACATTTGCAAAATATATGTCTGACAAAGGTCTAATATCCAGAATCTATAAGGAACTTAAACAAATTTACAAGATAAAACCAAGCAACCCTATTAAAAAGTGGGCAAAGAACATGAACAGATACTTTTCAAAAGAAGACATACATGCGGCCAATGATCATATGAAAAAAAGCTCAATATCACTGATTGTTAGAGAAATGTAAATCAAAACCACCATGAAATACCATCTCATACCAGTCAGAATGACTATTATTAAAAAGTCAAAAAATAACATGCTGGTGAGGTTGCAGAGAAAAGGAATGCTTCTATATTGTTGGTGGGAGTATAAATTAGGTCAACTATTGTGGGAAGCGGTGTGGTGATTTCTCAAAGAGCTGAAAACAGAACTACATTCCCTTTACTGGGTATATACCCAAAGAAATATGAATTGTTCTATCATGAAGATGCATGCACATGTATGTTCACTGGAGCACTGTTCACAATAGCAAAGACATAGAATCAACCTAAATGCCCATCAATAGCAGATTGGAGAAAGAAAATACGGTACATATACATCACGGAATACTATGCAGCCATAACAAAGAAAGAAATCATGTCCTTTGCAGGAACATGGATGGAGCTGGAGGCCATTACCCTTAGCAAACTAACGCAGGAACAGAAAACCAAATACCACATGTTCTCATTTATAAGTGGGAGCCAATTGATGAGAACACATACACACAAAGAGGGGAACAACAGACACTGGGCCTATTGGAGGGTGGAGGGTGGGAGGAGGGAGAAGATCAGAAAAAATAACTATTTGGTACTAGGTTTAGTACCCGGGTGACAAAATAATCTGTGCAACAAACTCCTGTGACATGAGTTTACTGTATAACGAAGCTGCACATATACCCCTAAACCTAAAATAAAAGTTAAAAAAAAGCTGATCTCTGTATACTTAGTATTCAGTGATCAAATATTTATTGAATATCAAATACTGTGTTGCTGGAAATACATTGATGGGCAAGCAAAAAAAAAAAAAAAAAAAAAAAAAGACCTCCAAAACCCCAAACTAAAAAACTCTGTTCTTATTAAACTTTTATTCTATCGATAGAGAAATAAACAATAGTTAAGTTAATGAATGTTATGAAGAAAATTATAGCAGGGTAAAAGAGATAATGAATTCTCTGGTTAGATGAATTTGTAATTTAAATAGAGAAGTCCTCATTGAGACAGAGATATTTGAGCAAAGATTAGAAGGAGATAATCTGAGTGGATATCATAGAAAGCGGATTCCAGGCAGACAGTAATGCAAAGCCCTTGAGTTGGGTGCAGTCTGTGTATATATGCAGAGCTGTGAAAAGACCACAATACCAGAAATGTAGGAATAAAGGGAAAGGTAGTAGACAAAATCAGAGAGGTAATGGCAGAGAGGAGAAGTCAGGAGATAGATACTGTGTAGGCAATTTGAGGCCATTTTCCTTCTAAATATAAATGTGTATAGACCATTGATTACATCCAGATATTATCTGAAGTCTTTTTCCTGTGAAGCATAATCTGTGAGGACTATTCCAGTTACGTATTCCATAATAACACACCAACTCAAAACTTAGTGGTTTAAAAGAATAGCAATTTTTTTTAACCCATGAATCTGAAATTTTGGCAGGGCTCAGAATAAATAGCTGCAACTGTTCAAATGAGATGGAGATCTACTTCTAAGATGGTTTATTCACATGGCTGGGAAGTTGGTGTTATCTTCAGGAATGTCTTCAGGAATATCCGTTTGTTCCTCTGGATGTGGGTTTTCCATAAGACCCCTTGGGCTTCCTCACAGCATGGTTCCTAGGTTTCAAGATCGTGTATCCCAAGAGAATCAGGAAGTAGCAGCTGCCAGTTTCTTAAGTTCTTTTACTGGAAACGAGCACAGTGTCACTTATGGGTCAAATAGTTACTGACCTCAAGGGGAGGGAACATATACTGCATTTATCAATACGTGGCATGTCAAAGAATTCTCTGGCCATGTTTTAAAACAGCCATACCAGCAGAAGCAAATAGCAAAACTAAGTGATAAAGTCATGAATGTGATGCCTGGATGATAACACAGATTTAATAAAGAGATATCTGAGGCAGTCACTGGAACCACCATGATCTGTAGTTTGTCTTGATGTGCAAAGAGGAGGATGGATTTGTGTAGTTTTCTAGGTACATGACACATCCATTTGTTTAATCATCATTTAAAGAAAGGTATATAATTTTTCAGGTAATCTGAGAAGGCCCTTGATTATTTGGATGCATTCAAGAAAAAAATGTTCAAGTTTTAGGTTTTTGGTTAATTGACTGAACATAACCCAATTTAAGGAAAAGCAAATACAATATCCCTCACTTTTAAAGGAACCTTCCTTAATACAGTCCTACTATTCACAGCTGCAAAATTGTACCATAACAATAAGGCTGATTACACTCAAAATGACCAGGGGCTGCAAAATAAGTAAATAAGTAAACAGGCTCTTGTTTAAAAATGCCTTTAAATGCTTCCAATTTATGAAATTGCTCAAATTTACCTAGTCTGTACGTGGAGAAAAACATAGACAATCAAGCTTTGACAGTCATATTTCTGATATTGAAGTGGCTTATAAAAATTGTAGAATGTATTCAGGAATAGGACTGATTGTGATTGATTCTGAAGTCTGTTTGATCTTTAGTTCATTTTACCAGGGGAAAGGAAAAAAAAGGGAGGGAATTACCTTTCCCTAAGTAGCAGGCACTGGATAGAGTGGTTTTGATCTGTTATCTCATTTATCTCTCAAACAACCCTCTGTGGCAGTTATTATCAGCCCTATATTTATGGTTGAAGAAATGGAGAATAAGAGAGACTAAGTAACTTCCCTAAAGTGACACAAAATAATTTTCACAGATAGGATTTGAACCCATGGATGTTTGGCTGCAAAGCCCTTGTTCTTTCCAGTATATTAAACTGCCTTTGAAATCAGAAAGCTGTCCACAGCAAGAACTTGAGAACTTGGCCATGTTCAGTTTGATAGGAAAGGAAGAATCGTGAGGTGTTAAGAATGTTGCTTATTGAAGCTAATGCAGTCATGCATTGCTTATTGATGGGGGTAAATTCTGACAAGTGTGTTGTTAGTCAATTTCTTCCTTGTGCAAACATCCTAGTGTGGACTTACACAAACCTAGATGGTATAGCCTACTACACATTTAGGCCATATGGTATAGCCTATTTCTCGTAGACTACAAATATGTTCTGCATGTTATTGTACTGAATATTGTAGGCAGTTGCAATACAATAGGAAGTATTTGTGTAACTAAATACAGAAAAGGTACAGTAAAAATATGGCATTATAATTTTATGGGACCACCATTGTATATGCAGTTCATCCTTGACTGAAACGTTATGTGGTGCATGACTGTATATTTTACATTATCTGTCTTTTAGGATCATAAATACATCATACTTCTACAATAAAGTATATGGAAATGACATTTTCACATTAACATTTTCACATTATCTCTAAAATAAGCACAAAATCATGGTTTGAGTGGACATGCTTTAGCTCCAATGGCTTTGGTCATCAGGTATGTTGGAATTTTTTGTTGCAAATACAGGTCAATGGGAAAGAAAAGGAAAGGAATCAGCTAGGAGAAGAAGCTACAAAGATCACAAGCAGGTGAAATGATCCAATTTTAATGCTAGCCTTTGGGTGAGGAAGCCAGTAGTTTCCAAAGCAACCTGGTGAACCCGAGATGATGCAGGTTGATGTCATCCATTATCCAGTTGGAAAGAAGTTGAGGCAATGGCTATCTTCAGTCCAATGGGAACAGCATTATTATGTGTTGGTGCTGTCAGTCATTGGAAGAGGAAACTAGGCCATTGAGTAAGGTCAGGGGACAGAGTCCAGCCTTTCCTACTCTGACAAAAAAGGCAGGAAACCAAAGATTCAAGTACAAGGACTAAAGTTTAGGGCTGAATTCTAATTCTGGAAGGAAACTGGAATGCTGAAAGAGAAACATAAGCAGAAGCTTAGACCTACTGCTTGGAGAACATGCACCCAGTAAAGACTGTATACAATATAATAGATACACGAGTGCCTAGGGCTCAATGCAGTTTCATCAGATATTATAAAATTAATTCCAGACTCCACTGACTGTGAGCCTCAGTGGTCAGAATAGTCAGTCTCTCTTGCTTTGGCTTAATGTAAGAGTTTAAGACATTCTGTAGTTTGGATGAAGCTGGAAAAATAGCAACTAGTTGGGCAGAGAAGTATTATTAACTTTCATTCAATCATTCTTTCATTTCTTTATTCATTAAACATTTATGGAGGGTCTTTATGTGTATGGATACAGTGAATGCCATTATTGTATAACGTATTTTAAAATTTATTTTATTATTATTACTATTGTTGTTTGAGGCAGAGTCTCCTTCTATTGACCAGGCTGGAGTGTAGTGGCTTGATCATGGCTTACTGTAACATCAAAATTCTGGCTCAAGTGACCCTCCTGCTTCAGTCTTTCAAGTGGCTAGGGCTGCAAGCATCCACCATTAGGTCTGGCTTTTTATAGAGATGGGGTCTTGCTATGTTGACCAGGCTGGTTTGGAATCTCTGGCCTCAAGTGATCCTCCCACCTTGGCCTCCTAAAATTTTGTGATTACAAGCATGAGCCAACATGTGGCCTTATTTTAAAATTTAGACTAGTAAATACTACAAACATTATTGTTCACATAAACCTTGTATTATTACTTTATTTGATCTAACACTTTTTTTTTTTTTTTTTTTGAGACAGAGTCTCACTCTGTCTCCCAGGCTGGAGTGCAGTGGCGCAATCTCAGCTCACCGCCACCTCTGCCTCCCAGGTTCAAGTTATTCTCCTGCCTCAGCCTCCCGAGTAGCTGGGATTACAGGCACGCACTGCCATGCCCAGCTAATTTTTGTATTTTTAGTAGAGACGGGGTTTCACCATGTTGGCCAGATGGTCTTGAACTCCTGACCCCAGATGATCCACCCACCTTGGCCTCCCAAAGTGCTGGGATTACAGGGGTGAGCCACCATGCTCAGCTGATCTAACACTTATTTTTGGTAAACCCATAAGCATACAATTACCAAGTGCCTTTTTTGCACTAACACTTTCACCTGTGTAACAAATCCTATTCTTTATGATCACTTTTTTCATCAATATTTTCTTATCTCTTATACGTTTTCAGTCTTTCCCATAAAACTCTTTTTTTCCCTCAGCATAAAAAGATGTTCAAGTGTCTATGAAACAAAAGAAGAATCCTCCTTTGACACCAAACATTAAAATAGTGCCTAGTATGTGTGGGACACAATTCTAAATGTTTTACATACATTAAGACATAACATCCTTATGAAATAGATATGATAGCCACAATTTACGGGTAAGAACACTGAGGTAGAGAAAGGTTAAGTGAATTGTGATAGATCACATGAGTAGTGTGGCTGAGCAGGGATCTAGACCTCGGCAATCTGGTTCTGGAGTCTGCTCTTTTACCATTTGTATCCTGAAATCATCTTTACCTTTCTTGGTCACTTTCCATGAAATAATTGTCCACATGATCGGATTTCACTTCTACCTGTATTAGATACAATTTGTGCACCCCCCGTAGGTATCTTTGGCACCTGCTGCCTCCTAGGTCCTCCATTGCTGGCTCAACAGAGAGCCTGTACATCTACACTGCCTCCTCACCTCCAGGCTACTGTGGACTCCACCGAGACAAGGGCTGGGCCTAGGCATGACCTAGATCACGCTAGTCCAGGAAGGAGTCATAGCTGTTCCACAAAGCTCTTGGCTGACTTGATTCACAAAGGCTGCAGCTCCTTCCACCACTCAGGACTCAGATACAGGGCTGTGTGCCACAACTCAGGAGTCAGGGAGAGTTAACAGAAGATGTAGGGTAGAGCAGTTAGAGATCCAGCAGATAAATTCCTCTTTCTTTTCCCCCGTTGGACTGTTCCACATTGTGGGTAGTTCCAAATGGCCTATCCCGATGCCAAGCAGCTGGCTGTATTTTCTCATGAATTTGTAGACTGCCCAAAATGCACCTCTTCATATTTGCTTTCCCTTTTGTCTACTTTATGTTCTTTTCTCCCCCTCACTCTTTCCGCCATGGGATTGTACCTCCCAACAAAGCACTGGCCTTAGGCTCTATTTTCTAGGGGTCATTAAGGCTTTGCAATGGCTGCAATGGTTTTACTCTGTTGTAATAGACAGACGCCTCACTTCACTCAAACTGTTTTCACTGAGATTACAGGTGATCTCCTCATCACTAAATTGAATGAACCTTTTTCAATCCTTATTTTGTTTGAACTCTTCATTGTATTTAACTGTTTTAGCACTTCTTCTCAGTACTTCATGATAACATTCTCCCGGTTCTCTTCTCATCTAGTTAATGCAGCCTTTTATATCATTCATGCACTCTATTTCCTTAACCGCATTTTAAGTGTTGGACTTAAACAGGATTCTTCCTCTGGCTTTTATTTTTCCACTCCTCATTAGTTATTTCATATGCTCTTCTGGTTGCAACCACCTCTGGTTTGGTAGAGTTAAAATCCATTGTTTACCACAGACCTCTCTCCTAAACTTCAGACTCTGGATCTATCTCTATCTGAATATCCTACAAACACATGGTACTTGGCATGTCCAAAACCAAACTTACACTCCCAAGTCTATTATCAGTGTTGGATATCTTTCATTTATGCTTCAAGATCCACATTCCATGCTTTAAGCATCCAGCTTTGTGCTCTGGAAGGTGGACCTGAATGGACTACCACAATGGGCTTCCTTGTTCTCCAGCCTCTGGTTGAATCCAGCCATTTGGGAAGCATAAGAAAGACATTCTCCCTGAGGGGTCAACATGAGCTGACTGCATCCCTTGATATAAGTTTACAGCTCTTGTTAGCTCTCTCTGCACAGATATTCTGAATTCCTTTCATCAATGTGATATTGATTCTATCACATTACAATGTAATTATTACTTTCTCAGCCTGTCTCATAAAATTTTTGTGAACAGAAACCTCATCATATTCATTATCTTAATTCCTTAAAAATGTTAGCATATTTTCAGTAAGTATTTATGAATTAAATATGTGCTCAAATAAATGCCAAATGGAAATGGGATGCAGAACAATAGTATTTCCCCCTACCTCCAATTAACTGATGGTTTCTTTGGACAATGAACACCAGCATATGGAAACAATTAATTATTAAGAGTTAATAAGAAGCCAATTTCTTCAACACTTCGAGAAATTGACTTCTTGGGCTATAGAGCCTTCTATGTTATCAGGGGTCAGCAGGATTTTATAACCTAATTTAAAAAAAAAACACTAGATATTGTAATTAGCCTCCAAATCAGCTTGCAAATAAGATACACAAGACCAAAATTCAGAACAAAAGTCTCCAAGAAAGAAACAGAAGCAACAGCAAAAAGCAACAAAACAAAACGTAATCAACATGTCCTCTTTTCAGTGCCTTGCACTGGTACTTAAAAATAAGTGAAATTGACATTCTTTGGTATTCATTCTAAGCAAGGAGATGACTGGCTATTTCCAAGGTTGACTTAAATGTCAGTCAGAGTTCTCTCTGCAGGCATTGAACTAGCTTGACCTACTGCTTTGGTTTTAAAAGATTATGGAAATGGGGGTGTGAGGCTGTGTGTGTGTGTGTGTGTGTGTGTGTGTGTGTTTAGGGCTGGGCAGAGGAAAACTGCACACCCCATTCTAGAACTACCAAGATTAAAAGTAGAAATCTCACCAAGGCAGATAGTTTTTGTGTTTTAGTGTATTACAAATTATCTCGTTACTTAAAACCCAATTAACACTAGCTCTGTGGTATATCTTCAGTATATATCATTTTCTACAAAGTGCCAAAGAATTGCTCCTATTGATATACTTGGAGAGTGCTGATTTTAGGAAACAATAACTCCTCAAAACTGTCATTGATACATTCATTAGGGTAAGTGAGTATGTCACACAAACAGAATCACTATATTTTTAACCTACAATTTTGTGCCCCTAAAGCCACCAGGCTTTCCTACTTAGAACTGCAGTTTCTGATAGCCTATCAGTGAGGTAAGAGATATAAATATACTGAAAATAAATGAGGTAACACTCATTTTACTAATTTTTGATGCAGTGTAGAGTACAATATGAACAAACATTTGTATTAATATTTATGAACTATCAGCCATGTTCTTGTCTGCCATAGACTTCTTCCAACTTTTCCAGACATAGATTCCTCACACTGCCTCTAGTTCACTGGAATGCTTTCTACATGTCTGTGTATACAGCTTCTGGCCATACCATCACAGTATATACACATCAACTTTACACTGGATGATCCCACAAACGTAATTTCCAAAAGACCCAAGTCCTCCATTAAGATCTTTCCTCAGAATGACTGTTTGACAGAGGTTGTACAAATTCCGGCCTTCTGAGCTTTATGTTCATTAAGATTAAAGTCAGGGAAACTGAGATGGGGGTAATTATTAGCACTTGAGGACACAGTAGATCAGTATATAGGTATGAAAATACTTTTAAGATGATTTTAAAATTGAACTACTTATTTATTTATTTTTGAGACGGAATTTCACTTTGTAGCCCAGGCTAGAGTGCAGTGGCGCAAACTCGGCTCACTCCAACTTCCACCTCCCAGGTTCAAGCGATTCTCTTGCCTCAGCCTCAGAGTAGCTGGGACTGCAGACATGAACCACCACGCCTGGCTAAATTTTTAGTATTTTTAGTAGAGATGGGGTTTCACCACGTTGGTCAGGGTGGTCTGGAACTCCTAACCTCAAATGAATTGCCCACCTTGGACTTCCAAAGTGCTGGGATTACAGGCATGACCCATTGTGCCCGGCCTTAAACTTGAACAATTTAAAACGTAGACTGAATGTATAATCAGTTGGTTCACAAAAAAAGCTAATCTAATTCATGCAATGCAAAACATTTTTTGGATTTAGACAAAAATATGTACTGTAGAGCATTTTAGGATAGGAGTTATCCATTCATTTATTGAATTTATCATATAAACTATAATATATGTAATTATATATTCATTGAATATATTATTGAATACGCTGAATATATCTGCTGCCAGTTGTTAATGAACTGAATGTGCTGCCCCTGCCCCAAATTCATATGTTGAAATCTAATCCCTTATATGATGGTATTTGATGTGGAGGTAGGGCGTATGGGGATGATTAGGTCATGAGAGTGGAGCCCTCATGAATGGGATTAGTGCCCTTATTAGCAAAGACCAAAGAGCAGGCTTGCTTGCTTTTCATCATGTGAGGGTACAAGGAGAAGTTGGCAGTCTGAAAACTGGAAGAGGCCTTTGCCAGAACCTGACCATACTAGCACCCTCATCTTGGACTTCCAGCCTGTAGAACTGTGAGAAATAAAGTTTTGTTGTTTATAAGCCATCCAGTCTATGGTAATTTGTTATAGCAGCCCAAACTAAGACACCAGGCATTAGCCTAGGTGCTGGGGAAGCAATAATAAAAAAGACAGACTTAATTTCTTTACTCAAAAAACTGACATACAAGTTGAAGTTATAATAATAGAAACAAGCAATGAATATATACGGGTTCTCTCCTGGAAAAAATGGCATGGCACAAATAGGGAGAAATATATGGGGAAATGTTATAGAAGGCAATGGGTGGGGTTGTAGGCAGAGTAATAAGATAAGGTAGATACAAAAATTGTTGAACAAAATTAAACTGGAATTTTAACTGTGAGTTTTGGAATTTAGTTTGGAGAACACCAAATCAGTGTGCTGAAAATGCCCAGAGTCCACAGAGTTACATAGTCTTTGGTAATTTGTCACAAATAAGAACACATGTGTTTCTGGTTGATAGGAGGAGTCAAGGATAGCTTAAATTTCATTTGTGGTATGAGTTCAGCATCTTAAGATGTTTGGTGAGGGGCAGCCAGTTGATGTAGTAACTTTTTTGAGGCAGAAAGGAAAGGAGGAGCAGGTACAGTGGGAACACTTTGAGTGGTATGAGTTCAAGCAAGGATGACTGTGAGCTCTCCTATGGAGCCCAGTGTAGAGCCTTTCTGGTTCCATCAGTTTTATAAGATATTCTTGACTTGGAGGAAGATTAAAGCCAGAAGTTTAATTTGTTTTATTGCAAATGAAAATATGGAGATCTGTTCTTATTCATTTAAGGAGCAAATTATTTGAAAAAAAAATGTTCTTCTACATTTATTATTTAGATTTCTGAATTAATTTTTTCTACAGTTATAGTTTCTAGAGCTTTGCCTCAAACTAATCAAGGTTAATGACAACTTGGTCAGATATGATGCCGCACATTGTTAGCTTTTATCACAGAGGATGGCATTGACAATGATTCCGAGAAGAATGCTGGAGGGATTGATCAAGATGGAACTTGAGACCTGCAATTACAATAAAAATTTTCCTTTGTACTTGCAGCTCCTTCCTCAAGTATACTTGCTATTTGTTCTTTTGCCATGTTGACCTGAAACATTGGCTCAAAAAGATCCATACTACCAAGGTCTGGGTATCCAGGATGTCTTCCTAGATGTTATTTTCTCGCTGATTCTTTAGAGCATTTCTTCTACCTCGTCTACTTCAGCCTGCTCACTATTCAACCAAGTTTAGGTGTCTTGTTAGCATCTATTTTCTACATACATTCATCTTGATGGAATTGGGTTGTGATAAGTGGTACTTCTATCCGTGTGGACTGGCTACCTTCCAGTACCATACTGTTGATGATTCATTCATGCCATTCAGTGTGAAGAATGTGACAACTTTCCATCAAACACATTGCAGATTCAATAGCACCAAGGATAACAGATCCCAACTGCAGAGCATCATTTTGGCATGTATATGGAGTGTTTGTGGGGAGGGGGAAGAGGAACTCTAGAGGGCAGGGTATATAATATCTTTTATAAGACAGTACAAAAATAATTTTAAAATAACTCCGAATATATTTGATGACTAATGGTCCAATTTGTCGTGAAATTGCAGATCCATATTTCACTTTCAGGAATAGACATGCTATTTCCTTTCAGCTATAGACAAAGCCTCTTTCAGGTAAGACAGTATTTTACCTTACAATCATACAACGTCAAGCCAGACTCATTGTTCTAAAGGAACTGAACCTTCTGCCACTTCAACAACCTCTAAGTGCTGACTGTTAACTCGTTTTTCTTTTCATCTGATGTGACTGTGACAAGAAACAAATTCACAGAAGTGAAATTATCTGTGATAGTGGTCTGCTGGATAGATGACCTTGGAAAAATTAATACAATAAGTGAGTAGTAGTTGTCACTATAATCAGATCTGTGCCAGAGTTGCAATTAGAAACATGGACATTAGCCTATTGCTAATTCATAGTATTCCAGACACAAAATGCTTTAAGGAGTACTTGTTAGATTTGTTGTTATTGTCAATGTTTTGTTTGTTAATATCTTTGAGACATATGGTTTCAGTAATTTTAAGAGTTATTTTAAAATTTTAATCAGCTCAACCAAGAAGTGTGTGTGTGTGTGTGTGTGTGTGTGTGTGTGTGTGTGTGTGTTTAATGCATAATGTGATTCCAATAAGGCTTAAAGTGGAGGAATCTTTTCTAGGAACAAGTACATGGCTGCTTTGACATTATGTCTGCTTGGTTTTGGAATGATTTTTGTAATTCTTCCAAGGCAATATATTTAACTTTCTAATGTTATTTTTATAAAAAACAGTGAGTTTTTACTTTCTAACCCTCTGCCTTCTCTACATCATACTTTTGCCAAATTCTCTTTGTCTATATTCTCCAATCTCCCTACTCTCACAATAGGTAATATTCATCTCATCTCTTTCTTCAGCCTCTATGTAATTATGTTTGCTTTACTTATCATTTATATACCACATTTTCTTTTCCCAAGTCTCTTTTTGTTACTGTTTCTTTAAATATTAGTTCAGGCTTTGCTATACTGAACAGAATTAGCCCAGGAATTTCAATTCAATCAATTCAATCAAATAACCATCTAGTTAGATGATTATTTTCACTGAATTGATAAGTTGACTAAATTTACTTAATTGGTTGACAATTTGGCTATATGCCTTTGGGTTGTCTTGTATAATGCATTTGTTGCTTCACTCATTCGTCCATTTAGCCTGTTATTCAGTGCACATTCCATGTATCAAGAACACAAAGCTAAGTATCACATGCCTTTGCATTTGAAGAATATAAACTTTAATGGCATATTGATTTGACTGATAAGCTTTTATTGGCTAATCATAGCAGTAATAATAGCTAACATTTCTTGACCATTATTTTTGTGTCAGGCATAGTATTAAGTGTACATTATCTCATTTGATATTTATGGCAAGTTCATAAGACATGAATTACTTGGCTTTATTTTAAGATCAGAGACTTGATGTTTGGAGACATTTAGTAACTCATGCTAAGTCACACAGCTAATGAGTGGTAGAGCCAGGAGTTCAAATTAGGCAGCCCGAATACTGGAACCTCATCTGTAGTCACTATGACCACAAGCTCAGGGGAATAGACCAGGGGAGACTGTATGTAATTTTCTGCCAAAGAACCTAGCCATTTAAAGCCACAATATGCACGCTGATCTTGACAAAGGAGAACTGGATCCATAGGGTAATGAATCTGGGGATAGGCATTTTTAAATGATATTTTTAATATGTGATTAGAAATAGCTACATAGTTAATAATATTACTTTTCCCTTCTAATTTTACATACCTCTACCTTTAAATTGTACTGTAACTAATGTTTTAGAGACATAACATTTATTTTCAGTGTGAAAATAAAATATTTAATGCTGACATATTCAGACATCAGGCTGGAATAAAAATATAATTTCCAGGCAAATGACATGGTTTATGGGAAAATTTCTTAAGTATATTTATTACAGCCAGATATTCCATAACCACAGTTTTTCTCTTCCTTTAGAAATTTTTTCTTTGAATCTCTAGAATGATATTGCAACATTCAAAAGACTTCTGTTATTTTTGCTTGCTAACAATACGTATGTTTATATGTGAATATATACATGTAATGTATTAATAAAGGCTAAAGAACCACATTTTGGATTTGCTCTTCTCTTGGAAGGTCTTAAATGAAGTTATTTATTTATTTTTTTAATTTGAAGAAAGCACAAAGTTGGAGTTCAGATTATTCATAGAGATCTGAAGGAGAGATTTTGCCCTCGGTGATTGTGTGTGTGTTTTTAAGACAGTACACATACATACTCTAAATTACTGTTTTACTTAGAATGCACATTGCTTGAAGGGCTGAACATTTTCTGATCTTTTGGTATATAGATAAGATAGGATGTCAGTGAATTTGACCTCTTAGATCTGTGTAGTTACAAAATGATCTTATAGTTTTGTATTTTTATAGCCTTATTACAGAGAAAAGGGCCTAGATTTGGTTAATGTATTATTTTTTAGTTTTCTTATCTACAGCATTTTCCTTCAGCATTATGAAGGTCTTAAACTATTAAATGATTTTTATATCATTATTTATAATATGGAAAATTATTCCAACTGTCTTATACAATATTTGGAAAAACAACCATCCAGCTTTGTACTAAGAGTTGAGTCAAGCCAAAGCTCTGCAATCAGTCAATAAATATTTCAGTGAATATATACTTTTTACCAGCAAGTCAAAGAACAGAAAAAGTTTTTAGAAAGGTTCCCAAATTCTCAGAGAGAATGGAGCATCCGTGCCCCAGAGAGATGGGCATCAGTGTAGTTATGGAGATGAGGTGTATATATCTAGAATGATTAGGAAGATGTACTCTTTCTGAAATCTTTGGGCTAGCAACTCAGACTTCTAATGCCTCGGTTTTCTAACCTACGAAATGAGGCTGATAATTTTACCACATGAGAATTAAATGATATAATATATTTTAAAAACTCTTCTGAGTCAAAGTACATGCATAATTCTTCTTCCTTTACTAGATAAGGTGGAATACCACTCTCACGTTAACCTCTTAGTAGCTTTGGTGCCTAACAGTTTCTGACACAAGCCGGGCACTAAATATACGTTTAGTGAATGAATGACTGTTCCCAGATGATGTAGTACAGAGTATTCTTGCTTTTATTTTATTTTATTTTATTTTATTTTATTTTATTTTATTTTATTTTAAGACAGTCTTGTTCTGTTTCCCAGGCTAGAGTGCAGTGGCGTGATCTCGGCTCACTGCAACCTCCACCTCCTGGGTTCAAGCGATTCTCCTGCCTCAGCCTACCGAGTAGCTGAGACTACAAGTTCATGCCACTATGTCCACCTAATTTTTGTATTTTTAGTAGAGACGGGGTTTCACCATGTTGGCCAGGCTGGTCTTGAACTCCTGACCTCAGGTGATCCACCTGCCTCAGCCTCCCAAAGTGCTGGGATTACAGGCGTGAGCCACCACACCTGCCCTATTCTTTTTTTTTTTGAGATGGAGTCTCACTCTGTCACCCAGGCTGGAGTGCAGTGGCGCCATCTCGGCTCAATGCAAGCTCCGTCTTCAGGATTCACGCCATTCTCCTGCCTCAGCCTCCTGAGTAGCTGGGACTACAGGCTCCCACCACCACGCCCGGCTAATTTTTTGTATTTTTAGTAGAGACAGGGTTTCACCATGTTAGCCAGGATGGTCTCGATCTCCTGACCTCATAATCCGCCTGCCTAGGCCTCTCAAAGTGCTGGGATTACAGGCGTGAGCCACCGCACCCAGCCTATTCTTGCTTTTAGAATTAAGAAAAAATCCAAGATGCATGAGCCTGAAGTATACAGGGAAATGTTCAGGGAAATATCTGTTGTTGTATTTGGATTTAATTTGGGACTTGAAGGTAATGCAGTATTTAAATAGAAGAGAAACAGGAAAGGAGTTCCAAGAGAAAGGGGTATTATAAACACAGGCACAGAAATGAGACGAGAATCAGAGTATTCTAAGAAGTCATAGCTTGCATCCATACACAACAAAAAATTTAATGATAAAATATATTTTAGAATTATCCTTAATTTTTAAAATTTTAATCCTTAATTTTAAAAATTAAAGTATAATTCTAATATTGGTTATTTTATCAATACTTTCTAATCAGTATTTTTTAATCAATAATTTTATATGTCAAGATAAATCTCTAAAGACAAAACTGCCTCCTGGGTTCAAGCGATTCTCCTGCCTCAGCCTACCGAGTAGCTGAGACTACAGGTTCACGCCACTATGTCCAGCTAATATTTGTATTTTCAGTAGAGACGGGGTTTCACCATGTTGGCCAAGCTGGTCTTGAACTTCTGACCTCAGGTGATCCACCCGCCTCAGCCTCCCAAAGTGCTGGGATTACAGGCGTGAGCCACCACGTCTGCCCTATTCTTGTTTTTTTTTTTTTTTTTTTTTTTGAGACAGAGTCTCGCTCTGTCACCCAGGTTTGGTAAGGTGTCAAACTTGGCATGATCTGTTAATATGATGATCATTGATGGACTTTAATCTTATATGCATATACATTTTATATAAAATGTGAAATCATTGCTGTCAGAAGGGTTCTTGCATAAATTTTCTCTTAATTCTTAGCAGAAATTCATTGTGAGATATTCAGTAATGCTTTTTTTTGAGAAAAGAAAAAACTTAGATGTAGAAAGATCACATCATTTTGCTCTATTATTATAATACCATACACTTTATGCATGTTATAGTTTTCAAAGCATTTTTACTATATTATCTCATGGAGGAGAAGAAGGTTACTAGACAGAAGTTGAGAATTGCTACAGCAATCATACAAGAGAAGGAAATAAAGCATATCCAAATTGGAAAGGAAGATGTCAAATTATCCTTGTTTGTGGATGATATTATCTCATATTTGAAAAAATCTAAAGCCTCCACCAAAAAAACTATTAGAACTGATAAACAAAATCAGTAAAGTTGCAGGGTACAACATCAACATACAAAAATTTTTTTGCATTTCTATATGCCAAAATGAATAATCTGAAAAACAAATCAAGAAAATAATATCATTTACAATAGAATAAAATTTACATTTACAAATAAAATAAAAGCCTAAGAGTAAACTTAACCAAGGAAGTGAAAGATTTCTATGATGAAAGCTATAAAACACTGAATGCAAGGATTTGAAGAGGATACAAAAAATGGAAAGATAATCCATGTTCATGGATTGGAAGAATCAATATTGTTAAAATGTCTATACTACCCAAAGTAATCTACAGATTCAATGCAATTCTTATCAAAACACCAATGACACTCTTCAAAGAAATAGAAAAAAAATCCTAAAATTTATTTGGAACCACAAAAGACTCAGAATAGCCAAAGCCATCCAGAGCAAAAACAAACAAAAAAACAAAACAAAACAAAACTGGAGGGACCACAGTTTCTTACTTCAATTATAATACAGAGCTATTGCAACCAAAACAGCATGGTACTGGCATAAAAATAGGCACACAGACCAAAGGAACAGATTAGAGAACCTAGAAATGAATGTATATATCTATAGTGAACTCCTTTTTAACAAAGGTGCCAAGAACATACAATGAGGAAAGGATAGTCTCTTCAATAAACTGTGCTGAAAAAACTGGATATACATATGCAGAAGAATTAAAATAGGCCCCCATCTCTTTCCATATACAAAAATCAAGTCAAAATAGAGTAAGACCTAATCTAAGACCTCAAACTATGAAGCTACCAAACAAACAAACAAACAAATAAACAAAAAACATTGGGGAAACTCTCCAGGATATTGAATTGAACAAAAGTTTCTTGAGTAATCCCCCACAAGCACAGGCAACGAAAACAAAAATGGAGAAACAGGTTCATATCAAATTAAAAAGCTTATGCACAGCATAGGAAACAATCAACAAAGTGAAGAGGCAACCCACAGAATGGGAGAAGATATTTGCAAACTATCCATTTGAAATAGGATTAATAACCAGAATACATAGGGAACTCAAACAACTCAATAGGAAAAATAAAATAATCTGATTAAAAAAGGGACAAAGATCTGAGTAGACATTTCTCAAAAGAAGACTTATAAATGGCAATCAGATATATGTAAAGGTGCTCAACATCACTGATCATCAGAGAAATGCAAGTCAAAACTACAATGAGATATCATCTCACCCCAGTTAAAACAGATTTTTATCCCAAAACCAGGAAATAAATTGGTGAGGAAGTGGAGAAAAAGGAACACTTGTACACTGTTCTTGGGAATGTAAATTAGTACAACTACTATGGAGAGCAGTCTGGAGATTCCTCAAAAATCTAAAAATAGAACTACCATATGATTCGGAAATTCCACTGCTAGATAAATACCCAAAAGGAAGGCAATCAGGATATCAAAGAGATATCTGCACTCCCATGTTTATTTCAGTACTATTCACAACAGTTAAAATTTGGAAGCAACCAAAGTGTCTATTAACAGATGAATGGATAAAGAAAATGTGGTCAGATACACAATGGGGTACTATTCAGCCATAAAAAGAATGCGATCTTGTCATTTGCAATAACACGGATGGAACTAGAGAGCATTATTTTAAGTGAAAAAAGCCAGGCAAAGAAAAATAAACTTGGAATGTTCTCACTCATTTGTGGGAGCTAAAAAGTAAAACAATTGAATGATGGTTACCAGAGTCTGGGAAGGAAAGTGGGGTAGTTGGGGAGTGGGAATGGTCAATGGGCATAAAAATATAGTGAGATAGAATGAATAAAATCTAGTATTTGATAGCACAAAAGGGTGATTGCAGTAAAAAAAGTATTATACATTTAAAAATAACTATAAGAGTATAATTAGAATGTCTGTAACACATAGAAATTATAAATGCTTGAGGTAATGTATATCCCACTTATCCTGATGAGATTATTACACATTTTATGCCTATATCAAAACATCTCATGTCCCCCATAAATATGTACTCCTACTATGTATCCATTAAAGAAAAAGAAATTGAGAATGATAACTTAACCTTGGTTCCATTTATTAAAATACTATCTTTGAGTAAACCTGAGTAAATCTCCTGTTTTCTGAGCCTTTCTCATTTATGAAATGAAATTTGAATAGATCATAACATAGGGTTTTTTTGGTTGCGAAATACTTTTAAAAATCACTCTTAATGTAACCTGTACAATAAGTAAAACAGATAGATATCTTCTCCTACTTTGAAAATATGAAATCTCAGGATTGGAGAGCTTGTCACTTAATTAGAAAATGATGGAGCCAGGCCCAGAGCACTAAAAATCTGACTCTGAATGTTTTGCTATTACAGAAGGCATTTCATAAAATTTGCATTCTTACATCTGATTTGGCTAATCTGTTAAAATTTCCCCTAAATACTTTAATATTTACAACTTAAATGTCACCAATATTTTTCAGCAAAACAGTTGAAAAGCTATATGTTTACTCACATGATTTGCCAGTTGCTCCATAATGAACAAAGGGTGATTATTTCTGGAGATTTTGTGCTTTGTCTTGGATAACAATCATGTTGAAGCAGTGATAACTAAAGTAATATGATGAGGCAATAAGAACTAAAGTTGAAAACTTGCCCTTTGTCTCTTAAACAGTGTTAATCTCTTTTACTGTACCCCAGCAAATAAAACAAGAGGAGAGTAAAGAAATATGTTAGTGTTGATAAGCATAAACATTACACTAAACGCATCTAGGAGCAATGACATTTTTCTACTTCGCAGCTTACACATACCTACCATCTAGCACCTCCTATAGCAGAGAGAGATCTTGATTTTTGTTTATACTTCCTGAGGTCTGTTATTTTGATGTTGTTCTTAATTTTTATTTTTTAATTTAATTTAATTTTAAGTCCCAAGATGCATGTGCAGGACATGCAGGCTTGTTACATAGGTAAATGTGTGCCATGGTGGTTTGTTGCACCTATCAACCCATCACCTAGGTATTAAGCCCAGCATGCATTAGCTATTTTTCCTGATGCTTTCCCTCTCCTCATAACGCCCCCACCTGCTGACGGGCCCCAGTATGTGCTGTTCCCTTTTCTTTCTTTTTTTTTTTTTATACTTTAAGTTCTGGGTTACGTGTGCAGAACGTGCAGGTTTGTTACATAGGTATACACGTGCCATGGTGGTTTGCTGCACCCATCAACCCGTCATCTAGATTAGGTATTTCTCCTAATGCTATCCCTCCCCTAGCCCCCCACACCCTGACAGGCCCTGGTGTGTGATGTCCCTCTCCCTGTGTCCATGCATTCTCATTTTTCAACTCCCATGTATGAGTGAGAACATGCAGTGTTTGGTTTTCTGTCCTTGTGATAGTTTGCTGAGAATGATGGTTTCCAGCTTCATCCATGTCCCTGCAAAGGACATGAACTCATCCTTTTTTATGGCTGCATAGTATTCCATGGTGTATATGTGCCACATTTTCTTTATCCAGTCTGTCATTGATGGGTGTTTGAGTTGGTTCCAAGTCTCTGCTATTGTGAATAGTGCTGCAGTAAACATATGTGTGCATATGTCTTTATAGCAGAATGATTTATAATCCTTTGGGAATATACCCAGTAATGGGATTGCTGGGTCAAAAGGTATTTCTGGTTCTAGATCCTTGAGGAATTGTCACACTGACATCCACAATGGTTGAACTAATTTATATTCCCACCAACAGTGTAAAAGCATTACTATTTCAACACATCCTCTCCAGCATCTGTTGTTTCCTGACTTTTAAATTATCGCCATTCTAACTGGCATGAGATAGTATCTCAGTGTGGTTTGCTTTGCATTTCCCTAATGACCAGTGATGATGAGCTTTTTTTCATATTTTTCTTGGCTGCATAAATGTCTTCTTTTGAGAAGTGTCTGTTCATATCCTTCACTCACTTTTTGATGGGTTGTTTTTTTCTTGTGAATTTGTTGAAGTTCTTTGTAGATTCTGGATATTAGCCCTTTTACAAGTGGATAGATTGCAAAATTTTTCTCCCATTCTTGAGGTTGCCTGTTCACTCTGATGATAGTTTCTTTTGCTGTGCAGAAGCTCTTTAGTTTAATCAGATCCCATTTGTCAATTTTGGTTTTTGATGCCATTGCTTTTGGTATTTTAGTCATGAAGTCTTTGCCCATGCCTATGTCCTGAATGATATTGCCTAGCTTTTCTTTTAGGGTTTTTATGGCTATAGGTCTTAGGTTTTAGTCTTTAATCCATCTTGAGTTAATTTTTGTATAAGGTCTAAGGAAGGGGTCCAGTTTCAGTTTTCTGCACATGGCTAGCCAGTTTTCTCAACACCATTTATTAAATAGGGAATCCTTTCCCCATTGCTTGTTTCTATCAGGTTTGTCAAAGATCAGATGGTTGTAGATGTGTGGCATTATTTCTGAGGCCTTTGTTCGGTTTCATTGTTCTATATATCTGTTTTGGTACCAGTACTGGTACCAAAACAGTCCTGTTTTGGTTACTGTAGCCTTGTAGTACAGTTTGAAGTCAGGTAGCATGATGCTTCCAGCTTTGTTCTTTTTGTTTAGGATTGTCTTGGCTATATGGACTCTTTTTTGATTCCATATGAAATTTAAAGTAGTTTGCTCTAATTCTGTGAAGAAAGTCAATGGTAGCTTGATGGGGATAGCATTGAATCTATAAATTACTTTGGGCAGTATGACCATTTTCAAGATATTAATTCTTTCTCTCCATGAACTTGGAATATTTTTCCATTTGTTCCTGTCCTCTCTTATTTCCTTGAGCAGTGGTTTGTAGTTCTTCTTGAAGAGGTCCTTCACATCCCTTGTAAGTTGTGTTTCTAGGTATTTTATTCTCTTTGTAGCAATTGTGAATGGGAGTTCACTCATAATTTGGCTCTCTGTTATTGGTGTATAGGTATATACACCAATATATATATGCTTGCGATTTTTGCACATTGATTTTGTATCCTGAGACTTTGCTGAAGTTGCTTATCAGCTTAAGGAGATTTTGGGCTGAGATGATGGGGTTTTCCAAATATACAATCATGTCATCTGCAAACAGAGACAATTTGATTTCCTCTTTTCCTATTTGAATACCATTTATTTCTTTCTCTTGCCTGACTGGCCTGGCCAGAACTTCCAATACTATGTTAAATAGGAGTGGTGAGAGAAGGCATCCTTGTCTTGTGCCAGTTCTCAAAGGGAATGCTTCCAGCTTTTGCCTATTCAGTATGATATTGGCTGTGGGTTTGACATAAATAGCTCTTATTATTTTGAGACACGTTCCATCACTATCTAGTTTATTGAGAGTTTTTAGCATGAAGGGGTGTTGAATTTTATCACAGGCTTTTTCTGCATCTATTGAGATAATCATGTGGTTTTTGTCTTTGGTTCTGTTTATGTGATGGATTACGTTTATTGACTTGTGTATGTTGAGCCAGCCTTGCATCCCAGGGATGAAGCCAACTTCATTGTAGTGGATAAGCTTTTTGATGTGCTGCTGGATTTGGTTTGCCAGTATTTTATTGAGGATTTTCCCATTGATGTTCATCAGGGATATTGGCCTGAAATTTTCTTTTTTTGTTGTTGTGTCTCTGCCACATTTTGGTATTAGGATGATTCTGGACTCAAAATGGGTCAGGGAAAAGTCCCTCTCTTTCTGTTGTTTGGAATAGTTTTAGAAGGAATGGTACCCGCTCCTCTTTGTACCTGTGGTAGAATTTGACTGTGAATCTGTCTGGTCCTGGGCTTTTTTTTGGATGGTAGGCTACTAATTACTGCCTCAATTTCAGAACTTGTTATTGGTCTATTCAGGGATTCGACTTCTTCCTGGTTTAGCCTTGGGAGGGTGCATGTGTCCAGGAATTTATCCGTTTCTTCTAGATTTTCTAGTTTATTTGCATAGAGGTGTTTATAGTATTTTCTGATGGTAGTTTGTATTTCTGTGGGATCAGTGGTGATATCCCCTTTATCATTTTTCATTGTGTCTATTTGATTCTTCTCTCTTTTCTTCTTTATTAGTCTGGCTAGTGGTCTATCTACTGTGTTAATCTTTTCCAAAAACCAGCTCCTGGATTCATTGATTTTTTTGAAGGGTTTTTCATGTCTCTATCTCCTTCAGTTGTGCTCTGATCTTAGTTATTTCTTGTTTTCTGCTAGCTTTTGAATGTGTTTGCTCTTGCTTCTCTAGTTCTTTTAATTGTGATGTTAGAGTGTCCATTTTAGATCTTTCCCACTTTCTCCTGTGGGCATTTAGTGCTATAAATTTCCCTCTAAACACTGCTTTAGCTGTGTCCCAGAGATTCTTGTACCTTGTGTCTTTGTTCTCATTGGTTTCAAAGAACTTATTTATTTCTGCGTTAATTTCTTTATTTGCCCAGTAGTGTCATTCAGAAGCAGGTTGTTCAATTTCCATGTACTTGTGTGGTTTTGAATCAGTTTCTTAATGCTGAGTTCTAATTTGATTGCACCGTGGTCTGAGAGACAGTTTGTTATGATTTCCGTTCTTTTGCATTTGCTGAAGAGTGTTTTTTTTTTCAATTATGTTGTCAATTTTAGAATAATAGCAATGTGGTACTGAGAAGAACGTATATTCTGTTGATTTAGGGTGGAGAGTTCTGTAGATGTCTATTAGGTCCACTTGGTCCAGAGCTGAGTTCAAGTCCTGAATATCCTTGTTAATTTTTTGTCTTGTTGATCTGTCTAATATTGACATTGGGGTGTTAAAGTCTCCCACTATTATTGTGTGGTAGTCTAACTCTCTTTGTAGGTCTCTAAGAACTTGCTTTATGAATCTGGGTGCTCCTGTATTGGGTACATATATATTTAGGATAGTTAGCTCTTCTTGTTGCATTGATCCCCTTACCATCACATAATGCCCTTCTTTGTCTTTTTTAATCTTTGTTGGTTTAAAGTCTGTTTTATCAGAGACTAGGAATGCAACCTCTGCTCTTTTTTGATTTCCATTTGATTGGTAAATATTCCTCCATCCCTCTATTTGATCCTATGTATGTCTTTGCACATGAGATTGGTCTCCTGAGTACAGCACACCGATGGGTCTTGACTCTTTATCCAATTTACTAGTCTGTGGCTTTTAATTGGGGTACTTAGCCTATTTACATTTAAGGTCAATATTGTTGTGTGTGAATTTGATCCTGTCATTATGATGCTAGCTGGTTATTTTGCCCATTAGTTGATGCAGTTTCTTCATAATGTTGTTGGTCTCTACAATTTGGTATGTTTTTGCAGTGGCTGGTACCAGTTTTTCCTTTCCATATTTAGTACCTCCTTCAGGAGCTCTTGTAAGGCAGGCCTGGTGGTGATAAAATATCAGTGTTTGCTTGTCTGTAAAGGATATTATTTCTCCTTCGCTTATGAAGCTTAGTTTGGCTGGATATGAAATTCTAGGTTGAAAATTATTTTCTTTAAGAATGTTGAATATTGGCCCCTACTCTTTTCTGGTTTGTAGGGTTTCTGCAGAGAGATCTTCTGTTAGTCTGATGGGCTTCCCTTTGTGTGTAACCCGACCTTTCTCTCTGGCTGCCCTTAACATTTTTTCCTTCATTTCAACCTTGGTGAATCTGCCAATTATGTGTCTTGGGGATGCTCTTTTTGAGGAGTATCTTTGTGGTGTTCTCTGTATTTCCTGAATTTGAATGTTGGCCTGTCTTGCTAGGTTGGGGAAGTTCTTCTGGATAATATCCTGAAGAGTGTTTTCCAGCATGGTTCCATTCTCCCCGTCACTTTCAGGTACACCAATCAAATTTAGGTTTGGTGTTTTCACATAGTCCCATATTTCTTGAAAGTTTTGTTCATTCCTTTTTATTCTTTTTTCTCTAATCTTGTCTTCACACTTTATTTCATTAAGTTGATCCTCAATCTCTGATATCCTTTCTTTCACTTGATCAATTTGGCTATTGATAATGGTGTATGCTTCATGAAGTTCTCGTGCTGTTTTTCAGCTCCATCAGGTCATTTATGTCCTTCTCTAAACTGGTTATTCTAGTTAGCAATTCCCCTAGCCTTTTTTTCAAGGCTTCCTTGGATTGGGTTAGAACATGCTCCTTTAGCTTGGAGGAGTTTGCTATTACCCACCTTCTGAAGCCTACTTTTGTCAATTTGTCAAACTCTTTCTTCACCCAGTTTGTTCCCTTGCTGGCAAGGAGTTGTGATTTTTTGGAGGAGAAGAGGCATTCTGGTTTCTGGAATATTCAGCCTTTTTTGTGCTGTTTTTTCCTTATGTTCTTGGATTTATCTACCTTTGGTCTTTGATGTTGGTGACCTTCAGATGGGGTTTCTGTGTGGATGCTCTTTTTGTTGATGTTGATGTAATTCTTTTCTGTTTGTTAGTTTTCCTTCTAACAGTCAGGGCCCTAAGCTGCAGGTCTGTTGGAGTTTGCTGGAGGTCCACTCTGGCCCTGTTTGCCTGAGTATCACCAGTGGAGGCTGCAGGACACCCTGCTGCCTGTTCCTTCCTCTGGAAGCTTCATCCCAGAAGGGCACCAGCCAGATGCCAGCAGGAGATCTACTGTATGAGGTGTCTGTCGACTCCTGTGGGGAGGTGTCTCCCAGTCAGGAGGCATGGGGGTCAGGGACCCACTTGAGGAGACAGTCTGTCCCTTAGCAGAGCTTGAATGCTGTGCTGGGAGATCCACTGCTCTCTTCAGAGCTGGCAGGCAGGAATATTTAAGCTGCACCCACAGCCACCCCTTCCGCCAGTTGATCTATCCCAGGGAGATGGGAGTTTGATCTATAAGCCCCTGACTGGGGCTGCTGCCTTTCTTTCAGAGACGCCCTGCCCAGAGAGGAGGAATCTAGAGAGGCAGTCTGGCTATAGTGGCTTTTCGAGCTGCAGTGGGCTCCACCCAGTTTGAACCTCCTGGTGTCTTTTTACACTGTGAGGGGAAAACTGCCTACTCAAGCCTCAGTAATGCCAGACAACCCTCCCCTCACCAAGCTTGAGCATCCCAAGTTGACTTCAGACTGCTGTGCTGGCAACGAGAGTTTCAAGCCAGTGGATCTTAGCTTGCTGGGCTCTGTTGGGATGGGATCCACTGAGCTAGACCACTTGGCTCCCTGGCTTCCACCCCCTTTCCAGGGAAGTGAACGGTTCTGTCTTGCTGACGTTCCGGCTGCCACTGTCACTGGAGTATGAAAAAAAACTCCTGCAGCTAGCTCAGTGTCTGCCCAAACAGGTGCCCAGTTTTGTACTTGAAACCCAGGCCCTGGTGGTGTAGGCACCCAAGGGAATCTCCTGCTCTGTGGGTTGTGAAGACCATGGGAAAAGCATAGTATCTGGGCCGGGATGCACTGTTCCTCGTGGCACAGTTCTTCACAGCTTCCCTTGGCTAGGGGAGGGAGTTCCCTGACCCCTTGCGCTTCCTGAGTGAGGTGACGCTCCACCCTGCTTTGGCTCGCCCTTTGGCTGCACCCACTCTCTGGCCAGTCCCAGTGAGATGAGCTGGGTACCTTAGTTGGAAATGCAGAGATCACTTGCCTTCTGGGTTGATCTTGATGGGAGCTGCAGACTAGAGCTGCTCCTATTCAGAGATCTTGCCAGCCAATCTGTTGTTCCCTTTTCTGTGTCCATGTGTTCTAATTGTTCAGCTCCCACTTATAAGTGAGAACATGCAGTGTTTGGTTTTCTGTTCCTGCATTAGTTTGCTGAGGATAATGGCTTCCAGCTCCATCCATGTTCCTGCAAAGGACATGATCTTTCTCCTTTTTATGGCTGCATAGTATTCCATGGTGTATATGTGACACATTTTCTTTTTAAAATCCAGCCTATGATTGAAAGGCATGTGGGTTGATCTCATGTCTTTGCTATTGGGAATAGTGCTGCAGTGAACATATGCATGCATGTATTTTTATAATAGAATGATATATATTCCTTTGGGTGTATATGCAGTAATGGGATTGCTGGGTCAAATGGTATTTCTGGTTCTAAGTCTTTGAGGAAGTACAACACTGTCTTCCACAATGGTGAACTAATTTACACTCCCACCGATAGTGTGAAAGCATTCCTACTTCTCCACAGCCTTGCCAGCATCCGTTGTTTTTTGACTTTTTAATAATCACCATTCTGACTGGCATGAGATGGCAAATCACTGTGATTTTAATTTGCATTTATCTAATGATCAGTGATGTTGAGCTTTTTTTCATATGTTTTTGGTCACATAAATGTCTTCTTGAGAAGTGTCTCTTCATGTCCTTTGCCCACTTTTAAATTTTTTTTTTTTTTTTTGTAAATTTGTTTAAGTTCCTTGTAGATTCTGGATATTAGACCTTTGTCAGTTGTATAGATTGCAAAAATGTTCTCCCATTCTGTAGAATGTCTGTTCACTCTGACGATCGTTTCTTTTACTGTGCAGAAGCTATTTAATGTAATTAGATCCCATTTGTCAATTCTTCCTTTTGTTGCAGTTGCTTTTGACATTTTCATCATGAAACCTTTACCTGTGCCCATATCCTGAATGGTATTGCCTAGATTTTCTTCTAGGGTTTTTATACTTTTCTGTTTTAAATTTAAGTCTTTAATCCATCTTGAGTTAAATTTTGTATAAGGTGTAAGGGAATGGTCCAGTTTCAATGTTCTGCGTATGGCTAGCCAGTTTTACCAGCATCGTTTATTAAATAGGGAATCATTTTCCCATTGCTTGTTTTTGTCAGGTGGGTCAAAGATCAGATGGTTGTAGATGTGTGGTCTTATTTCTGAGATCTCTATTCTGTTGCATTGGTCTATGTGTCTGTTTTTATACCAGTATCATGCTGTTTTGGTTACTGTAGGCTTGTAGTACAGTTTGAAGTCGGGTAGCCTGATGCCTCAAGCTTTGTTTAGGATTGTCTTGGCTATACAGGTTCTTTTTTTGGTTCTACATGAATTCTAAAGTAGTGTTTTCTAATTCTATGAAGACTGTCAATGGTAGTTTAATGGTAATAGCATTGAATCTACAAATTACTTTGGGCAGTATGGCAATTTTCACGGTGTTGGTTATTTCTATCTATGAGCATGGAATGTTTTTCCATTTGTTTGTGTCCTCTTTGATTTCCTTGACCAGTGGTTTGTAGTTCTCTTTGAAGAGGTCCTTCACTTCCCTTGTTAGCTGTATTCCTAGGTATTTTATTCTCTTTCTAGCAATTGTGAATGGAAGTTCATTTATGATTTGGCTCTTTGCTTGTTTATTGTTGGTGTATAGGAATGCTTCTAATTTTTGCAGATTGATTTTGTATCCTGAGACTTTGCTGAAGTTGCTTATCAGCTTAATTTGCATTTAAGCTGAGATGATGGGGTTTTCTAGATATAGGATCATGTCATCTGCAAACAGATGGTTTGACTTCCTCTCTTCCCATTTGAATACCCTTATTTCTTTCTCTTGCTGATTGCCCTGGCCAGAACTTCCAATACTATGTTGAATAGGAGTGGTAAGAGAGGGCAACCTTGTTTTGTGCTGGTTGTCTTTAATTTTTTAGGTGTTCTGTTTATAACTGTCTAACTTCTAACAATTTCTTTTACATTAGTAATCAGTATAATAATGTAAGCATTATGAGGACAGGAATTTTTGTCTGCTTTGTTCACTGATGTATTCTCAGTGCTTAAATAGTGTCAGCACATAGTAGGTACACAATAAATATTTGTTAAATAAAAACTGTATTAGTCCATTATGCTGCTATGAAGAAATACCTGAGACTGGGTAATTTATAAAGAAAACAGGTTTAATTGACTCGCAGTTCTGCATGGCCAAGGAGACCTCAGGAAACTTATAATCATGGCAGAAGGCATCTCTTCACAGGGTGGCAGGAGAGAGAATGAAAGCCAGGCAAAGGGGGAAACCCCTTATAAAACCATTAGTTCTTGTGAGAACTCACTCACTATTAAGAGAACAGCATGGAGGAAACTGCCGATGATTCAATTATCTTTGCCTGATCCCACCCTTGACATGTGGGGATTATTAGAATTCAAGGTGAGATTTGGGTAGGGACACAGAGCGAAATCATATCAAATACATTTAAAAATTGTCTCCAAATCGATTATTTTTTTTTTAAAAAGAAGTGTTTTGCAACCTAGAGTGCAGTTGTTAGTAAAAGTAATTTAAATAGGAGAGACGTTTTCTTTCTGAATGAGTTTTTTTTCTTTTCTAAAAATTTGATACACAATATTTGATGTTTGGACATTTTTGGTTGTTTCAACATATAGTTTTCAAAATAAAGAAGAAACAATATTTATTTTAGGTAACTATAATGTTACCTAAAAGAAAGTTAGGGACTCTGCTTCCTTCTTATTTATGTGCCTCTCCCATTGTTACATTGTTTGCAGATAAGAAAAATACAGAAATTACATTTCCCCCTGCTTTTCCCAACTTTTCAGCTTCACTGATTATTCTTTCTCCCCCTTTCCTCATTCCAGTGCCCACTTATGCCTTCTCTTTTCTGATCGTGTGCTTCCCCCTCCATACAATCAAAATGCATTTGACATGAATGATGAAAAATATAACTAAGGGGGTGAGGGTGGGTCAGGTACCTGGGGACCTGAACCCAGGTCACCATCTTTACACTGCAGTCTGTGTTTCTGGATTTACACAGGTGAAATGTTGACCTAGAAGTACAGCGTGTGGAACAAACTACTACAGCTTTAAGCTGTGAAGGTTTATCAAAAAAGAGCAGAAACAAAGGCAAGCAGATGGCTGAAGATGAAGGTCACATCAGATTGAGAAGTTTGTCAAAATGTGATGACATAGGTAATCTGTAAACTGTTATTGCGCCTAGCTGGAGGTGCTGAAAAACATTTTGAAATTACAAAAAACACTGGAGTCGCCAGCACAGAGGCAGGAATGATAGCCTGGAGTGGTTCTGGTCTATGGATGAATGCCAGATGTGGAAAGCGACATATCTGGAATTAATGATATTAAACATGCTTTTCTTTTATGCTCAATAATAACTCTATTATGATTGATACAAACCGCAGACACTTTATCTAGTACAAATGGAATCGTCTGTCATTGACTATATTAAATCATCAATTTCTGCATGATGAGGATCGTTTAGGGTAACTAATCATCTGTCTCGTTCTGAAGTCTTTAAGGCTCATCAGATAACGTTTTGAATACTGCCTGAGCAACCATGACAATCTAACCCTTCCATGTAAGGATTGAGAGGGGCCCATTATGCCGTCAAAGCCTGTGGAAATATCACAGCTCTTTCTCTACATAATACCCTGCTGTAAATAAATCACTCTCCACCACAAACTTTATTGATCACAAGCACTTCCATGCTTGTGTCTAGTGAAGTCTCTACAGAATAAAATGCTGCTTTATATTTTGTCTTGTCAAAATATTAAACGGCTCTGTCAAGCGGAGTCAGGGTAGCAGTGATGGTGTAATTCTGCTGTAGCCCTTCTCATTCCCTCCTTCTATCTCAGCTGCCAAGCTTACAAAGCAGGATTTTATTTTTATAAACTTTCCAATTATAGTCTCGTAAGATTATGAAGCCTTAAGATAAAGTGTCCTAATTTAGAGCAGTGGAGTACTGAACTCCTAGGAAAGCGACTGTTAGATAAAACAGCATTTCTCACAAGGAAAAAGATAACCTGGCTTATTTATATACACAACTTTAATGGGCAGTGGGAGTTAGGCTGAAAAAAATCTCTTTCATTTTACCTCGCAAAATGGAGGGAGGGTAGAATCTAAATGAATTTGCACTAAAGTGCTTATTAGTCATACTTAGGAAATTATGTGTTATGATCTAAACCAGCTTATGGGGGGCAGATGGGAAGACTGAGTTGAAACTGAAGTCCGCCATTAATGCAATACATATTTTCCAAATGGCATGGATAGGGTATGTAGCCACTAAGTGTTATCACATACTGTAGTATGTTTGTGGCAACACCCAGAAACAACAAGCAAATTCAAAGTGTAATTTACTGCTTGCTAATGCTGAATTTCCTGGGCAGCATATGGTTTTAATGCAATCTAAAAGTAGTTTCCTCTTTTGTCCCTTATAAAGGGGTAGAATTTTGCTTTCAATAGGGCAAGGAAAAAGACTGAAATCACTTAGAGAAGAGTATAAGATTTAGTGTACTGGGCCATTAGTGCTGCTTGGAGGACACTGGGTTTGATCTTTATTCCCTTTTGGAAGATCATTAACTCTTTTAGACATTTAGCAAATAACCTCTTCCAAGGCTTACAAGAGTTTATACACCATCAGAAGAGTGCATTTTGCTTCTGTCTTGTCTATTTCTGAACCAGATATTTATTGAAGCTTTTGTTTGGTCATTTTTAAAAAGAAGTTAAGCTGTAACATGAATTGATAATCCCAGACAGTGAATTTATGTTAGAGGCATAAAAACTGGACGCCACAAAAACTGCAAGTTCAAGTCTCATCATGGACCTCTGTGTATGCCTCTGTTCCTGGCTCAAAGAGATTCTAGTGAAGAGAGGAGAACAAATTTTAGCTTAGGGACAGGGTTAAACCCACTGGCATATTTCAAAGAAGCAAGTAAACAGCTTTTTTTGATGGTAATAAATTTGAACCATCAACAACCTTAGCTTAATTCAAGTTCTAATTCATCTCCATAGTTCCCTCACCAGTATTTTTTTAAAGTACTATAATGGGCAGTAAACTCAAAGATAGTGGTGTCAATCTCCATCAGTTTTCTTTTTTAAGACAATGTGGAAGTTGGTAAATTCTACTGAATTATAGAGTCTCTTTCCAAGTAATTACAGCCGTGTATTTTCTTGTGAGTGAAATAAAATGTGCAAATATATTTGCAAATATATTGTGGAAAGTATTTTGTTTAAAGCTGGAGCCATTTCTGCCTTATTCAGAAAGATTCACTAAATCTCTCCACAGGCTAGTTACTCCTTGTTTCACCGGAAACAGCCCCTGACCTTGAGAGGCTTCAGGTTTACTGAGGGAGACTCACTTGTAAACAAGTAACAACAATGCAGTCTGAGAAGAGCTGTGGTGTAGGTACCTCCCACATCTGTGTTAGCCCTTGTTCTGTATTTAACCATAAGATGTATGCTAATTATTTTTCATGTATCAGTTTAATAGACATTGGTGGTTTATGCCTGCTAATTTTCTTAGAACAGCTTCTTGTTTTTGTTCCCTTCACTGATCTCGAAGCGGGTGGAACTGACCTTACTTCCACCTTCACCTGGCCAGAATGGGGACATAATGCAGGCCTTGACAACATGGGCAGTACGACCTCTGGCTACACTGATTTATTCCAGGATAGACAGTAGCATGGTCAGGAAGAGGCAGAGTCAGGTTATTCCTCAGGCATGGTGGCTTCCACACTGCATGTTCCTAACCACTGTGCTTTACAATCTCTCAGGCTATCCAATGTAGAGGTGAGTGAATGGGTAAAATGTTGAAGGTAAAAAGGCCCACGCCAGTCCAATGAGATTCACTGTTGGGACTTTTACTGAAACGCTATTTCTGCCGATTTGCTGAGCTGGTATGCCTGTGGAAGTCCAAGTGCCACCATTAATGAAGAAAGAAGTCCCCGGAGAAGGAAGTCAAACACAGAAGAAAGAGCTGAGAGGTGCAGAAATGGAGAAAGAGTGAAACACCGGAAAGATTAAATGAGCTGGGTGGTATCATTTGATACCCTGGATCCAGCCATTCCTCAAACATCTATCCCTGGACTTTTGAGTTTCAAGAGCCAAGAACAATTGGCTACTCTTGCTGAAGCTAGTTTGAGGTAAATTTCTCTACAAATTAACAATGTAGTTAAAGAGATACCTCCTTAAAGGCTCAATTGGTAGAAAATAAAGTACTGTCTCTAAAGGATCACAGAACGTTGAGTTAGATTCAATGGCAGAGACTGCGAGAAGGAGCCTCCAGGGCAAAGTCATCATTTATCTTTAAAATAGCACTTTAATTTTCTAGTAACCTTGGTATTGGGTCAAAAACCTTCCTATAATTAGAAACCAGCTGATAATTGTACACTGTAATTTCTATTAGAAGATTTAAAAAATCTATTATCTAAATATTTGTTTTCCTTCTATTTAGTAAGCATTTTCTCTTAGTTTCTGGGTTTCCCCTGGTTTGCACAGCAGATCATTATAGAAGTTGTATAAATCCTCTTCCGTATATGAAGGTATCATTTAATATCCTGTGAGGCAGCTCTTTTCAGGCACCAGGAAACCCATTATTGTAGCATCCCTGAAAGTGTTAATGCAGTTTCCTCAAGTACCTAGCATACTCCTGGGGAGTAGCTTACACTGTGGGAGAATCTAGGTCAATGTGCATGACTGAAAATAGCTTAACAGTGAATCCAATATGAATTGAAAAAATAATGAGATGAGATCCTAGCCATGAGATACCCTGACTGGACTGATATTAGGTCTAAAAATCAAGCATCCCAGGTCTTGGAATAGGTGTATTGGTCAGCACGATTTTCTTTCCTGGCCTTGTTGAACTGTTTTAAAGGAACGCTGGACGTTTAGATCTCAGTTCAGCCAAAGAGGCTGCCAAAAAGACAAAGGATCCTGTTTCATATAGAAGCCAGATTGCAGTTTGGAAGGGAAATAAAAACTTCTAGTTAACTGACATTACATCTCTAGGCAATTTTACATTTTTGTTCAGGAGTCCATTACTATCCCCTGAAGATATTGCATTTTCTAACATTAATAATTTGACTGTAAAAAGAAAAATTCAAACCTCTCACTGTTCTGAAATTTGGTAAACAGAGAGATCATGTAGGGAAGTGAAAAACACAATATATTTTATTTTGGGGAAAAAATGGGTTCGGATTACTTTGTCACTCTTTAAATATAAAATGCTTAAATGGTTGCTATCACATTCCTGGTGTTTATTGTAGGGAAACAGTTTACTGATAAGCTGAATCTCATGAAGTAAGATTATTTTCTCTTTTTTTTTTCCTTTTTTTGAGACGAAGTCTCACTCTTGTCGCCTACGCTGGAGTGCAGTGGCGAGATCTTGGCTCACTGCAACTTCCACCTCCCCGGTTCAAGCCATTCTCCTGTCTCAGTCCCTCAGGTAGCTGGGATTACAGGCACACGCCACCATGCCCAGCTACTTTTTTGTATTTTTAGTAGAGACAGGGTTTCACCATGTTAGCCAGGCTGGTCTTGAACTCCTGAGCTCAAGTAATCCGCCTGCCTCGGCCTCCCAAAGTGCTAGGATTACAGGTGTGAGCCATCATAAGTAACAGACTGCTTAATTTTTTTTCCCCACTGATACAAGTTATAATTAAGCATTTGGCAATAGCATCAATAATAAATTCAATTCTATCATTATGCCAGCTAGGTAGTATCTCTGAAAAGAAAAAAGGTCTTATTTTTGTCATAACCTTAAACTACTCAATTCTTTCCCAATTCAAGTCAACAAATAACTTTTGAGTGTTTGCCATTGGATGGTCTGTTTGCTCGATACCACCCTGCTAGATACTGTATGTTAAAGGAAGGTGTTGAGGATATAGTTGCTACTGACATGGAAATTTCAAACAAATTGCATCACTGGGGTTAGTTGGTGAGGGACTGGGGCAAGGAGGCAGAAATGTATGCAATTATCGATAGTGTAAGGTAAACTAAAGTTAGTGCTCAGTAGAGGTACAGGCGCTATAGGAGATACAAGAAAGTAATTAATTCTAAGTAACAGGCTTGGGGATGACATTGTGAAAATAATCTTGGGTTTGAATTTACAAGTGTTTGAGACATGAAGTAGGCATTCCAAGTTGAAAGAACAGCATAATCAAAGGCATGGAAGCATGAAAGCATGAAAGTGTATGTTGTGATTTAGGAACACTGAATTAATTAGGGATGTTTGCAGTGCAGGAGTTGAAGAAGGTTGAGCTGAGTAATGATAAAGGTAGGTTGAGTCCAGATTGCTAGATATCTTAAAAAGGAGTCTGAGTATTTTTTGTTATTGTTGTTAGAAATGGGGAGGCATGAACGTGAAGTGATATGATTTCATCTGAATTTTTAGAAAATTAGTGTTAACAATGTAATAGTAGTAGCTAACATTTATTGAGTGCTTAGTATGTGCAAGCTCAGTTCTACATGTGTAATGTATATTAACTCTTTTAACCCACATCATAGTCTCATATGCAGTTATTATTATTATTCTCCTTTTACATTGAGGCACATGGAAGTTTTGCAGTTTGAAAATAGTCATACGGCTAGGATGCAGACAGAGCCATACAGGCAGAGCCAGGTCGCCAAGGCTGGAGTGCAGTGGTGCAATCTCAGCTCACTGCAACCTCCGCCTCCTGGGTTCAAGCGATTCTCCTGCCTCAGCCTCCTGAGTAGCTAGGATTACAGGCATGCACCACCACGCCCGGCTAATTTTTGTATTTTTAGTAGAGACAGGATTTCACCATGTTAGTCAGGCTGGTCTCGAACCCCTGACCTCATGATCTGCCCGCCTCGGCCTCCCAAAGTCCTGGGATTACAGGCGTGAGCCACTGCACCTGGCTTAATTTTTATATTTTTAGTAGAGGCAGGGTTTCATTCACCATGTTAGCCAGGCTAGTCTCGAACTCCTGACCTCAAGTGATCCACTTGCCTTGGCCTCCCAAAGTGCTGGGATTACAAGTGTGAGCCACCATGCCCAGCTTAGTAAAGCTTCTTCTGAAGATGTTTAAGTTAAGCAGCGATCTGAAGAATGAGAAGGAGTTATGCGAGTTAAGGATGTTGGATGTATGAGATTAGAGAAAGCATGCCAGTATTCATGGAACTAAAAAAGATGAGAGCGGCTGAAACTTAGAGAATAAAAAGAAGACAAAGTTTGAGATAAAATTGTAAAGAGAGTCAGCGACCAGACCATATAAGGCTTTTAAAGCTATGCAAAGGATTTTAGAATTTATTTTAAACAGTGACAATTTATAGACAAATTTTAGGCAGATAAGTGACATGGTAAAATTTGAATTTTATTGTGGCTACTAGGAGGTGGGATGGATAATGTGGTCAAAAAAGGACATAGCTAATTAGGAGATTATATCAATAATACCAAAGAGCAATGATGGGGATTAGATTAGCATGATGGTGGTAGAAAAGAAAAGCAGAAGCAAAGTTGAAAGAGTTGGTGATGAATCAAGATGGAAAGTAAGCGAGAAAGAGGGATGAGAGACGACTTTCATGTGAACAATTGAATGGACTTTTTCTAGTCCCAACTAAGTAGATGGAGGTGCCACTATCACAGACTGGGACAATTTAAGAATATTTAAAGCTCAGTTTCTGAAGATGGAAGTTTATGATGCCTATAGCAATTCCAATTGGAGATAATATGTGTGTAGCTTATCAAGTTTCTGAAGCTGAGAATACAGGCTGTGGCAGTTATGGAGATACACATTTAGACATATACGCACACACACATATAGAGATCTAGTACACAGAAGGTATTTAAAGCCATGCCAACTGGTGAGATTGTTATGACAAGATGGAAGTGTGAGAAGAGATAGTTGAACTAAGACTTGTTGAACACCAACATTTAGTTATAGGGTAGAGAGCAAGGTGATAATAATCAACGTGGACTTAGAATTATCTGGAAGAGAAAACCAAGAGAGTCCGGTGTCATAAAAGACCAGTAATGCAGGCCAGTATGTTACATAATTCCAGTAAGTCAAGAAAGATGAGTGCAGAATAACACATATGAGCTATAAAATCATGGATATCACAGGTGACTCTAAAGAAAATAGTTTTGCTGTAGTGGGACTCACAGCCAGACTGAATTGCCTTGAAGAGTGAAAGGGAAATGAGAAAGTAGAGAAGACAGCAGATGGACAATGCTTTCTGGAAGATTGATTGACAGCACATGGACAATGCTTTTGGAAGCTTGATTGTAAAGCGGAGAAAAAAAATTAGAGCAGTAAACAGAAAGATGTGGGCAAAATGGAAGGCATTCTTATTGTTGCTTGTGGTTTTACATATAGGAACTGTTAAGCATATTGAATGCCTAGGGGAAGAATTCAGAAAGGGAGAGACTAAGTAGGAAAAGAGAGGAAAACAGGTATGACAAAAGTCCTGAACCAGGCTGAAGCTGAGGTACAGGGGTAAAGTGGGTAATCTGGGGTAAAGGTGAAGGAATCGGCCTTTGTTTTTGTAGGAAAGATGCATCCTATGTTGCAAAAGAGGTGAAACAACGAGGACAGGACAGATACAGGTGGGTTTAGAGATTTGACAGTGGCAAGATGAAGGTATTCCTGCCTTATGGCCTCTTTTTTTACTCTGAAAATTATGAGGCAATGCCATACACTGAAGTGATGAGATAAAAGTGCAAACCTTTGAGAGTAAATGAGATAGTCTAAGTCTAGAATGTATTGTAAAAGTAATAATATTCTCAGATCAGAAACTTTGAAGCATATTCACCTTTAAAGAGTCAGGGGAGGAAGAAAAATATGTGCAGCAGAGTAACAGTGGGTGGACGTAGGCAGAAAGAGAGCAAAGAGGCCAGGTTATGCCAAGAAAGGGCAAAGTTTGCATGAGTCTCCAAAGGGAATGCTAGTGTCAAATGACCTGCCAAAAGTAATTAGAATGGTAGTATTTTTTTTAAGTTTGTGTTATGTGGCAAGAACTATGCTAAGTGGTTTACATGCATTAATTCATAGCAAAGGCTATGAAAAATGTACTATTATCTGTAGACAGATTAAATGACTTGCCCAAGCTCAAACGACCAAGAGTGATATGGTCAGGTTTATAATATAGAAATGACAGAATCTGAAGTCCAAGAACTGGATACCTTCTCAAAAGAATGATTAACATATATTGGGCCCTTGCTATTAGCAAGCCTTTTGCTAAGTATTTTATGGGAAATGGGGGGAAATGATCAATTCAAGATAAATAAAAAGAGAGTTTAATGTATTGGCAGTTAACTAAGGTAGAAGAATATAGTGTGCTCCAAAAGCTTAGTAAGGTATTTTACTGAACCCATTGACAGCATTATTTATTAAGTACTCATTCTTTAAATACAAAATTGAAAGATGAGATGGGGATAAGATAGAGTTAAAATAACATATTCTCTGACCTATAGGAATTTACAAACTAACATTGACTCCATGCAGGTACAGAACAGTGGGTCAATCATTAAAAATAAATACATGAATAAAATATTCATAGTAAGTAAATGCAAAGATGGTTCTCAGCAAACTGGACATTTTAGGACTTGGTTGCTTAGACAGTATCAAGATTAGAATACCTCTGCTCTGAAGTTGGGCCATTTGATGGAATTCCTGAAGTGACATGACATTTTTGCCATATCTCCCTCTGGCCCTCTTGGGGAAAAGGTTGTTATCCTCCAGGGTTTAAATTCTAAAGAAGGCAAGATTTGAATGAGAATATATGATATTGCTTATGCCTTATAAGAAAGGCCAGAGTGGGTAATTGCAAAGGTGAGGATAGAATGCTGCTGGTGTTCAGGGCTGATGTTACAAATAGTCTCACTTGATTGTTCCAGATTCAAATATAGGACCTACATACTAATGGCATGTAAAATATGAGAAATTGTTATCACTCCATCTAGCAATACCTATATCTCTACCAATGCCCATCTACCTATTTTCTGACTATGTTTCTATCTACTAAAAACCTGCATAGGAAAATAAAAAAAAACACCTCCTTTATAGATATATTGGCAATGCCTTATAACAACTACAGTCATTATATTGAAGTTTCTATATTAGAAAATGGCCTCCAAATTCAAGTAGATAGATCATGTTTGCAGAACTTGGTTGATTTGATTAAGGCAGATACTTTACATAAAGAGTCTAGGACAATGCCGGGCACGGTGGCTCACTCCTGTAATATCAGCACTTTGGGAGGCCGAGGCAGGTGGATTGCCTGAGCTCTGTAGTTCGAGACCAGCCTGGGCAACACGGTGAAACCCCATCTCTACTAAAACATACACACACACACACACACACACACACACACACACACACACACAAAATTAGCCAGGCATGGCGGCATGTGCCTGTAATCCCAGCTACTCGGGAGGCTGAGCAGGAGAATTGCTTGAACCTGGGGGACAGATGTTGCAGTGAGCCAAGATCGTGCCACTGCACTCCAGCCTGGGTGACAGAGCAAGACTGTCTCTAAAAAAAAAACAAAAAAAAAAAAACAGTCTAGGACAATCACAATCACTCCACTAAGTTGCCATCTATATGACAATTTGACAATTTCTCTTTATGAGGGAAGAAAAATCCATTTCATTGCTGTTTATACAGTTATTCTTATTTGCTAATCACAGTGAAGTAAAAGCTTTAAGTCAATAATAACTCTAGGGAAGCAAGGCTGTTCACTGCAATTTTATTAATTGCTTTTAATAGTCAAGCACTTTAAATACTCTCACTCTCTCTCAAATATGATTAAGGTGGTAAAAGAAACTAAGGATATCTTCTGTATTTGTAGGGTGAATATAAGTTTTAGTGCAGGGCAATTATCCCTTTCTTTTCATTTGGAAGACTTTTCTTGTTTGTTTCCAGCCCCTTTTAGACAAAAGCGGTTTCTAGAAATCTATGCATTATATACAAATTTACGGTGGAATATCTTGTGAGCTTAGGTGAGAGTGGATTTGCCTGCCATAAGGAGCACTTAGAGGGGTAAGGGAATTCTGGTACAAAATGAAGATAGCTAACTTGAAGTGAGTAAAGGCTGCCGCTACCACATGGAAATTTCTCTTCCTGTGACCCTTTATTCTACTGCTAAGACCTTCCTGATTTTAAGGCCGTGGTTTCTGATGGGTGGGGATGGCTGACAATGGCTGGAAAAGGAAGACTGGATGATTTTCCAGTCCTTTCAAAATGTCCTTTAGAGTCTGGACGTGTCAAGCCACTGCTAAATCCGTCTGGCATAGCATTCCTGACAGGCAAAATTACTGTCTTGGAGTTTGCCTTCACTAGGGCTTCTGTTTAAACTCTCTGGAAGCTGACATCCCTATAGAATATGAAATCCACCACACTGGCTGTCAATAAGCTGGCAGCTTACTGGCTGTGTGTGTTACCTGCTGGGCTGTTCTTCCCTAGTTAAGACTGCTGTCTGATGATTTATCCCAGCCATGAGCCTTGCAGATGAACTAGCAATGAGCATTCTGCACCTAAATAAGAGTATGATTCTAGCTCACCCAGGTGTTATTTCCTATTCTTCAGTGTCCTAAGGACAAAGACCCAATGGGCTACCTTCTAGCAACACACCACTGTAGTCATCTTTCAGCTAAACCAAAGGTCCAAAGGCAAAATAGATCATTTGGCTCTACTATGTGAAGTGGCAACACTGCAGAGAGCAGCAGATCGATAACTATTTATAAATAGATTTATCTGATTCATTTATCATCTAGAGTGTGTGTCAGTGTGTCTGCCTATTGCATGTTTATGGATGTGTACCTAACTTGCTTGGAAAGAAATGTTTAAATATAAAGAAAAATAATAAGCCCAAATGACCTCAGTGAAAAGTCACTTATAATTGATAAATAAATAGCCAATATAAATGACAGATAGATGATAGATGCATCTTTATATACCTACATTCCTACATAAATAGATTCACACTGAGTTGAAATATGATTAAATTGGGGATTTTGGGGGGAGTATATTGAGAATTCTGCTGCTACAAACAAGGTCTTGCTGTTCTCTGTTCCTCCAACACAACATCAGTTTCTTCTTTCTCTCTTTTTCCTTCCCTTCTCCCTTTTCTCACTCTCCATTGCACTTGTTCCAGCCCCTCGAATTCTGCTGAGTGGCAGGACTGGCAGCAGGGAGCAGATTAGCAGCAATATTTGAAAGACAGACTCAGGCTGCTTTCCTTCATCACTTTGCTCTCACTTCCAACATCACCCCTTCCCTGCCACCTTAAAGGCAATCAAAGATTAGGTGAAAGAAAAATATGTCAACATTTTTTCTTTTAAAAAAGAAGTCTATTAGTTTTACAGCCTGATCAAATGCCCTAGTAGGTTATGTTTAGTTAAGTTTTTTTTTTAAACTTTTGCTTGCAAGCCCTGTGTTTCTGAAGCATGCCAACATAAACCCCACAGACTGGCTGCAGTCACCCCCAGCAAATATCTAGTATGGAGCATGACTATAATTTAGAGAGATTTTTTCTTTTCCTTCTGGTGATCCTACCCAGTCCCTAGGAGGTGGCTTTGTCTACCAGCATTAATTTTTAAGCAGAGCTGGAGATGGGAGCAATATTTCTGTCATTTGTCCTATACCTAAATAGAATGAGATCAATTTTAAAATATGCTATTCTATTGTCACCTTATTACTCCCGTTTTGGTTAGATTGTGTAGCCTGCCTTTAGGTATCCAGTTTAATTTTGTCACTTTCTTGTGGCACCTCCAGCTGTAGACATTTCCTGTTAAAATCTACTATTTAAGTAGCTTTGAGCAAATAGCCTCTCAGAACACTTGCATTTTAATCTGTAAAATGGGGATAAGGGTACTATCTCATAGGTTAAGCTTGGTGACTAAGTGTCATCTATATGTTTGCTTGCCTACTATGATGTCTAGTATATAGGAAGTGTTCAGCCAATATTACTTAATAAAATTGAATCATTTCTACAGGTTTCAAGGGTCCACCCCCATTGATACTAACACAGTAATGTATCAATACTACTATGTACATTTATGCACATAACAGCCTCTTCTAGGGACAAACACCTTAACCCTGAATTTTGATATTAATGGCAATAACAGGCAATCTGTATATGCATAGTGCTTTACAGATACCAAAGATATACAATTTCCATTATCTCACTTTTTCCTTCCAATGATCTCAAGACTCTTAAAGGTGAGATTATTGAAACTCCTAGAGCTCAAAAAACACCCAAGGTCATACATGTGATAAAAGAGGGACTTGAACTTAGGTCTTTAGAATCACTGCCTATTGATTTTAACAGAGAGCAAAGCAGGTAGAAAAAAGATATTTACAGCAATAAAATCAGGTAGATATCTGTCTTCTCTAGCTTTAACAGCAACCATATTCTACTGGGTTTATTGAAGCTAACCTCTTCTGAGCTGAGGTAGTCTTCAAGTAAGTAAAAATCCAAATATGTTCATTGTGACTTTTAATTGCACCTCACAGTTTAATTCACTTTCAACTATCTAGCTCATTTGGCAGCATTTTCCTTGGTGATTCTGGACTTATATAGTGTACAGCCTCCCTGAACTTTCCCAACCATTTTTTTTTAACAGCAGAAAGGTGACATAAATTTGGAGGTGACATAAATAAATATAAATATTTATATTTAATATTGTATATAAATAATTATAAATATTATTAAATATAAATATATAAATATTAATATAATGTATATAAATAAAGATGACATAAATAATATAAAATATTATTTTCAAATGACTGACTCATTTGGTTAGAGCATTACATTTACATCCCAATGAGTGCTTGGTCTACATGAACCCTCCACCAAAATTATAAGGACTTATCCTTTTTACATAGTTTCTAGCATTTTCAAGCTAAGGTTTTCCTTTTCCTTAAGGACATAAATGGCCCTCTACCTAGCATTCTATTAGGACTACCCACTTGTTCAGGTTGGTAGTAGTAGAAAAAGGAAAGCATGGGCAGAAAAAGGAAAACTACGGAATATATTTTACAATTTACTAATAATACACGTATACCAGCATTTATCTATTTTTTTTTTTTTTGAGATGGAGTCTTACTCTGTTGTCAGGCTGGAGTGCGAGTGGTGCGATCTCGGCTCACTGCAACCTCCATCTCTGGGGTTCAAGTGATTCTCCTGCCTCAGCCTCCCAAGTAGCTGGGACTACAGGTGTGCACCACCATGCCCAGCTAAGTTTTGTATTTTTAGTAGAGACTGGATTTCACCATGTTGTCCAGGAATGTCTCCATCTCTTGACCTTGTGATCTGCCCATGTTGGCCTAATTTTTGACAAAAGGAAGCTCCACTTTGAACAATTCTAGAAACTCCAAGTTTTGTTCATTTTGTACGTTCAATAAAATAGTTGCAAGTTATTGTCATACTCATTGTCAACTTTTTCAGGAAGAAATGTCTTAGGAACACATTTACTCATCATGGCTTATCCCAGGAAGACATTTAAAATGTTTATTGTGATTAGTGTTATTTGAAAAATATATTATTTTGTAAGAGTATACTCTGTGTCAGTGTGAGGGAAAAAAGCTAGTGTGTAATTACATTGTCAAATTCCAACAACGTCCATTAATCATCCTATTTGGTTTCTCACTAATCACATTTTTAGTAAAGATCACCTGACCTCATGTAGAAATTTCGATGCTCTGTCCTGATACCCTGGCTGAAAATTAACCTGTCCTACAATAAGCTACAAACTTGGTTTTTCTCACATCAAAAATTATTTTGCAGCATCCAAGGAAAATCTTCTTAGCAAAAGATTTTATAAAAAAGAGTTTTAGGATTGTTTGTTTTTATCAAAATGTAAAGAAAAAAGGCACGGTTAATGTGAATATCAACTCTAAAAAAATCTGATTATTGGAACAGTATAAATATTGCAAGACATGATGTAAATTTTTTGTTTGTTTGTTTGTTTGTTTGATACAGGGTCTCACCCTGTTGCCTAGGCTGGAGTGCAGTGGTGCAATCACAGCTCACTGCAACCTCCACCCCTGGGGTCAAACCATCCTCCCACCTCAGCCTCCTGAGTAGCTGGGACTACAGATGTGTGCCACCATACCTGGATAATTTTTGTATTTTTTGTAGAGATGGGGGTTTGGGTTTCACCATGTTGCCCAGACTGGTCTCAAACTCCTGAGCATAAGTGATCCATCTGCCTCACCCTCTCGAAGTGCTGGGATTACAGGCATGAGCCACCATGCCCGGCTGTGAAATTTCACCAAATGTTAGTCACTTCACACCACTGGCCTTACCATAGCCCTTTGGAGTGTTATAAGAATTTTCTGATTTTTTTTTTTACTGGAACTACACCAGGAATTACACTAGGAATTATGTCAGTCCTGCAGCATTTTTCAAGAAGCCACCAGTCCATGATCCTGAAAGTTTGACTACTGACAAGAAATTGCTTGGAGCAGTGACATTATTAACAAGCCACCTTTCCAGCATACCCAACTGCACTGGAAACCATCCCTAGCTCCATCACCTCCATCTGTCTCTCTGTACGATGGGGCGTGCACACCAGCAGGCTCCGACCATGAGGTTAGGTTTGCTGCTGAGTTACTCATCAAACATCCCGTGCTGCGTGGACTCCTTGCTCTCAGTATTGTAGGCTGCAGGCAGCCAGTCCGTGAGTCTGATAGAAGTGTACTCACCTTCTTTTATAATGAAAGCTCTTTAGGCACGAATTTTGATGGCTTAGGAACGAGGATATTTTTATATGTATGCCCAGAAAGATCCATTTGGTGGTGAGGGTGTCTCTCCCGAGATTTCTTACAACCTCTTAGTGGGGGGGTGGGTCCCTTGATTTGATGCCATCAGAGCTTTGTTCTCTACACAGTATCCTCTGAAGACTACCAGCCTAGATTCTTCTTCCAGCTTTTGAAAGGTCTCAGAGGACTTATAAATTCAGTGCTTCTGGATTGAAGTATAGGATATGTATGTGCCTACTGTTCTGTTCCTCTCTGGTCTTTTCTTGGTAAAAAGCTCTACTTTCATTCTTGCTGCTGGTTTTCAAGTAGTGTGCAAATGACTTAACCACCTGGTAGGATTTTATTTTTATTTTTTAACTGGCACTGAAACTGTTACTCTTCTTCAAAATGGTAGGCCCTCAGTTACTCCTGAGAAACTTAATTTTCGTGGTTTTTTTATTTGTTTGTTTTTTAAAGAAAGTCCTCTCTTAGATGCCAATTGCAATGGCAACAAAAGTAAAATTGACAAATGGGATCTATTGTAATTAGAGAGCTTCTGCAAAGCAAAAGGAACTATTAGAAGAGTAAATGGACAATCTACAGAATGGGAGAAAATTTTTGCAAACCATACATCTAATATCCAGAATCTATAAGGAATTAAACAAATTTACAAGAAAAAAAAACAAAGATCCCCATTAAAAAGTGGGCAAAGGACATGAACAGACACTTTTCAAAAGAAGACATACATATGACCAACAAACATATGACAAAAAGCTCAACATCACTGATCGTTAGAGGAATCCAAATCAAAACTACAGTGAGATACCATCTCATGCCAGTCAGAATGGCAATTGTTAAAAAGTCAAAAAATAACATGTGCTGGTAAGGTTGTGGAGGAAAAGGAATGCTTACACACTGTTGGTGGGAGTGTAAATTGGTTCAACCATTGTGGAAAGTGGTGTGACAGTTCCTCAAAGAGCTAAAAACAGAACTACCGTTCGACTCAGCAATCCCATTACTGGGTGTATACCAAAAGGAATATAAATTTTTCTTTCATAAAGACACATGCCTGCATAAGTTCATCGCAGCACTATTCACAATAGCAAAGACATAGAATCAACCTAAATGCCCAGCAGTGGTAGACTTGTTAAAGAAAACATGGTACATATACATCATGGAATACTATGCAGCCATAAAGAAGAATGAGATCATGTCCTTTGCAAGAACATGGATGGAGCTGGAGGCCATTATCCTTAGCAAACTAACTCAGAAACAGAAAACCAAATACTGCACGTTCTCACTTGTAAGTGGGAGCTAAATAATGAGAACACATGGACACACAGAGGGGAACAACACACACTGGGGCCTATTGGGGAGTGGAGGCAGGGAGGAGGGAGAGGATCAGGAAAAATAACTAACAAGTACTAGGCTTAATAGATGGGTAATCTGTACTACAAACCCCCACGACACGAGTTTACCTATATAAGAAACCTGTGCATGTACCCCTGAATTTAAAAGTGAAAGAAAAAAAATCCTCTCTTACTGCTCTAATTAGAAGTGAAGAATGGTGACTGGGGGGATTCTTCTCATATTATTAGTATTCTCAGGCTCCTGGGTAACACTTTTGTAATACAGGGACATTTCAATGACTGGCGGCTGAATAGGACCATAGATCCTGGAGGCTATTTTTCCTTTTCATTCAATGTAGAAGAGAATATATGGACCATAGAAAGGAAGCCATTGTAACCTAGCAGGTAAGAACAAGGCACAGACATTGGGTAGGAAACTGTAATTCCACATCCAGATTTGACATTTACCAGGTTGCATGACTTTAAGTAAATTAAATTACCTATGCCCCTGTTTTGTCATCTGTAAAACAGGGGAAATAACAGTTTCTAAATCCTAGATTTCTTTGGGGAATGATAGTAATTAAACTAAGTAGTACATGCACAGGGCTAAGCATAGAACATGGCATATAGTAAATACTTAAGTGTTAGGTTATACAGCTACTGTGACTGAGGACAGAATGTTCTAAAAGCAAAGGAGAAAACTAAGCTGAAAGATTCTTTTCAATTTTACTGTACCAATACATTGTGTTTCATCACACCCCAGAGTTTTTAACTCATACTTGAAAAAAACTGAGCAAGAGAATAAAGATTGTCATTTTTGGGATTGTATTTGGGAGATATGCAGTAGGATTCAGTCAAGAATTCAGGGCTTTGGATCCTTCTGATATGTCTCGATCCATAAAACTGTATTTCCTTTCACTCATATAGAACTGTATACCCAAAGGGCACTCAATAAAAATGATGACAAAAATCAACCCATTGCCACACACAGGCGTGAACTTCAAGATCTGTCTCATATAATTTTTAGCGTTCTTCAAAGCACCTAGTTTCTTCGAGGGGAAGTTAGCCATGTTGCTTGTAAGCTTTTATGCCTTCTTGTTTAACATCTATCTTGGTCTTGGACTATGCTACTATCACTGTTGCAGCAAATCAGTTCTTGAAATACAATTTGACCAAACATATTAACTACTTAATTTTACAGAACTAGGGAGATAGCTCCAGGTCAAACACCAGATGGCACCTACCCATCACATGCTCTGACAAAATTTAATGAAGATAGTTCCTAATATTGGAATATTGAAACATTTACAACATAAAATAACATACAAGTGAGTACAAACAAGACTGGCGAAATCTGAATGAGACAGGTGGATTGTATCAATATTATTATCGTGATTGTGACATTATACAATCATTTTGCAAATGTCCATGGGGAAAAGTGGGCAAAGTGTGTAGGGAAATAGGGCATCTTTCTGTATAATTCCTTACAAATGTATGTGAATGTGAATCTGAATATCAATACAATTTTTAATTAAAATATAAAAGGTAAATATCATCTTAATGATTCATATTAGTAAGATTTTTTTCAACACATCTTCAACTACCCACTGCTTTATATGGCATCTAAATAAAACATTTGGTAAGTGGTGGTTTCTACAATCAAACCCTTCAGTTGGTCTACGGCCTTTTAATTTCATGGAAAAATGGCATGAAGTGGCTGAACTACTACAGCTTGTTCTTTCTTTCATAGGAACCTAGAAAATTGGGACAATCCTTACTTTTAGACTTGAAAAGAATTGGTCAAAGGATAAATAGAATCCACAAAAAAATTTGCGTATAAAGCAGCACAGAAATATCTTCAAAGGAAAAGCATCTTCCACTGATCTATTTTTAAAATAGAATGATATATTGTGACAAAATCTAAAATATTAGAGCAGCTTCCATCTTTCAATTCTGAGATGTATATAACCATTAGCAGTGGCAGCATATGCTCCTGCTGGGAGCTTAAAAATAGTTATTTTCTGATTGTCCTCTCTGACGCTTTAATGTCCTATGGCATAGGGTTCGATGCCTTTGTTTATTTTATGTTAGATTTCTTTATATTCTTTCTAAAATAATATGGCAATAAGTCATATTTCTCATGACAACAATGATTTTAATCCATTCATGTGAGTATAAATAATTGTTATCAATACCTGAATATCCAAAATGACTCTAGATCACTAAAGGTGGCACACTTGAGTGTTAGCATGCAGGAGTCAGTGACAATACATCTTTGTCTTTTAGATCTCAAAGGAGCCATGCTGATTTTAGCCATAGGAAAGACTGTGGAAGGGGTGGAAACCATGACTTTCCAGCTGTGTTTCTGTAACTCAGATATCTACAGCTGAGATAACTAATCCTCCTGGCTTTTCTTTGCTTTAACAAAAACAATAACAGTACATAATGCGCAAAACCGGGTCTGATCGTGGTGGAGTGTTATGTGTGTTCACTTTGACCTATATTAAAGGAAAAAGAGAGAAAAGAAAAAAGCTTTATTTTGGTTACCTAGCAATTATTTGTAGATCCACTCCCCATTATCTCATGTCCCAAAATAGACTCTCGAGATCAGTGCAGAGATGGTAAATTTCACATTTTCAATATTTCCAAGTAACGGTCAATCTTTAAAATTCTGAAAATTGCATTCAGTAACTCTGGAGCATCTATGCCTGTTAACTTGGGTTGTTAAATAATGAGTTATAGAAAGAGACATGGGACACACATCTTTTTCTCTGATTGTAACTCAGTACCTTGTGGATACACTTGCACAGCCCTTTAAACTAATAGCATTCATAGAGTCTTCGCTTACTTTCCTCACAATCTGCATGTTGGTGCTTTCATCATCCACTCTCAGATTTAGTTTGAAATCTCCCAAAGTGTAGCTCTTGTAACTCTTCTTGAAAGACAGCTGCCCAATCAACCCTGCTTGACTACAAGGAAGTTTTGAGGAAACTAATTATAGGAGAGTCATGATAATCCCCAAACTCTTAGGTAAATAGGAAACTCTACGGAACTATGTGGTTATGCTAACAGCTTATTTACGAATGTGGTCTTTATTTTGGCATTTTTTTTTACAGTTTTCACTGTACACTTTTAAGGCACATGAGTATGCATTTGCTGCTCATTACACGCTGCAGTTCTGGGGCAAAGCTGGGTACAAAGGGACTCTGAAGGACAAACCTGACCATTCATCTGTACACACGTACCATGCTGGCTGCTGTGAGTTGTAGAAAGAAGCTCTGCAGATTCTCCAATGGGAAGAAATAATGAGCTTAAAGCAACAGCTCCTGTGAAAGCAGTTGGCAGTTAGATAATGATGGATATGTTACAAATTCCAGAAATATCAGCCAAGAAAGATGAATGGTGCATATAAAGAAAGGAAGGCTAAAATCTACCACCTTTGTTTTAGGGGTAAACACAGAAGATGCTTCTCAGCATGATGGCAATTTTGCTTGAGGTATATTGTATTGTAATGGCACCACATTACAAAACAAATTTCTTTTGGAGGGAGATCACTAAGAAAGAAATTAGACATGGAAAGAGCTACAAAGTAGAAGTTGAAATTTTGGCCTTGAAATTTAAGTTTTCCTATGTACTCTCTTGGTGAAATTACTTAACGATTAGCAACTTGGTCCCCTTTTGTACGATGAACATGGGCTGGTAAACTTAAGACAGTGTTTACGGACATCAATACCATTGATTAAAACGTAAAAGTTCTGTCAAACAGTAGTTTGATCTTCATGACAGCAAACAGCCTGTTTGATGTTTTTATTGAATCAATTGATTTTTTTTTCACTGAATTGATTGGTTGTTTTACTGTCATGTGGACACTTCCTAAATCAACATGTGCCTCTATAGAGGGATTTGTAACAAATTCTGAATTCATGAATGCCTCTAGAATTCCAGGCTAACAGAACCTTATGAAACACAAATTGCATCAGAATAAGTGGCATCAATGCTGAGAAAAAAGTGATTTTTCCTTAAAGTTGAATTTGAATTTTAGAATTCCAGCAACTTAATGTTATAGACTGATAAAAGGTATTTTTCTGTTCTTACCTTGTTCAAGTATGTACTTTAAATGTTGACTGAGTTGTTAGATAATACTCCACCAATAAAGGGAGGTTAATTTGCCATAGATTTTTAAAGATGAAAGAAAAAGATAACAGATGCCCACCCCCACTCTACCCACACTATCTCATCTTTTTGATTCCCAAGCTTATACCTTATACAGGTTTTCCAACCCCTAAAGGAAATTATCACACATAATATTCATTCCTGTCAAGATGTTTTAAATGCTTACAGTGTGAGTCCTGCAACACATTATTTTTTTTCCTAAAAAATTAGGATTTACGAACAGGCTTTTGTTTTAGCAGGGGAGTTTAGGCACAAAGATGAAGTCTGCTGTATTCTGCCTATGGAAGTGATGTACCAGCCATTTTACTGTGCATATGGTAGAAGAAGGCAGTTATGGACAGTTTTTAGCTGTCCTGATTTCAATGCAAACTAGTAAATATCACTGCTGAGAAACTCAAAAGACTGATGTTGCTTATATAATTAGCATATCTGTTTCCCACAGGGGCTACAGTAGGATTCATTTTCTAGGTGGGCTGTGATAGACCTGGAAGGGTCAGTTTATAACAGCTCTGGCCCATCAACTTTCACCACATACTGGGATTGTGCAGAACTCCAAATTCACTTAATGATGAAATTCTGTCTATTTGCTATGTTGCTTCTCTCTGACACTAACCAATGCATGCCACTAGATTTTCTCTTGTGTCACTTACTCATTCATTCACTTATTTATCACTTGAAGATCCACTTTGAGACATTTCATTCACAGCAGATACTTCTGTCTCCTACTTGATTGATCAAAGCTATCTGACCCAAGTTTTATTTCCTGTCACACTCTAACTTCCAAATATCTCTACACTTGTATTATTCTTACCAACTCAAATAAGTCTATATATTTTTAGCTATCTTTTCTTTCCCTCCTACATAACTGTGCTTTGGAATAATGCCCTGTTTCTTTCGAATGTACACTGATTTCTAGTGGCTCCATCATCACTGCCCACAAATATTTTCATGTCTTCCATTACAAAAGAAAAAAATGTCTCTAGCTGTGGTACTCTTAGAGTTACTACTCCTTTACTGCCAAGTTTCCCCAAAGAGCGATTTACAATTCTAGCCACCATCCCCTTACCACTCCTCACTGACAGTCCGGCTTTCAGTTTCCATCCTCATCATTTTACAGGAACTTGTTTCCCCAAGGTCACTAGTGTCTTCCTAATTGCCAAATCCAGAAGTGTGTTATCAGTCCTAATTCCTGAAATTACTCTTGCATTAAACACTTACTTGACTCCTTTGACTCTTTTGTGTGTGTGTGTGTGTGTGTGTGTGTGTGTGTGTGTGTTTGGTCCTTCAGAGTACTCATGCATTCTCATGGCTTTAATACTGAGTGGCAGGAATGGATGGGAAGAGCTTTGATATCAGACAGATATTCATTCTAATTCTACCTGGTCCTTCCATTTATGAGCTATGTGATCTTGGATACATTTTTTAAATTTCTCATAACCTCATTTTTCTCATTGCAAAGTAGAAGTAATAATGCCTAGTGCATAGGATAGACAGGATTAAGTGAGACTGCAAAATGCATAGTGGGTGCTCAATAGATGGTAGTTTCCTTGGCTTTCCTCAATAGTTTCCTGAATTTTCTGCTAAGCTTGATCATCTTTTCTTTCGGTTGGTTATTTGTACTGGATGCTTCTACTGCTACCTCAGTTGTAAATATTAAAGACCAGAGTCAACATGGCCTTCACAAAGGCCAGTGACAGCTGTCTGGGTTCAGTTGGGAAGCTCTGAATTGCTGCATCACAAAGAGTTATTATGGACGCTGCTTTCTGAGGGATCTCAATAGTTGTGGCTGCTGTTATCTGTCCCAACTCCATTCTAGTTCTACTCAGCTTTCCTCCTTTTTCTTGCTTGGTGAATTGAAGTCATCCTGGCTTCTACCTTTGACCTTCTTCTGGGCCCAGTGGAGACTCTGAGTTCTAATTTCTCTCCTCAGTTCAAACTGGCTTCCCTCCTTCCCATGGGGATTGATAACCAAGTTCGTGGTTTTTCAGGCCTCCAGTGTTGTCTGCCTGGATAGCTCTCTGTTGCCCTCACCTGACACAAATCCACAATTATCAAAGCCACTTCATTGAAATCTGCTTCCAAGATTCCCCCTTTTAGGGTGTGACAAGTATTGTCATCACTTTCAAGTTCTCAAGCTGGAATGCTTGAAGTAGAATTTCACCTCTATATCTCACCTTTTACTCCAGGAGAGCCCTCAAGTCCATTTAATCCACAGTTACTTGAGCTTTACAATGCTTCATAAATGGATCTTTTATTATTTATATTAATAGGAAAACAATGTCGCTAATAATAGTAATAATAATAATGATAACAATAATAGCTAACATTTATTGAGAGTCTACTATATGCCAAGCATTGTGGCAAGACTTTGAAGCCTCATGTATTATAAAAAAGAAAATTGAGATTTAGGGAGGTTAAATACCTTGCTTAAGATCATAGTAAGTATTGGGGCTCAGGATTTCAGCTCAGATTTGTCAGCTCCCAAAGCCGTTTTTATTCACTGGTCTATGTTGTTTGAAATGACCATGCCCCCAGGATGAAAGCATTGATGTGTTTTTCATAAATATTTCTCAAATTGCATATCCACAGATGTTGTGAAATTACACCAACTAGTGATTTCATAGAATTAGAAATAAATTGTAAATAAACTGTTACTCTAGTAAACATTTGCCAAGTGCTGCCCAGAAATAAGGATAGCCCCAGTGCTGAAGAAAGAGAGCAGAGGGGAATAGTGTGAGATTATGGAGAAAGGGAAATAAGTGAAAATGTGATCCCTGATGTCCACTTATTTAATTAGTGGAAACATTCTCTGGCTGGGAAGAAATAAAAAGGGGTGTCCTTGGAAAAAGTAAAAGTTGAAACAGGTAATGGTGTGAGGCCATAGAAAGTCAATAGAGAGGACCAGTGGTAAGGTTTGAAAAGACAGATTACCTCTTGAAATACTTTCCATTAGCATTAAACCCTTGAACATGTACATTGCAATGTCAAACCAGTTTGTATGGAAATTCTAGCACTCTTTGTGCATTGTCTCAGATAGAGCACTGAACTTCAAATACGAATACTGAGTTCTCTTCACAGTTCTATCATTAAACAGCTGTTTGACCTTGGACAAATCTCCCAAACTTACTGGCTCTCAATTTTGTCATCTTTAAAATCCCCATGAGTTGGACTGGATGAACTCTAAAGATCTCTCCTGCTTTAGCATTCAGGTATTCTGTATGCTCAAAATGAGGTGATGACTTATGGCTTAGGTTGGTGCCCCAGTACCTATACTACAAATTTACTAACATTACAGATGGATGTCATGGGTTGCTCTGGTCACTCAGATTGTGGAGGAAATTTTAAATCTTGATAAGAGAGTCCCCAAATGGTGGATAAGCACATGACATCAGAGGTCATGTACCTTTTGTAAAGTACCAGAATGTGTTATCGTTTTGCCTTGCCACTGAAGTCCCTTTCTAATTCTTGAGTCAAGCCTCCTGCTCCCCCTTGGTGCATCTATTTCATTGCAGCTGCTGCATATAACCTCAGTTAGCATGTGCACAGGAGGGTCTGTGCAACTGTACATGTGAAATCACAGTTACAACTGAACAAGAGAATAATTTGGTCAGTAGTTTAGTATCTCAAAATCTAAAGAATGACCACCTTCAGCTAGACCAGTAGACCCAAATTGCCCTTTTTATTGCTTCACTAAGATACACCACTTTGCCCAGTTCATTTATTGACTTTTTCATCTCAAGCACAAATTCTTACCTAGGTAGAAGCTAAAGGTCCACAACACACTAATTGTAAAAGCAAAAGTGCCAATTCAACAGAATTCCAAAACCACAAGAAATGTATGTGAACTTGACAACTCCTGCGGTACATTAAGTCTGAAAACGATTTTTTTTTTTTAAAAAAAAAGAGGATTTGGATGCTCTTTTGAAAAACCCCATCTCTCTAGTGCAAGAATGTGTTTATCTACAGGAAATGAAAAGGAACTTAGCATCAGTTGTAGAAAACAGTGAGAAACACTGAGATTGCTTTTCAGAGTCCAAGAAAAAGCTGGCAGCTAGGATTTGGTTTAAATCACACCCCTAAAATATAACCCCAGCTTCTAGATACATACGTTATTTGTATTAAAAAGCCCAACTTTTTTTCCCTCCTCACTACTCTACTTTTCAAAAAGCAGCAAGAGTTAAAACACATGAGCAATTTTTAGAGGAAACCTCATGACTAGCAATCAGTGCTAATAAGATTCTTTTCCTCTTGCAAGATTCAGAGAAAGCCCTCGATCCGTGCCAAGCACATTCAAAGGCAAGGGACTAAGAGCTCCCCTCACAGGTTCATTATCATTCTCAGGTTATTCCAAGCCAAGTGAATCAGGAAAGCAAATGAATTAGTGAGAATTAAGGAGCCTCTGTGGTCTGAACCCACTCCAAATCTCAGCTAAGATGAAAGGTAGATGCTGATGTCTCATGTCCCAGGGTTCTCAGGATTGGAGCCCCAGTGCCTAGCTGTTCCTCTAGAGCCTTGCAGAAATGTGCAGGCAGTTAATGTTGCCTAACATCTCCTGACCGTGGGTTCAGCCATGTGGGAAAAGTTTTATGAGGCTGCAAAACCAAACCCCCTTTCACTCACAATTAATTACAGAAGACTTGCTGTATCACCTAGCTGTCAATGAGTCCAGCATGGGCACTTTTCTTTCTATTTTGACCACTTACTAATAATCAAAGATACCAGGGTAATGCTTTATTATATGAAGATATCAAGTGGGATTTCTGAAGAACAAATCTATAAAATATTTGAAGGGCTAAGTGTTAAGCTTCTTTGGAAGTGATGCCTTGAGCTGAGGAGCAGGATTTGAATGTGAACTAAAGTCCTTGGAATTATAGAAGTTTTTGTTGTTTTTATTGTTGTTTTAAATGCTCCTGGCAAATTGGGGTGGGCAGAGTGGGGAGGGTGTATGCTTTTGTACTTGTGACGGAGATACAGTAATCCTTGGAGCATCTGTGGGATTTAAACAAAACATGTAGTAAAGGTTTGGGAGTAGCAGTTTGTTTTCATTAAATACTTGTTACTGCTAATTATGTTTGATCACTATAAAGAATACAGTTTAATTAAAGAAACACAGTGGTTAGGAAAATATTTGATTTCCAAAGAGAACAATTTATCTTTGTATTACTAAGTAGGAAAAAAAGTAATTGCAACTGTTTATTTTTCAGTATATTGTTGGTTTTTATGCAGAAGTTTCATTCCATTTTTGGGGAAAATCTTATCCCTCTTCTTAAAATTACAACAAAGTATTAATTTCATATCACACTGTTTGAATGCATGCTTCTATTTATTTAACGTAAGTGATTATTTAAAAATTGAAACATTTGGCAAATGACATTGAACAACATATTCTAATATACATTTGAATCAATATATCTTCTTTCTCTTTGGAGAAGCTTTCAGTGTTAACTCTTTCACTGAACGTTGAAATGTGCTATGCCATTATATGTTTTCCCTCATCAACATACGGTTTTCATTTTAATTTTGCCAGGTAATATTTTGGTAGTGCCCTGATGGAAATTAATAGAAAATGAAGGCAGGTAACTATCTTTGTAAGCAAAACCTAGTATTCATATTGCTTGTATATCATAATTGTTCTTTTAAGCAGTCATACTAGAGAGCTTTGATTTTTTAAAATGTATCTTCCCTATGTCAGTTTAGTTTAAGTGAACGCCCATGAGCTCTGTAAGTTCAATGGAAAAAAGTATATTAACTTAGTATAGCTAATATAATATTTTTTTAAAAAGGGAAATTCAAATATTGTGTTTATAATATGTAAATGTCAGGGATGACTCAGTCCTAAAACAAGAGAGAGTCACTTCTTTGTAATCTTAACACCATAAAGAGTACTAAAAATATAAGTGCATTATAAGTTTTGCATTATACTTTACAAAGAAGTGATTTTTATCTTTCTATTTTAAACATATGCCTGTGGATTTTGGAGGATATTTGTTTGTAAAAATATCTGGACTTTTTTCACTTTTTCTTCTAACCCTTATACACCCTAAAATTTATATCAATGTATTTGAATTATTATATTTTTAAAAAATTTCTTCTTTTATCTCATAGAGAATAGTGAACCTAAAAAGTGTATTTAAAATATTGTTTAAATATAGTTGAGGCTCTTTTATAATTTAAATGTTCAATTTCTCTTTGACCTATATTAAAATTAGATTCGAGCCAAAACAACGTAAGTTTCCAATTATGTCCAAGTAGAAAAGAGAAATGCTCTTTTTTTCCTGAATTGCCTTCTATTTTGTTATTATTTTCTATGATCATCACTTAAATATCTACCAGAGTTTTTCCTTCTTCTTCTTTTCTTTTTTTTTTTTTTTTGGTAAAACAAATAATTTGATACTTTTGGGTAGAGGAGGAAAATAAGCTTCCAGCTTTTTGGTAGATTATATCAACATCTATGAAAACCTTTATGTTCAAAAATGCTAAATCTGTAAGCAATTTGCTACCAAATTCAGCTTTTACCAGATTTCTGAATAAAGCATAGGAAAGCAATTAGAGCAGTTTAGTATACAGCCGACAGCCTAGCGAGCAGCTTTCTGCATGCTTCCATCAAAGCAGAAACATAGCCTTGTTAATAGAAGTAGTATTTAAAATGCTGTGAATCGGCAGCTGCCCGCAGCGGTCGCAACAACAAGCAGTTCTACGTTAGCATCGCAGCCCGCCCTGCCCTTGCGCTGCCCACAAATGACCAGGCAAATCCCAGAGGTACTCTTGAATTTCTGCATTCTCATTTCTTCAGCAGTAAAATATCTGTCACTCACATCCCACACTGGCCAAAGTGACACCTGCCAGTCTCAAGAACAAGGACAAATTATTGTCCCTCTGCCAACCACATTTCAGAAATGAGCACAGAGCAATGTAGGGACATGCATCCAATGGTGTATTTTTAAACTTTGTAATTTGTTTTTTGAATATTTCTTTAAAGGAGGCTAATTTGCAACATATTGTTGTTTTACATTACCGAACATGTGCTTTTGTGGTTCACTGTACATCATAATGACACATTTAAAAATAATTACAAACAGCTGGCAAAATATATATTGAGTAAGCTTATGCATCTCTGTACAGGGCAATTTGGTGTTATTGTCATAAAAGGACCATGGCTTTGGTGAAGTTGTAAATGTCACTATTGGAGGGCTTCCAGGATCCTTACAGGGGCCAAAATTCAAAATATTTCCTTAGACTCACCTCCTGATCTGAACGTTTTTGTGGTGTGTGTGTGTGTGTGTCTGTGCATGTGTCACAGAGATGGAGAGAGGGAAGGACGGAGGGAGGGGGAGAGAGAGAGCACGTGTGAGAGGAGAGAGGGAGAGAGGAAGAGAGAGACAGAATGAATGAGACCTGTCATCATGTCATATGAGGTTATGCAACATTCTGTCCATTGGTGATGAAATGCAACATGACAGAATGTAATGTAATGTAACATATCAAAAAATGTAAATAATATACTTTGTGGGATTAGATATCTGCTGTCAATTCCTATGGTCAGGATCTGAACCGAACTTACTGAGGCGGACAGAAGCTCAGTGAACGCCAAACTGACCATGGTGTTTGAGAAGCGACACACACCACAGTTCACTGATTTCCCCAATTACTTTGGGGTAGTTTGGCACGTATAGAAATGTTCAACAAAAGTTCTCTTGTTGGACACTTCTGGGAAGTAATTTGATTGTTAATTACAAACGCGCAGGGTGATTGCTCTGCATAATTGTTTTACTCCTTCAGCACTCCATTAGAAGCTTATCTGCTGAAGTTTTATTTTTAGATCTTTGAATTCTTAGCATCTTCCTTATGTCAAACTGATGCAACATGAATGACCCCTCCAGATAAAATCCTTTAACTAGCCAGGGTAATCCAGTGCCTCTTGTGAGAAGGAGAAAAGAGAGGATGACCACATGCATTTTATCTCTATTAGCATCTGTAATCAAGCAACACGCACACACACACACACACACACACACACACACACACTTCAAAATTCTGTGCCTTTTGAGAAATAACTCAGTTACATGCTCTAGACTGCTTGAACATTGTGAAAAGAAAAGGGCGCATTTCAGAATTAATCCAAATGCATTCCAGATACTATTTCTTTTTATTACCAAGCTTTAGTCTCAGCTCTTAACAATAGACAACAAGAGTCCACATTGCCTTAAAGGTAAGTGGGCAGAAGCTCATTTGATACTGAACTCCTGAGAATGGAACATTTTATTTGCTGTCATAGTGATGACTTTTAATTGTCCTAATAAATAAGCTTTTAAAAAGCTTCTAAAATGTTCTCTAATAACACACTTTGGTCTTTAGCCATAGAAATGCAGAAATAATTAGAAGTGGCATTGTGTACACTGCCTTCTGGACTGGGCTGAAGGTGAAGGAGAAAGTCTCATGCTATCCTTGTCAGCTGCAAGGGTAATTACTGCTGGCTGAAATTACTCAACATTTGTTTATAAGCTCCCCAGAGCATGCTGTAAATAGATTGTCTGTTATAGTCCAATCACATTAAAACGCTGCTCCTTGCAAACTGCTACCTCCTGTTTTCTGTAAGCTAGACAGAGAGAGCCTGCTGCTCACTTACTGAGCACTGAGCACAGAAGAGCTATGTTTAATGTAATTGTTTTCATTAGATTCTTCTCTAAGATCACATTTGTCGTTTTTAGGGTCTGAATGCTAGTGGGGTACATTACTTTCATTAGGACTCTTTTATTTGCTTTAGGGAGGATGAATTTCTTTATTATTGAGATTATATATGTCAGCTTGGAAGAAGATTAGAAACAATACGGGGAAGTGACCACATACTTTCTTTTTCACGCATAGGATTTGTTTATCTATGTTGAGTTTTAGAAAGTTAACATCATTTGTTTGTTATATGTTTGATTCCCTTCAGTATGTATTTATGGAGTCCTCACTATGTATGTCACACTGGATTAGGTACTATGAATATATATATATATCTATTACTCTTAGGGAAATTGAAATCTAGGTGGGGAAAATAACTTGGACACCTGATAAAGTTAAAGACTAATAAGATACGTGATGAAATGCAAATTTGAAATTAACTTAGTACCAAAATGGATATGCAAACTATTCATATGGATGATCAGCAAGTTTTTGTGTTTGGAGAATGAGTTTCCTGTCTTAGAAAGGTAATCAGGCTTTATGAATGAAATTAATTGTGCATTCTTCAATAGGAACCAGAGACAATCTGGACAGTAGTTTGCTCAGCTTTTTGGTGAACCCTGCTTCCAGTTCATCATTTTATATGAGAGAGATTTGATTGGTCCTTTAGGCTGGCTGTGCTTACAGGTTTTGAATACAGAAGACAATAGGAAATTAAAAACAGCTCAACAGAAAGAACCTGCATATTCACTGAACCAAATCCTGCCATCCTCCAACTTTGTTCTCTAATTGATTAGTAAGTTTCACTATTTGGTTTTTGTTTTTGTTTTGCTAGGAAAAGCACTGGGAATAATTCCTGAGTTGTTTCCATTTATAATTGACCAAGATTTACAAATTCTGGGTGATCATATCTTTACAGTAGTCTCAAATAGAAAACTGTATTTGAATTCATCAAGAGAATGAACTGCTCTATAAACATGTCTTGAGAAGGGACAGACATGGGACGAAAAATATTGCAGAGAAGGAATATTACTTAGATGATGGCAGATATAGGAATGAGAAATACAAATTGTATAAATTCAAACCTGAGAGACAAAAGGATTAGTTGTAAAGTGGAGAAAAAGTAGGTATAATATTACTTTCCAGGTGATACTTAGCCTTTTTTTTTTTCCTTTCCACCCTTCCAAAATTTTCTCAGGGAAATTCTTCTTCCCCTTTATCTAGTTTGGAATTGATGTGGGGTTTTGGAAAACCCCCATTTCCTATTATGGGTACCAGTGTCACTGGAAAGCATTACAACACACACACACACACACACACACACACACACACACACACACACACAGAGATTTGAGTACCAGGAATGATGATTCAATTACATTTTACAATAATTCCTGGAAGTACCGTTTCCTAGGTTTTAGTGTATGAAAGAGCATCAGATGCAGATTGTATTTTGGGTAGGCACACATATTGCAATGAAAATCCAGGTATGTTTTACCTAGAAGGGAAAATGAACATGGGGATGCCAGTGGTGTGCTCATTTCAGAATGTTTGGCTAAATTTATTTTCAAGAGAAAACTGAAGCTAAATAAAATCATTCTTTAGGGCTAGCACACGTTGTCTCGAAATAGACTGAATTCATTTGTTATCTATATAACATTTTTATATGCTTCACATTACTCACTTTATGCCATTAGGAAAGCACTGAATCTTTAAAGAGAAACTTCCTACAGCTAAAAAAGACATTAAGGGAGAAAAATGCTGGGAGCCATAGTGACAGGTACAACTAAGCTTGTATCCTTCGGTTCCCTGGAAACCAATCAAACACTATCTCATCTTGCAATGGTTGTGTCTGATCCTCTGCTTCAGACATCTTCCTAATAATGGCAACTGCAGAGGTGACTCTCTGCAAATAAGGGCTTGCAGCCACTGGGCATCCATCACATTTCTCCAGAGCAACATTAGACCACCCTAATGGGTACTCCCGTCTTCATTATGATATTAATTCTCTAAATTTCCGAAGTGATTTCATTTGTAATATGACAAAGGCTGGCTGCTCAGGAGACAAACTGTTTTCATCCCCCTCCTGCATGCTCACAAAGGCTTGCTCTCTTTAGTCTTTGGGGGAAAAGGAATTTGATAGCATCAGATCTCTTGTGATACACAAGGCTGGCTAACAGCTACACCACCTGCCAGCACTTCATGCCTGGCCATCCAGCCTGAAGCTTTCTAAAGCAGTGGTTGATGAGTGGAACATGGATGTTGATTTGGAAAGAAACTATGTGGAGAGAAAACAGCGGCAGAATAAAAAACTCGGCATGGAAGCTGACTGGGATTTGAGGGTAACAGTGGGGTCAGAGAGAGGCTAGAAACAGAATCAATTGCAATAGGGCTGGTTTGGTAGATGCTATCTAACATCATGATTTTTTTCGCCCTTGTCCATTGCAGTCGGTCGTGGCTACAAATTCCAGGGCTGCCAACTGTATACAACATCCAAAGGAGGGCAATTCATTTTCCTTTCAATATGCTAACCTCTATGGACTTTAATTCAATCTCCCACATCAAAATTAGCTTATCTTCTACAATGCCTACTAGATATAAAACTCAGACTCTCACACACACACACCCACAAAATCCTGTCTTGATCAACATAGAGGATTTTCCACTAACTGATAATCATAATTCCTAATGGGATTAGGCATCATAGCTAGAACATCTGAATTGAGTACAAAATGCTAAATTTTTGAGAAGTCAAGCACTGATGAAAATACTGATGTAGATTTAATTTTTTTTCTACTTTCCCTTTCCTTGCTTTTTTCCGGCAAACTCTTGCTCTTGCCTTAACTGTTGACATTTAATTCATTTAAAAAATTCTTTTTAGAAAAGACTAAAGAAAATTCTTATTTTTCAATTAAGCATAGCCTAATAAGTAGATCACTGTTACTTAAAAATTCAGTATCCTAATTAGAGGTAGCCTAGTTTAGTGGTAAATCATCAGCAAAAGCTGAATTTCATTTTGTTAGCAAACTGCAGTCTTGCAAAAGTGAATGAAAGGAACTACTTGGCTTTCTTTTTTTCAATTTTAAATGAAGAAGCTAAACTGTAGACTCCAACAAGTTTTACTATTTTATATTGGTTTATATTTATATTAATATTTAAAATATTATTTTACATTATATCTGAATTTTTGTCTGTGTTCAAACGCCTGGTATCCAGGCAGGATGTATGTAGGCCATATCTCCTTCTTACAAATTTTAATTGAATATTCATATAATTGACCTAAAATTTCAGAATATTTGCTGTAGTTTCAGATCTGTAGGCCATGATTAGATTTGGACAAAAATATAGCTTTTATACTATACTTATTTATTTTAGTTTTCATTATAAATGAACTAGAACCAGATCCATCATATACGTTGCTATTAGAAGTGTCAAAATAAAGATGTATAAAATTTTAATAAAGTAAAACAATTATTTGAGAATGATAAATTTTGCTTCTTTCCCCAAGCCACAAATTCTTCAAAAGAAAACAAGAGAACATTACTGGCTATTTCATCTCTCATCCATCCTATTATTCAGTTTAAGATACTATCTTATAAATTTCTTAGTAGTTTTGCTCTTTTTGTTTAAAAAATATATTCAAAGCTAAGCTTTGTCTATTTAATCTAAAACTTCTGTAAATGTTATAGTTTTTCTTTTTAGAAATTGAGAGTTGATTGTTTTTCTGACAACTCAATTTCTAGAATAAATCATATATCAAATTGTAATATTGTGCTTCTCAAGATTTTCAGGGGTTAAAGTGCATGCCATAAAAAATTTTAACAGGAATCTTGTGAATATTTGCAAAATCTAAGTACAGACCATTGCCAGATTAGCAATGTCTGATTTTAAATGTCTCTTCCATACAAGTGCGAGACACTTCGGGTTTCACTGTTTCTATAAACATCATATAATCCTGTTCACCTGCTAGTTTCTTCTACAGCCATGAAGTGCCAGGCTCCCCTGCCACCACTGTAGAATGGAGCTGGATGGTATGATTTCAGGCAGGGTACATCAGGGAGATTCCTTTTATGCTGGAGGGTTTTCCTTGTGGAAGATGTCTTCCTTAGGCCCCAAGTTGGAACAAAAGAGTTGAGTTACATTTGTTCAATTATCAGAGGTTTATTGAGAGCCTCCTATGTGCAAGCTAGCTTCTCCCTTCCAAATGTCCTTCTGAGAACTTAGCATGTTTCACTTTCTTCAAATAATTGGAAACATATTGTTTCCTAACATACACCTAACACACAGGGCCTTTGATGTTGGATTAGTTGAAAATGGATGATATTTCACTGCAATATAAATAAGAAATAAACAAGTAGAGGATTGTCAGGCTCCTGACATCTGACTGAAACGAAATTAAGTCTAAGTTCCTTGAGTTTATGAATCAGTTCTTATTTGTTTAATTATCTATTATTTGTATAGAGCAGGTAGTTAATATATCTCCATAAAACTAAACTGAAACTATACTAAGATCCACAACTGATACATTTCCACTCATTTGCAATATAGAAATTCAAACCCATGGTTTGAACAATTTGTGGGATTAATGAGAACACTGTAAAGAGTAATAGCATGCTATTATGTTGACAATAATATATATAGCATATTGCCATAACATGTTTTATAGTGTTAGGAATTTTTAATGATCAATAGTTTGGTTTTAGGTATAAGCAAAACACATATCTAAATTATTTTACGTTACTCCTGAAAATCAAATCAATTTCATGTACTATGTAAAATGATTTCTATATTGCTGGTTTCACAACTGACATTTACCTACCATATTTTAAGATATTACTTCATCAAAATGCTTTTCACTTAAAAATAAGATGAGCAAAGAAATCACCAATGAATGCCTTTGCAGTGGTAAATGGTATAATAAACATGCATAAGGCTAGGGATCACAATGGATTTATCAGTCCAGTGATTCTGCATAAATCCAGCAAGATGGCAGATGTTTAGGTTCTTTTTTCCCATAGTTGCCAACTGAAGAGATCCAGAAGAGAGTTTAGACTTTACTCTAATGAGTACTATTTCTTGGAAATCAACTTTCTGATCCAGTAGGCCCCACTAATGCCTTGTTAAAGCTGTTGTGAAGGTCCTACATTAATCCAGCCCTTCGTAATCACAAATTGGGACTCAGGGTGTTCGGCAGAGACAGGCACAGTCATGTTAATATGGAGAAAATTAGCTTTCCTGTTAGATTATGCTTTCACATTCCTATAGCTAAAACCCAAGGTGGGTGGCGGAGGGTGGTAGCGTGGGCCGCGGAGTGGGGTGGCGGGGGTTGGCGGCTACCCGAATGTTGAACTCCCCACAACATGGGAAATAGTAAGTCCCAATATAAGTTTTTGTTTTTTTTTTTTAAATTCACTAGTACAATGTGCTCTACACAATGTAAGAGTACTAGTCTACAAATTACAAACCTTGGCTTCCAGTTCCAGCATGGCCAATAAATGGCTCTTTGTCCTTGGAACCATTTAAACCCCGAGAGCTTTAGTTTCCTTACTAAGAGAGGGAACTGATGAAAATAATCTCTCAGGTCTTTTTAAAATTCTAACATAATTTCTATTTTTAAAAACACAAAGTAGACTTCTTTACTAATTTACACTAATTACAGACTCTTTTTTTAAAAAAGCAGGCAGAATATTCACTTATTCTATTATTTAAAAAATACTTGCAAAAGGGATATGGTTCTTTTTTACATAAACATGCCCTTGCTTATTATTCATTATTCTTGCTGTTAGAAGTAACCTAGGGATTTTTGGTGAGAGCGTTATCCATAAGTAGTTTTTCCAATAGACATTTTCCTCCAGAGTAGCAAAATTCTATTATTATTGTTTCAGTGATAAGAGAAGCATCAAGTTGTAATAGTGAAAGAAGAGTTTGAAAATTACTGATGTATTTTCCACTTGGTTTAAAAAACCAAGTGGAAAAAACACTGAGAGAATTAAGGAGAAAACGACTAGCAATTTTCTTTTATTTTCAGCTCAAGAAATCAAGAGTGTGCTAGAGGTAGAAACTCTTACCATTGTAAAGATGAGGCTTCCTTTAAGAGGGGGCCTGTGTCTGCTTGGAAAGCTCTTCCCCCAGATATCTGTATTGTTCATTCTGTCACTTTATTCAGGTGCTTGCTATGATATCGCCTCGTCAGAGAGAATGTTTCCTGATAACTTGTTGAAAATAGCATCCTCTGTCACACTCTATCTCCTTCCTCTACTTTATTTTTCCTTACATAATATTTATCACCACCTGAAATGTATTTATTTATTGTCAATTCACCCTCCCATCCCCAACGTGAATGGAAGCTGCATGAAGTTACTGTGTCACTAGTGCCCAGCATAGTATTTAGTGTATAGAAGCTGCTCAACAAACATTTAATAAATGAACTCCTGTAAATATTTAGTGCAAGCTGATGGAATTGACCCAGTATGAAATAAGGATTTTTTTTTTTTTTTTTTTTTTTTGCATCAGGGGAAGCCCAGAATCTAGGGTAGGGCATGCCAACTCTGATGCCTACAAAGATTAAAAAAGATAATTGTAAATATGTGGGTAAATACAATAGGAGGTGGTAAGAATCATTGTGAATGGAAGAATTTATCGATATCTAAAAAATTTCACATATTTCAAACAGTGTTGGAGTCAAACCAAACATAGCTATGTGCTATATTTGACTCACAGGGTCTACCTGCTTATAATGTGTGCAAGGTAACCTTTGTGGAACAGCGTAAGTAGGAATGACCTTGTGTTTTATTATGAATGAGGCAAAATACAAACCAAAATAAATAAAAACCTAAAACAGAAGCCACCTGAAAATCTGAATAGGTGTTGATATTGAAGGTCACCAAGAAACAGAAATTGAACCCCTAGATATTGAACCTGATCGTGACATCAGGGTGTTTATCAATAATTAACTTGATATTTCTAGGAGAACAATGTTTAACGTGATTCTAAGTATTCATTATAAATCCATATTTCTCAAGCTTTACATCCCTTGCTTCTAGAGAAAGCCTCCTTTGTCTGCAATTGGATTCCTTTCAGAAAATAAGATCACTACAGACACCATATTTCTGACATTTTTTAAAGGCAAAAATGACAAACTTGTAAACTCTAATTCATATCCAGTCTTTGATTACAGAGCATTATTTATGGCTTCTGATGCTTTCAAGAACTCTTTACCAAGAATACTGTGTTGAAAATAAAATGTGCAGGTACAGAGATTTTAGTTACGGGAAAGGTTTTGTTCAGAGTCCTGCTTCATTCTAGCTGCACCGACTTCAGGGTTCTAGGTATGTTGCTTCAAGCTGCACTTAAGGCACTTTAAAACTGAGTTTTCTTCTGCTTGTTTATAGTCACCCCAACTGCAGTTTAACAAGTAATAGCTGTTCAGTTATCTAGTTTCCCATTTTCCCATACCAAGCTTAGCTTCAGAGACAAATCCAGCATACAAATATCCAGAGAGAGAAGTCGCCTTAGGTATGAGGGATAACTCCGCTTAGCTCTCCAGATATTGTGTGCTTATTAGGTCATCTTATGGCCTGACATAGTAGTTAATATTAAAATGAACTTGCAGGTCAGCATGGAGGTAGCCTACTCCTATTTTTTGGCCTATTTCTAGGAACCAGTAGGAATGAAGTCAGTGGGTTGGAATTAGTTGCGGAATTCTCTTTCCTCCCTATTTATTTCTCTTCTAGTTCAAAAGAAGGAAAGGCACATCTATGTAGATATTCATAACTAGACACAATAAACATATTGAAAAAAGGTAGAGTCAGATCCAAATATGTTTAGAGGCCACTGACTTCTCAATGTAATTTGGTAGGCATTTATTAAAAGTCTCCCATGTTTTAGACTCTGCTTGGTTTCTACTGCCAAGAAGAGGGTGATGACATACCCTGTAAACATATTACATGCATAGTAATGCAAAGGACCACCAGGCTAGACATGCCAACAGGAACATCATATTTGGCTATACTGCAGGCTTTTTCTTTTAGATGTGCATAGTGGTACATAATTACACTTTATTTCTCAATTTGTACATTTATGATAAATTCCAGATCTTTTAACAGCATATGCATCCTAAATTCCAGTTTTAACACTGACAAGAAGAAATGGAGTGGCCAAAGATACAAGAGAATTTCTATCTGGACATGCTAATAAAAAATAGATTTCGTAGTATTCCTCAATCTTTATTTGTCTGTGAGAAAAAGTAAATTCCAAGGGTAGCTTAGTTGCTTAGAGTTCAAACCTGGAAACTATTAACAGAAGTGCTGATCTTAGCTATTCTGAGGGTAAAGAGAGAAGAGGGTGTTTCTCAGGCACTAAATATAGGTTTACAGAGCTTCCCATCAAATGGTGATGCACTTCAGGAGCAAAGACAGGCAGCAGATATCTGGGAAAGGAAAGTGAAGTTTGAGGGAAGCCATTGTGAACATTACATGTTTTCCATTATGCACAACTGCGCACGTGATGAGGATATCTGTAGTCAACATGAAAAAGCCTGATTACCTAACTGGGTACACACTTGGCCTCTGAACACAATTGAAGCAGAGCTTCTAATGCATCTGCAACTGTGGGCCACTTGATGTACCTGAAGCCCTGTCACTGGGCAACATGAATGTGCAGAAAGCTCTTAAATTCAGCATTTGAGGTGGGTGGAACAAGCTACTCAACTTTTCCCCCTCCTCTTTGCTTCTCCTTTTCTCCTTTCTTTTCCCTGTTCCCTTTGTGAATTTATGATTCAGAAATTATTCACACTGACTTCAAGCTCTGTCATTTCTTTATAGGTGTTTTATGCCTGCTCTTGGATTTTCATCTTGTCATTGGGTCTAGAAGTGGTGGTATATCATTACATTAAAATACTTTCCTGTGCTGAATCTGTCAGCCTGGTTAAATCCTGTGTGGGGAGAGCCAAACTAAATTCTGAAATGATCCACTGGATCTTTCTGCAAACATTAATAAGAGAAAAATTATTAGTTCTCTAAGTTGAACAAATACTACATTAAAAATAAAGAGCTGCATGATATGACATTGAAACTTTTAATTATGACTTTGTTTATGTTGCTGAAATATTAGCTTTTGGAATGTTTCTGCGGGCAGTTGATGTAAATGGCAGTTACATACTGCTTGATGAATGCTTCTTATCTTTCTCGTCTTTTTTTTATGTTTGGGTACTCTACTTGTTCTATTCTCCATAATGAATACAAGTTGCTGCATGTGATTATAGTATATAGGTTAGGATTATTTATTCTTTCTTTTCTGAGTAATCTTCAGAACCATGTAATAGAAGGGCAATTATCTCATCCTAGACATATAGCCTTACAAAGAACCTTGAATACATACTTTCTATATTATTTTTCTGTTTCTCTTTCCTCTCCATTGCCCCACCATTTCTCTTTCCCCCATTCCTTCAAATTTGCATGTGCTTGTCTTGAGATAACTGACTTTTCTCAGTGAGAGCAAGATAATTATTAACCAACTGGGCCACTATCTACATTTGCCAGTTTGTCTCTAGTACTGAATGAAAAGGGATTCCTGTAGTAGCTTAGTAAAGTTTGCATTGTACAGATAGCTATTAGAATTGCCATATTAATATATGTAACTAACACCTTGCTATTTGAATACATTTCAGGAAATATTTATAGAAGTACAAAATATAAATCTAAATTCTGGGCAAAATTATACAAACAGTTCATCTCTAAACTCTATTACTTATATAATTGAAACCTGGACGTTTAAAATGACAGGTTCATTATTAAGTGCAATGTACTTTTTGTTCTGAAGAGACAAAAACCTTTGTGTCTTCCTAATCTTCATGGAAGCTCTACTAGTGGTTTGTAGGTAGCACTATGCCTGGTGAGACTATTACTACCTTTAGGGTGTCTATCTGGATGGAATAAGAAAAGTTTGATGAAAGAAGTGGAATGGAAATTTGGTTTTGTCTGTTTATTTAAAGTCACAAGAGGCTTATCTCTCTCTCTCTCTCTCTCTCTCTCTCTCTCTCCCTGTGTGTGTGTGTTTGTGATTAATTTTTGCAGCTTCATCTTTGTTGATCTTTTGCAGTCATTCCTGGGAGTTTATATGCTTAAAAATAATTTCTAGAAACTAGAGAGAATGGTTTCCTGAGTAAATGACCACTTATGACAAGATTGAATTTACTCTCTGTGTTTGAAAAGATGCTCTTGCTCACCTGGGAGCTTTACTTTTGGCAGGTTACTAGTAATCCTTTCTATGGAATGCTGTCATTCCATGACAATTAAAAAAGAGAGGGCTGCATTTCCAAGATTTCCCTTCTAGGATTTCATGAGATTTTGAGCCTCCAAGAGTAAAGCAATAAAATATCGCCTGGAGGTGGGCGGCCTCAGAAAGAAAAATACACACCAATATTCTCAGTTACCCCTACCCAAAACAGAATCTCTGAATGTAAATTAAAATGAAATTATCTGTGTTAATGCAGGGGTGCATCTTTTGAAAGTCATTTATGTTAAACTTAGGTGGCATTCTGTCAATTGGCAAGGGTATGTATATCAGATTTATTGTTTAAATTATGTTGCATCTAAGCTAATAATAGAATCTCAGCAGTTTACATTTCTTGCAAAAGTGATAATGAGAGAGAAAAGGCTCAGAGGTGTATTAGATGGCAAATGGTAGCCACTCTGATAGCAATCATTTTTAACAGATAAGCCACAAAGTAGATAATTTACACCTGGGTGATCTGTAGACTACTAGAAATGACTATAAGTATATTTGCTTTTAGTATTCTTGCTTACACATACATTGCTATCGGATTGATTCCTGAAAAGGAATGTCAACAGAGATAGGATGTTGAGGTAAAAACATGTTACAGGGTGCCAATGGACTCAGATCTGAACTCCAACTCTGATGTTTCTAGTTTCAGATTTTGAATAAGCCTTCAAAGTCTATGAGTAGTTTCTCTATCCATAATATGGAATGATATACCTATTTTTCTTATCTAACATATTTTGGATCCTGAAGTTAGGAAATATGGTTACAAATTTGCTAAGACACAATTTTGGGCCACAAATAGATCAGGGGGTGGGCAGGAAACAGACAAGTAAAGTAGCAATTTCACTCTGGCAGGAAGAGTTAGAAGAGAAGTTGGATTGAGGCCCTCTATCATCCGCCTTGTAATAATTCATATCTCTCTCTCTTACTGAACAATGAAATCCTTGAAGTCAGGAATCATGTATCATTTACTTTAAAATCAACAGAAACGTAGAGTTAGGCCATAACAGGCACAGAAAGCATTTTTGTAGAGTGATTCTTAAACCACTCAGGTTAGATAAATGTTGTAACCCAGGATAATGAAAGATAAACATAGAAACAAGTACTGTGTGCATGTTGTTGGGCCAACACCAACCTTACAAGTAGGCAAAGGAGGTGGTTCTGTGCTTGATTAGATGAGATCATATTTTCAACATACTTAGGACACTATTTGGAGTGGAGCTCACTAAACAGAACTATTATATATACAATGATATAAGAAGTGGGAGCCATCAAAACATCCACTCAACCAAAATAAACTGCGGTAAAGCCCTAACACTTGAGTGTGAATTAATTTTTGATATTAGCAAGCTTAATATCAGAACCCAGATGGTATATGAGATTTAGGAGGAAAACTTGATAAGAAAGGAAGAAGGAAAATTCTATAGCCTGGAGCCCTTTGGTGAGAACCGGACCCATCAGGGTGGATCCCGGCATAGCCATAGGCTTCCCTCTTCAGCCAGGGGGAACATGATGCCATTAACTTTCTGAGCCTAAACTTTGGGAAAGTTTTGCTGAAAATGGTGAGATGAGCCTGACTGCAGTCTTCACCTAGCCGTGGGAGAGTCCTGGGTGACTCTGTAAGTCTGCCAACAAGGTAGAGAGAGGGGATGGAGAAGCTTCATGTATTCAACTCCCTCATGCCACGATAAGAAGTGAGAAATAAGCTTAAGAATGCATCAAAGTGGGAGTAATGATAGGGGTAAAAATGGCATCTATATATTTCCTTCCCTGCTCCCAAGATACTAGAAGACATCAGTTAGTGAAATGAAGAGTTCCTAGGGGGCAGAAAGCAAATAATAAGAGCTCTATAAACCACTTTGATTACTCACTTTCCTTCCAACTCGGGTGCCATTCATGTAAGCATTCTTGTGAAGGATGAGCTATCAGCTAAGTCATACCAGGGAACTGCCAATACAAAAACATCAGTATGCACCTTCAGTATTGAATGGAAGTCAAATATTGGGCATGAAGATTGCTAAGCCAGTCTAAGGAACAAAACTCCAAAGGCCACCAATAGAGGGAAGTCCTGTACTTTTCATTAAGATTTAGCAATTTGTGATTTGTTTTCAGTATTAGAGAATAATCCTCTTTATTAATGTTTGCAGCAGATACATGAATGGTGCAAATTGCATGTTATAATTTGCCATGGAAATCTTATTGTCTCAATTAAGTATCCATTTAGTTAGCACATTCTTCAGCGAACTATTCTTCAAAGGCCTGGTGGTATTTCATGGTACGTCAGTCCATAATTTGCTTCTCCAGCTTAATTGCCAAGGGCATATATCCTGACTCCTAGCCTGAGGTTGGCCTTGGAAAGTATAAAGTTATGTTTGTTAAATGCAAGCCTCATGATCTCTGGACAGCGTTAGCAATAATCTTCCTGCCCATTGCACAAATTCCTCCCTGTAAATGCCAGTGATCATGGTGTAGACAAGCATGGAGTCCAATCCTGTGATTTTCCTTGAAAACTAAACTTCTTGTCAGCTTCTGAAGCCCCCTTCTTTCAATGTTAGCATTTTGTTAAAGTAAATGGAATTAGAAGTAGAGATAAATCAGCTTAATCACACATGAAGCACGATTTTTCATGAGTTACCGCACTCATTTTTATATGAAACAATGAAAACATGAACTTGTTAATTTGCAGCAAGGTTGAAAACTTCTAAAAATATTGAATTTCTGTTTTAAACACTTGTCTATGTTATGTAGAAATAAAACATTTTTGGATCATTCAGCTCTGAGTCTAGATTTGAATAATGAATATTCTCTAACATTGTTTATTCTAAAGAGAGAAATGCCTATTGTATATGTGTGTATGCACACATAAATAGACTTTTTATAGTTTTGGAATTCAAGTGGAAGTGTATGTAATTAATCTTTCAATATGGTATGTCAGCGTAGAAAAGGTATGGATTTCATATGAGTAAATTTATTTTTATTATGAGGAAATAATAAAAAGGATAAATTTTCCAATATTTATACAGTTTACCTCATATCTGATTCTCAAAAAAATAAATAAATAAATAAAGCCTGAGTGAAGGTAAGCATTCCCCTAAGTGGCACAGGTGGCAAGGAATCTTCTAAATTTTGAAATATTTTGAAACTCTCATTGGATTTGCTATTATTCTGACAAATGAATTCAGAAGACAGCCATGCTCATTTTAATTAATTACAACATAAACCTTTAAAGAAAACCTTTGCCTTTAATTTGTTTGCTAAACCAACACAATGTTTCAGCGCTGCACAAGTTGTGGACTGCAGAGGTTGCATAAGTTGTGGACTGCACAAAGATGACTGGTTGAAGGGCTTAGGGGAAGTCTACGTCTAGCCTGTTCACAACTGATCGTGCCTTTGCCCTTGGGGTGGCATCATCCACCTTTAATAATTCCCACAAAAGTGTTATGTGGATACTGTGTAATTTTAGTGTACTTTCATTTCTAGTTTTAAATTTCCCTTCTAACACTGTCTCACTGTCTCTAGGGTCCAGTTAGAGCAATATTTGAAAGAATCAACCAATAGAAGGAATCTAACAAATCTGGCTGGTGTTTCCTCCATTGTGTTGACTGCATTGACTTAAATCATGTATTTATCATAAGAAAACAACTTAAGTCCAGAAAAATTTAGCCAAGAATAATAAGTTTCATTTTATATTTCACACACTACCCCCAATAAAAGCTGAATGATCTCATTTGGAGGAAACTCTTATGCATGTCAAAAATCAGGGTTCATAACAATAAATTATGTTTGTATTACTCATATAACTTTATACTTAAAAAAAGAGTAGCTGGCCGGGCACAGTGGCTCACACCTGTAATCCCAGCACTTTGGGAGTCTGAGGCAGGTGGATCACGAGGTCAGGAGTTCAAGACCAGTCTGGCCAAGACGGTGAAATCCCGTCTCTACTAAAAATACAAAAATTAGCTGGGCATGGTGGCGGGAACCTGTAATCCCAGCTACTCAGGAGGCTGAGGCTGGAGAATAGCTTGAACCTGGGAGGTGGAGGTTTCAGTGAACCAAGATTGTGTCACTACACTCCAGCCTGGGCAACAGAGCAAGACTCTGGTTCTAAATAAATAAACACATAAATAAATAAATGTAGCTATAGTTTTTTAACCAAAATATATGCTATAAAATAATCTATTCACAATTTTTTTACATCCTTACTCAATTGCCATAAAATGTGTTTTATAAATAATAATATGAATTATTGTGTCCAGAATTGTTTCCTTCTGGTGGGTTCTTGGTCTCACTGACTTCAAGAATGAAGCCATGGACCCTCGTGGTGAGTGTTACAGTTCTTAAAGATGGTGTGTCCGGAGTTTGTACCTTCAGATGTTCAGATGTGTCCGGAGTTGGTCTGGGTTCGTGGTCTCACTGACTTCAGGAGTGAAACCGTAGGCCTTCACAGTGAGTGTTACAGCTCTTAAAGGTGGCGCGTCTGGAGTTGTTCGTTCCACCTGGGGGGTTCGTGGTCTCGCTGACTTCAGGAGTGAAGCTGCAGACCCTCATGGTGTTACAGCTCATAAAGGTAGTGAGGACCCAAAGAGTGAGCAGCAGCAAGATTTACTGTGAAGAGCAAAAGAACACAGCTTCCACAACGTGGAAGGGGACCCAAGCAGGTTGCCTGCTGGCTTGGGTGTGGCCAGCTTTTATTCCCTCATTTGGCCCCACCCACATCCTGCTGATTGGTCCATTTTACAGAGTGCTGATTGGTCTGTTTTACAGAGTGCTGATTGGTGCATTTACAAACCTTTAGCTAGACACAGAGTATTGATTGGTGTGTTTTTACAGAGTGCTGATTGGTGTGTTTACAAATCTTTAGCTAGACACAGAGTGCTGATTGGTGTGTTTACAATCCTTTAGCTAGACAGAAAAGTTCTCCAAGTCCCCACCTGACCCAGAAGCCCAGCCAGCTTCACCTCTCATTATGACTGAGTTGAAGTGTGAGATTTGATTGTTTCATTTATATTTATCTTAAAAGAGGTACCCGTTTTAATTACAACGATGAATAAAATATAGTATTCGCCCTGAGATAAATTAAGGATATAAATATACACTCTATTGGTATAGAGAGATATTAGATGTTATGGTGTGGAGTAGTCACCTTTAGTGAAGGAAAAACTTTAGGAAGGGAAAAACTTTAGGGAAGAGAAAAACAACAAGAAGTGATTCAGAAAACCAAGTGATATATTCAAACTATTAGGCCTGCTTCATACAGGAATGCTTGACTCTTCTCATTTTGCCAAAAACATGGGATATTTCTATTCCATGTCTTTTACAACACACTATTCACAACCGAATTTGGTGCTGGAAAAGAATGTCTGATTCCTTCATCTATTAGTTTTGATTTTTGATTCAGTTAGAGAGACTATTATGATTCTCAGGTTTCACAGTCGGTTATCTAGAAGACAATGTTTTTTGCTTGGTGTTTTCTTTCTTTGGTGAGTTGGCTAGGAGATTTCTACACGTCCAAGAATCCTCAAATGCTAGCAAGGCCAGCCCTTAGTGTTGATGAGAAGCAGGTGTAGCCTGCGTTTAGAGGCCCCCATCTCTGTGTCAAAATAACTTCCCTGTGTTTTGCAAATCTGATCACCTTCCCTTTATGCAAGCCATATTGCTGTTCTTATACTCCTCTCTTCTAAAGCTCAAGAAAGAAAAGTACAAACTGAAAAGTTATGGATGTCTTGTTTGAGACATTTATATGTTGAGGATCTAAAAGCCCTGCCTTAGCTTGTTGTAAAAATAGATATTGTTACTGAATAATTGCAAAAGAACATCATTGAATGCAGAAAGAGCTTCTTATTTTATAGTTGTAGAAATTGAGTCCCAGAAACCTTAAATTACTTCTGCAAGTTCATGATGAAAGGGTGGCAGAGATGAGTGAGAAGACTTGTGATATCCCTCAAACCACACCCCATGGGTCTCTTCTTTCTTGTTTAGAAATGCATGTGTTGATCATTTAGCCCTAGGCTTCATATCCTTTTATTTGTAGAACAAAGTGTCTAGTCACTGATGTAATATGTGAAATTTGCCAAGTCTTCTGTCTTTCATCTCTGAGAGGCAGTGTTAATATAATTATTAATAACAGTAGTAATAATACTTGGCATGGTAGAGACTATTTATCAAGCATTTACTATAAGCTAGGCACTATTAAAAGTGCTTTATATTACGGACTTAACTGATCCTCAAAATAATTTCATGACCTTGGTAAAAGAAAAAAGATCCTTATTTATAGATGAGGAAATGGAGGTTCAGGGACTTTTCTGAAGTCTCACAGCTGGCTGTGGCAAAGCCAATATAACTCAAAATCAGGAATCTGGCTTTAGAATCTGTGCTACAAACCGATATACTGCCTCTCATAGAGGATTTCTTTCTTTCTTTTCTTTCTTTCTTTCTTTCTTTCTTTCTTTCTTTCTTTCTTTCTTTTTCTTTCTTTCTTTCCTTCTTTTCTTTCTTCCTCCCCCTCCCCTCCCCTCCCCTTGCCTCCCCTCGCCTCCCCTCCCCTCCCCTCCCCTTCCCTTCCCTTCTTTCTTGAGACAGAATCTCACTCTGTTGCCCAGGCTGGAGTGCAGTGGCGTGATGTCAGCTCATTGCAACCTCTGCCCCCCCGGGTTCAAGCGATTCTCCCACCTCAACCTCCTGAATAGCTAGTATTACAGGCACATGCCACTACACTGGGCTAATTTTTTTATTTTTAGTGGAGACAGGGTTTCTCCATGTTGGCCAGGTTGGTCTCGAACTCCTGACCTCAGGTGATATGCCCGCCTTGGCCTCCCAAAGTTCTGGTATTACAGGCGTGAGCCACCGCTCCTGGCCCTCTAATGTGTTTCAACAATGAGTCAAGTGGTGTCTGTGTGTATGTGTGTGTATATATGTGTGTACATATATGTTTGTGTTATTCATGATATATCCCATATTGTGTTAACATATGTGCAACGAATTCTTTCTTTATGTAAGCAACAAAAAAATTTTCAGAAAAAAATAATTGAGTTATGGGCACTTATATTTACTCCACTGGGATTAACTTTGCGGGCTCACGATTTGTGGAGATAACTGAAGAACACAGCAGAAAGATAATCAATGATTTAATGATTACAATTAAAGTACAGTTATTAGGTTTTCATAACATTTGTTTAGGAGCACTATCCTTCCTGCTTCACACAATATTTGTTTATCAAAACTGTCAATCCATAAACCACGCTTATAGCTGGCAAGAAAACCTAATACAGAAAGACAAAGGAGAAAATCAGCATATTTTTTAGATCTTTGATGTCCCTTCCTGCTCCCCCCTTCTCCCAACTATTCTGAATAGAGAGAAATGGTTTTAATGGTGCTTTTGGTCAAGAACATAAGGGAACATTTTTGTCACTTTCACTCATCCCCAGTGTTCTCTCTTAGGCCACCACCCTCCCATCTCGCATTTGAAACCCCAGGGTTCTTTTGAAAAGACACAGCCTATTCTTCCTTTTAAAATGAAATCCCAAATTATAGGAGGAAAAGGAATTTGTGCAGTGTTCCTTCTTGCCTCTCAGAACAAGTACAGCAAAACTAAGTCTGGATATTGTTTCCTTCAGTAGTTTTATTAGCCAAGAAGTTTATGTGCAGGAAATCTATTTTAAAATTTATAACTGGCTTAGACTGCAGACACATATGGTTTATTTGTTACTAATACTCTTTATGTTTTGTTTTCTAAGCATTTATGCTGTTAACTTTTTGACTTGATAACTTAGCTAACATTATTTAGAAAATAAATACCTAATATGAGTCATGGCATATTAAGGGTGTTACTAAGTATGCAGAAATTAGAAAGACTGCTCATATTTTTCTTTTCGAGACAGGGTTTTACTCTGTCATTCAGGCTGGAGTGCATGGCTTACTGTAGTCTCATACTCCTGGGCTCAAGCCATCCTCCTGCCTCAGCCTCCAGGGTAGCTGGGACTACAGGGTCACATTACTATGGTTGGTTAATTCTTTTTTCTTTTCTGTTTTTTTTTTTTTTAGAGACAATCTTACTATGTTGCCTAAGCTGATCTTGAAATCCGGAACTCAAGTAATTCTCCCCCTCCCAGAGTGCTAAGATTACAGGTGAGAGTGACCATGCCTAAAAGAGGCTGCTCTTTTAACAATATTGTGTAATTTAATTTAGCCAGCAAGCTTTTATGTGATTAATATTTATGTCCAAAGCTGGGTAGGTCTGTATATTCTCTATAAACATACAGAATAAATATCTTTTGTCAATAGTGAAAAGGGAGAGATGAGTTTCAGAAGAAAAAGTAGACACTATTTGTGAGTTACTTTTAGCCTAGCACTTTCATCTCTTATAAAAATATTCAAAATATAGCAATGCATTTAGAAATATCAAAGTTCAAACTGTTTAAACTTAATTTGCATCATATTACATCAGATCAAATTTCTAGTTATTTCTTCAATCAATATTTATGATATGCCTGTATTTTAATAAAAATCCAAGAAACGGAATGAAGCTTTGGTTTTACTGCAAATGCATCTACCTGTATTTATTATAAATATGAGCCTAGCAGGCATTTAGCAGAGAATCATGTCAGTCAAACCAGTGTCAACATATTAATACTCTTCTTCTAATTAGGAAATGGAACTGAGGTAGCATTTTTATCATGATGTCCTTTGTGATTGACACATGTCTGTGCTGAAATACATTTTTGCACAGATTCATAGTGTAAATGGATAATTTGCTTTCAGATAAAGTCCTCTTTTAAAAGACTTTAAAAATAAATCCAAGAAACACAAATAGAAATTTAACACTCTCTTTAAGAATGTAAAAGGCAATAAAATGCTAAATGGTTAGAAGTTACAATTTAGAAATATGTATTTGCTTTATTTGTTGTTATGATTAGAGAAGAATGGATTGAATTAATCTTTGAAACACAATTGTGGCAAAATATGTGTCAAACATAAATGGCATTAAAAGAACTCATTATTTGTCTTTTATTCTTTCCTTTCAAAAAAGATGAATGCAGGCAGATGCTGTGGCTCATGCCTGTAGTCCCAGCAATTTGGGAGACCGAGGCGGGCAGATCAGGAGGTCAGGAGATCGAGACTAGCCTGATCAACATGGAGAAACCCCATCTCTATTAAAAATACAAAATTAGCCGAGCATGTTGGCACATGCCTGTAATCCCAGCTACTCAGTCGGCTGAGGCAAGAGAATCACTTGAACCTGGGAGACAGAGGTTGCAGTGAGCCAAGATCGTGCCATTGCACTCCAGCCTGGGCAACAAAAAAGACGAATGCATCTCCATTGAATTTCATTATCAAAGTTCTGTTTAAAGTCCAATATTTGCAAATTTTAACAGGTTAAGAAAATAGACTAGTCTACAAGTGACATATTTGAGAACTTATAAACTTAGCTGTCTGCTGTCTAGATTTCTATGCCATTCTCTAGATGATTTGTTTTTTTTTTTAAAAAAGATTCTTTCAACTGCAAACACCTATAAAATTATAAAATTAAAGTTCGGTTTTAGCTTTCCTATTATTTTGTTATTCCTATTATTTGTATTTTTATTCTCTATCTGTAGTTAAAAGAAAAAAAAAAAGAAAGAGAAAGGAAACAACAGCAATGACCTGAATCTCCAAGGTAAATGAGTGCTGTAGATTTTGCAAATAATATTGTCGAATCTTCAACTTCTAAACTAACTTTAGGAAATACAGTCTGAGAACGGGAACACCTCCCACATTTCTCGAGATTAATAAGAATAGCTACATTGTTACTCATTTCAAATTAGTGTTCGTTGCAAAGCAGCATCTTCTAATGTGAATTTTAAAAGTGGAAATGAAAAACATCAAAATGGTCTGATTTTTGGAGCCAAATAGTTGTAAAAATGATTAAGGAACTGCTTTCTTTCTCTTTACTGGTTTGCATTTGAGCGCTGGTTTCCTAAAGTTCATCAAGCCAAAGGGAGAAAAGAAGAAAAAAGAGAGAGGGAGAGAAAGAGAGAAAAACAGATACACAGAAAGAAATATTCTGAAAAAGTAGTAAGAAAATGAAAGAGAACACGAGTCATATAAAGATGGAGAGACTGAGCTGTAGAAACTGGTCACATAAATAGTCATGAAATAAAAAGTTTCAGATTTGTATTGAAGTAAAAAAAAAAAAAAAACTACTTAGAGAAAGGCCAACAGGCCAGACTAAATAATCCTCGACTTACCGTCCAATTCTGAATCCCATATTAGCTGCAGAGATTTTAATGTAAATATGCCATTACACTGTCATTACAGTGATCAGGCTTCATGGCTCACAGGTCACATCTCAGCCACTGTTAATTTTGCAGCCAAAAGCTTTTTTTCTCTTGAAATGTTAATAACTTTCTATTAGTTAATGTAGCGTGACTAAAATTCAGATTAGATATAATTCATTTTAATATCTGTGACTGGCTATCCTGATCATTTAGCAATGGTTTCCAGCTGAATACAAGATGCTAAATTGGACTCATTTGCATAGCCCTGTTAAAGCAATGCCATTCTAGAAATGTAGGCATCTTCAAATTAATTTAAAAGATTTTTTTTCCTCCTGGTTTTGCTACTAGGATAAAATCTTTGGTGGGCAACTAATTGAAGTTACCATGGGCCGAATGCACATCCTTTTCTCTGCCTACCCTCCCATCCCCTAAGGAAAAAAGCAGCCAAAACACTAGTAAGGAGTATTAATTGGTGAATGCAGATGATACTCAGTGCCTCAGAACCTAGAAAGGGTTCCATTTAGTACCTATAATGTTGTGACAGAAGCCTAAACTGTTGACAAGGTCTGTGACAACTGGATCTTGAAGAACATTTAGCTCCACTTTGCAAGCCTGTTTTTAACTCTCTGTATTATTTAGATTGATTGAATCCTTACCTTTTTGGTGTGTGGAGTCTAGTTTGTTAAACTAAATGGATAATATAGGTTGCTTTCCAAGGAAGACATCACCAGATTGAACAGCACCGTTGTTATTAATCCTGGACAGATTCTGGAGTCTGTTCTTTTCTTCCTTTGCCTATGTAACCCCCATTAATGCTAATGGAAAACACAGATGATACATTCATGCAACAAGGTACCACCAGAGCCCTGAATTATCAAAACATGTGGGTAGATGCTCACACAGACAATTCAATAAGTGCACCTGTGGAAGGGATTAGGACATCTTTCGTTGCACCCTGATCCTTTTTTTCCCCTTTACTTTGTCATACTTGATGATTTGTTTTCCCTTCAATTAAAGGCAAACAATGTAAAATATTAAACACTTCCCATTTGTTCACAGGTATCTGGTATCACAAACATTGTGTAAAGAATATGTAAATACTCTCATACAGCTAGATCAAAGCTTTGTTTCAGAAATCCTAACAGGATTCCTAGAAAGTGAAAACTGAAACCAATTTTTAATATATTTTTCTTGATTTCACCAACTTTAAAATCAGCTTTAAAATTTGAAATGTCCATATTCTTTTATAAATTTATTTAACAATTATTTACTTATGTAAAGATATTTGGCTTTAGGAACTTATTCTTTGGAACTTTGGAATGTAATTTTCAGAAATTAGGGTCTTTCCTTTTCCAAAGCAAAAAATAGGTCTCAGATGTGAACAACTAATGTTTTAGGGGTTTCTTTTTATTGAATTTGTTTATTTCTAGACATTAGAAAAACTATACGGCTTGGGAAAAAAGTCTCTTTATGTCTCTACTCTCCTGCTTCTTTCCTTCTTTCTCTTCTTCTTCCTTCTCTCGTCCCTGGGGCAAAATAACAGATTCTTTTGTTGCTGTTTGCAATCTGAGAATAAATTATTTTGCCATCTTTTCACCACCTCCCTACCTCCAACAATTTAATGAGGAGTATATGGTTGGACCACTAGCTGTTTGAGAGAGATGAACATCTAGTAAAAATTAATTAAATTATAGTGAATATTTTGAATAAACACAGAATTGGTAAAATCCTTCCCTTCCAAAATGTATGTGAAAATTTCCAGTTGTACAGTTCATCTTGAAAGTAAATCAACAGGCAATATTCAAAGGATGCCAACCAAATAATAAACTTGGGTAGTGATTGGCCATTGGGCAATTGAGTAGCTACACTGACAATTCCTGAAAACGACTCTTTTCTCTATTTGGTTGATTACTTCAACAGTCAATAATTAATGTAGGTTAAAAACTTTGTTAGCAGTTTCCATTTCTCAGCCTATAAACATTTTCAAATATATGTTCTTCTCAGTACCCTGTCTACCAACTTATTTCTCTCCTTCCCTCCACAACTAAACTTCTTGAAATAGTGATGATTTCCACCTCCTCCTTTCTCCTCACTCTCAATGCACTCCCTACATTCACCTTGCTCCTAATGCACTACAGACTTTCTTCCCTTCTTCCTATCCCTCCACTGAAACTTGTCATGATCTATTATTGACCAAATTCTATCTTTATCAGTGCCCCCATCTCCAGCCCAGTCAGCTCAGTCATTTGGTCAAATGATCAATTCCATCTCAAGTATCATTTCTGTCTGAAGGCTCTATGATAGTTCCTGGAGGATATATGAAAGTGCCTAGCATAGAGACCTGGATATGTAGAGTTTGAAAAATTATCCCTGTTGATTTAAAAATGTCAACTATGTTATAGTAAGTGTCCTTTGGACATCTTATCTAACTATTAGCTATGTTGGTGTCACTCAAACCTATAGCTTGAACTGAGGCCTCTTTCTTGCCAGTCTGAGCTAAATATCTGATTGTCTACTGGCTATTTTCACCAAATTGTACCATAATCAGATCGAAATAACAGTGCGCTGCTGGCTCCTTGTCTCTGTCAACCATGATCTGGTTCAGAATAGTAACATTTACCTGGGAACCCAATTCAGAAATGTGGGAGTTATCCTAGAATTACTAAGTCTATATATCTAATTTGTCACAAGTGCCACTACACCTCCTTAAAAAGTTTCTAATTCAAATCTGTCCCTTTCACCATTCTACTGCATCAGGTCAGGACTTTGTAATTTCTTACTAGGATTATATTTACTTCTCTAATCTGTTTTCATAGGCCACCCCCACTCCAATTTATCTTCGCAGCTAGAGTTGCATTTTCACAGTGCAAACCCCATTGCTCCCCCTGTTAAAATTCTTTAGAGGCTCTCCATCACTCTTAGGTTTAGAAGTCTCAATAGGGGAAATGCTTCCCTTGATGATTAGCCCCTGGGCTGTCCCTCCAGCCCTATCCCTTGCATTATCCACATTGGCATTCTGTGCCCTAGTCTAGAATAATTACTTTCATTCCCTGGGAGGAACCATGCTATTGCTTGCTTCAGTGCATTCCTTGCCTCTTGCCTACCTGGGAAATTCTTACTCATTCCTCATTACTCAGCTCAATTTTTTTTTTATTTTCTTAATCAGGCTTCCATTCTTCTTCCTTCCATGTCTTCAGATTGGGTTAAATACTAGGCCCTCTGTGCACCTGTGGTACCTTACTCATACCTTGAGTGTACTACTGTGAGATTTTACATATGTATTAGGTTGGTACAAAGGTAACTATGGTTTTTGCCATTTAAAAAAATATATTTTTTCTCTCTCTCTTGCTCTCTCTCTCTCTGTGTGTGTGTGTGTGTGTGTGTGTGTGTGTGTGTGTGTGTGTGTGTATGAGTGCCTGGATGATTGTGTGTGTTGGGGAGATTATTGGCTCTTTATAATTTTTTTAATTAATAAATGAAGAGCAAATGAGCCTTTCCAGCAAACATCTAGCCTTTATAAAACCAATCCTAAGTCTATTTTGTCTCCTTGGACTTTCATTTCACCAAAAGCATCCCTGCCTGACCATTGAGCATGAAATCTTCCAGCATCCGAATAAAACATTTCACTTTGAAAAGGTGACATTTCACATTGGTTCTGAGATTTCTTAGTTGCTTCTAGTTTTTCCTAAATTCATCTGGAATTTCCAGTTATTTGTTTATTTAGAATTTCAAAACTCTTTATGGATTTAGAAAATACTTCCCTGTATAATGACATTGGTTATTTCTATTTGGAATAAAGACACATTGATAGTTATCTTAAAATGGATCTTCCTTTAATATAATTTTATTTACAAAGGATTGGTGGGAAAAAACCTTAGCTAGGTCTCAAAAGTCTCAAATCATTGTTCTCTGGTAGATTTCTTTATCTAATAAATTATTTTAAGACAGAATAGTTTGGACCAGATTTTAGAGCTAAATTTATTTTGCTCCAGGTTTCATTTGTTTTGTAGACATTTTTTAATTCACTTCCAAGAGTCCTTCTACAAACTCAGAGAGATACAAACCTCTTCCTTTTTAAAATTATTTTGGGATTTCCTAGCTTCAATATACAAATATATAGGAGTACAAATATGATATCGCACTGTTGGATGAAGCAGATAAAAAGATTGTAACCCTGACCCAAAAAAACCAACCCCAAATAAACAAAGCAGTTCCATAAAAAAGAACCTGCAGTTGCCTTTCTGCTACATAATCCCAAGGACCCCCCCCCACTTAGACACTGTAGTGTGGGTTAAAAAGAAAAAAAATTGATTCAATGGCAATGGACTATTTTAATGCAGTGAATGTCTACTAATTTCAGTGAAAGAACTTCGTAGGATTCAGATAATATCATCTAGTCACTTCAATACAGTTATCTTATTGGATTTCCTGATTCTTTTTAACTTTTCTTCTAGATTTTACATGAATTAAGTATTAAAACGTAAATATATCTATCAGCGTCTCTTTTAAAGTATTTTCCTCTTGTCATTATTTCAAATTGCCTGTGTTGTTAAGAAGGCCACTAGACTGTATCTTGTGCAGACTTCCACTGGTGTGCTTTTAATCTACTGACTACTTTCCTTCATTATAAGATATTAATAACATTTTTAAGCATTTGAACAATTAGATGAGACAATAATAACAGCAGCATCAGGATCATTGAAACAAGCATTGGTTTCAAAATGACACTGTGATTTAACATTGTTGGGGAAAATGCCTTACAAGGATGAATGATGGCAGGATTAAATATCCAATTAATTAGTGGTTTTCTGGAAACTGGGTGAGATGAGATAAACATTGTGAAGGTGGTGGAGGTTGGAGAATGGATTTAGGGAAATGAACTCTGGTGAACCAACTTATATGAAATAATTCTAGCAAAATTGAGTCAAACCTATGGAAAGACTCAGTGCATGGGACAGAGCCATTGGAATAGGTTTTGTGAACGTAATTACTCATGACCTGGTACTTGAATATATTGGATAAAGAGAGATTAAAAAAAAAAGAAGATGTTCAGGAGGGTGGAGCCATATAAGCAAAGGATAACAATGGGAAAGGCACTTAGATTCACAGAAGTTGTAATTATTCACAGGTCTTATGTTAAATAGGGTGGTGTCAGATAATATGAGGTCTGTAATATACTCAGAGAAATCTGGACTTGAAGTGACAGGTAATGATAAGTCTTTGGAGATCTATAAGTAGGATAATAATATGAGTAAATGGCTGCCATATGGATGTTGTATTAGTTATGTATTGTTGTGTAACAAATTTAGCAGATTAGAACAACATACATTTATTATATCACAGTTTCTGAAGGTTGTAGCTCAGATTATTTCACAAAGCTATAGTCAAGCTACAGGCTGCAGTCAGCCAGGGCTGTAGGCTTGCTAGGAAAAATCCACTTCTAAGCTCAGTCACGTATTTGTGGACAGGCCTTAGTATCTCACTGGCTGTTGTTGGCCAGAGGCCTCCATTCCTTGCCACTTAGATGTCTACAGAGACTGCCTGAAAGTTTTTCCAGTATGGCAACTGGTTTTCACCAGAGCCAGTCATCCAAGAGTGAGTGATCTTATAGAAGGAAAGAGAGAGCAAAAAACCAAGATGGAAGCTGAAGTCTTTTCACAATGTAAAAGTGGAAGTTATATACCTAACTTCTCCCATATTTTGCTGGTCACAAGACCAACTCATAACATGTGGAAGAGAACTATACAAGGGTGTGAATGCCAGTTGAAGATCATTAGGGGCCAACTTACACACTGGCTACCACAGCGGTAAAGTTGAAAGGCCAGCCGAGGAGCTGATATAATTGACAGTGAGAATATGATGAAAGCATGGGAACAAAGATGGAGATAAAAGGACAAGTCTATAAGAAATGTAGAAGAAAAAATTATTCAATAATAGCAAATTTGATAAAATTAGGATAGCAAAGGCTAAAAGAGGACTTCCAGATTTTGACTTTGGACAACTGTAAGTGATCTGCTCTTGCCACAAAAAAACAAACCAAAAAACAGGGAACTCAAGGAAACTTTTGGGGATGATGGATACATTTATTACCTTCATTGTGGTGATGGTAATACAAATGTTAACATATATCCAAACTCATCAATTTGTGTATATTAATTAAGTATACATATTAAATATATGTATTTTTTGGTATACCAATTATACTTCAATAAAGCTGGGAGAAAAAAAGAGTGATCTGGCTGCCAATTGATTGGATGGTATAGAAGTAATAGTTTAAAATGTGAAGACGGCTTTATCTGTAGACCTGTTGAGTTCGAGGTCTCATCTATCCAATATGCCCTGTATATTATGTATGTATTACATATGTATTACATACGTATATGTAATACATAATGCCCTGTATTACATAGACAAGCATTCAGAAAATAACTATGATGGAACATGAGAGAGACATAGGCAAAGGTAGGTCAAAATATCTATATTAATGGAAGATGGTGAAGTGAATCTGGTCAGTCAGAAGCAGGGAAGACCAGAAAGAGGTGCTATGGGTAGTGTACATTATTCGCATAATAGATGTTTAATAAGATTTTCAGTTTCCTGTCTTTCAATAAAAGTTTGTTTCCTTCTTCCTTTTTCCCTTCTTCTTTTTATCCTTCCTTCCTTCTTTTCTTCCTTTCTCTTTCTCTCTCAGCCTTTCCTTCTCTTTTTCCCCTCCCCTCCTTCTCTCTATTCTTCCTTCTACTCTTCTTCCCTCTTGCCCTTTCTCCTCCTCTTTCTTTCTGTTAAATCATATTTACTGTTTTTTTTCCTGCCGAGAATAATCCCAGTAGTTCAGAACCAGATTAGGAAGATCCCATAACAGTTCAATGATACACTGCTTGCAGTGATATATTGCAGTGTATCATTGAACACTGCTCATTTTAATAGATTTTTTATATTAAGCCCCAAAGCTAAAACACAGAATGTCTGTTAAAGAAAATAGTATAAGAAAAAAGAATTCCAAGACAGCATTAGGAAAGAAACACAGAAATTCAAGTAGCTGTTTCATAATACCAAGCATTTTATCTTTAATGCGATAAAAATCTGGCAAAATAAGTCATCTATAAATGTGTGTGAAATTTTTATAAATCCATTTACAAGATCCATGTAGTATATGCATCCTCATCATATTTAAATGGAGAAAAGGTCTATTAATTTATGCCCCTCCCATATGCTCATTTTGTCAAAAGTACAAAAAAAGTAGGAAAAACAATGGAAGTTTTCTTTTACACTTTATTTTTAGGTGAGAAAACCCTTTTTTCACATTGGCTAATGACATCAAATATGCCTCACAGGTTACACATTCCAGATGATCCTTGAAATATAAAATGCTATTAATTCATGAAATAATGGATAGTCCCATTTTGAATCTCCAACTTTCTGCATTTTAAAAGTTTAAAGATTGTGAGTTAGCTTGAGAGCTATCACTCCACATATCATCACTCTAAACTGGTAGTCCCACTACATGTTTTTTTCTTGTTAGTTTTGTTTTGTTTATTTATGACACATGAGTGAGCTGAGATTGGTTTTAGTTTGTGAATGGCTGAAAAACAATCAAAAGAGACAATGTTTTAAGATATATAAAAATAATATAGAATTTAAATTCCGCTGTCCATAAATAAAGTTTAATTTAAAAAAAAAAAGGCCATGCTCACTTACTATGTATTTTCTATGGCTGTTTTCCCAGTGCAATAGTAGAGTCAGTCATTGCCATGGAGACCATATACGGTGCTCTCATCACTGCACTGCTGCTTGGTGTACTATAAATTGTAGTGATAGAGTTTTAACTCAACAGGGTTTCAGGTGCCACACATGTTGCCATAGTGCAACATCAAAACAATTTTTTAAAGCATTTAAATTCTTTAGCCACCATGGCAAAAGAAAAAAAAAAGAGAAAGGTGGACTTTGAACGTCATGCTTTTAATGCACAGTGAAGTGTGGACTATTATTTTAAAATCTAATTAGATGGCAAAACATTGTGGCTTATAGCAGTGACACAGTAGCTGTGCTAAAAGAACACTGTGTACATGGGCATTACAAGACTAAGCCTTCATCACAATACTCACAAGTTACAACAAAGCAGCAGTAAGAAAAATTAGGAAATTTAAAATGAAATATCTCCTCAAACGAGAATTTCTTCACACATATAAAACATGAAAATGAGTTTCCAGCCAAAGTAATTTTTTGAGCAGCTCAATTATTAGACAAGTACAGAATAAGTAATTGTAGATTGGCAGCAATTCTATTTTGATGTTTTAAATTAAGATGTCATTTCTTCTCTGCTGGATTTTATTGTTTGTGTTGAAAAGTCAAATATTTTTATTACTGTTCCTTTGCAGATAATGGCTTTTTCTCTCACCTACTTTAATAATTTCTTGTTGTCCTTCATTCTTAAGTTTTAACATGATGTTACCAGGTGTGATTTTCTTTGTAATTATTCTTCTTAGAGTTAGTAGATCTTCTTGTATCTGTTTGGGTAATTTTTTACCCAGTTTTTCTTGAAATATGACTTCTACTCCTCTATTGCTTTTCTCCTCCTTAGACTCTAGCTGCGTATATTCAGGCCTTTTATCCATGACTTAATGCCTCTTATGTTCTTTTACATCTGTCTCATCCTTTTTTCCTTTAGTGCTTCATTCTGAATTTTCTTATTTCTATTGCTGTGACTAATTGGCTGTTATATCCATATATTGATTTCTTAATTTTAGTTGTATTTTTTGTTTTACAATTTCTATTTTTTACCTTATTATGATTTTATAATCTATGATGGAATTCTCCATGTTTTTATCATATTATATTTATATCTACTAATAAAAGTATCATTGGCCTCCATTCTCCTTGATGTGAATTGTGAATGTTTCTCTTTTTTTGTTGTTGTTTGAGATGGAGTCTCGCTCTCTTGCCCAGGCTGGAGTGCAGTGGCGCGATCTTGGCTCACTACAACCTCCACCTGCTGAGTTCAAGTGATTCTCTTGCCTCAGCCTCCCGAGTAGCTGGGATTGCAGGTGTGCGCCACCATGCCTGGCTAATTTTTGAATTTTGAGTGGAGACAGGGTTTCACCATGTTGGTCAGGCTGGTTTCAAACTCCTGACCTCGTGATCCACCCGCCTCAATCTCTAAAAGTGCTAGGATTACAGGTGTGAGCCACTGTGCACAGCAGTGAATGTCTTAAGAAGAAAATGTATTAGTAAATGTTAGGAAATTTCCCTATGAATTTCCATTTTTCTCAGTTAATAGGCTTCTCAAATCCCTATTACCTTTGTTATTTTCCAGTGCTCTCAAGTAGTGCATTCTCTCTGTCTCTTTCTCTCCCTCTGTGTGTGTGTGTTTTGTCCAGCTTTTATACTTCAACTCAGGAAGATAAAAAATTTGGAATAAACTAAATCAGAAAACCAGCCCTTTCCTGCTCCATAGCTGGTGTTCAACGAACATTTTTGAATGGGGTAAGTGATGCACTCAATTCTGAGTTTGTGCTAAGTATGGAAGTTCTCACTCTCAAAGTTGTATAATTGTCAGTCCCTGCACTTGTATAATCCTGGGAGTGAGTGTCTCCTTAAATTTTGTGCACTAAACTGCCTTACTCATCTTACTTTAAGCCCTACATATGAAGTGTGCAGAACAAATTTACTCTTAAGATTCATGGTAACAGTCATAGAAAGACAATGTAATTTCCCTAAAGTCACATTGAAACCTAGAAGACTAACAAAAAAAGGAAAATAGTGTTGGTAATTATGGGTAAGATGCACTATCTTTTGGGTCAAAAGTATAGTTTCCAGCAGGATAGTATCAGAAAACCATGGGCAATGCTAGTAAAACTCAGATCAAAGCCCTGTGAGTACTTTAGAGCAGTGACAATAAAAGTAAATTTCACAAGATCAGTCCTCATGTATCCAGCACACTCCATGACCTGAAAGAAAATTTTTCGTTTGTTTGTTTTTGGGTGGTACATATTGACTTTATTGCTTGCTGTTGTTGTTAACCTCTACCAAACCCATCAGGCTTGAACTTAAATTAATGGATGACACTTAAATTCTGTCCTTAGCTTAACAAGCCTTAGTTATGAAATCAAACTATTACTGTATACTCTTTTTTCTTTTTCTCAAGCTTAGCAGATGTCATGCTAATCTCCACAAAGGAGGTAATAAAGACATTTGCAGTCAGCATGTACAGGAAAAGTATAAGAGATTCTCTCTATCAGAGTGCGATGTTTCTGTTTAAGAATACAGAATGATTTACAGGTGTTAATGGACGTGCATTATTGTTGAAACGCTGCTCAATTAAGGCATCTGTGGAGCTACAGAAAGGTCTGTGTTGAAAATGAGTGCACCTGTTTGCAATCTGCTAAAAGATGTATTAAGGATAAGATGCAGTTACCCAAAAATAGTCCTAAAAGCAGGAATTAGAAAGATTTATCTCTTTCTAGCATTCTTTTTTCTGTATTCAGTGTCTTCCTCAGGTGTGAACTAAAAACTTCATTTTGGATCAGTCATATCATGTAGGAACTAAGGTTGAGTTTAAAGTGCTGTCTCTTAAGCGAAGGTCAGTGGTTTATCCATTATAGCACCGAACCCCAAATACTTCTAGCAATTAATTATATCTATATCTGTTTTTATAGAGTAAAAGAATAAAGCAGTGACGGTCAGCAGTTTTAAGTAATACAAGTTAAAGGTGTTCTATCATTTAAAATGATATATCATTTTGGAAAGAAAATTTAAAAGCTGGTACGTGCAATCTAAAATTAAATACAGATTTTGAATTTCAGGCTGTGAAGCTAAAAAGATCAAAGGAAAGTCTTTACAGTACTTTGGAATTTGGTATAATACTTCCCGGGAGGTCATTTACTCCCATAATTTAGTCTGACTTATTTTGGCTTCAGGTCCATTAAAAATGTGCAGCAAAAAAGGAGGCTTCTTTTTACTTTAATTTTTAACAGCAACTTGTCAGTGAAAAAGAAAGGTGTCTGAAAGAGGATCATCTATCATAGTCCTAATAGCTTTCAAATCTTCTGACTTTTTGAGTCTGCTTGAGAGAGAAACTTATCTTGAAATGTCTATATTTTAACTCTTTCCACTGTTCTACAGAGGAGAATTACATTAGATCTTAAGCATTACTCAAATGCAGTTACCACCTCCTATGACATTCGGGGTTGTTACTCCTTAGCTAAGGAAACTTTACAGGTCAAGAGGATTGGGTATATTATTAACTATAGATTTTACTCCCTTTTCCTGTTCTTTTTAAATGATTGAGTCCTACCAATGTGAATTCACCTGATAGGTGGATAGTTGAATACATCAAACAAAGAACCAAGTAAATAATTTCTATTTCTTCCTCTTTTCTTTTGTTCCTCTTTTGTTCCTCTTTTGTTTCTTGTCTCTCCTTTTCTCCTTTCTCCCCCACTTCCTCCCTTCCCGTTTTCCTTCTCTCCTCCCCTCCCTTTCCCTCCCTCTACCTTACCCTTTCCCTCGCTCTCTCTCTCACACACATCAGGAAGAATAAACAATGTGTTTATTTTATTTCACTTTTATTATTTTTTTAAATCAGAGGCTGTACTCTGTAAGGGCTAAAATACTAGGCTGGGAGTCAAAAAAGGGAAGAATCCTGTATTCTATCTCCCTATGCCTGTGTGTTTCATTCTGTAAGTTACTTCACTTCTCTAGTCTTCAGTTTTCCTTATTTGGAAATAAGGAGGTTGCACTTGATGAGATTTGAGATCTCTTCTAGGCTTGAACCTGTCCTGAGCATGCTCCTTTGGAATATCAGTAATTACTCTTTTACAATGACAAATTCTACAGAGAGATGCTCATCTTCTCTTAGTTTTGGTCCAGAAAACTGGCAAAGGATTACTTTAATTCTACCAATATAGTTCAACTAATCTTACTAAGTAACTTTTCATAAGAGCAGATTTTCACCCACTCTTAAGAGGGTAAGTAGATAGCAGCTCATGATGGCTGGCTGTCTAGAGTCCTCTGCTGGGAAGGGTTGTGAGGCTGGGTCCAGAGAGTGCTGTGAATTCTGGGCAATGTCTTTCATCAGTGAGGACAAGGTAGGTGGGATGTACTTACCATTGATTTGTCATACCTGAACTTCCTCATTGTCAAAATTGTGTAAAAATGCACTATTGGTAGACCTTAGCAAAAATCAAGCTTGAATGGAATAAAACATAAGGCATAACAAGGCTTTTATTAGTATTTTGATATAGAGATGGCAAAGTTGCAGTCCTTACAAATTTACAAATTTCAAATATATGTCAGTTCTGAAATTATTATTACTTCAAGAAATGCTTGAAGTAATTCTTATGGTCCTCCTGAACACATTCACAAAATGGAGGGGTGTTTTATTAAATAATGTAGGAACTTCAGGGCATTTATTCTTCTTTGTACCACATTTTAGGGAGCCTCCCTACTAACCCACCTACTGAAATCCTTATACCTTAAACAACTCTACATTAAGGTTTGGTTTAGTATCAAAAGGCCATTTCTTGGACCAGTGTTTGACTCAAATAAAATACATCTGGAATACTTGCAATATAAACTAGCCACCTTATGTGCTTCTTGACTCTTGCTGTTGAAAGGTTCATGCAGGTCAGCCTCTATTGTATTATAATCTAAAGAAAGTGAACATTAAGAATTATGAAATTTATATTCTTGTTCTAGTGGTAAAAATATGATAGGAAGTTTTAGATATTTTCTATTTCTGTTCTCCAAACCACTTGGAGATTTGGATAACAGACAGTTCTCAGAAACACATTCAAAAGAGTTTAAAATATGTATCAATCCATTTAGTAATGTGATATAATCTATTGTGTTGTGCAGATAATTATAGCCAAATGTTATGAAGCAATACAAGTCAAGTAATCTCTTGAGATTTTTGCATTTTTTGCTTATTTTGGAAAGTCTTTATTTTAAATCTTCTTATTTCATATAATTTTAAACTGATATAACAATCACAAGAATGGTTCAAGAAACTCCGTATACTTTGGATGGTTAATATTATATGTCAACTTGACTAGGCTAAGGGATGCCCAGATACCTGCTAAAACCTTATTTCTGGGTGTGTCTATGAGGATATTTCTGGAAGAGATGAGTATATGAATCAATAGACTAAGTAAACAAGATCACCCTCAATAATGTGATGGGTACCATCCAATCTGTTGAGTGCCTAAATGAACAAAATAGCAGAGGAAGAACAAATTTGCACTCTCTGCTTGAGCTAGGCCATCCATCTTCTCCTGCCCTTGAACATCAGTGCTCCTGGTTCTTGGCTACCTTTGGACTCAGAATGAAACTTACACTATTTACTACCCTTGATCTCAGGCCTTCAGTTTTAGACTGGAGGTGAACCATTGGTGTTCCTGGGCCTCTAGCCTGCAGATGGTACATCATAGGACTTTTCAGCCTCCATAATCATGTGAGTCAATATTTCATAATAAATCTCTTTGTTTATATCTCTATATATCATATTAGTTCTGTTTCTCTGGAGACCCCTAATACTATACCCTTTTCTTATTCGCCAATTTTTTAGTTCTCCTTCTCTTTTCTTTCTCTCTCCCTCCCTCTCTTTCTCTCCATTTTTTCCTGAGCAAATTGAATGTTAGTTAAAGCTACCATGTCCCCCTTTCTGAATACTTCATTGCATATTTTATAAGAACAAAGACATTATTTTACATAACCATAATATAATGACCAAAATTAGGAAATTTAACATTGATGTAATTATATAATCTATAGTCCAAATTTAAATTAAATGTACTTTATAGCTAATTTATGTTTTGCTGGGAAAGGTTGAGAGGATACAAGACAGGAATGAGAAAATTGCTAGAACATGTCCTTGAATAAGCAAGAAGAGACACATATCATGGGGTTGACCTTAGTTTTCAGACTAGGCAAGATATGCAGGCACAGATGAAAATTGAGTTGATTCATTTTTTGATGGGGATTTGGATGGTTCTCCTTTGTTACTTGTGTCCACTTAGGGAACTAAAAAGCTGAAGTTGAAGAAGGAGGAGGAATAATTAAAGGTTTAAGGAGCAAGAGGAAAGTATTAGTTATCTATTAGAGTAGGAAAAATGAATTGATTAGGAGAATGTGTTATGACTGCAGGTAGCATTAAGGGTACAGTTAACCGGGCATGGTGGCGCGCACCTGTAGTCCTAGCTAGTCAGAAGGCTGAGGTGGGAGGATCACTTAAGCCTGGGAGGTCAAGGCCACAGTGAGCTGTGGTCATGCCACTCTACTCCAGCCTGAGCAAGAGAGTGAGACGCTGCCTCAAAAAAGGGTTACACTTGAGGTTAATTGTCAAAAAATGCTTACCGTGATAGTATTTTTTGTTTCAACCACATTTGGCTGTATGGGTGCAAGTACAGGGTAAGAGGATATTTTATTTGGCCAGGGGTGAACCTTTGACATGGTTGTACAATGAAGGAAGAGAGGGGCAAGGAGGTTGAATGTGTATGCAAGTGAGTAATTATGAAAATTGACCATGGATTTAAACTGGAAAAGGAGGAGAGGTGGGAATCTCAGGGAATAAGACACAGTGAGGAAGGTTGCAGTTACTGTGATGACAAAGTCTAGAATTTATTCTAGGAAGTAAGGAAAAGTAGATGACAAGACCACTGGAAAGAAAGATGTCATGGGAAATGGAATTCTGAATTCTGGAATGATCAAGATATGTGATCATTGAAATCACTGCAGGAGTAGTGTAAGAAAGTGCCAGAGAAAAACTGGCACAGAAAATCTTCCAGGAATGATGTGTGACACACAGCAACAAGGACTGGTAGTAAGTGGTATAGTCTCATAGGAGATTCAAAATTTGGGCTTTTTAGAGAGGAGAGATTGGTCAGAAAGAAGTAATAAATATCATGGAAAGCACTTACTATACCTTTAGGCTCGAAGGTATGACAGAGGTGGGGAGAAAACATAAAAGGGCCGAGGTGAAAAAGAGTCCTCTACAGAGTAAGTCTTCCGTGAAGCTTTAAAGGAAAGGGCTCGTACTGCATAGGAGTGCCACATCTAAGGAGGCTTCATACATAGTGTGGAATTCACTGGAAGCTTTGTATATTTAGTCTGGCAATTTTCCATCAGCTGGAAGTAAAGTGTCTTAAGGAGAAGCACCATTTTCTAACTCACCAAATAGTGCTATAAGGGCTTAGTAGAAGAAGTTGAGGATAAGAGATTTTGTTGATGATGAACCATAAGTTCCAGAAGGCCCAGAGTAAAAGGACACTAGAAGTCACTGGAAAGTGAGATATGAAGTAAAAGTGTAGAGCCTTTGAAGGCTGTTGACTGGGTATGAGAGATGACCTTCAGAAATTCTGATTCAATTGATTTTGGGTAGGGCCTAGGCATCAGTGTTTTTAAAAAGCTCCCAGTGATTCTAATATACTTTCAGGGCTGGGGACTATCGTTCTAAATACTTTACTTGTATTAAGTTATTTAAACAATTCTTCTAAATACCTTTAAGCACTGTTTTAAATTCATAAGTGACACATGCATAATGTTACATATTGTACAGTAAAGATTAAGTGAATCAATCACTTAAGCAAATACACAGTTCTTTTTATCTATCACTGTCATTTTCAATAGTTCAAAATTAACACAGATAATTTTCACCCAATAAGTAGATGCTTCCATGTTCATTCACTGAATAGGTCAAATGAAATCTACATCCAATGTGACCTTGGAGACATGATGCCATTTAACATTGTGTACTTTCACCACGTAATTCTTGAGCACAATCATTTAAAAAACAAATACAAATTTGTTTTGTTACTGACTTTGTTGCGTATTAGAGACCAATCAAAGATAAAATAAATATTTTAGTTTTATTTATTTATTTATTTTGAGACAGCCTCTTGCTCTGTTGCCCAGGCTGGAGTGCAGTGGCCCGATCTTGGCTCACTGCAACCTCCATCTCCCAAGTTCAAGCGATTCTCCTGCCTCAGCCTCCCAAGTAGCTGGGACTACAAGCCAGTGCTACCAAGCCTGGCTAATTTTTTGTATTTTTAGTAGAGATGGGGTTTCACTTTGTTAGCCAGGGTGGTCTCGATCTCCTGACCTCATGATCCACCCACCTCGGCCTCCCAAAGTGCTGGGATTACAGGCGTGAGACACCACGCCTGGCCTTTTAGCCTTAATTTTAGATTTAATAGTTGAGTGTCTGTATAGGAGTCTTTGGGTATGAATACCTTTCTACAATCTCTATTTTGGTAACCATTGGCAGTTACACTTAAGATTTTCAGTTAATTTATGGTGTTAGTGATTTCAAATTCAACCACAGATGTTTTGCTTCCTCATGCCTTCATAGTTACCCTGTCTGCTGGTAAAATATCTGTCAGTTATCTGTGTTAGGGTATGTTGTTAAACAATTTAATTTGGAATTTGAACATGAAATTTGTACTCTGTTATCGATATTGATAAAAGAGCAATTATCTTTTAATCATGTAGATCTGATTTCAGTTTCCTATAGTAATGTAAAACAACAAATGCAAAAGGTTATGCTGTAATTTTATTTTTAAATCTGCAAACTTCAGCACATTTTACTGGAAACTTATCTCAGTTACACTTTAGTGCATCAACAATTACCATGAGGCTGAGCATCATCTGTCAGCAATAAACACACTGAAGATTCTGAACTCGTCGCTCACAGGCTTTTTTATAATATTAAGCACAGGATTTAAGAAATCTAAATGTACCACATCAGGAAAATATTATCTTCTACAAATACGTAATTTGGATTTGTTCCTATTCGGAAGACATGTTGAAAATGCTCAAGAATATTGTACAGTGATTTATTTCAGCCTGCAATATCTAATCCCCCCTTTTGGATTGGTAGAAGTAGTCAAATCACTCCCAAATCTTCAGGAAATGAAAGGCTAGATCGCTAATCACCACATGCACACTTCACTTTAATATTTCATTCAGCATTGATAGAAGATTATAATGGAAGATATTATGAAAGGGCACCACTACAATTGTACTCAGTGGGCCATGTGTAATATTTGAAAGTACATCATCTCTGTGGGTACTTTGCAAGTTGCAGTTGTTAGATGAAGAATAAATGTTAAACTAGATTCTCCTAGTCATCCAATCAAAAACATCTATTATGTGCCCTCTATGTGCAAAGAACTGTATTAAGTGCACAGTTTTGTCTCTGTCATTATTCTTAAACTATGTTCCTGGCGTGTGTGTTAAGCAGCGCTGAATGGGTCTTGCCACTGAAATAAAATACAGGCAATGTTTCCCAGTTTCTAGAAAATAATTAAGTTAGTGCTTAGAATTTTGTCACTTTTATTTTTTTCCAGCTTATTTTTCTTAAATGTTTAATGCCTGATACTGGTTGTTTACACTTGTAGCTTATTTTCAATAATTTCAAAATTATGATTTATTTGGGTATAATACATTTTTATTTTATGGTGCTCTGAAAACAACATCATAATCACCAAGTGTCCTTTCTATCATGCAAACAAGTTTGAACACCAATGTAACTTAAGACTCCTTGGAAACTATAACAATTAATTCATCCAGGCTGTTAAAAATCAGTACTTCAGACAGTTGCCTAATATATAAATATCTAAAATGTAATCACGTACTTTGAAATAGTTAATGCAGTATTTTGTAAGTTAAAGAGTAGAAATGGATTACATCTCCGGAGGGTTTGGTTTATTTTGTATTTACTTACATGATTTTCTAGAGAATGAAGTTAAGTCATATCTATTATTTGTTAATGCCAACCATTTCCTACATCAGACCATCTGTAAATTTAGACCTCACAGACTATATAATAAACCTGTTTTATTTTTGTCAAACAGCATTAGCTTAGAATTTAATAATAGCAAACACTTACTGAGCACATACTTTGTGTCAAGTACTGTATTCTATGTGTACTGACTCCTTTAAACCTCTCAATCATCCTATGAAGAAGCAATCTGTATTACCACCTTTATTCACATGGGGAAATTGACTCATAAAGGTGATGTAAATGCAACCTAGTTTAGACAGTTAATACATGAGAAAGTGGAGACTTGAACCCAGTTCGTTTGGCTACCGACTCTGGGTTCTTGACAGTTAAGGTATACTAACACCATTTCTTAAAAAATTCAAGAGTGTTGTATTATTTAGTATGCCATTGGTTGCAAGTATCACCCTAACCTAAACTGGTAGAAACAATAAAATTAATTTACTGGCTCACATAATTAAAAAGACTAGAAATAGTACTTGCTTCAGGGAAGGCTTGATTTGTTGGTTCAATGATGTCACCAAGAACCCAATTTCCTTCAGTATCAATGCTCTGTTTTCCCTAGATGGATGCCAGCAACATCAGAGAAAAATGCTTCCTTATTCACAATCCACAAGAGAAAGACTGTCTTGATCTCAGTATTTTTTGTGAAAGTTTTGAGAAGTGCTCTGAATGAACCAGTTTAAGTTGATGTGTGCCCCTGAATCAATCACTGTGGTCAACGAGATGCAATACTCTTGTTGGCTTAGGCTGGATCACATGTGCTTCCCTGAAACTGCAGAATCCCCAAATGGGTATCTGATTGAAAGAGAAAATGGATACTCTGAAGGCATCCTACCTCTTTCTCTCTGGTACCTTTTCATGATAGTTAATTCTTGAACTGAGCCAAATGCTATACAAAATGACATTTTGGGGGAAAGAAGCGAAGTTAGGAGCATCTATACTAAGGCTGCCATATAAGTAGTAATGACCATTGGAACCAAGATTTACCCAGCATATTTGATTGTGTGGACATTTGGAGCACTGAGGAAAGTGGAGAAAATAAGATTCTATTTAAAATTATTGTTAAAATTTCACAAATTGATGTTGTTATCTATAGTTTATGAATGATTTTTTCTTAGGTAACAGTTTTTCTTTTTTTTATATTCTTTTAGGAAATAAACACTTCTCTGAGATACAGAGTTTGCAAAGACTGTAGTCTGACAAATTTCAATGCCAAGGTTATATTGGCAGCTTGTAACATGGAGGAATGAAATTCTTGTCCAAAGGAAGTATATAGGCTTCACATTCTTCTCTGCTCAAAAAATAAATAAATAAATAAATAAATAAATAAATAAATAAATAAATGAAAAAGCTGAAGAAAACCCACCTCTGAATTCTCATGTCAAGGCTAAACCATTTACAAAGTACAGTAGTAAACATGCAAATGGAAGTGAGAAAAAAGTAAGTGACTTCTTTGGTAATGCTGCAGTTCACAGCATCCTAAACTGAAATTGTCATTCACCCATCTCAATGTTATGGTATCTGATACAGACAGTCTTGTTGAACCTAAAAATTGTAAAAGAGAAAATGGCCTTCCTATAATTATGTAGAAAGACTATCTCCTTTATGTCTGATGTTTCTATTTCAAATCAGTTGTGGTGATATACTTGAATAAACTGGAGTGTTTTACAGATTTATACAACAGGAAATAAAAATACTTCCTTGAATATGCATGTGAATCATTTAATGTTTTTATTTTCTCCACCTGTATAAAAAATGTAGAGATATAAAAAGCCACAAAATCTGAAATCTCCAAGTAGGATATATCTTTTGAAATAGCAATTGAGAAAAATGAAAAGAAAAACATTTTAAATAAAATGCTTTTCTTGCATTCGTATTTTTAAAAATAAACTTTATTTTAGGGAAGTTTTAAACTTACAGGAAAACTGCAAAGATAGTGCAGAGAGTTCTCATACACTTTATACCCAGTTTCCCAAATCATTAACGTCTTATATGACCATGGTACATTTGTGATGCTTAATAAATGAATATTGACATTTTATTATTAACTGAAGTGCATATTTTATACAGATTTCCTTAATTTTTTAAAAATAAACTTATATATTTAGAACAGTTCAATATATACATAATGTGAAATAGTACAGCAAGTTCCCATACACCCCACAGTGAGTTTTTCCTGTTATTGAACTCCTACATTAGTATGGTACATTTGTCACAACTAATGAAGCAATATTGATGCAATATTATGAACTAAAGTCCATACTTTATTCCAGTGTCCTCAGTTATGCCTAAGGTCCTTTTTCTGTTCTACTGTCCCGACCAGGATTCAACATTACATTCAGTCGTCATGTCTCCTTAGGTTTCACTTGGTTGTGATGGTTTCTCAGACTTTCTGTTTTTTTTAGTGACCCTGACAGTTTTGAGGATTATTGGTCAGGTGTTTTCTAGAATGTCTCTCAGCTGAGATTTTTTAATGTTTTTTCTCATGGTTAGAATGGACCTTTGAGTTTTGGGGAGAAAGACCACAGAGGCAGAGTGCCATTCACATCATATCAAGGACACACACCATAAATATGACTTATCAGTGTGGATGTGAACTTGATCACACGGCTGGGGTAGCATTTCTCAGGTTTCTCCACTTTGTGGTTACTCCTTTTCTCTCTTCTTTTTTCACACTATATTTTTTGGAAGAAAGTCACTATGCACAGCCTGCACTTAAGTAGTAGGGAGTCATGATCCACCTTCTTAAGGGTGGAGTATCTACATAAATTATTTGTAATTCTTCTGCATGGGAGATTTGCTCCCTATTTATTTATTTATTTATTTATTTATTTACATTCCCATTTAAAAAATACAATTAGTCAAGTAGCATAGCACTTGCACAAAAGTATTTATTAAATAATGGAACAGATGCCCTAATAGCCCAGAATTTTAGGGTTAAGTTTATATTAATTGGAATAGTCTGCTATTTCAGTAAGGCCATGAGACCCACTTAGTCTCTGGATTATGATCAGTCATGTCTTTTCTAAAGTCATTTTTTATTTCCTGCTTTTAACACCACATATTAGTGATAATGAATTGTAGAAGCCTATTATCTGATGGATAAAGTAAAAACATTCTTGTATTTATTCTAATTGTTTCTTATTAAATATTTATCAACAACTGCAGCAGCAGCAGCAGCAGTAACAACAATGTGACTAGGTTTATTGAATGGGTCAGGCATAATGCTAAGTGTTTGACATATATTACCTAATTTAGTCCTTACTACATCTCTATATGTTACATCTTTTCACCCCCATTTTGCAGAATAGGATAACTTCAGAGAGTTAAATAATGACCAAAGTTAGAAAGTTGGCATATGGCAAAGTTGAAATTAAGATTTTCTGATGCAAAATCCTGAGTTATTATCAACTACTCTCTACTGCCTCTACATCACTCACGGTGAAAAAAGCTTTAAGTATTTCTATTCTCCATCTTTCCTCCTGTAGACATTTTCTGATCCAATAATATCCTGTGTGAAATACTGTAATAGAAATTTTCCATTGAGTTTTGTTGTATAGGCATTATGGTTTCATTATATGGAACTAACATGGTTCTGGCTATTTTGTTTCTCTAATACTTTCCTTGATGCCCCAAATTTCATTAGCATTTTGTCAAGACTATCCATTAATCCATACACCCAACAAATTGCCATTGATCTTCTATGTATATTATGAGGAGATAAAAGCTGAGAAACATTGATTCTGCCTTCAATAAAACTATGGGCTGAATAGAAATAATATACATATATATCAACATAGTACAAGGAAAGAAAGTGGTGAAAATTGTGAGACACACAGAACAAGGGGTAAAGAGACCAGGAAAAAGATTAATTTTGAATAAGAATATCAGAGAGGACCTCCTGGGGGAGGTAGCATTTGACTTAAGTTTTGAACAACTGGTGGGAATTGGGAACATGGAAATAGATGTGAGCACAGGGTAACATAGAATTGACCTCTGTGATTCCACTTTCTGCTGATTCTCTTTACATCTTTCAGACACCTTTAGGTGCTCCTCATCTACTGCCTGCCTTTTAAATATACAATTATTGCCTTCTGCCTGTGATTCTTTTCTTTTTGTTCTCTGTGATTACCTTGTGCCTTCAATTACCAATCTCATGCTGAGAACTCCGGCCCTTTCTATTCACCTGTCTACAAAATATCTCAACAGACATCTCAAACTCAGTATGTCAAAGACAACTCCTCTTCATTTTCTTAGATGTATAATAATACTTAAAATCATTTACTTTTCATCAAGCATTTCTGAGTTTGAGTGCAGGTTTTATCACATACTACCTGACAGAGTTTTTGGCAATTTACTTAACCAGTCCAAGACTCTTATTTTTTTTTCACACTTAGACTAATACCAGTTGTGCCTACTTTACTTAGATGTCATGAAAATTGAATGAGTTAATATATGGCTAAGCTCTCCATGCTAGCTATTACTATTTTTATTATTCATGCAATTTTGGTAAAAAAAAATGGCACCATCTCCTTGGTCACTGAGGTCCCAAGCTTAGCAATCACTACCAATGTAACTCTTTAATATTACCTTCCACCAGTGCTGTAAATTCTGTGTTGAAATGTCTCTCCTTCCTATGTCTTCTTCTTTATACCTACTGTCTACTTTTTTAGTGTAGGTTTTCTGTCTCTAATTACAGTAGTTTATAGCTGGTTTTCCTGTATTAGATCATATTTTGCTTTAATTAATACTCTACATTATTTATTGCCAGAATAATGTTTCTAATATGCTAATCTGATTTTTCTCCTCTGCTTTAATCAATGGCTGCACATTATTTAGGAATTGAAAGCCAAACTTTTTAGCTTAATCTGGCCTTTGTCATAACCTCCTGCATTATCCCTAATAAATTCCCAACCCCAAACACTGTAGTTTCCCCCAGTCCCATTTCCATGTTACTTATTTTTCTTCCCCAAATTCCATGTCTACCTCCCATGTCTTCTTCTTGGAACAAAGCTTTGCAAGCAATGTCTTCTATAGCTGTGATTTGATGTGGTGAGCATGTCCTCACCTTTTAAAAGTCATTCATAAAATCGTTTTGAGATAGATTGAGAAACTTTTGAGTTCCCACTGCAAACTTTCATGCTGTTACTCTAATCCCTCAACCTTCCCTTAACAATAATTTATTTATGAGTTTTTGTTTTCTGCCAGACTATACATTGCTTGAAGGCAGGGATCTCACATTTAATTTTGCATTTATTCACACATTCTTGTAAAGTGTTTCCCATATAGTAGGCATTTGATAAAGCCTTGTATGAATTATTTAATAAATTGGTATCCAAATATCAAAGTTACTCATTTCCTCATACTTTTTTCCGTTTGTATTAATTCATGAGATATTATCTGTTCTCAAATTGGATGCTATGCTAGACAGAGGAATTTTTCACTGCAAACTCAGAGAATTCTGAGTTCTTCATCTACCAGATCATTTATACTGATGATGTTTAACATTACCACTAGCACCAGCTCTTTAAGACTTGGCTCTATATACTTTTTTACTCAGAGAAGTTCCTCTTTATCATAACCCATTATTTGCTGTTTCTAAAGTAGGCCCCCCCCCACTTTATCAAAATAGCTCCGCCTGAGATCTTGGCGACCTAATTTCTCAGAAAAATATTTTGGAAAGAAAACTTGCCTAGGATTTCCCTCCATGTGATGCAGAATTCAACTATGCATTTAAATTTGATAGACAGAAGCTAGCGAAGATGCCCAGTATCTTCCTAATTTAGCCTGTCACCAGGTACACCACAATACAATTACCCATTTATTAAGAAATAAAATGAAGACAAAAAGCATTTAATTTTAATTGCCTCTGATACTCACCATATTGTCACTTTTTACTGGCTCACTGTGGCTGCCCAGCTAGAATTTCTCTTTCATGCAAACAACAGAACTAAATTGAATTACATAAAAAGACGCTACACACTGACTCCCAGCAGTATGTTTTGACAAAACATTTTGTCTCCTTAAATGATTTCAGATGCTGTAGTCAAAAGCCTTGACTGCAAATAATGGGTTCATAAAACCTATTTTTAAAATTTTACCTGACAGTAATGCCGTGCAAATACCTGCACTTCTAGTTCACCTTCCCCACTTGTTTACATCAGGATTTTAATAGAGTGGCTGTCTCAGAACAACAGCTAAAGGACACTGTTTGATAAGTTACTATAAAAGCACAGTGTTTAAAATGAGAATTTCCTTCTTAAATTCAGCCATCATAAAAGGTGATGGTGGTGGTGGTTAGAAAAAATATTGAAGAAATGTATTTTCTCGGAGGGTCTCAAAATTCTCAGTTATATAATGTTCTAAAAAGTGATGAATTGCAGATTCTGAGTTTTGAGTTGCTAAAGCAGCACCTGGAAGAAAATTCTTCACATAGTAGGTTCTCAATAAATGTCTTCCTTCACTGATCACACAACATGTTCTTTAACAATGTACTTCCTAGAGTCTAATTTTGGCCCTAGCATATTCAATTCTATCAAATAAAAGCATGAATTTTTCCCCGATGGAATTGCATTAGTATATTAAAAGCAGCTAAATACACACTAGTGTGTATGTTTTACTTCTTTGCTCTTAAATCCTTGCTATGAGGAAACAAGTAAAACCTTAATAATGAACTTAAAGTTTATTTAGTGCTTACTATGTGGCTTGCAAGGTGTTAAGCACTTTACACGGATGATCTCATTTAACCCTCTTATCAGTCTAATGAGGTAAGTACTGTCTATGAAGAACCTGAAAAGCTGCTCTGTTTCTCAAAATCAATTGTTCTCATTTAACTAAAAAAAGTTATCTAGTTATACCATAGTCGTATCATAATGTAAGTGAATCATTCAGTAGTTTCACAGAATTAGTTTTTTTTTTTTTCTTTTCAACATCAAGTGTGGATGTGGGGCCTTATTTGTCACTGGGAACATGTTTTAATATCTGATGCTTTCTTCTAAAAAAAACTCTGCAATTTCTTTTAATATCACAACTTCAGCTTCAGTTCTAACAAGGTGAATTCTACACCTGTTTCAGTTTGGTTTTCAGTTCTGTGTAATAAACAGCAATAGCGTTAGCATTATCTATGTTTAAGAATTTAAAATTATTTTTCATTTTAAAATATCAAGCCTTAAAATTACTGTCATAGTAAGGATTTGAAAATGCCAAAAAGTAATCCTAGACTTTTGTATATTTTGTCAAGGATGGACGCTACGATTTTGTCAACACTGGATGCTATGTTTCCATTTTATTTTCTGCCTTCAAAATGACTATGCTAACTCCTAATCATTTCAGTATGTTTTCTTCTTCAATCCAACCTTATTTTTTTCAAGGAAATTTGTTTCTTTGAAAGAGCTCCCAGAATGGTGTCAAACGTGAATTGGTTCTAAATGACATTATTTTTCTTGGCAAACTCCTTCCACACTGTTGGAGAACTTTTGTAGATTAAAATTGTTGAGATTATTTTAATTCTGTTTTATTCTAAGTAAATTAAATTCTCTGTCTTGTACTCTCTTGCTCATTTTATTTCATCAGTGTCTATAATTTGAAAATAGGAAGGAAATTAGATTTTGGCCTGCAATGAGATGATATTTCAGGGATTATGGAATCCCTTGTGTTATTAAGGACTTACTCTATTGAAGAAATGGCAGCCATTTTTTCTCATCAGTCTTATTTCATGATATCACCTTATGAATGTGTTCCAAGACTATACAACTGTTACAGAATCCTTAGCAAAGATGTGTATGAATCAGCATGTGCAAATCCTGGAATCTTGAGGTTATGGTAGCATACAAAACACAGCCCTGAAACTATTTTGCCATTCAAGGCACATCATTTCTTCACCACAGGGGAAAACAGAAAATACTGAATTTCAACATTCTCATCGTAGTGGTTGTTTCCTCTCTTGCTTAGGAAAAACATTATAGTATCTCTCACATGTATGTCATTTCCGAGAATTGAAAAACCATAGAGTGCTAGAACAGACAGATGTGTATCTTAGATATGATTTAGTTATTCAGAGAGACTAAATTTTGCCTCCAGTACTCATCAGTATGCAAAACCCAGGAGGCAAATAAACGGGGGAAACCAAATTGATTATTTTGCCCATTTTCCTCTGATCTCACACTTGAAACACCAAACATGGTAGTTTTTATGCCCAAGACTCTAGATGCAATTAGAACTGAAGCAAAACTTATCCCCCTTTCTCCATCTCTTTTTAGGACCAGGGATTTTTATCTTCCACAATATTTCACTCCTAGCCAATTGCTCTCACTGTGAACAGTTTGTTAGAACCATCAGCTTGAGCATTGAGCAAAGTTGGTAGAAGTGTATTAACATAACTTGGGCTTTGTCCCTTGAACAAATTACATAGTTGCTTTAAACCTGAGTTTGACCATAGGTATAAAGAGGATAATAACGATACTTATTCATAGGATAGCTTGAGGAAAGCAATGTACTAATTCATGGAATGCTTTTATCCCAATACATAGAAACTGTCACATATATTAAACACTGCTGTTAGATTTACTACGTTGTGGGTGGTAAATGTGTGTGGGTAGAAGTGAAGATGGGTGATTTCTTAATTTATATTTTAGTGCTTCTCATAACGCAATAATATGCAGGTTTCTTTAACAGTTTTAATTTTTAAGTAAATGTTTTATTGAATTATAATAAATATGCAGAAAAGTGAATCACATTCAGATTTTTCACAAAATAAACACAGCCTTGTAACCAACCACCTAGATCAAGAAATAGAAGAGAAGTTATGGAATCCCTCCTGCTTCCTTGTTCACTACTCTCCCAATAATAATAATCACTATCCTGACATGTATCACCATTGATTAGTTTGCTGTTTTGGAACTTCCTATGATTGGAATTTCTATGACTGGAAGTTGTGTCTGATTTGTGTTTAAGAGACTGATTCATCTTGCAAAGTCTGTCAGTATATGTCCATTCTCATTGCATGAAAATACCACAAGTTATTTATCCATTCTAAAGGGGATGGACCTCTGGGTTATTTTCGGTTTGGGGGTATTATGAATAAATCTGCTGTGAACATTCTTGTACATGTATTTAGCTCTCATAAGTATGTCTTTCTGTTGGATATAAATCCAAGGTGGAATTCCTGGGTTGTTAATGTGTATGCTCAGCATTAATAGATACTGCTAAACAATTTTTAAAACTTTCACTCCCACTGGCAGAATATGGGAATTACAAACATTTACTATTACTTTCATATTTTTAATCTTCAAAATTTTAACTGTTCTACTGTTGAGTGTGTAGTGGTATATGGTAGATTTTATTTTCACTTCTCTAAAGAAGCCGAGGGCTGGTTTTGGTAGATTTTTTTTCTTCATACTTCATTGGTCAAATGCATTTCCTGTTTTGGAAAGTGTCTGTTGAATTTTTTGCCCATATTTCTATTTTCTATGGGGTCATTTTTCTATTGATTTTATAAGTTACATATTTTGAAGTACAAGCTGATAAAAATGTGGCTTCCATTTTGTTCTTTTTGTATCTATTCATAAATAAAAATTTCCTAATTTTATTTATTTGTTTTGAGCCTTCTTGGAAACATCTTTTATACATGTGTCTTCATAACATATTTCATGCATCACATTTAATGAAGACATTCTAGAAGTCTCTGCTTTTAACAAAGTGAAATGTGTTTATCTTTTCTCTTATAGCTAGTACATTTTGTTGGGCTGACTTAGATTTATTTGTCTACCCCAAAGGTATGAAGATTTTCTCCTGTGTCATCTTTGAGATTGCTATATTGTTTTTCCTTTCGCTTTTGAGTCTACAATTTATGTGGAAATGATTTTGGAGTATGATATGAAGTGAAGGTCAGGATTTCTTTTCCGCTGTCAATATACAGTTGAGTTTTGTCATGAATGTATATTGAAATAACCATCTAATTTTCCTCTTTAATATGTTATTATATAGTATATTAAAATAGTCATAGGATTTTTTCCCTTATTCTATCAGTGTAGTATAGTATATTAAATTATTTTTGCATCCCATAACTCAAATTGGTTGTGCTATACTATCTTCTTATGTATCACTGGATTTGATTGGCAAATATTTTCTTTCTTTCTTCCTTTCTTTCTTTCTTTCTTTCTTTCTTTCTTTCTTTCTTTCTTTCTTTCTTTCTTTCTTTCTTTCTTTCTTTTTTTTTTTTTGAGACAGAGTTTTAGTGTGTGGTCCAGACTGGAGTGCAATGGCGTGATGCAACTTCCATCCCCTGGGTTCAAGCAGTTCTCCTGCCTCAGCCTCCAGAGTAGCTGGGATAAAAGGCACCCACCACCATGCCCAGCTAATTTTTTGCATTTTTAGTACAGACAGGATTTCACCATGTTGGCTAGGATGGTCTCGATCTCCTGACCTTGTGATCCACCTGCCTCAGCCTCCCAAAGTGCTGGGATTACAGGCGTGAGGCACCATACCCGGCCCTGGTCTTATGTTTTTTCAAAAAACATTCTTGAGATGAGTTCTTAAATCATTGTTTTTTAGCATTTCTTCTTTTCTTATGTATGTATTCAAGGCTATCCATTTATGTAAAGTGAGATTTACCAAGATTTTACATTTGTTGTATCATATTTTCATATGTTTTATCTCAAAATATTTTGAAGTTTCACTGTGTTTCTTTTTTGGCATACATACAATTTAGAATTATTTTGCGTAATTGTCAGGCAGTTGAAAATTTTCTATTTATCTTTTATTATTAATGATTTTAAGCTTGGTCAAATAATATATTCTAATGACTTAATTCTTAACATTGGTTGAGACTTGCTAAATGGCCCAGAAGAGGATAAGTTTTTAAAAAGTTCACTTGAGAATAACACATATCTATTGTTGTTGGGTTCAGTGTTCTATATATGTCAATTAAGTCAATGTTGTTAATCTTGTTCACATGTTCTGTATTCATGCTGTATTTTCATATGTTCATTTTATGAATTTAAATGTGCTTATGTTCCATGATGAATGTGGCTTTTCCTGTTTCTTCTTTTAATTCAGTCAATTCTTGCTTTATACATTTTGAAGGAATGTTATTAGAGGCATACAACTTTAGAATAGTTATATTGACCTGATGGGTTGGCTTCTATATGTTTAATAAATATTTCTATTTGTTCCTAATATTATTTCTTATCTTAAAATTTATTCCACATGATAACAGTGTGTCATCACCAGCTTGCATTCAGTCAGTGTGAACATGATACATCTTTTCCCCATCCTTTTATATTTTTCTACATCCTTACTAAATTTCAGTTTTTAGTAAGTACTCCAAGTTTGAGTTTCATTTTTTAATCTAGTCAGTCTTCTAATTGAAGTTTTGAGTTTGTTTACATTTAAGTTAGTTGCTGTTACATTGGTGTTTACACCTATCATTTTCTATTTGTCCCATCTGTTCTTTATTCTTTTTTTTTTTGCTTATTTTAATTAATCATATACGTGTTAATCTATTTCCAACCCATTAACTTGTCATTTATTCTTTTACTAAGATTTGAGTTGTTACTTGGAAATGAAAACATACATGTTTATTTTACAGCATCTAATATGAAGTAATACCTTTATCACTTTCTAGACACTGGTAGGTCCTTAACACCCTTAAACTCTCTTTACTCTCTTTCTCTATTCCTTATAGATTCTCTTCTCTTCAACTATGGCCACATTTTAATTTTTTTATTCCTTCCTCATTTTCAGTGTACCCCACTCTCATCTCTTCTGTGTCTGCTTCCTTTCCTGTTCTTGACTCTGTTTTTGGTCTTTCTTTCCTCATCTGTCTCTGTTTTAGTTGTTATTGTTTATTCTTCTCTCCTTTAACTCATATTGACATAGAATTGAGTTTTGTGGGTTTTATATACTGGACTAAAATTAAAACTTTCATTTTAATTATAATAAGCAGATTTCTTGAATATCTTAATTTTTTTCTCTAATACATGTTTTAAATGTAAATTCTTGCTTTTTGTAATGCACTCTTAATTTATTTCCCCCAATGGCCAGAGACTCTTGATAGAGAGAAAAGAAGATTCTCATATCTCCTTTAAACAGCAACCGCTCCCTTCTGTGGTTTTAAAGTGCTGCTTTATACAGTGTTTGTTTATTTGGCAGGGAAGAGGAGTTTCAGAGAACTTTAAAACTAACACAATGAGAATTGATGCCAATCAAAATCAATCAGAAATGGATGAACATCCTTGATATTTTAATTAAAGCCCCTTAAATTGGATTTGATTTCTAAAATGTGATTCTCACACATTTTTAAAAGATATGCATAAAGTATCTTCAAATATTTTTAAATATAAAGGTCCGCTATAGGAAACACTTTAATTTTTGTTATCAAAAACATGGTCATGGTAGCTAAGTTAATTAAATTTCTGTCAGGCAAAATTGCTCACTGTGTTTCTTTTGCACAATTGACTTACCTACAGCCTTCACTCTTCTGATGCCCTAAACTTGGTACTCTTGTATTGCCTTCCCCAAGCCCCAAACACTGCAAATTTACCAAGGCCTGTTCTACTGCTAAATTACCCTCTCTTCTAAAATCCTAATTAAAATGACGATTCTCTGAAGTCTCAGAAAGCAATCCATAAAGAGGAGTTTGGAACGTTATTCAGATTTAAGAAAATTTCACTAAGGTATACATGTGGGACACGTGCAACATTGTAACTCACCCTCCAAAAAAAAAATCTCAAATAAAAAATTTAGTTAAAAATATTCTTAGGCTAAATTCCAACATCCTTGCCAACACAAACCTTCTATATCCCACGACAATGTATCAGCAGGAAAAAGTCACTGAGAAAGTCACTTATGTCATTGTTTCTCCCACTTGGGTTTATACACATATTTGTTTTCTTAGGAGTCTGGAAAAATTAATATTTTTCTCTAAAACAAGCCTACAGGGAAAGGGGTTGTGGTAGGTTGAACTGTTTGCCCACTTCATCACTCATAGTTCTCACATTTTAAAGCATGTGACCGTGCAGTTTCTCCCACTCTTGACTTTTGGATCAGCTAAATGATCTACTTTGGCTATGGGATGTCAGCAGAAGCAATGCAAGAAGGGACATACAATGTGTTTGTGTGGTTAGGTGTACCCCCTGTGTTTCTACCATCGCCATAAGAAGACCATCCCCTGGGGAGCTGCTGCTTCAGAATGGGCTGCAGTATGAGCCCCAGATTGGACCCATATGGAGTAGACCTGGGTCAACTAGCCTCACAGCTTAAAGCTATTCTGCCTAGACAAGCTTACTTCAACAGACCCCTCAACAATCTGCAGACATGTGAGTAAGCCCAGCTGAAATACCCTAGCCTCCCTGAAGATGTGTGAAAAATAAATGCTTATTATTATTGTATGCCACTAATATTTTGTGTTTTTTATTATGCAGCAACATTTGGCTTACCATAGAAAGGAGTAAAAATAATTGTAAAGTACAAAGAATTGAGAGAGGAAAGAGCTAGATAGGATATAGAGGGCTTCAAATTCAGAAATAGAGGCTCCAATGAGGCCACACCTCTTCAGCTGTGAGCTAAAAAGTAAGATCGCTTCTGATCAAGAGATTACTAAAATTTGATTAGTGATTTAACCACTGTTCACAGACTTTAACCTTCTTAAACCTGCTCAACACTGTTCAAGGTAAACTGCAGCCAAAATGATTGGGGTAAGAATTATTCCTTGGACTGTACCTGCTGACGTCAGAACAATATACAACTTGAGGACTACTTAGAATACTGCTTATCAGTTTGGGCCCGGAGTTTTAGTGCTGATTTTAAAGGACTCTAGTAAATAGTTTTGACATGTGAATGTTTTGTAGATTTCATGTTTTTCATTAGCGATGCATATCATGCTCTGTTAAAACTTCGTCTTTTCTCAGATCTGTTTCAATCACAGCAAATAAAAGGGACCTAAATAAAACTAAAGGCAGCTCAATATTGTTTTCGTATTAGGCTAATATTTTCCAAACTGTGGGTCTTGATCTTTTAAAAATAAATTTTGTGAGTTGTAGGCCAGCAAAAATTTAAAAATATGTAGAATAGAAAATGTCAGAGTATATCACATGTAGTAATGGCAAATACTGTTTTGTAAAAACTTTGCTATATGTATGTTCTATATATGTGGATATTGTGGATTACAATGCATTTCTGATTGTGGGTTGTGTTAGTTTGTTAGGGCTTCCATAACAAAGTACTAAAACCTGGGTGGCTTATGCATCAGAATTAAATAGTTCTGGTGGTTAGAAGTTTGAGATCAAGGTATCATCAGGGCTGGGTTCTGAGACTGTGAGGGAGGATATATTCCATACCTGTTTCCTACTGCCTGGTAGTTTGCTGGCAATCACTGGCATTTCTTGATTTATAGATGCGTCACCCCAAATTCTGCCTTCATATTCACATGGCATTCTCCCTGCGTGTATGTCTTTCTGTGTCTCAATATTTCCTTTTTATCAGGACACAGTTGTATTAGATTAAGGCCCACCCTAATGACCTCACTTTTTCTTGATCATCTGCAAAGATTCTATTTATAAATAAGGCCACAGTCACAGACACTGGGAGTCAGAACTTCAACATCTTTTTAGGATCATACTGTTCAACCCACAACATGGGTCATAGACAAAAAGTTTGAGCACTTATGCATAGACATTCCTTGCCCACACCAATGTTTGACCCCTAAAACCAAGCTATTCAAAAACGGCAAAATTCTATATTGATTTGATGATGCAATGTGGCATAGATACTGATTTGGGGGAGTCCTCTCTGACCCTAACAACCACAGGCAAATAATCTGTATGATTCTAATTACACTTCTTTTTATTTAAGCAGCTGACAGACATCTTTCAAGGTGTTTAGAAAGTTAATAAGGAAGCTGAATAATGATTTTTAAGGTCATATTTATATTCACCTTTTTCATTGACCTTATAGGCATAGCTAATACTTATGTAACAGTTTAGTGACTTATTAAAATATACTATCAAAATATAAGTATTTTATTAATTATAATATAATCTGTAAGATTGAGTTCCATAGGGATATATATATATATGTATGTATGTATGCCAGGTATTTACAGCTAGCTGCATATATTTATTCTGTAATTCTTAATCACACCACTGTATGCAGTCATCAGTTTTCTGACAACCATCTGCTTCGATGTCACTCACTCCTTCCACCCTGTCTAGTTGAAATTAAAATATTGACAGAAATAATTTTTTCATGGAAAGTGGAAAAGCTAATAGGGGTGGTGAAACTAGATTGGTTTTTGCAAGCATTGCCCCTGACAATACTCTACAATTTTTAGCTTCCTTCTTCAAGTCATGCAGTAATACATTAAAATAAAATGTAAAGCAAAGATCTGAGCAGAGTATCAGCTTAGTTTTTTTCTGATAGTCTTAAAATATTCCAGAAAAGTAAAAACACACACACAAAAACAAAAAAGGCCACTGAGCAGTATTTCTCCCATTTTATTATGACTCTGTGTAGTTAGAAGAGGGGCAGTAGGAGGGAAAAAATGTTATTCTACCCCTTTACAAATACATAATGGCAATAATAGCGATAAGACAAAAGAAATGAAAGCAAATGTTTTAACAGAATGGAGGACTCCTTTTTAAAAACTTTAAGATATATCAATAACAAATTCATTTTGAAATTATTAATAGACCTAGCATATTCTTTATTGAAAATAATTAATATTAAAATAATCCAACTCTAAACTTCCTTTTGACCTTAGCAAACAATATTCAGCCATATGAAAAATTCTTAGATTAGGTTTTAGAATTTCCATAGGAGGTTTTGTTATTAAACAAAACACTTGACTCTCTACCCTTAAGATCCTCAAAAGCAAATAAATTGTTACTAAAATGGTTTGGATTCATACCCCCAAAACATAAAGTAGTGTCACCAAGGGAGTAGAGGATTCATACACATGTACAATTTATTTCACCTTAAAATTGTGTTTATATAGTTAACAGATGAATAATTAAGGTGGTGAATCGGATTGTGGTAAGAGGATGTATTGACAAGGAGAAAGATTGGGATTAAGACCACAGTTAATGGAGAGTTGAAGGAATCAGAGAAACCACAAGTAAAACAGAAACAAGAAAAATAACAATCATTTACTTTTTGCTTTATCCTAATTCATACATGAGAGAGTATTTTTCATATTTGAACACAAAATGCCTAATATAGAGAAAGGCTTTTGTCAACGATTCTTGCATAGTTCAAAGACCACCAACATCATTCCAATCTCACTTTTCTAAACCTCATCCCTAGCCATATTTCTTTCTACACCTTACAGTGTGCACTTTTATATCTCCCTCTATGGGTTTGTTCTGTCCCTGACAGATCTTGTTTTTGTTTCCTTCTCTTCCTGCAAATGTGTATTTATCCCTCAACAACCAGCTCTAAACTCACATTCCCCTGAAAACGTTCATGACCAGTGCCATCACTGAGAATTAATCATTTCTTCATCTGTTTCTAATTCTTCATACTGTTCTTGTAACTGTTCTTGTCACTTTGAACTATAGTAAGTTATTTATGAGTGTGTTTCCCAAGCTAGACTATGTGCTCCTCAAAGACAAGGACAGTGGCGATGTCTTAATAATGTTTTTATTCCTAGAGCTAAGAACATGTAAGTCCACAAAAAAAATTTATTTATTTGAGGGTATTTTGTACTAGAATAGTTGCAGCAGCATACCCTAGGTCTAGTAAAAAATTTGCAGAGGTAATGACAGATGTCTGCGGACTTCATTTCCACTCTAGCTCAGTCCATTCTCTTCAACTTTTGGAAGGCTTTGAGAGAACAAAAACAGCAACCACTATCTCCACCACCACCACCACCAAATAGGATTTTCCTAAATGCAGTTCATCTCTTTCCCCTTATAGTTTTCTTATTCCCAGCTCTATGTCTACACACAAGAAAAGCTTTTTTTAAAAAAATTACAGTTGTCTTCTGCCACGGAGAATTTTAGGTCATCTTATCATTTGTAGTTTCTTGTTTTATTGCTGTTGTTGCTCCTGGCCAGGCAAGCCATACCTCCCCTTTTAAGGTGGATCCATTCTAAAGCAGAGTCATTGATTTTTTAAAAAGTCAAAGCAAGTACATTTTTCAGTTCTATCTTTGGAAAGGTGATTTCATTTGTTACATTTATTAATTAGTATGTTTAACATTTATGGTACAGATTTTTATGCTAGACTCTGTGTTGTGGACTACAGGTGAGACAGAAGAACTCATGTTCCACTGGGACTGGTGGCAGGGTGCTATAAGTAAGTGGATAAGGACAAAGTAATGTGATAGGATGATAGCAGAAATGGGAGGAGCAGAGGAGGCAGTGCTGTAGGAGACGAGAGAAGGAAGTGGGGGTGCAGGAAGATGTTTTACAGAGGGAGTGATACTTGAATGGGGCTTAAAAGTAGAGGTGAATTTGCCAACATGAACATAGGCATTTTAGACAGTGGGAATACTACATTGAAAAACACAGAGTTGTGAAAAGGCTTAGCTTATTAGGAAAGGAACTATTAGATCAGTTACTGAGGTGGTTGATCCACCGAGCAGGCATCAGATAATACTACTTTAGTGTTGGTCCACCTTTCCCAGGCCAGGAGAGTCCCAATTCGCACATGACCCTCAGTTCACAAACACCACCTCATCATAGAGTTTTGAAGGGTCAGAGGTAAAACACAGTCACTGCCTATATAAGCTGAGCAGACACCAGTGACCATTTTGCAGGGCAGGCCCCTTCTTCCCTTGTTTACTATAACTCAAGACAATGTAGAACGGTTTATGGGCTATATGAAAAGGTGGTCTTCAGAATTTTGCACTATGAACAGGCTGGTACTTCACCAGTATATTTTACTGTTAAGAGAAAGGACTGTGCCTACACTGAATGTGGCAGGAATTGGAAAGCCATGAATCACAGCTTTGTCCTATTGAAGACAAAAAGAAGCCGAAGTCCACAAAATGAAGTGACTTGACCAACCAAGGTCATACAACTTATTAGTGAAAGAGTTGGTACTGGAACCAGGGTTTCTAGCTCTCAGCCCAGTATCACTTCCATTTTCCACGTGCTGGTCTTATCAAATGGAGGTATTTGCTGGCATTTGAGGGGACTGTCTAAGAGTCTCAACCCATGTTGAAAAGAAATGATAAGTTCTTTGAGGAGCTTTGAAGTTAATAGACTTTGTGATGGTTACTTTTGGGTGTCAACTTGACTGGATTAAGGGATACATAGATGGCTGGTAAAGCATGATTTCTGGGCATGTCTGTGAGGGTGTTTCTAAAGGAGATTGTTATGAGAGTCAGTGGACTGAGTGGAGAAGATTCATCCTCAATATAGGCAGGCACCTTCCAGTCAACTGAAGGCCCAGATAGAACAAAAAAACAAAGGAAATGTGAATTTGTTCTCCCTCTCCTAGAGTTAGGACGCCCTTTGTCCACTGCTCTTGTACATCAGAGCTCTGAGTTCTTCAGCCTTTGAACTCTGAGACTTGCACCCCTCCCCCACCCCTCCAAACCCCATGTTCTCAGGCGCTTGGCTTTAGACTGAGAGTCAGACCATCAGCTTCCCTGGTTCTGAGGCCTTTGGACTTGGACTAAGTCATGCTACCAGCCTCCCTGGTTCTCAGCTTTTAGGTGACCTATAATGAGACTTCTCAGCCTCCGTAATTGTGTGAGTCGGTTTCCCCAATAAATCCCCTCTTATCTCTCTCTCTCTCTCTCTGTCTCTCTCTCTCTGTCTCTCTCCCTCTCTCTCTCTCTCTCTCTCTCTCTCTATATATATATATATATATATATATATATCTCCTATTGGTTCTACTGCCCTGTAGAACCTTGATTAATACAGGCTTCTAATTGCTTTTTTTTGGACCAGTCTTGTCTTAAACTTGCACTTACTTATGGATTCCCAGTATTGCAAACGCATCATTCAGCACTCAGAAAGAAAACTCCATTCTTCTTTGGTTATTTAGATATAATCTAGAGTGCCCACCAGTTTTGACCTGGCACAGGCTATCTGATATTCTCAGTATAATCCATTTTTAGGCCAACATCAGCCAGGATCCCAGCAAGAAAATGAGAACACATGCGTAACGGGCAATTGAAGATACTTTAGTGAAGGGACGCTTTACAAGGAAGTGGGCAAGGGTAAGGGAAACTAACAAGGCATGGTGAACCACCTCAGGGCTTGCCATGGTAGGAGAGATGTTTGTGACCTAATCCTAAATAGGGAAGAAGAAGGAACTGTTACTGGAATCTGAAGGGAATATCGGTAGATATGAGACAGTTCTCAAACACGATGTAGTTGTACATATAATAATTGTCAACCTGAGGCACAGGAGGGAAGGAGCCGGGGAATGAATATCCCAACTCCAATTCCTTTCTGCCCTCAGGTATTCTGTTTCACTGAACCCAAGAAAAAGTAGGAGAATAATGTTTTTCAAGTCAGCCTCCAAGGACACAGGCAGAATCTGTAAGGGAAATAGAGAATATCCAGGACAGGGCAAATACAAAACAATCATCCATACCCTGGCCCAGCATCTCCTCAGTCCTGTTCCACAGCCGTTTCCGGATGTGCAACTCTATAAACTGCTCTGATTTCAAAAAGTTTACCTAACACTACTGGGAGAATTATGTAAATAGAATAGTTTGGCTGAGCAGTGACTAAGGAGAGAGGGAAACATGACCTCCATCTGCAAGCAGTGGTGGGAATGGAAATGATTTCCTCTGGGAACTCAGCTGGGATTACTGTTAAATCATTTGTATACTGTTAAATGAGTTGCGTGCTGGTGGGGCAAAGAGGTCTTGGAACTGTGTTTGCTGGCTTTCTCCCTACCTTCATCATTGTCTACAAGCATTTGAAAGGTTGAAAAAACAGCACAAGAAGGTTCTGATTCAAGGTGATAGAACCAGAGGTAGTAAGGTAAAATCAAGAGAAAGATACTGGAATTTAAAAAACATGAAAATGTTCACAACAGAAGTCAATCTTTTATTAAAATATTCTAAAGGAATAAAATATGGGGGAAAGCTCTTCTTTTGCTTATTTAATTTTAGAGTGAATAGAGCTCTAAAAATTTACTATTGAAAATAATGTTTGTGGAGAAAAATACCATGTAGTTTATTTCTTGTTTGCATATCTAACAAGTACACTTAGCAAGATTAACAAGCTTTAGCAAGATTCACATTTAGGATATGGCTAATTGATATTTACTTTTGCTATCTGAAATGCTGCTTCTGATACTAAACATTTTTAAATATCTGAAGATAAAAGTTCTTTTTTCCCTTCAGGTAAAATGCTGAATATGTAGTTAAAAAAATCTAACTTCATAAACATTTTATGTAAAGGGGTTTGGTATGAGGCTTGCTTTCAAAGGCTATATTTAAAACACAATATAAGCCTTCCTATTAAAATTTCAATTAAATTAAGCATATATCGTGCACCCACTGAAACGGAGGTTTTCCCAGTTTAAGACTTTCTGCCTGACCTGATGAGTTCTTGTGGGCAAAAATTATGTATTATATTTAATTGTGTTTCCTATATACCCAGCATAGTCCCTCAAGCATAAATTATAATGCAAAATTTGATTAGAGAATGTTGTGTAATCACAACATTACTGATCATACTGTGTCAGACACTGTTGTAAGAACAGTCAATGCCTTAATCCATTTAAGCCCTTAAAAACTTTATTAAACATTTCTATCTTTGCAGATGAGGAAACTGAGGCTTGAGAGGCTATATAACTTGCTCAGGATTATGCAAAGATCTAGTGGCAGGGTTAGGATTCAGATCTGAGAAACTGAGTGCTGGACTTTGACTTCTTAATCTTGATACCATACTGTCTTCAAGATTGACATAAGGTGGGGCAGAAGATGAGGAGCTTTGAATGCCAGGTCATTAGGTTGTCAACTGAGAAATCTTGTGTGCTTTTACATAATAAAATACTAGGATGAAATCTTTTACATTAAAGTCTATCTTTTTTAAGGTTCAAATAAGGCAGACAGAAAAATTGTGGTTTCTTTATAGCTTGATGCATTGTTTATTTAATATTGATTTAATGTCTAAAATATGCTATGATTATAAAGAAAAGAACAGATTTTATTCTATAATGCAATGGCTTTAAAACTCACCTTAAAAACCTTTGCTCAAACAAAATTTTCTGTGGACACTCGTAAAATATATTAAGAGGCTTAACGTACTTTATACCTGTGATTCTGGGAAGAAAAAGCGATTTCTGGAAGAAGTGCTGCCAGAAAGACTGACAACAAGAACCCCTTTCTCAATGGCTGTTTACCTTTTTCTTCTTTTACATGGTATACCTGGCTCACAGGGACTTTACTAACCAGGGAAGGCTAATTGCTGTAATGAACAATTGCAAAATTTAAGTGGCTCAACATATCAAAGGCGTTTTCTCCTTTCTCATCTTATAGTTCAGTGCAGGTTGCAAAGAGTGGAGGGGGCCCAAAGTTATTTGGAGAGCCAGGCTAATGGAGGCCCTACCATTTCCAATACATGGAATTTAACATCCAACCAGCAAGTTGGAAAGAAAGGAAACAAACATGAAGAAAGCATACTCATTCTTAACTGCTGTAGCCCAGAAGTCACAAGTGACATTTCAGTTCACATTTCATTGGTGAGAACTGGTCACGTGGCTTCGTCCTGCTGCAAAGGGCCAGGAACTGTAATTTAGCTGTATGCCCAGGAAGAGGAAATATGTTTGTTAAGCATGCCAGAAAGACTGCATTACAAATCACAATCTCTTTTAAGTAAACACTATGCTAGGAACTAAACATACCAAAGTAAGTCAAACATGGTTCCTGTTTTCAGTGAGCTTTCTGTCTAGATGTGGAATTTAGTTGAATAACTAAATATAAACTAATGATAATAGATAAACTAAACAGTGGCAATTCTAAATGCTTTACAGGAGTTAACTTAATCAATGAAATCTTTAGTATTACTATTTCCATTTCACAGATGGAAACTAAACAAAGTCAATAGTCATGCCCAATGAGGCATGACTATTAAGATGTGGAGCCAGGACTTGAGCTTAGACTAACTTCAAACTCCACGCTCTTTAGAACAGTCAGTGCCACAGGAAGAATACAGTCACAGTGCATATCTGGCTTTGTGAGGGAGGAGTAGCTATGTGATGGTGATAGGTGGCCATCAATCTGTGGTCTTCACTTCGGAGCACAGGCAGACCATTCAATAAATGTCAGGTATTTTTGTATTATTGTAGTAAGTTTCCAATAAAAGATAACATTTTGAAAAAGATTTTAAAGGAGTTGGGCCATTTGACAAATGGGAAATTAATATGAATGGGACTTCTTCGAAAGTCATGAGAAGGCTTTTAAAGAGGTACAAATGCAAAGACTGGAAAAAGGAATCAAAGGAGTCTGAGAAAAGTTCAGTGATTGAATGGGGAAGAAGGATTTTTGTGCTGGCTTGTTTTCTCCTTCTTACCTTCTGATAGGCTTCTGCCTACTGTCCTTTAACTTCAACTTTCCATCAACACGTCCTTTCATATACTGTCCTCAAGTAGAATCCAGATCTGAAGTAGCTTCACAATGTACTGCAAAAAGCTTCAAACAAGAATCAGGGAACCAGGGGTCTTCTGGCTCTGACACTCACCCCTTTTTGATCTGGGGCAAGATACTTAGACTCGTGGGCCGCAGGTTCCTTACCTTTAAGAATAAAAAGGATGAACCACATCATTTCTATAGCTGCTACTTATTTATCACTCTTCAAAATGTCTGAAATTCCAAGATTTTAATACCTAGTAATTTTTTTTAAAGTTTTATTTGCTATCTCATTTTTGGGCAACCTCATGCTGTGTGTGAGATTAGTTTTAAGATATAAATGTTTATGTTTGTATTCTGTATAGTAGGTGTTAATTCTGAGTCAGAGTTAAATATTTTGATGTAAACTGATCTTGTTAGACCATTAACTTTTCTCTTTACACATTTTATTGACTTTCTGTTCTGTTTATAGGATGAGGTTTTCACAGTATAATTTGGCAATGGGATCATGGAAAATTTTTGGATATGAAGACATCCATAGGAAATATGAGTGGGAATGTGTTTTTCTTGATTTAATAGATGCAATTTAAAAATTAGACTCTAACAAAAATGTTAAGAAATAGCTCACTTTATTGATGAAAGTTCTGTGACTATTTTAGTGGAAAATGAAAATCAGAAATAAAATCATTTAGACCTTGGCTATGAAAAGCAAATGCTATTTCATCTATTTTTCTGTAGTTAAGAAACAGAACTGTTTTATCTATTAAATTAAGCTGGAGCATGCTATCATCAACCTACCAGACAAAAAAAGAAGTCTATGAAAACTTCAGTCATTTTGATCTCAGCATGATGATACCCCCTGTGTGGTTTTATAATTCTCAATTAAAATGAGTAATTCAGGGAAAGAACAAGTCTCATGAGGGAAGATGCCAAGAAGGAATTCTAATGTTAAGGAAATATTTTCCTATGGTAAGCCTATTACAATGGTTGGTGATGCTTCCAAACATACCTATGCCCATATTCTTTGATTTTCATCTTAACTTAGTAGAACTAGAAATAAATTTAGGAGCAGACCTTAAAAATGGCTGCTGTCATATTACTAATTGTGTTTTTTTCCATTAAAATTATCCCACCTGATGACACATTTTTTGGTTATTTGTATTATTAGTAGTAATATATGTAGTACTGGATCCATCAGAGCAATGAACGTTTCTGCTTCCAATTTCATACGTCCTATTATGTGCCTGCTAATTTTCTGCCATTTTGCTAGGGTTTGCTACAAATGTCTAATTTATTGCTCAGAATAATCCTATATTGTTTAAGTAAGTAAGGTGATTTGGCTAAAGTCATGTAAGTTGTAATTGCTCAGAATTTTAATTGAAATATTTTAAAAGTCTTTTTCTATATAGTTAGACATTCACTCATTCATTTTTAATATCTTCAACTGATGGTATTGCACAACCCAAACATTTTGGAGTACTTAGCCACTGGACGAAATTTAGGAAGGAATCAAATATATTGTTGCATTACAAAGAACACTTGGAGGGACCAAGTCTTCATGTTGGTAATATTTGAAGGCTAAAGGCAGACATCCTCCTCACCAGCCATCCCAGTAGTTAAATTTCCTATGGCTTTTGGTGTTTTTGAACTGGGTCAAAGTCCTCAATTAAAATGCAAAAGGGCTCCCTAGAAGGACAAACACATTAAATTATTAACTGTTAATACTTTAGTCTGAATTATTTTTCAGATCTTGTCTCCAAATAAAGCCCCAAGGGCATAGAACATAGGTCTGAGGAATTGAAATAATGAATTGAAAGATGTACAGATTTGGGGATGCCTAAAAGTGAAGAACTAAGAGGCGTCAAATGAATTTATCTCATGATCACTACTAGCACATGTAGCACCTGTTTGTGAATTAATAAAGGGTTCTCTTTCCAAGGATAAATTACAAAAAAGCACCCATTCTAGGTAGATGAATTACAGAAAGGCATCCTTTCCCCCAGGATGATGTAGCTTCAAGCCAGGGCACAAAAATTCATGGGGGGAAGTGTGAACTCAATGTTAGCCCCATAAATTCCCCCTGGGCTGAGTACCTTTGTGTACAACTTGCACAACCTTTCTTGGAAGCCTTAGTTTTTCTGGAGAAACACTGAATTGCATGAGTTCATTGGGCTCTAGAAAGGGGAAGAAAAGTATGTTTATTATAGAATTGAGAACCAAATTTATTTAAGGCTGAACTTAAATGGCTCTTGTCTTTGGGGGATTCTAGGAGCCAGAAGTTGTAGCAACTTCATACTGCTAGTTGCTCACTGAGGCTCCACCCTGCAGGTTAGGAATTGGGCCTAATTGGAAAACACGGGATTTATTCCAGGCAGAATCATGGTTATTTAAAGATGTTTTCCCCTCTAATGTTTAACCTAGGAAAGAATCTGGGTGTTCTTTGTTATTCAGCAAAGGGGTATCAATTATTGTGGAATTTTAACCTGCCTCCCGGGACAACTATAGCAGGTGGCAAAGATTTCAACTCTTTTGAAAGATGACATTATTTTAATTTTCCGGTATAGGGCTCCAGGTTTCTTTATGAGCACCAGGCTTGAACAGTTCTTTAACTTGTTAATAATTTTTGATATTGATATATTATATTACTGTTTTTATATCTTTAGCAGCACAAATAACTATAAAAGTAATATATTTTATTATATGAAATTTTGAAAATACAAAAACACTGAAAGAAAATAGAAATTAATTTACAATTCCACTAAGGGATATAAGTCTTATCCTAGACTTGTATTGACTTGCTTTGTGTCTGCCATTGTCTTTGTCCCTATTCAGTCAAAGTCAAAAACTAAATCGATGCTGTCTGTTTGATCTTAAGACCAAGACGGCTACTACAGACCAAATAGCTGATCCCATCAGTGAGTCTTTGACCAGTTTGCTATTCCTTCTTTTATGCAACCTCAGATTTCTTGGGCCCCTGCCATCTGTGAATTCTGACTCATCTTTGCAACAGTTATTTCTGATAACCAGTTTGTTAATGACAACTTGATTTTTACTACGACTTTAGAAAAATAACTACAGCCAAATTCTTTCTATGAATGGCTTTGATTTTTTTTCTGTAAGAATCTTCAATGATGTCCTCCCTCAACCCTCAGAAACAAGGAAATCAAACATCTGGTATGCACGTAGCTTCATTTATTTCAAGTAGGTGATTCATTTCAATCTACAAACCCAAGCAAATCTTGAGGACCCCTACCTGAGGAGCTTTGTCACCATCATTGTGAAGAAAGTCTGGAGTTTTCTAAGAAGGCATTGAGACTAAGACTAATTGCTTACGTATAGAAAAATGTGTGTTGGTATGGAGGGTAGAAGGAAGGAGGAGGGTGAAATATTTAGACTACATAGGCTGGGAGGAAGAATGAGAACAGTTAAAAATTTCTTATTTGTTGTTCCCTGGCATCAATACCTTATGCAGATAAAGAGGCCAAAATAAGCATGAGTTTTGTTTTAATTAACTCTCTAAGATTTGTCTACCATTTAGTTGACCCCTCCCACCTTCATCTGTTATTTTGTTCATTTTAGGGCCATAAATATTATTAATCCACAGAGATTTCTTTCTGCTTCCTTTAGTTAATTAAAGATACTCTAGAATTTATCTTATGCTACCACCAGGAGGGCACAAAAAGTGAAATATTATATTGCTAGATAGTTCATTCATTAGCATAAAATAATCAGTGGGATTGTGTATTGGTGTTTTAAATACCTCTGCCAGATTTTCTTTTAGAGGACAAATGCGGTCAACAGAAGAAATAGAGAGAGAGAAAGAGAAGGGAGACAAGAATTAAAAATTAGGGAGATAGGTAACAACAAATATATAGATTAATTTTTTAAAAGATAGTCTATCTAGACTCTAGCACGGGAATAAACCATAATAATTCCCTGCCCAGATATCATTAGCAATACATACCATGGTGAAATCTTCCTTCATCTGCTTCAAGCTGTGTCGCTCAGTTGGGAGACAAAGGGGGGCAGAAGGGCAGCTGTCAAAAAAGAAAAAAAACCCACTAAAATCATATTCTTATATTTTACTTATTTTATTTTATATTAATGGTTTTATTACAAAAAGAAACTATGATGTAAACTTCATGTATCATTCACTTACAACATTTTATACCAAACCAAGCAGAACCCCACACTAGACAGCTCCACTATTTATATTCCTCCAAGGGTAGCTCATCCTGCCCTCTTTTTCCACCCTCAGTGTTTTTCTTCCTTCAGGGTGAGATTCTATATCAGTGTTTCATTTCTCCTCTGGGTAGACTTAAAGGCCAGACGCATTGATTATTCATCATTATATTGGGGTTTCTCTATTTCTTGACCAATGACACAATCTGCAGAGCATGATAGGTATACTGTAACTGACATCTGTACCAGAAAAAAAAATCAGGTTGTGGCGTATATATCTGCACTAATAAAAAAAGCCATCTCTCAAATCCTTCTTTTGTAAGTCTTACTAAAGAGACCACTGTGTTACAAATGCATAGGCACTGAGCCATAAATCCAGTAACAGAGACATACCTAAAAGCCCATTTTGGAACATTCTTTACTTGGACTCTTGGGAAACTCCAGGCTTAACTAGAGTCACTTATTCTTTTTCTAGGTTGTGCTGCTGATGAATACCAGGGAGAAAACTTGAAACATAAGATTTTCTGACCCTAGTATCTAACTGAGCTCTTTTACTTCATCCTATTTTGGTGTATATATTTATTTGTGGAAATTCCTCAATTTAAAATTATTTTGCCACTCATACTTTATATAATTTGCTATGTGTATGATGTCAGGGTGTATCTGAAGTATGTTAATGACTCAGTTTACAGTTTTCTATTGTACGGCATGAATTTTCATAAGTTGCAGAGCAGTAGGAATATAGTATAATGATTAAAAGCATAGATTTATATTCAGGCTGCGCACAGTATGAATCCTGGCTCTTGACTTAAATGTATTACTTTGGGCTAGTTATTTGATCTCTCAAAAGCTCAGTTTTTCCGACTATGAAATGGATATAATAATAAGATGAATGCTTAGGCTTGCTTCTAGCTCAGAACCTGCCTCATAGTAAGTCCTCAGTTAGTGGGCATTTTTATTACTGTTATTATTAGGATGGCCAAATCGGTATAATTTGGAGAATGAACAAGTTCATTGTATATTTTAAAATAATTACACTGAAACAACGGGCATAAGCCAGGACTTTCCTAGGTAGAGTGGGATATATAGTCAACCTGATTATTATAGGTAGTAGACTACCTCAGTATCGGTGTGGGAAAATTAGATATTGAATTACTCATTCTGATCCAGTGTTGAGAGGAACACACAGTGACCAGAGTAACAAACTGAGGAATTTCTTGTTTTTGTTTTTGCTTATTTTCCTTTTTAAAAGATGTTTCAATGTAGAAAGGAACAGTTTATAATCATGCCTCTTAGCTTTGCCCATGCCCACATGCATACGAGGGTAGTCCCTCCTTTAGTTGCACCATTTCTGACTGTAAAGGACAATATGGATTTATGCCTACTGACCTCTTGCAAGTTTTCTTTCTTTGCTGCAAAATTATGGGGAGCAACAATTTGATTTATTTTATTATTTTTGAACCGTGCTGCCAATAAGTAAATTGGCTCATGGTGATCACAGTATTCACTTCAATTAAATGATCATCAATTGAGTTATTTGCCTTTTTGCATGTAATTTATTATGGTCTACTTTTCTCTTTCAATTAAAAAGTTGAAGTATATAATTTGCTTGTTTCTAGGGATTATAAATTAGGGGCCTAGAACTCTAAACGGATTGCATTTTAAAGATTCAACAATTTAAAAACATATTTCTTTATATTTAAAATATAAATTGTTTTGTTGTATGCAACCAAAACCAATTATTTCCTTACGCAAAATCTACCTTAGAGAAAGGGAAAGATAAAACATATGAGAAAACACATTTTGCCTAATGATTTTCTCTTAGGAAAAATATTGCTATCATGATCCTTTTTAATTAAATAAGAATTTAGCACTTGTGTGTGTGTGTTCTTAATGTCAGACTCCGGTTATCACACTTACACCTCTGTTATTAATGCTAGCCGTGGTTTGCAGATGAGGAAAAGCTAGTTATCAATGAATAATTCAGATTCCATAACTGTCAGACCTCATTATTTTAAATAGGACCTGGTAGTTCCAGTTGTAACCAGCTAATTGCCTCGTTTAAACTTAAAATGTTAGACTATTTCACATAATTCTCAATTTTAAAAAAGTTTAAATACATTTAAAATTGCTGTAATACATAGAGCAATTTGCTTTAAATCAATCTAGAAGAACAAAAGGCATTCTGCTGATGATCCATCTTCAAATAAGAGTTCAAATTTATTTTAATTTAATCCACTGGCTGTCATGAAATGCTTACTTAACACGAATGAACAAAACGTTTTTAATTTATAAAAAATAAGAAGACTGAGATTGAGTTTAAAAATGGATCTCCTTTGTTTAAACATATTGCCAAATAAAAGTTGAAAACAAAAATGAATGTGATGGAAGGGATCACCAAAGTTATTGCTTTCACTTTCTGAGTCCCTGACACTTTTAAAACTAAATCACTATTTATTTAAAACATTTTTAAAAATCTGAAAAGTCAGAGCTGTGGCTGTGGAGAGGCACTGCTTAGATCTTCCTTCAAGAGAAGTTGTTGCAAGGGAAGTAGTGGGCAGACAATCTCCAGTGGCCACACCTTCATATCTGCTTCAATGTTCATGCCAAAGCTATACCCTTCAGGGGTGCTCCTAGCCAATGACTAAGCATGGTGGAGTATGAGAGCCAGCCCATTCCTGCCATGTGGGACCCCCTTGATAACAATAATTTCTCTGGGACTCATCAGCCTGGTTGAAACACTCTCAGAACTGTGATTCTGCTACCCAGTCCTCCTTCCTTTTATGTGTCGATGTCAGAATTGCACCATAGCTTGAAAGCTCACTATGCCTGCTCCTGCTTGGTTCCCTCTTTGTCATTTGCATGCATTTTCCCCAATAAATCTCTTGCATATCTAATTCTGTCACGTTGTTTGCTTCTTAGAGAAACTGCACTGACACAGTGAGAATTCTACAATCTCCCCATGTCTAATTAAAGAATTCTATTCACAAATCTAATCTCTTTTATTTAGTTTGGTCGTCATTAGCCATAGTGAGCTTTAAAAGGTTATGTCTTCCTAATAATGAAGTCCTTCATGTAGCTGTTAAGGCCCATGTAGAATGATATTTTATTCCTTTATTCAGGCTAAATAATGCCACCACTTATGGTCCTCCTGAAATCTGAAATGTGTGTGTGTGTGTGTGTGTGTGTATACACATAAAATATTTGGAGAGAGTAATTCTTAGTCAATTTTCATTTCTACATATGAAAATTTCCTTAATCTTCTCTAGATTCTGATTAAATCCCAACATGAATAAGGCCTGAAAATATACAGTTCTACTATTTTTACATAAACATATTATCTTAAAGTCTGGTTTAACCTTTCTTTCAATGAGGTCACTGCCCTTTAGAAAAACAAATTGTATATATCCCAGGTTTACAAGGCGTGCTACTTTGATGTGAAGTCTATTTTTCTTTTGTGAATTTTTATTAAAAGCAATGTGGTTTCTTAACCTTGGAAGTGGATATGCTGTAACTAGGGGGGAAATCTCACAGTAATTAAAAAAATCAGCAAAGCTTTATTGTGAAGGTTTCAGCTGTATAGTAAATACAATTTCAGATCTTCTGGACAATATTTGTTAAAGGCTCAGTCATGTTCATGGTCATGTATGTATAGAAACAGCACAATTTTCATAAGGAAGAAGAAAGACTTCTACAATTCTATCTTGCTATCTATTCATGTTGTCTGAGATTGGGTGTCATTTACATCTTCCAACATCTAAAGTTTCTTGTAGTGGTCCACAGATGGGAAAGGGCAGCTGTGGGAAATTATAAGAGCATTTGGAAATAATTTACTAAGTTTTTAGTTAAATTTAAAAGATGCTTTAAAATTTTAATAAAGTGTTGGCAATATTGTACTCATTAAAAGGGTAGACATTTTGGGGTATGCACATTTGCACAGTTCAACTTTAATACTGGCTTTGTACTAGCTTTGAGACCTTGGGTCAGTCATAAACATTCTCTGGGTTTGTGTTTTGTCAGCTGTGAAACTGGTAGTGGAGTGGAGCAAGGAATGAGATTAGACAAATTCTGAGACCACTTCTAGCCATATGTGTGTCTTATTTTAATAAGTGCAGCTCACACACACTTCCTTTAAAGAAAATGTTTACTGGATATTTGGAGAGCCTAATTCTTTGATTAATTTTCCAATATAAATCCACATTGGCTGAAAAATCACAGCAAATGGGGTTGCCGAAATTAATATTTTCTGAGTAGAAGTGAAAAATGAACTTATTTTCTTCTGATTCAGATGTAGGGCATTTTAATTTACTTATTTTTTGCACAGATAAGTCCTCTCCCTAGGCCGTCTTAGTAGTTCAAACTATACCAAGTTTTGAGAATATGAAACTTGAATTACTTTTCTTCTTTTGATTTACATATAACAAACAACTTGTAAAATATTGATACTTTCTGGAAGATATGTTCCCCTCTGTTACCATGTGATCTCTGAGCAAAGAGTAGTTTTGTCTGCTTTGTAACATTCTGAAAGTATAATAGGCTACCATGAAATAATATAGTAAATATTTCCCCCTTTTCAATTTTTATATTCTGACAGGTCCCCCCTCCCTCCCTCCAGGAAGAGCCAGTGAGGATAAAATACAGACACATACAATTAGTGTCAGTTACAGTTCATAGAAGCACACGCTTTTCTTCCATTGTAATAACTGAACATTTAGGGACTGAAGGATTTAGCATCTGTAAGCTATGTGTCAGCTTAGCTGTCTCAGATCAAGCTTCGTTTTAAAATACTGTGTTCTGAGAGAAGGCCACCTCAGTCTCTGAATGTCATGCTTGTGACCACACTCAAATATTGTAATCAAAGTAAGGCCTTGCTTGTCTATCTTGAGATTCTGGCATTGGTTTCCCTCTTTTCCTATGGCATATATCTCTAATGAAGCTGACCATTAATTATTTTTAGTAACTGACTAAATTCTACCAAAAAATTGTTGAGCATTAATATACTACATTTAGCATTTTAGATAATTACATAAATTGAACATAAAAGCTGTAAATGTCAAACTCAGAATGTATCCCCTCTGTATTGTGGTTTAGAATCTTATTGTATAATAAAGACTTTCTTGTTATAAACATTTAATCTAATTAATTTTATGTGGTAAAATAATGAAGACAGATGCCTTTGGTTTTGCTCTGATTTTTAAAAAATGTCATGAAATTCAGATTTTCAACCCTTTTTTGGTAGTGTAAATTTTTGTTTTATTAGAAATAGAAGACTACATTTGCAGAGGTACAAGAAAGGAAGAAATAGTGTTATTAAGTAAGCATTCAAGTAGAGCAACATTTCAGGTTGTATTATACACTTTGGCCACTGTTCAGTGTTGACAAGAAGTTGATAACCTAGAAAGAGCTTCAGAAGATTAAATGGTCTCTGTACACATAAAGCCAGTTCAAGTCATAGATTCCTTTGGGATCACTAGAGCCTGGTTGTGGTGAGAATCCAGAATCTACCTTGCTTTCTGAGATGTGAAAAATTGGAACATTCTCAAAGACAAATTTTGTAGAATGACATTTTATGCCTACTGTTAACATGTGTTCTACAGAGGACATACCCTTTTCTCCAATTATAATATTGTGATGGCTGGAAAGTTCTAGGAAGAAAGTAATTATAGTTTCGTAAGGATCAACTCAGACTTTTAATGTATACCACGTGCTTCTACCATAAGGTACATATGGATTGCAAACCACACCTGAGCATCGGTGATTCCTACCTAGCATTTGGTGTTTATGTTGTGATTTTAAAATAGCCATTGATTAGCCAGGGGTGCAGGGAGGTGTGTGTATGTGTGCCTTAGACAGTCAAAACAACATTTTTTTTTTTTACTATTTCACAGAATATGGTATACTTTACCATAGAATATTTAAGAACATACTTCCCCACTGTAGTTATTAGTCACTGACTCCTAATACCTCCTTAGTCAACATGAGAAGCAGATGGCTTGTGGAGATATTGTTACTTTTCTTCTGTCACCTTCTAAAGTGAAGGCTTTCACTTCTTAAAGAACAATTCTTTTAATTCTCCCCCCAAGACTCTAGCAGCAATAACGATAGACTCAAAGGTACATGCTAAAAAATGTTTAAGTGCAACAGAGAGGAACACTATTCGATAGCCAGCCATACCTGATATTTGTGTTCTTTGTTACCTTGACATTATAAACTGTCTTCCAGTTTTGAAATTCTTGTCCACTTGGAAGCAAACAGCTCCTTAAATCTTCTTCAGATTAAAATTAATGTAATATAATAGCCTATAATCAACTATGCATGCACACAAGTCCTTTAAACCTGAGTGATGCCATTTGGGAGTGTTCAGATTTAGCAGTGGGAAAGATTTTCCATCAGACAAAAGCCGCAGTGGAGTCTGCCCACATGAATGACCCCTTTAAGCCCTCTATCTCAATTTATTAGCTCTTTTCTATTATTGTATCACCCAACAACAGCATTGTTTTATACATGGCCCTTATTGCAGTGGAAAATAAATTTGTTACTCACTGTCATTTTAGCAGGTTTCTAGGGTCTGGAGTTTCTCTATATTTGGGCATTTTTCCCTCATTCTATAATTGAGAATTCAACCATACCATATGTATAGCTCTACTTCATTGTGTGCTTGAGTGTATGTAAAATGTGTATTTTTGTTTGTGCAAATCTTAAGTGATTCTAGTTCTAGTAGTTGCATGGGGTGAAATTCTTCTTAAATTTGTGTTAATTCCATTTTTATAAATTTAATTATTGAAAAATTAAAATATATATAAGCAAACAAACTAATCGATATAATGAACTTCCATCACCCAGGTTGGACAATTATCAACACATGAACAATCTTCTTTCAACTGTCCCTACTCACTTTTCTGCAACTGATGTTGGATTATTTTCACACAAGCTCCATCATGTCATGTCATCCATAAATACTTCAGTCATATTATTTGTTATTGCTCTTTATGTCATATTTAGATTTGCTCTTGGTTCCTATATTATCTGTCTAATCTGTCCATTATATAAGTTCCTGATCAGCTTGTCAATCCGTGGTTTTTGTAGCTATTTGGATCATTGTATGTCTCCAAGGAAGGCATTGTGTCTATTTTTGTTCTCTAAAATTTCTACAAGTAAAGCATTACTTCAGTGCATGCAATATGTTTATTGAGGAAACCAAAGTGATATAGGCAGGAAGACAATGACAGTTTCTAACATTTTGCTTCTGCTGGGGGTGGGTGATATAGAAGCATCTCCTTAACACTTCTTATTATTTTGATTTCAATTAGTCACTATGGCAAACACAACTATTTTCTATTATAAATGAAGAGAGTTAACATTCCTTAAAATACTGTGACATGACTGTTGGCACTGTGAAAGAAATAGCTTACTTTAATTGCAAATCATGATTTTTACTCTGTGGCTAGATATAGGTAATTATTGGTGAATTAAGCATGATTTCTCATTTGTTATCTCACCTGATACAGCAGCCCTATGTCATAAACAAGGAAATATATAATTTTCTCTATTTTACCGATATAAAAATTGAGATTCAAAGAGCAGATATTACTTTCCATTGTTATGCAATGAGTAGGTGGCATAACTGGCATCAGATCTTGGGTTCCCAACTCTAAATTCAGTTTTCCTTTAATTGTGCAATTCTTGAGTTATTTCTAGATTCAGGCTTCCTGGTCACTTATTAAATTCATTAATATATACTGATTAACCAAAAATTTAATATAAAACTGACAACATGTTTTAAGTGAACAAATAAATATAATTAAATAATATGCTTAACATTAAAAGTTGCTTATAATAATTTTCATGGAACCATTAAAAGCAGAAGCTATCTTCCAATTTTTATTTTGTGTTACTCTTTTTGTTGCATTAGCGCCCCGTCAAAGCTCCTTTGAATCTCTGGATTTGACAGTTACAGAGGATAAAAAAAAAAAACATGAATACTTTGTCTCCACTGGAGGGCTTCATGGCATAGTGCAAGAAAAGAATATAAACAAGCAATTACAATATAGATTGGTAAGATGATCGGTTTTAGGCTCCAAAAATTGTCCATTTTGAATTGACCCTAAATTCTTTTTATTAGTCAGTATATCAAGTGTAACTTATTCCAAGCACGTAAGATGCATTTCACAAATACAGGTAATAGCTTTTTGTATAAGTAATTCTATTTTATTTTAGGGTTCAGACATAGCTAATGACACTTCTAAAATTTTTAAAAGTCCTTCTACCTGAGGAAGTGACTGGTTCCCAAAGGTCCACTCTCAGGAAGATACTGTGTCTAAGTGTGGTCTTAGCATTTGCCCTGCCACCAAAGTGGGCCAGAACCATATGAAACCCACCTCCGGAGGTCTGAGTCCCAGAGCTGCCATAAAGCTGCCTTGCACAGGCCTAAGCTGACAGTTCATTACTGATCCTGAAAGTCTGGAACACGTTTCGGATCTAGTAGATATGAGTGAGACTGTTTTTGGAGCATAGTTCCTATAGCACCTCTGATAACAGTTGGTGCTCAAGGTAAAGGATAAAAGCATAAGTCTTGAGGGGTTCCTCAGACACTGGAGACTTATTTGAAAGACTTGGGTGACATGATTTGCAAAGAGAGAGAAAAAAAAAACTAACATCCTCCTGGAGGAAATATTCATTTTTGTTTAGAGAAACTAGTGACAGGCCAGGTGCGGTGGCTCATGCCTATAATCCTAGCACTTTGGGAGGCCAAGACAGGTGGATCTCTTAAGGTGATGAGTTCGAGACCAGCCAGGCCAATATGACAAAACCCCATCTCTACTACACACACACACACACACACACACACACACACACACACACACACGCACAGCCAGGTATAGTGGTGTGCGCTTGTAATCCCAGCTACTTGGGAGGCTGAGGCATGAGAATAACTTGAACCTGGGAGGCAGAAGTTACAGTGAGCTGAGATCATACCACTGCACTCCAGCCTGGGTGACAGAGTGAGACTCTGTCTCCAAAAAAAAAAAAGAAACCAATGACAGACAATATTAAATGATGCTATAAAAATGAGTCAAAAATAATATGGAAATGCTATGAATACTAGCATACTGAATTAGTTTGAATTTTAATGTCATATGTACCTGGCCTAAAGCCCGAATTTATATCGTGAAGCAGATTGGAAAGGCAACTATATGTTATTTTTCTTGTTTTTTTTAAATCACCTATCCCTAACCTTTGTGTTTTACATGGCCAAAATCTTTAAAAGGATGAAAAAAAATTCAAGACATTGCTATTCCAAGTCATGACAAATCTTAAAGTCTTGTCCCTGAAGCATCTTAGCCTTGCTTCTGTATTTAATAATATTCTATGGCACTGCTAAGTGTCTAGGCTATCATGTACCAACTAACATATATATGTTATATATTATATATGTTAGATATGTATATATGTTCTATATTATATATGTGTATATATATAATACACATATATACACATAATACAAATATAATATATACAGATATATATTATACATACATATATAACGTATGTCCCTCCAGATGCATTTATTAGACATTTTATTCCCATTTCCTTGATAAAATCAAAGCTCAGAGAGACTACATACCTTGATAACTGAGAAATAATTAGGAATTGGATGTTTCTGACTCACAAGCCAAAGGTTTTCATTCACTTCTTAATTTCACGAGACTAATGTTGCATTCAACAGCAGATATAGTAATTTTCCCTGAGTAAGCTTATGGTCATGTGGAGGCTGACCCAAATGATAGATCTGCTGAGCTATATTGTCCTAGATGTGTAGTGTGCTTGAACCAGGTGGAGGTACTGCAGGAGGCTAAGTGTGTGTAAAACACCATGAAAACAGCATGCATGTCTGCCTGCAGGAAAGCATAGTGAGGGCATATTGGCAAGTGGTCTCCATGATTTCCTTTGCAGTGGCTCCTTAGGATATTCTGAAACTGGAGTTTAACTATTTCCTTGGAAACAAAAAATTAAATCAAAATAGTAATTTGTATTTTCTCTGCGTGTCTTTTGAGAATTTTGTGAGGGAGAGCACATTTTGAGTATCATTCCCTTTTTGGAAAAATGGTGGCACCTTTGTGCTACTCATTTTATTGTGAACATCCTAGAAACATAGACATATAAAGCCTTTTACACATCAACTTTTGGTATAAGGCCAATATTAAGGCCATAAAACTTTTTAATGTCCTGTGATCTTTATTTTCAGAACGGATTTATTGCACATTTTCTGTATCCAGGACTCTATACCAGGTAATGTGGGAAGAATTAAAGAAGAAAAATGCTGAGTTCACAACTGGAAGAGCTTGTATAAAGTCACTGACTGTGTGCATACTTTATGACTATGTACAGTAAACTCCCAAACATCCATAAGCAGCAGGAACCAGGCTTCTCCACCCAGCTGAGATACCATGCGGACAACTCTGGGCAGGGAATGGGATTCACAATAAAGCAGAATCAAGGACATGGCTCCAGGTACTGCAACAAATTTCTCTCTAAATTAGTCAGATGCTTACTATCTGGCTCCATGATCCCATTTATGGGCACAGAGGTTGGATTTTTTTGTTATATGGATGTACATATTCAAAAGTGGCAAGAATTTGAAAATATCAAATGTTTCCAACCACCCACAAGACATTTATTTTCCCGTGACCTTTCTTTTTGAAATGCACATTAAGAAGTATATTTTGCACCATGATATATTTACATATCCCACATAAACATATTTGTATAGTAACCATCTCACACACACACACAAATGCACAAACACAACTAACATAGAAGTTTCACAAAAATATCATGTTCACTGGACTCCAATATTTTCTTTTCTTTCCTTGTTTACTCTATTTTATTTCAATTTATATTTCTATCTTATTTTAGTTTATTTTAAAATGCTACTTGGTATCTACAGAATTTATTTCATAACATTCTCATGCTTCTGGATTCACATATCAAATAACTTTGTGCTAAAGAAGTTACAAAAATGAAAAGAGAAGCTATGGCAGAAACCAGCAAGAAAAATCAGTTTGACGTTATAAGAAAACAAGAAAGGTGATAGGATGCTCAGGTAGAGAGTTACTACTTTAGAGTTTGGTTAGTTAAGTGTGGTCAGGCCTACTATGCAGCTTGAATCATGTTTTCCTACCCCACAACCCCAATGTCTAGCACAGTATTTACTTTCTAGGAGTTTAGAAAGAATATGTTGAATTTAATTGAAATAACTTCTGATGTTACTGTAGAAATGGATAAAAGTTGTAAATGAAAAACCAATACGAAGAAAGAATTTGAACAACTTGGATACTTTTTACGTCTGACCTTAGGAAAACAAAACAAAACAAATCAAATCAAACAGAGTACCAAAACTGTGCCAGTTTTATGAATTTAGGTTGAAGATTAAAGGGAAGATTTGGAAGGAAACAATAAATGTATTAAGAGATGTTTTTACGAATAAGTACATGACTGTGCTTGGTGTCTCACAAAATTGTAGATTCTCAGTTAGAAGAAACTTTAGGGATTATCCAGTGGTCCACACTCCTTCCCAATGCAAAGCTCCTTTTTATGCCATCCTTGAGCAAAAGCCATCTCATCTTTTCATGGAACATTCAAGTGAAGGGACAATGTGCATGGATAGGTAATCTAGTCTGTTATTCATTATCCTGAATTATTTAAGTTTCTCTTCTCTCTCTAGCTGAAATCTGCTTCCTTGTTACATCCACTCTTTTTCCTTGGTCTGCTTCCTAACATAATATGGAAATAGTTCATTCCTTTGTTTAAACAGTAGCCCCTTTTACCCCTTGGCTATATGCTTTCATTATTTTTAATATCTCTGAAACTCAGTGTTAAAAATATCAGCAAGATCTACCACGTTAAAATTAAGCTGAGGTCAAGAAGGGGAATGAAGCATCAAAGAATCACAGAACTAATGCCCAGTTCTAAATGATACATGCAGCATTTCATGGTCATCAGATAAGAATTGCCATTGTTTTTTAAAACTACACATATTGTTGACTTCATAAACCATGAGCAACAGATTCTCTTTATTGAGAATTTTCTTTTGGGAAAATGAAGCTCTGTTAACTGAAGGCACAGTATATTGCCAATGGCTTATTTTCACATGGGAGCCTCGTTTTGCCAAATGGTTAGAGAGCTCTTAAATGCATTTGCATTAACATAATCATTATTTACCTAAAATTTTGATAAGGAAGCTGAGCTTCTCTTGAAAAGAGATAACCCATGTTTGAACAGAAGTATTTTTATTTTCCCCAGTCAGACTCACACAGTTTACTTAACTGTATGTTTTCCCCTAGGCACTAGTCTGCAAAATGGAGTGATCATGAACCCAAAATATTCACCCTCAAAATTTTCTATAATATAATCTTTAGTCATAAAAGATTAAGCAGGAGTTGCTAAAAAAATCAGCTTTAGAAAATATTATTGGAAAATTCCTAGGTAGGGAATACTGAAAATGTCCAGAACTACATGATTTAACTACAGGCTAATTGTATTTTTAAGCAGTAAATCTTTATCTGTATTTAGAAATTCGATATCATCTGAAATAGGTGAAGTTTTGAAAGCTTCACCAAGTACTGAACCCTAATGATTTTCAAATAGCATTTGAAAGGCCAATCATAAGTAACAAATCTATCAATATAGCCAATCCACGTTGCACTATCACAAAACTATATAAAATCACAGTAATTATAGTAAGAAAAACACAGGTATGTGTTTCCAGCCTCTTCTCTCTCTACAACTCTCATAATAGTTTCTAACCAGTAGTATAATGTATAAATGTTTACAAATTACAAAAGTTGTAAGTTTGAATATTCAATCGCTTTTTGGTTCTCTGGTCCTAAGTCAACTCAATAATGGCATTTCTTGAACAGGCACACTGCTAATGACAAGAAGTGAGGAGAATTACATTTTGGCAAAGGAATAGAAAATGTGTTCACACCTTTAAAAAGGTATAAAGTATGATCAGAAACACAGATTGCATGCAAAGAAAATAACTGAAGACCATGAAATTGTATACAATGAACACACATCAAAAATGCATTCATGATGACAAATAACATATAAGTGCTTAGAATTAGGAAAAGTATTCTTGAAATAATTCTTGGAGGGATTAAATTTTCAGCAAAGTAAATGGGCAGGAACATTGTTGTGTGTGTGAGTATGTGTATACAGTTACAGTATTGAAGATAAGGGGAAATATCTATAAGTAATAGTATGGCACAAATGGTTTGGAAAATATTGAAGAATAAGATGAGTAAGTGGTAAGGGAACAGCTGAGGAAGAATCTTATGTGGGTAATACCTTCTGATTAAGTTGAACCATATGCATTTGTTAATATTTAATTGCTTTGACCTAGAAACACAACTATTTAATATAATTTATTGTAATTTTTCTTATTTGAGCTGAAAGGAAAAGGCTGTATTAGGAAAGCAGACTCTTGGGTTCCCACAAAACTACTGAAGAGGAATGCCTGCCATTTAGTCACAGGAGTTGACATCAAAATTAAACCCTTTAGGTGATTTTTATGTATGCTACAGTTTAATAGCCATCATTCTGCCAAAATCCTTGGCTGAAAAACAGGCTTTGTAGCTACCTTTGTACTTGATCCCATGGGCCTGAACATATAGCTGACGGGGATAGAGTAGACCTCTAATCCCAAGAATGAACTAGCTAGTGGCTATGATTTGTCCTTTAATGTAAGCTCTACCCAGACATGTGCTATAGTAATTAGCAGGCCCAGCCATTTTCTCTTTCTCAGAAATCTGAGCCAGATATATAGGAAAATAATCAGTTGGCAGTGGGTAAAGACATAAGCATAACGAAGGGATGTAAAAGTAATACTGCCATTAAAATACAGATCAATAAGTGCCTACTTCTGCAGACCATTGTAAAGTTCTTCTGAACTACTAGAGAGATTTCAGACAACTACAGTTACATTTGGATCATGAAAACATTCCTGTCTCCCTAAGGCCTGGCAATATGGTGGAACTTCTTGCTATTTCTGTGTGTATTCTTAAAACAAATTGCTAACATATTTAAGTGAAGAGAGTGAGCTATGTTCATTTCAACCAAGAGAGCTATCACACATAAATATGAAGTCCAGATCAGGCTTTTAAAGAAAAGTGGAATGCTTTACTTTTAGTATTATGAAAAGAGAGAAGCCAAGGCACTGGTTATTTGACTGTATAATCAGCCTCGAAAAACCAAGTTCAATATACCTTCTGAAATAGAGCTAAATGATATTAACTTTCTTCCACACTGCCAATCTAAAACTTCTAGAAAGATGCCCTGTCATTCTGCTTGTTAATTTGAAATTAGTCTACACAGCCCCAACTTCCCTTGAACTTAGGAGCAAAGTCTCCAGTAATGAGGTCACACTTTTGAGTGACATTCTTAGCCCATTGCTTCAAATGATCGGAGCCACCATGATTAGGATCCTAGTTTTCCTCTGTAGCAAGTGCAATTGTTAAGCAATAAGTAATGCACAGTAGTGACAATGTCCTATTTTAGAGGACACGTTGATAACATAGTAATGATTTGGGCTGAAAAAATGGTGTTGAGGGAATACTGCAGTGGATAATATCACAAACACACATGTGCAATATTTTTTGAGAACTAAAATGTGTTACTTATTTTATTTCATGGCCTTCAAACATGAAAATTTCCTTGCATTTCTCCCACATGGCAGCCTCATTTACTTTTCATGAGTTAGTCCAGAATCCTTCTACGCATGATAGTATCTGGGCTTTCCTTGATGTTCCAAGCCTCTGATACCTTCTGTAAGAAACCTTAGCTTCTCGGTTATTCTTTTAATGGTACCATTCTGTGGTTTCTGAGTTTCAAAACCTTTAGGGGGATAAAAATCTATAATCACTTAGAAAATCTTGCAGAAGCCAGGCTCCCTTCCCTGCATCTCCACTACTATAACCCTAGTCTAAACCACATCTCTTGACAAGTAGAACTTCCTAAATTGTCTCCCTGCTTTTATTTTTGTTCACTACGAAACATTTTCCATAAAGCAGACAAAGTGAATTTGTAAAATCGTAAATCTGATTTTGCCACACACACACACACACACACACACACACACTTCTACTTAAATTCATTCAATTGCTATCCACGTTGAGAATGAAATCTAAATTTCTTTCTGTGAACCCATCTCTAACTTCATATCATGCAACTCACCTCACACTCACTGAGCTCAAGCTTCTTCTCAGCTCCAGAACTTTGCAGATGTGTGCCTTATTCTTGTCCTGGAATAGACATTGCTTGGTTTTCCCTATGGCTGATTGTGGCCTTGGTCCAGTGTCACCTCCTCAGCAAGGCCTTTTCTGACCAACCCATATAAAGTGTTTTCTCCCAGCTGCTCGCTTTTTCATCACTTTATTTTCCTTCTAAGGTTTAACAAACTTTGTTGTCTTTTCCCAGACCCAGCTCCCAAGTTCCTCCTTTTGGTTTGTGCATGAATCCATTTTACATTTATGTGGGCCTGGATAGCAAGTTTAGTTTTACTCAATACATGTAGTAAGAGTCACAGCAACTCTCTGTAAAAAGAACCACTTCCTTCCCTTGCTTTCTTCATTGGGGTGGTGGGCCTGGTGGGATCCCTCCACAAGTGTACTTGCAGCATAATTCCAAGTAATAAGTAAAAAATCCTTAAAGGCTGCATTTCAATTAACCAACCTGAGAAAGTCAGTATTCTACCTGCATTCTTTAAAAATCATAAGATATTATAGATATTCAACAAAGTTTTGTCTGTGGTTGTTTGTTTCCAGATTGCAGAATTTCAAAGGATTTTTACTTCCTTCTTTATACCTTTTCTTATTTATTTATTCATTTTACAACTATCGTGCACTTTTGTAGTAAATAGAAAATAAGAAGAAAAAGGACCATAGCAGAAAAAAAATATTGTTACAAACTGTACAGCAAGATGGGAATATTGAAGTGGAGGAAAAGAATGAAAAATGGCATAGTCACACAATGATTATAACTATGCCAACATGTATAAGGTGAAAAGACCTGAAGGACTTGAACAAAAATGATAATTGTATTTGAGTTGGTAGGATTAACAGTAATCATTTACATACACATTTAAAAATTTTAGTAATGCTATATTATTTATATAATTGAACATATTTTAGGAAGTTTTATCCAGAGTAATCAGGCAAGATAAAGAAAGAAAAGGCATACAAATAGGAAAAGAAGAAGTCAAACTATCTCTGATGGCCATATGATTCTATACCTAGAATACCCTAAATTCTCCACCAAAAGGCTACTAGAATTGATAACTCTGGTAAGGTATCAGGATACTAAATCAATGTACGAAAATCAGTAGTATTTCTATACACCAATAGTGACCAGGCCAAGAGTCAAATCAAGAACACAATCTCATTTACAATAGCCACAAATAAAATGAAGTATCTAGGAATATGCTAAACAATGAGGTAAAAGATCTCTACAGGGAGAACTACAAAAGACTGCTGAAAGAAGTCAGAGACAGCACAAATAAATGGAAAATATTCCATGCTCATGAATTAGAAGAATCAATATTGTTTAAATGGCCACACTGCCCAAAGAAATTTACATACACAATGCTATTCCTATGAAACTGCCAACATTACTCTTTACAGAATTAGAAAAAAACTATTCTAAAATTCATATGAAACAAACAAACAAATAAACCCAGTGGTCAAGGCAATCCAAAGCAAAAAGAACAAATTAGAGGCATCACACTGCCTGACTTCAAACTATGCTGTAAGTCTATAGTTACCAAACAACATGCTATTGGTGCAAAAACAGACACGTAGACCAATGGAACAGAATCAAAAACTCAGAAATAAAAGCACATGCCTCCAACCATCTGATCTTTGAGAAGACCAACAAAAACAAGCAATGGAGAAAAGACTCCCTATTCATAAATAGCGATGGGATAACTGGCTAGCCATATGCAGAAGATTGAAACTGGACCCCTTCCTTACACCACATACAAAACTTAAGATGCATTACAGATTTAAATGTAAGTCCTCAAAAGATAAAAACTGTAGAAGAAAACCTAGGAAATACCCTTCTTGACACTGGCCTTGGCAAAGAATTTTTGGCTAAGTCCCCAAAAGCAACTGCAACAAAAACAAAAATTGGCAAGTGGGACCTGATTAAACTAATGAGCTTCTGTACAGCAAAGGAAACTATCAAAAGAGTAAACATACAACCTATAGAATAGGAGAAAATATTTGCAAACTATGCGTCTGACAAAGATCTAATATTCAGAATCTAAAAGGACCTTAAACAAATCAACAAGAAAAACAAAAACAAAACAACCCCATTAAAAAATGAGCAAAGGATATGAACAGACACTTTTCAAAAGACAACACGCAAGTGACCAATAAACACATGAAAAAATGTTCATCATCAGTAATCATCAGAGAAATGCAAATAAAACCACAGTGAGAGACCATCTCACACCAATCAGAATGGCTATTCTTAATAAGTCAAAATAACAGCATATGCTAGTGAGGCTGCAGAGAAAAAGGAATGCCTATGCACTGTTGTTGGGAATGTAAATTAGTTCGGCCTCTGTGGAAAGTAGTTTGGAGATTTCTTAAAGAACTTAAATAGAGCTACCATTTGACCCAGCAATCCCATTACTAGGTATGTATTCAAAGGAAAATAGATAATTTTACCAAAAAAATATGCATTTGTATGTTCATTGCTGCACTATTCCCAGTAGTAAAGACATAGAATCAATGTAGATGCTCATCAGTGGTGGATTGGATAAAGCAAACATGATATATATGCATCATGGAACACTATGCAGCCATAAAGATGGATGAAATCTTGTCCTTGGCAGCAATGTGGCTGGAGCTGAAGGCCATTCTTCTAAGTGAATTAATGCAGGAATAAAAACAAAATACTGCATGTTCTCACTTATAAGTGAGAGCTAAACATTGAGCATATGTGGACATAAACATGGGAACAGTAGACGCTGCGGGTGACTAGAGGGGGTAAGGAAGGAGGGGTGTGGGTTGAAAAACTACCTATTGGATACTATGCTCACTACCTGGGTGCCATATACCCATATAACAAACCTGTATGTGTACCACCTATATTTAAAATAAAAATTGAATTTAAAAATAAAATAAAAAGAGAAAAGTAAAATATAAAAAAAGAAAATATTTTAAAAAACTAATCTGCATGTAGATGTTGATAAGTTGGTAGAGTTTGACAATTTTTTTTTTTTTTTTGAGATGGAGTCTTGCTCTGTCACCTAGGCTAGAGTGCAGTGGCACGATCTCGGCTCACTGCAAGCTGTGCCTCCCGGGTTCATGCCATTCTCTTGCCTCAGCCTCCCGAGTAGCTGGGACTACAGGTGCCTGCCACCACGCCCAGCTAATTTTTTTGTATTTTTAGTAGAGACGGGGTTTCACCGTGTTAGCCAGGATGGTCTCTATCTCCTGACCTCGTGATCCACCCACCTCGGCCTCCCATAGTGCTGAGATTACAGGCGTAAGCCACTGCACCCAGCCAAGTTTGACAATTTTTATGAGTATTGTGGGCTGGTGAATTGGACAAAAAAGATTAGCATATTAAAATATACCATCATCATGTACCTGTTTTTATATATAGATATATATACACACACACACACACACAATAAACATTTACATATACTCATCACCATAAAATAAGTACAATAAAACTATAATATTTGAAGTCTGTAGACAAGTAAAGTTAGTGTTGAATTCTACTCTAATATATCTGCACATAGATAGAGTTATATCTTAAGGACCACTTTATAATTTGTAGAGTGAAGAATTTCAGAATATAGACTTCAAAGCTTCAGCTCATGTTACATTGGCAAAAGAACTTCCTCTCCTACTCGGTTCACCACTTCGAACTATGTTAACAACTAATCTAGTCACCTTGCAGAATCTAATGGGGGCATATATGCCACAGATAATTCTTGGTATTTTATAAGAACTTTGATCTCTTACTTTCTTTTTTACCAACTAAAAGAATATTCAGAAATGAATCCAGTGGGAAAGTTTTTATGTAGAAAAATCCTGACAAAAAATATTCTAAGTGGCTAATCATGTGTGTCTTTACCTCTGGCTTTAATATCACAGCAATTTCAATTTTATACCTTAGTAAATGTTCCATATCTGCTGGTTCATCAGTATTACTTACATCTTTGGTGGGCACATACACATATATGTAATCATTGTTATGTAATAGATCAGTAATATAGAGGTTGGTGTCAATAATTAATATTTATTTAAAGAGAGAATGCCAGCATATAAACTAATTCAGTTCATTTTTTTTTTGGATCTGAAACTCACTAACTTCTTCCTTTTATAAATTGTTATTTGCTAATATTTCTTATAAAATAATTAAATGAAGCTCTAGAAAGTCTGCACAATGCAGGACGAATAACAAAGCACATATGTTGTTTTCATGGGTCTTTTAAATAATCCATTACATTTTGGGAAATAACTATTTTTTCTCCATTATTCCTACATTTTGGGCCCTGTCTCTGCTCAGTTTATATAGCACCATAGTTTTGGAGGATGCTGAATAAATAATACAGGTCAGACAAGACAGTTGTTTTTCTTGTAAGCAAAACCAGCAAGGGAGAATGTAGAAACAAATGTTTACTGAGCTCCTAGCCTATAGTAAGCATGATGCCTGGCAATGAAGAATCCAGGATAACAAGACATATTACTGTCCTCATGGTCTACAAGGAAAAAACAAAAAATCTACTTACTTTCAGACACATTACAACAGCATGGAGCTTCCTGAACATGAGAATATTGATATGTGTTGGTTACGAGACATAACATAGTGTAAAAAGTGCTCTAAATAGAGTTCCATGTAATGTATTGTCCGAATACAGAAGAAGCAGTTAATTTTGTTTGAGGAGCTGTGGGAGAATTGGCCTTTAAGGAAAGCTGCTGAATAGAGGAGTTATTTGAGCAGAACCCTAAGATGAGTTAGATTATTCCTGGAAGATACTCAGCAAGGTGTGAAGAAGATGGCACATGATGGCAGAGGTGTCTGGTCATAGACGAAATGCATTGAAAAGCCAAATATAGACATGCACTGCTGCATAATGACATTTCAGTCAATGACAGACTGCATCTATCATGGTGGTTCCCAAGACTACAATATCATCTTTTGACTGTCCCTGTTCTATGTTTTGATATGTTTAGATACACAAATACTTTCCATTGCATTGCAGTTGCCTACAGTATTCAGTAGAGTAACATGCTGTACAGGTTTGTAGCACAGAGGCAAATAGCCCATACTATATAGCCTAGATGTATAGTAGGGTATCCTAGCTAGGTTTATGCAAGTACACTCTGACATTCACAGAATGAAGAAATCACCTGAGGATACATTTCCCAAAACATATCCCCATAATTAAGTGATGCATGACTGCATACTGGTGCTTACTGCAGAGGTTTATTGACACCTTGATCCACATAATGGGTCTTTACTTTTTCCCACCGAGACAATCAAATGATTAGAATCTGGAATGAGGAGAAAGGATTGCCATCAGACAACACTATTGTTATAACAAATTCCGTTAAAAATTATATTTTCTCAATTGGTTCTGCAGTCTGCCTCTGATTTCAGTGTCATCAGACGATGCTACAATAAATCTTAACATGGTTTAGTTTCTCCTAAAGTCTAGGAGGTGGGCAAATGTTGATATATAATATATTTCTAAAGCATGTTCCTAGATCGTAAGATAATGCAAAGTGTTGACAGATCTTAAGAATACGGAATTGGCAAGGCAATCCTAGGTAAAAAGAACACAGCTGAGGGCATCACACTACCTGACTTCAAACTATACTAAAAGCCTACAGTAACCAAAACAGCATGGTACTGATACCAAAAGAGACATATAGACCAATGGAACAGAACAGAGACTTCAGAAATAACACCACACATCTACAACCATCTGATTGATCTTCGACAAACCTGACAAAAACAAGCAATAGGGAAAGGATTCCCCATTTAATAAGTGGTGCTGGGAAAACTGGCTAGCCATATGCAGAAAACTGGAACTGGACCCCTTCCTTATACCTTATACAAAAATTAACTCAAAATGGATTAAAGACTTAAATGTAAAACCCAAAACCATAAAAACCCTAGAAGAAAACCTAGGCAATACCATTCAGGACATAGGCATGGGCAAAGACTTCATGACAAAAACGCCAAAAACAATTACAACAAAAGCCAAAATTGACAAATGGAATCTAATTAAATTAAAGAGCTTCTGCACAGCAAAAGAAACTATCATCAGAGTGAACAGGCAATCCACAGAATGGGAGAAAATTTTTGCAAGCTACACATCTGACAAAGGTCTCATATCCAGAATCTACAAGGAACTTAAACAAATCTACAAAAAAAACCAACCCCCTCAAAAAGTGGGCAAAGGATATGAACAGACACTTCTCAAAAGAAGATATTTATGCGGCCAACAAACATGAAAAAAAGCTCATCGTCACTGGCCATTAGAGAAATGCAAATCAAAATCACAATGAAATACCATCTCACACCAGTCAGAATGACAATTTTTAGAAAGTCAAGAAACAATAGATGCTGGCGAGGCTGCAGAGAAATAGAAATGCTTTTACACTGTTGGTGGGAATGTAAATTAGTTCAACCATTGTGGAAGACAGTATGGCAATTCCTCAAGGATCTAGAACCAGAAATACCATTTGACCCAGCAATCACATTACTGGGTATATAGCCAAAGGAATATAAATCATTCTACTATAAAGACACAGGCACACGTATGCTTATTGCAGCACTATTTACAGTAGCAAAGTTATGGAACCGATGCAAATACCCATCAATGGTAGACTGGATAAAGAAAATGTGGCACAAATACACCATGGAATACTACGCAGCCATAAAAAGGAATGAGATCATGTCCTTTGCAGGGACATGGATGAAGCTGGAAGCCATCATCCTCAGCAAACTAACACAGGAACAGAAAACCAAACATTGGCTGTTCTCACTCATAAGTGGGAGCTGAACAATGAGAACACATGAACACAGGGAGGGGAACAACACACTCCAGGGCCTGTCAGGGGGTTGGGGGCAAGGGGAGGGAACTTAGAGGATGGGTCAATAGGTGCAACAAACCACCGTGGCACACACACCTGTGTAACAAACCTGCACATTCTGCACATGTATCCCAGAACTTAAAGTAAAAATTAAAAAGAGAGAGAGAAAGAATATGGCATTGGGACAAAAATACAGGGAGAACAAATTTTGATATTGATGTTAGAAAATTCTAACATGATGTTAAAAATTCATGTGCCACAAGAAGGAGCAATTGTATTTAGGAAGGGAATAGTGTGTGTGTGTGTGTGTGTGTGTGTGTAGTAACTATGAATTTAGCTTTAATCTAGGTTGGTGAACTATAATTGGCTCAGAGGTATTTCACAGTTGCAAGTTACCACTGGCATGACTAAAGAAAAAAGTCTGGTTTAGATACTTGTATTTGATCAGTGCCAGGAGGGAGATATGGAAATGCCAGTGTAGTCTCCAAACAGATACCGGAGAATGACTAGAAATGTGTCACTGTGGTTGATAGAAATTTGGTTCCTATCTATAAATCAAATGTAATGTGACAACTTCTTCAACAAACTATATGACACTGGCATTGCCCCAGAGTTCTTAGTAAAGCAGAAATGCTTAATACCTTTTGTTCATTAAATAAAACTTGAGATTTACTTCTGAATTGTTACATTTGAAGGCCCTGGAGTCTATTTCACTTAGTGAAGGATTCCTGGATATAGAATTCTGTAAAGGCTGCCATTGTTTGGAGAAGCATGGGAAGATGTGGACATGTGTGTGTAGTGGGAGCAACTGCTAATGGCTGAGGGAGCCACTGAGAAAATGTAAGATCCAGGAGACCTTTTTGCTCAGTAATGCCACCTAACCATCCACCCTGGTGGTTTTCTTGTGTAATTCTCACCAAAGGAAGTAAAACTATAACTTCTGACCAGGGAACCAGGCTCAGATTCAGGCTTAGGCACTATCGGCGAAGATTCAAAGCGAGAATGGTGTATATAGCAAGAAAATTGGCCTTTGGATTCTGGGCTGGAAATGTATGGTCTATGGAAAGAGAGTTAGTGCTGAAATTACCAAACTTCCAAGCATTTTTTTGTTTCATTCTTCAAACAAAATAGACACAAGGATTTGTGGGTACATTGCCACTGTCTGTTTACTACTACCACAATCAAGAAACAAATCTATTGGCCTAGATCTTAGCAGATTAAGGTAATGTTATTCTCTTTCATGAACTTTTTCTTTACTTCAAGTTGTCCATGTCTGTGAGAAAACATTAAAAAATTCTTTAAAATTACCTGATTTTCCCCAGGTTTGCCAGATTTATTTCCATGAACTGTACAGAATGGAAAACTACACTGTCTGCAAAATAGGATGAAGACATTGAGGTTTAGAATAATTTCTGTTTAAAGAAAAGTTAGGGAAGAAAATGTATTTTTAAGTGACAATGAGGTCTTATAAAATCAGAGTATTCTTTAAATAGTCATGCTCCCAAATGCTGATCAACAGAACTGCTATCTAAATATGACTATTCTTCTCAAGATGTTAATCTGGAAAGAGAAAATATGCAAGAGTGCAAATGTTCACTTGTCTTTAGAGAAGACCCTGGACTGTTTAAAAATAATTTTTGTTCTGTTCATAGGCATTCTTGTTGCCCAATTTTATGTGAATATGGGTGACAATTTATTTATATTCAAGCCCAACTTAAGCTTAATAAGGTTCATGAGTGGAGAAAAACTTTATTTTCAGCTTGTCTAATTATTAAAGCATACATATCTGCTCTTAATCAGCAACATAACATTTCAGCATTCCAACTTCCTACCAGAAATATACTCTCATATTTGCTGCACTGAGTACCAGACAAAGATTATGTGGTCTGTCTATTAATCAAAATCAGTGTTTCACAATGTTTTAAAAATCTAAGCTCTCATTAATAAACATTCATTCCCAGAGTCTCAAAACCTTTTCTATTGAGCGTAAATATTTTGTGCATATTCCTATCAATTAAAAACTTAGCTTTACATTCCATAGGTATTGTTTTATAAGTATATGAGAATGTGCTTTAAATTTTATGAATATTAAATAATATTTTAATCCTGAATATGCTTCTTCATGATTCATGCTTCCCTCCTCAGATTATTCTACCTGGTTGTAGTGGGGTGGGCAGGCAGGTGAGGAAATGTGCTACCAGTTGAGACTCACTTCTTGAGACATTCTGATGTTCTAAATGTTACCTTTGGACCCAGCCAGAGCATCAGAGATCTCCATAACCAGCTTGCACTATCTCCTTGCTGCTTCTTCAACCTACAACAAATGATATTAAGGAATTCTGTTTTGAATTTTTGCATTGGCTTACATCATGACACCTGATGAACAAATGTACAGAACCTGATCCTGTATTTGCTACAGGATGTTGTCGAGTATAGACTCTACTGTATTCTACATACCCTTTTCATGAATACATGAAGAGATGTATGAGGGGACAGGAGTGAAGATTTTGCTTTTGCTAAGTTAAAGTTTTGTTTGTTTAATCTCAATTTGCATCTTGTAGCTGTTCTGTTTTCCTCATTGCTCTGGCCACTGGGAATGTTAGTCCAAACATCATCCCAACCCTCTTATTGCACAAGACTTTATGATGGACATTTTAGGCCACCTAACCACTAGATGGTTACGAGTATCAACTTTGGAGTCAGCCAACCAGAGACCGGAATCTCAACTCTTGGTATTTGCTGGCCCTGTGACCTTAGGCCAGTGAGTTGAATTTTCTAAGTTTTTGTTTTCTCATCTGAAAATAAGAAACTAAAAATACCTTCCTTACAGAGTAGCTGAGATTAAATAAGATGATTTATTTATAGTGTCTAACAGTACATGGCACATGAAAAACCTATCATTAGAATAATTATGATTTATATGATTTTCCTTTTGCCCTGATACCTTTATTTTTGTGTTTTTGTTTGTTTTGTGCCTTATTTTGATTTCCATCTTGGTGTTGTCATGTTACTTCAGGTACCTCAAATACCTTTTAGAATACAGTCGAACAGAAGTAAATAAAGATTGTATCATGCCTGTGAAATTCTTCCTAGCAACTTAAGGAAGTGAGCTGGAGGCTATAAGGAGAATAGGAATTCTAGTGATGGTGTATAAGCTAGTTTTGGAAGGATTGGTCACACGCCATGCTGTTAAGTAGATAAATTTTTTTTTAATGTTTTAGTATCCTTAGTTTGTTCTTTTAAATTTCTTCTTTTTATAATTTTCTTTTTTCTTTTCTTTTTTTTTTTTTGCTACTTTGTCCTACCCATTCCCAGCAACACCCCCACTGCTTTTAAGAACTGAATCAATGGCCTCCTTTTGATCTCTGCTGAAGTGTTAGAGGCTATTTAAAGTATTTGGTGGGACACTAGGTGGGGTAAATTTGAGATGAGAGTGCCATACCTAAGAATGCTGATTTTTTTTCTTTTTATTGTTAATGGAGTTTCGCTCTTGCTGCCCAGGCTGGAGTGCAATGGTGCGATCTTGGCTCACTGCAACCTCCACCTCCTGTGTTCAAACGATTCTCCTGCCCCAGCCTCCCAAGTGGCTGAGATTACTCACCACCACGCCTGGCTAATTTTTGTATTTTTAGTAGAGACGGGGTTTCACTATGTTGGTCAGGCAGTCTCGAACTCCTGAGCTCAGGTGATCCGCCCACCTCAGCCTCCCAAAGTGCTGGGATTACAGGCATGAACCACTGCGTCTGGCCTAGAATGCTATTTTTTTAGAATTGGCAAAGAATTTCCCCTACTCCATCTGTGTTGGCTTGATGATACCTGGGTATTCAGGGCAGCCTCTGCAGAATAGGGTTTACCTTCCTCTGCCACACTTCCTCTATGGATGTGAAACCTAAGAAGTGAGTCCTAAATACCAAAGCTAATGCTCCACACAGGGCTCAATGTTGAAATGGGATTCCAGCATATTTAAATAAGAATAGTTAAATGCTTCAAGCTTTATGAATGGGCAAAGCCAATTGTATATTTGTTTTTCTTCTAATAGTAATACTGATTAAGATCATATGAGTGACACTGCAGTAAATTCAACTACTAATCATGAGGGCATGAAATTTAGGCAGAAATTTTTTTACATACTTCTATGTTGGAGCTAAATAAAATTGTGTTAGAGCCATTATGCAACTTAGGCATACATTTTCCAAATCTAGCTGAAACAGAAGAAAATAGAATGAAAGATAGTAACTAACAGGGCTATTCATAGACAATAAAAATACTTTATTCTTGAAGTGATTGTCTTTGATATCGATGGCTGAGTTCTTCTTTTACCATACTATCTTAAACCCAGTCTAAACAAGATTTCATTCCCACCACTTCACAAACATTGCTTTAATCTGTTTCCAGTGACCTCTACATTACTAAACCCCATTATCAATTCAGTCTTCATCTTAATTATCACTATCACTTAATATAGTTGATCACTGCTTTTTTTCATATACTGTCTTCATTCAAATTCAGGAACATCATGCATTCTTTCCTACCTCATTGATTCCTCCTTTCTGATTCTTCCTCTTCTACTCTAACTCTTAATACTGGAGAACCGGAGAACCCCAGGGTTCTGTTATTGGATCACTTCTCCTTTCTGTGTACACCCACTTTCCTGGTGATCTCATCCAGAGTTGTCACTTCATAATCTTACTGTAAGCTGATGACTCTTAGATTTGTATCTCCAGCCTAGGCCTCTGCTGTGGACTGTAGACTAATATATTTGACTACCTGTTCAACACCTCCCTGTCCATATCTAATAGACATTTCACATCACATGCCTAAAACAGAATTCCTGATCTCTCTCATTTTGAATCTTGTTCCTTCTGCCTTCCCATCCTTGATGGGTCTCAACTTTGATTTCCCAGTTGCTCAGGTCAAAAACATTAGAGTCATCTATGAGTTTCACTTTTCCTATTCCTTTAATCCCATTCCCCCAATCCAATTCATTAAAAAATTCTGTTGACTTTTGTCTCCAATTTTTTTTAATAATAATTTCAACCTTCATTTTAGATTTAGGGAGTACATGTACAGCTTTGTTACATGGGTATACTGCATGATGCTGAGGTTTGGGGTAAATAAACTGTAAAATTGTAAATAGTAAAACATTTTAATAATTGGATCACTTCTCATCACTTCCTCTGCTGTCATACTGATACAACCCACCATCATCTCTTGCCTGCATAGCCATAATATCTTATTTAACAGGCCTCTCTGTTTCTGCTCTTGCCCAAAACATTTTATTTTCAACACAGCAGCTAGATCAACACTGTTATAATATGGCATTCTTCTGCCCAAAACTCACATCTCCAGCTCCCCATGTCACTCCAAGTGTAAGTGTAGCCATTACAATGCCCCAGATGCTCCATGCTCTGCCTATCTTTTGCCTTACTAATCTCCTCTTACCCTTTGCTCACTCTGCGTGGACAATATTGACTTTTGTGCCATTCCTTGAACATCACAGGCACGTTCTTACCTAAGGGCCTTTGCTGTGGCTCTACCTCTAGCCTGGAATTCTCTTTCCATGGGTGCTTGTGGTGCTATCTTTCTTACTTTCTTTAAGCTTTGCTCAAATATCACCTTTTGAATGAGGCCCACTTTGACTACCTTACTGAATATCACAGCCTGCCACTCCTTAGCAATTCCATTCCCTCCTACCCTGCCCTACTTTTTCTTTTTCCTTCTTTAGCACTTATAATCCTCTAACATACTATATAAATAACTTATATATTGCATTTATTATTTATTGTTTATCTCCTCAAATAAATATAAGTTCTCTGGAGGCTATTGTTGGACATTTAATGTTCCTTTTACTTATTGATTGATTGATTGCGATTGTTTGTTTTGATACAATAAACATCTTTTTCCATAAAACTTCATCTGGTTAAGGGATTATTTTTCTAAAATGGATTCCCAGAGATGGGATTACTAGGAAAAGGACATTTTCAGGCTCTTGTTAAAGGTTATCAAATTGTTTTCCAAGAGGATTGTACTAACTCATGCTCTAACCAACAACGTATTAGTGTTTACTTCATTGCATCCTCAATATTGAGTGTTGCCATTGTTTGACAGTTTAATTGCCAAAAAATGTTTTATGCTAGTTATTTACCTGCAATTCCTGACATTAAATATGTATCCTTTTCTACTTTTATAAATTTCCTGTGTTTTTTAAATTTATTTATATTTTTAATTTTTTGGGGGACGGAGTCTCGCTCTGTCACCCAGGCTGGAGTGCGGTGGCCCGATCTCGGCTCACTGCAACCTCCACCTCCCTGGTTCAAGCAATTCCTCTGCCTCAACCTCCCAAGTAGCTGGGATTACAGGTGGATGTCACCATGCCCACCCAGCTATATATATATATTTTTTTTTTATTTTTTTTTATTTTTTTTGTATTTTTAGTAGAGATGGGGTTTCACTATGTTGGCCAGACTGGTTTTGAACTCCTGACCTCAGGCAATCTGCCCACCTCAGCCTCACAAAGTGCTGGGATTACAGGTGTGAGCCACCGCGCCCAGCCTCTTTTTTTTTTTTTTTTTTTTTTTTTTTTTGAGACGGAGTCTCGCTCTGTCGCCCAGGCTGGAGTGCAGTAGCGGGATCTCGGCTCACTGCAAGCTCCGCCTCCCGGGTTCACGCCATTCTCCTGCCTCAGCCTCCCAAGTAGCTGGGACTACAGGCGCCCGCCACTACGCCCGGCTAATTTTTTGTATTTTTAGTAGAGACGGGGTTTCACCGTTTTAGCCGGGATGGTCTCGATCTCCTGACCTCGTGATCCGCCCGCCTCGGCCTCCCAAAGTGCTGGGATTACAGGCGTGAGCCACCGCGCCCGGCCCCAGCCTCTTTTTATTTTTATAAGTCACCTGTGTTGATCCGTTGTCCAATTATTTACTGGCATTTCATGTTTTTTTCTTGTCAGTTTGTCAATACTTTACTTAATATGTCTTAAAATCGATAATCATGTTATATGGGTAATTGTATAACAGTGTACATATATTTATTATCATTAAAATGGAGTTGTTTAAATTTAAGGAATGTAAATCCTCAGTGGCTTTATTCATAGGTATTACAGAGAGAAGCTTGTTTTCCTTGGGAATTTTAAATGTTTGTAAAAATGTTTGCCATCTTACAGTACATGGAGCTCAATGCATATCTCTAAATGTAATCCTGAAGGAAGGGTTTTAAGTATTTGTAGTAATTACTCTTGAGCAATGTCTGGTGTCCCTACAAAAATGTGGCAAAAGTGCATAGCAGGTGGAGCAGAGAAATAAACAGAGGGTTGGTGCATAGATGAGCGTGGTTTAGCAACGCACTTCCATTGATAAACTGTCAGCATCAATTGTACTTTTAAAATTTCCTCTTTTTAGAATTTATTCTCTGGTACCAATTTCTAGTCGAGGAGAATGACATTGATTGTAGATAATTGAGACTGAACTTTTGGGGTGATTTTAAAGGTGACTTTAAATCTCTTCATATTTTGCTTTTGGTATTTTAAAGATCTGGTGATAATGATCTTCCATTTGCAGCCAGGCCCAGCTAAAAGAATCTCCCATTACTGCAGAGACCCTGTCAGAGACAATTCATTCTATTGGATTTTTTTTCCCTGTATCTTCCGTTAAGAATGCCATATGGCTTCTTTTACTTTATTACATTACGTGTTCTAAAACCTTTACCCTAAAAGTGAATTTATACTGATACTTTGCAGAAGGATCAAGGTTTCACCACAGAGATGCCACCATCCCCAGGGTTAAATGTGGCATCTATTTAGCTATGTGCAGCAATATCACAAAACAGTGTGAAGTGGGAATGAAGAATGTCTTTGGGCCCAAAGAAGATCTAAGTAGGCAGAATGTAATTACCCAAGTTGGACTTAAGCCAGAATGACAGGGTTAACATCCTGACTAACATCCATCCTAATTGAAGAAAATTGAAACTAACAACAGCTACTTTCCCAAAATGTGAGTCATACACCTTTTCTTAGTGTGTTTCATTTTCTCTTTATTGATAGAATCTCCCAGGCAAGGACCGGATTGTATCTAAGTCAACTGTCTATTACTAACTAAACCGTTGTTGTTCTTGAAAGATATGAAAATACAATCTTGTTGTTACTCAAAAGATTTCTGAAATGTGAGGAGACATGGAATTTCTCTTTTGGTTTCCAGGTAAAAACCAAAACAAACAAACCCCCAAGCCCTGATGATGCAAAATGGTATGGAACCTAGATTTGTAGAGCTTGAGATTGGTTTTTTTCTCCAAAGTTAAATTGAATAAAATGATACTTGGCTAATTCTATGGAAACATTAAAATATGTAATTCTGAATAATATCAGCTTTTAAAAAAATAATTCACACCTCCTATAAAGATAATATTCTTTAAAATGAAGTATGTTTTATTTATTTGTATATTTATCTTTGTTTCCCTACAGTAAAAGGCGACCTCTTGAAAGTGGAGACTGGTTTTTTATTTGAATATCATCAGCACAGAATACAAGCTCCTGGCAAAAATAGGTGCTCAATACAAATTACTGAATGCTTCCTACATGCGTTTATTTTTACTTGCACCATGACAAATAACTAGAAAGTTTGCAAGAAATGAATAACTACAATTTCTCTTTTTTTGAAATTTAGCTTTTCTTAGATTCATTAATCCTTATTTTCTTCTTTTGATAGAATATTCCCAACTCATCCTCCGCTAAAGTTCAAATATTTTCATATTTTTCTTTTATTGGAAGCAATTATTATCCTATAATTAAATGCATTTGATTAACGACGAGAGTTTCTAACTCTTATTCTCATGGAAATTATTTTAAACTTCAATCCCAGTTAAAAACAAATGCAAAAAAGACCTTACTAGTGCAGGGGCATATTGATTTACAGTCCAAACTAGCTTTTAGCTATTTGTTCTTCAAGTGACTCTTTAGACAGACATCAGGGTGCTGCCCTATGGTATAGGCTGGGTGTACAAACAGAACAACTTGAAGAACCAGTGAAAATGAGATACAAGGGAAAGATATAAGCTCCTGTGGTTTTCCCTTATGTGCATATTACCTTTCTCATGATGCCTGGCAGTTTTGAAACTCTACTGTAATACAGTTTGTAGCCTGTAGCATAGAAAGACAGAGATGTAAGTGTGATATGGTATATGGGCCCAGAGACAAAAAGAACACTTATAAAAATTGAAGCGACAAGCTTACATAGATAACTTATTTATTTAAGGCTTTCACACTGGGTAGCTACACTGTGATAAGGGTTGAGCAATTTGGCTTAACTCTAAAGGAATATCTAAACTTTAACTCTCTCAAGTCAAGAGTTTTCTTATTTTTTTTTGTCACTTTTCAAAGTTCAAAAAGCCTGGTAATTTATTTGATGCTGCACATTTCATGAAGCTATACATGCATGGCCTGGGATTAGGATAGGTGGCAGTTAGAAATACTGCAATACTGTAAAAAGTGCCATTCTTGCAAAATTTTCAACCTAATTTAAACCTATCCATTCTTGATACCTTATGAGAAATATGTAGTATCATGGGGCTTACAGCCCAATTTTCTGACCAAACAAGTTCAGATATTTTCTAAAAAGCTTCTGATAAGCAACTTCAAAGTTGTGCCCAAACCTCTGACTCTAGAGGTCCTTCCAACCACAATAAACTCTTGGAAATGTCTTAATCTTTGGTTAACCAGCCTTTGATTATCTCTGTGTAGATCGGGGTGTCCAATCTTTTGGCTTCCCTGGGCCACAGTGGAAGAAGAAGAATTGTGTTGGACCACACATAAAATACATGAACATTAACCATAGCAGATGAGCTAAAAAAATTGCAAAAATACCTCATAATGTTTTAAGAAAGTTTATACATTTGTGTTGGGCTACATTCAAAGCCGTTCTAGGCCGCATGCAGCCCTCAGGCCGTGGGTTGAACAAGCTTGGTGTAAATGGTTAATGCCACTCAGCAGGCTTCTGAGCTACCTTCCTCCATGATGACTGGGTGGTATAAGCTCAGAGAATTGCTAGTTTTATTTTTATTACTAATATAGATTTATGTTTTTTACTAGTTTAAGCACAATTAGGGGTAAATTTGTTATAAAAATCACATAGTAAATTCCAATGGCAAATGTAAATGATGCTCACAGTTTGCAACATTTTTCATTATTTGTAATACTGCCTCTATTTACACAGAATTCAATTCAACAAACATTTATTTAACGCATACTGTTTATGTCAAATCCTATGCCAAGAGTGGACTCTGTACATTTCAGCACCTTATTTATTTAGACTAGAAATGCCAACTTATTTCCCCATGGTCAAATAAAAAAGTACAGAGGCATTTGTTGTTTTGGCTGTGCTGCTTAGTTCTGGTCTCTATAAATGGGACAGGAAGGCATAATCAAATGCATGGGAACCCAATGGTAATGATAGAAGTGTTGGCAAATAATTCACCTCTACCTCCTTCCAGAGAGGAGGACAAGTGAGCTATGTGTGCCTAGTCAGGTGTTTCTATCTGAGAGTTTGAATCTTGTGAGCAGGTGACAAAGGCAATCAGTCTGATCAGGGTTATTTTTATAGAAAATCTGGTGGACTTAAGGATTTAGCAGTGTTATCCTCTGTAGTTTTTAGGTGTCCTTAGGTGACATTCTAAACAGAAATAGAAGATTTGGGCTGTGCCTTTCCTGTCTTGGATTCTTGCCAGGCCTTGTGTCCCAGTCTTTCTGGATATTATTTGTGTTTACAGCCTTCCAATAAATTCCTTGTCTGTTTAAGATAATGAGAGAAAGTTTCTGTTGTTTTCAACTAAAATAGTAAAGAAATGACCAATAGTAAAGGAATATGATGGCATGATGATATGACTTGCTTTATATCTGAGATTGGTATTATAAAGTTATAAATATCAATTTAAATTGTCTGTAATCATTATTCAATAAATATTAAAACTGCAACTAGATAAAATTAAAATAAAATACAACTCAATAGCACATTTTTTCTTCTAAAATTATCTTTATGAAATGTAATTGAGGCCAGGTGTGGTGGCTCATGACTGTAATTCCAGCACTTTGGGAGGCCAAGGCAGATAGATCACGTGAGGCCAGGAGTTCGAGACCAGCCTGGCCAACATGGCGAAACTCTGTCTTTACTAAAAATACAAAAATTAGCCAAGTATGGCGGCCCACATCTGTAATCTCAGCTGTTTGGGAGGCTGAGGCAGGAGAATCACTTGGACCTGGGAGGTGGAGGTTGCAATGAGCCAAGATCGCGCCACTGCACTCCAGTCTGGGTGACAGAGCGAGACAAATGTTTGAACAAATGTTTCCAGTTTATCTAAAAAACAGCTGTGGGCCGGGCGTGGTGGCTCACGCCTGTAATCCCACACTTTGGGAGGCTGAGGCGGGTGGATCACGAGGTCAGGAGATTGAGACCATCCTGGCTAACACGGTGAAACCCCGTCTCCACTAAAAATACAAATAAAAGTTAGCCGGGCGTGGTGGCCGGCGCCTGTAGTCCCAGCTACTCGGGAGGCTGAGGCAGGAGAATGGCGTGAACCCGGGAGGCGGAGCTTGCAGTGAGCCGAGATCACGCCACTGCACTCCAGCCTGGGTGACAGAGCGAGACTCTGTCTCAACAACAACAACAACAAAAAACCAAAACAGCTGTGATGTTTGTTTCAAGGCTAGCATGTAAGGAGTATAGAAATTATCACTCCATCCTAACAACAAGTAAAAAAACTGAACAAATGGAATAACAGCTCTTGGTCCATCAAGGAGGTGAAGTCACAAGGCAAACTGCTCCCCCCAAAATTGGAGACAGACAGGCAGATACAGATAATCACAACTACTAGGGCAGAAGCCCCCTAGCAGAAACCTCCTTAAGAACTAGTTTTGGGGGTAAGAGAACATGAACTGTCCTTGATGAATGGCCAGAGGTGAAGACTAGACACTCCTGAGATTTAAAAAAATCCAGGGGACCCCAGTCATAGAAGAGGCCCTACACTTAAGTGAGTTTACCTCCAGGAACTTAACCAGGTTCTCACAGTAAATATTGGAGAAAAATTTCCTCATGCTTCAGACAAGAAAAGAGAGAAGGAATCATTTTGAAATATGACAGGACATTCTGTTCTTCTTAACAAGGACTTCCCTCAAGAGAAACTATTTTTTCAGAGCCAAACTATTGGGATTTTGTCAGAGTCTAAATGACTAGGAAAAAGGGAAAGACCCAATTCCTACCCACTGTAGTTATCCTGCCCCATCTAAGTTGGGGCTGACTCAGAAGTACCTGTGAAGTTCACAGTTCAGGGGCACAGGCCCACTAAAAGACTGAGACATAATCATAGAACTATAGAACACCCCCCCTCTCTCCATACCTTACCACCACATCACTAAATGCCTATGTACCACAGTCCCTTTCACCCAGTACAAGAAGTCTGGCTGTAAAAAAAAAAAAAAAAAAAAAAAAACTTACAAGGCATATTAAAAGGCAAAAAATATAGTTTGAAAGAACAGAAAGAGTATCAGAACCAGACTCAGATATGGCGGGGATGTTGAAATTATCAGACTCAGAATTTTAAAACTATGACTTATAGGCCAAGGACTCTAATGGATAAAGCAGACACATGTAAGAATAGATGGGCAATGTAGGCAGAGAGATAGAAATTCCAAGATAGAACCAAAAAGAAATACCAAAGACAAAAATCACTATAAAAAGCCAGGTGTGGTGGCTCATGCCTGTAATCCCAGGACGTTGGGAGGCTGAGGCGAGAAGATCACTTGGGCCCAGGAGTTCAAGGCATCAGTGAACTACGATTGCATCACTGCGCTCCAGTCTGGGTGACAGAGTGAGACCCTGTCTCTAAAAGCAAAACAAAACAACAACAACAAAACCCACTGTAACAGAAATGAAGAATGCCTTTGATGGGCTCATTAGTAGAGTGGATATGGCTGAGGAAAAATGTCTGAGCTTGAAGAAATATTAATAGAAACTTCCAATATGGAAAAGCATGAAGAAAAAAGATGGGAAAAGCCCAAAAGAGTATATCCAAGAACCGTGGGACAACTACAACAGATATAACATATCTAGAATGGTAATAACAAAAGTAGAAGAGAAAGGAACAGAGGAAATATGTAAAGCATTAATTACTGAGAATTTTCCCAAATTCATATCACACAACAAACCACAGATCCAGGGAGCTCAAAGAAACACCAAGCAGAATAAATGACAAGAATAGGACAAAACAATAAAACCCAAAACCTACAACTAGGTATATCACATCAAAGACAAAGAACATTGCATTTAAGGAAGTCAGAAGATAAAATACCTTACCTAGAGAGGAGCAAAGATAACAATTACATAAGACTTCTCCTCAGAAACCATGCAAGCAAGGAGAGAGTGTAGTGAAATATTTAGTATTGTGAAAGAAAAACAACCACAACATACCCATCTAGAATTCTGTACCCTGTAAAGTCATCCTTCAAGAGTGAAGGAGAAATGAAGACTTTCTCAGATAAAAAAAAATGAGAGAATTTGTTGCCAATAGACCTGGCCTGCAAGAAATGTTAAAAGAGACTTCAGAGGGAAGAAAAGTAATGTATGCCAGAAACTTGTACTACATAAATAAAAGAAGAGTATCAGAAAATAAGTGAAGGTAAAACAAAAACTTTTACATTTTTATTCTTAATTGATCCAAGAATTAGTTTGTTCAAAATAATAATAGCAAAAATGTACTTAATTATACATGGTTATATATCTCTATATATTTATGTATAACTGGAATGGATGACAGTTATGATACAAAAACAGGATGGAGGAATTAAAATTATTTTGTTATTATAGTGTGTTTGTACTATCAGTGAAGCAGTATAGTGTTTTTTGAAAGTGGACTTGGGTTAGTTGTAAATGTATATGGCAAACTGTATGGCAACCACTAAAAAAGTGTTTAAAAAAAGAGTATAGCTGATGTTAAGGAAAAATCTCATTGGTCTAAATACATCAATTAAAAGACAGAGATTGTCAGAGTAAATCAAAGCACAAAACCCAACCTGTTGTTTACAAGAAACCTACTTTAAATATAAAGACACAAAGAGAGTAAAAGTAAAAAGATATAGAAAAACATACTATGCTAACACTAATCAAAAGAAAGTGGGAGTGGCTATATTAACTTCAAATAGAGTCAGCTTTAGAGCAAAGAAAGTTATCAGGGATAGAAAGTGGCACTACATAACAATAAAGGGATCAATTCTCCAAGAAGTCATAACAATCATTAACTTGCCTATGCCTAACAACAGAGCATCAAAATATGTAGGCAAAAATTGATAGAACTACAAGAAGAAATAAATCTATCCACTATTGTAGTTGGGTTCTTCAGCACCCCTTTATTAGAAATAAAGTGATCTAGAAGGCAGAAAATCAGTGAGGACATAATTGAACTCAACAGCATCATTAATCAACTGGATATAATTGACATCAATTCACTAATCCAAGAATGGCAGAATACACATTCTTCTCAATCTTACATAGAACGGTCATCAAGATGGATTATTCTGGGCCATAAAACACACTTTAACAGATTTAAAAGAGTAGAATAAAATCATATAATGTCTTCTCTCAGATTACAATGGAGTTAAACTAAAAATCAATGAAAAAATATTTTTTAAAACCCCAAATACTTGGAGATTAAACAACATACTTCAAGATAATAAATGGGTCAAAGGAGAAATCTCAAGAGAAATTAAACAATATTTTGAAATAAATGAAAATGAAAACATAATTTATCAAAATTTGTAGTATACAGAGAAAGCACTGCTTAGATTTATAACATTGCATATATATATATAAACAGAAGAAATATCTAAAGCCAAAAATCTAAGTTTCTACCTTAGAAAACTTGAAGAATACAAACAAATAAAATCTAAACTAACCAGAAGAAAAGAAATAATAAAAATTAGAGCATAAATAAATAAATTAAAAACAGAAAATCAATAGAGAAAATCCATGCAACCAAAAGGTTATTATTTGAAAAAATTCATAAAATTGATAAGCCTCTAGCCAGACTACAGAAAAAAAGCTTGGTGGGGGGGAAATATGAGCTAACAACATTAGAAATGAAAGAGGGAGACATCACTACAGATCCATTGACCATTAAAAAGGTAACAAAGGAATATTATGAACACCTGTATGGCCACAAGTTTGATAACTTAGTTGAAATAGACCAATTCCTTATAAAACACAATCTGCCAAAACTCACACAAGAAGTTGACAATCTGAATAGGCCTATATCAATTACAAAAATTGAATCAATAGTTAACCTTCCAAAACAGTAAGCATTGGACCCAGATGGGTTTACTGGTGAATTCTATCAAACATTTATGGAAGAAATTATTTTATTTCTCTATAATATCTTCCAGAAGATAGAAGCAGAGGAAATACTTCCTAACTCATTTTATGTGGCCAGTATTACCCTAATATCAAAACCAAAGACATTGCAAGAAAAAAAAACCAACAACTTAAGACCAATAACTCTCGTGGACATAGATGCAAATGTTTTGTTGAAGCAAATCATATCTAACAATGTAAAAAAAATAATTAAACATCATGACCAAGTGGGATTTATCCCAGGTATGCAAGGTTGGTTGAACATTTGAAAATCAACAATTGTAATTCATCACATTAGGCTAAAGAAAAATCACATGATCATATCAATAGATGTGGAAAAAGTATTTGACAAAATCCAACACCCACTGATAATAAAATCTCTCAGCAAACTAGGAATGGAGGGAAGCTTGGTAAACCTGACAAAGACCATCTACAAAAAACCTTCAGCTAACATCATATTTAACGGTGAGAAAGTAGAAGTTTTACTGCTATATTCTGAATCAAGTCAAGAATGTCCCCTCTCACCATTCCTTTTCAACGTCATGTTGTAAGTCTTAGATAATGCAATAAGACAAGACAAGGAAGTAAAGGGAAGAAGGATAAATAAAACTGTCTTTGTTCACAGATGACATGATCCTTGACACAGAAAATCCAAATGAATAAACAAAAAAATTTCTGGAACATATAAGCTATTGTAGCAAGACTGCTAGATAGAAGGGTAATATACAAAGGCCAATTGCTTTCTTATAGACGAGCAATGATCAAGTGAAGTTTAAAATTAAAAACACTATACCATTTACATTAACACCCCCAAAAAGAAGTACTTATGTATAAATCTAACGAATACATATAAGATCAATATGAGAAAAACTACACAACTGTGATGAATAAAATCATAAAATAACTAAGTAAATGGAGAGATATTCCATTTTCATGGATAGAAAAACATTGTCAAAATGTCATTGTTTTTTCAACATCATCTGTAGATTCAATGTAATCTCAATAAAAATTTCAACAAGTCATTGAGTAACAAGTCATTCTGTGGATATTAACAAACTGATTCTAATGTTTATTCAGATAAGCAAAAGACTCAGAATAGCCAACACAATATTAAAGGAAAAGAGCAGAGTCAGAGGATTTCCACTGCTTCACTTCAAAACAATATAAAGCTACAGAAATCAAGACAGTGTGGCAAAAGGGAAGACAAATAGATAAATTGAACAGAATGGAGCAAATATAGTTTTTCAGCAAATAGTGCTGGAACAACTGGGCATCCACATGCAAGAAAAAAATGAATCTAGATTCAGACTTTATACTCTTTACAACAATTAACTCAAAAGAGACCACAGAACTACACATAAAGTGAAAAACTATAAAACTCTTAGAAGATATCATTGGAAAAAAGTCTGATGCCCTTGAATATGGCAATGCCTTTTTATATTGAACACCAAAGTCTCGACCCAGGAAATAATAAATTGATAACTAAACTTTATTAAAATAAAAAACTTATGCTCTGTAAAAGACACTGCCAAGAGAATGAAAAGACAAGTCACCATGGGGAGAATATATTTGCAAAAGATATATCCGATAAAGGACTGTTATTTAAAATATACAGTAACAATAAGAAAACTAGCAACCCAATTACAAAACAGACACCTCAGTGAAGAAGGTATACAGAAGGCCAATAAGCATATCAAAAGATGCTCAACATATGTCACTAGGGAAATGTAAAGTAAAACCATGAGATAAGAATACTACTATTAGAATGGCCAAAACCCAAAACACAGACAATACAAAAAAGCTGACAAGGATGTGGAGCAATTGCAACTTTCATTAACTGTTAGTGGAAACCACTTGGGAAGACAATTTGGCAAAACTGAACATGTTCTTTGCCATATGACCCAGCAACTGCACTTTATATTTACCCAAAGGAGTTGAAAACTTACGTACACACAAAAACATGCACATAGATGTTATAGCAGCTTTATTCATAACTACCAGAATTTTGAAGCAACCAAGATGTTCTTCAGTAGGTGAGTGGATAAACTATGGTATATCCAGACAATGAAATATTATTCTGCACTAAAAAGAAGTGAGCTATCAAGCCATGTATAGTCATGGAGAAATCTTAAATGAACATTACTAGGTGAAATAAGTCAATCTGATAAGGCTACATACTGTATAATTTCAACTACATGAAATTCTGGAAAGGGCAAAACTATGGAGACAGTAGAAGAACCAGTGAGTGCCAGAGGTTAATGAGGGGGCATAGAGAGGAGGAGGACAGAGGATTTTTAGGGCAGGGAAATTACTCTGTATCATACTGTTCTGTTGGACGCATGCTATTATAAAGTTTATAAGTTGATTACAAAGTCAAAACCCCTAGAATGTACAACGACAAGAGTGAACCCTAATGTAAACTATGGACTTTGGGCGATAATAATGTCAATGTATGAGAGATTCATTCATGAAACAAATGTATTATTATGGTGTGGGATTTTGATAGTAGGAAAAACTGTGCATATGTAGGAGTAGAGGGTATATCAAAAAATCTCTGTACCTTCTGCTTAATTTTACCAGGAATCTAAAATTACTCAAAAAAAAGTCATATTTTAAAAAGCAACTTTCAAGGTACACCATGGAGTCAATAGACATCTAAATCAATCACAACATCTGCAACATTTATTTATCTGAGACAGTAAGTAATGATTCTGGATCCTACAATATCCAATATCACATTTGCTGCAAGAAAAGAAAATTCATTTCTCTTCATTATAGTTTGTGTTAAGTGTGTCAGCTTATAGACAAATATTTTAAAATTATTATTTTCTACATGGCACATTTGTAGATGAATAGTTATTAGTTTTCAAAAATTCAGAGTGTTATACAAAATAAACCAGAGTAATCCATTTTCAATTGCTCAACTACTATAATCAAATGACTATAGTGCTAGTGATGGGAACTTCCCTAGATCTAGTGTTCTCAGAGTTGAATTGGCTATGTCCCTAGTTATTAAAGAAAAAGGTGGCCAGGAGCGGTGGCTCATGCCTGTATTCCCAGCAATTTGGGATGCTGAGGTGGGTGGATCATTTGAGGTCAGGAGTTCAAGACCAGCCTGGCCAACATGGTGAAACCTCGTCTCTACTAAAAATACAAAAATTAGCCAGGTGTGGTGGTACACACCTATAATCCCATCTATTCGGGAGGCTGAGGCAGAAGAATTGCTTGAACCCGGGAGGCGGAGGTTGCAGTGAGCCAAGATTGCACTACTGCGCTCCAGCCTGGGGGACAGAGTGAGATTACCTCTCAAAACAAAACAAAACAAAACAAAAAGAAAGAAAAACGCAATACTTCCATTTAGTCATCTTCAGAGAAATGCTATATAGTATCTCCAACCTTCAGTTGATTCACACTTCTTACCTTCAAATTTCTCCATTAACTTACGGGAAATTATTTAGGGGCTGCTGTTTTGGTAAAGTGAAATTAGCCTGCCTTTTCCCTCTATGTATGTGTATGTGAATGTATGTGTGTGAATACACAATGCACGCATATACTCATTTCTATAGTGTTTTATAAATTACCAAATATTTTAGAGTAATTAAAAAGAACTAGTGTCCTTGAGTCAAAAATCTGCTCTGTTTCTTACAATCTATATGATTTTGGTAAGACTATTTAATATCTCTAAGCCTCAGTTTTCCCATCTGTAATAATTTTTTTGTACCTCATAGGCCATTACAGGATTTTAAATGTGATAACATATGTAAGGATCTCAATATCCTATGTATTATTATTTTTAGTTCCCTACTTATATTCAGTAAGTAAATTATACTTATTATTAGTACCATTATTGTCTAATTTAGGCCTTACAAATTTTTGAATTTTATTCTCAGGTCACCCTCACTGTTAATTTTTTTTTCTCTGGCCTGCTCATTAGGCATCACTATTCTCTCTTTGGACTTGATATCACATCAAACCAACTCTCTCTTTCTGTTACCACTGAACTTAATGAACATTTCTACTACTTGCCGCCTTTTCCTACTGATACTCAACTCTTCCCAATCTGGTTTCTCTTTGCCATTGCGTTGAAGTTTATCTCATCAAGGTTGCCGATAACCTCTCAATTGCCAAACTAGCAACGTTTTTTTCCGCACTCGTGTTACTTAATTTCCTTGTAACAATTAATCATGGTATTCAAAATCTCATTATTCCAATGCTTTCTCCATTGGCTTCAGTGAGGCAGCTCTTTGCTGTTTCTCTTATCTTTATGATTTCTTATTATTGGTGCTTTCCAGGATCTTGATTCTCTCACATTCTATGTATTCTTCTTAGTGATATTATCAACTTCTTCAGCTTCATTTGCTTCCTGTCCTCTTGCTTAATTGAAGTCCCCAGTTCTAAGGCCCAACTCAGCATTGCCATCTCCAATTCTATGTTTTCCTAAAAAAATTTTTATTTCTGCCCTCCTACTAAATTGGAGACGTATTCATCATCCTAAGATACTTCCTAAGTATCTATTAGGTCTCAGATTCCCCCTCCCCACTCCTCTGCAGCAGTTTTTATTTAAGTTCTTGTAATTTCTTGCCCATTATTGTTACAGCCTCCAATATCAGAGCCCTGAAGGTATCCAATTAACTCTGGCCAAACTTACACTTTTGTTAAAACAAGTCACCCAACATATAAGTACTTAAAACATCAATAATTTCTTTTCATGAGTCAGTGGGTCAGCTTTCTATGCTGGGCTTGGGGGTTTTGCCGATTTTGGCTGGGCTTACTTGTTCATTTGGTTGATCTGTTAGGATAAGCTGATCTGATAAGCTTCACTCTGCTCCATATGGCTTTCTCCTCCTAGAACAAGCATACAGGCCTGGCATGGCAAAGGTATCGTCATATTAGCAAGAGAAACAATTCTACAGGCCTTTTGAGTCCTAAACGAGGAACTTGTTCAATATCATTTTTGACTATATTATTGCTAAAGCAAGTCACGTTGATATGTATGCCAAGCCAAAGAGTGGGGAAAGATATTCTGCCTCTTCTTTCATGTGGCAAAGGTTAGAGGTGCAGGGATGAATTAAGAATTATGACCAGCAATGCAATTTATAACACTGAGTCTAGCTCCTTCCCAACCCATTCTCTTCTTATTTCCATTGACTTAAAAAGGTAAACTTGACCATGTCAATACCTGGTTGGTTGCTTTTTGAATAAAATACAGACTTCTTCACTTGGCTTACCAGACTCTTTAATTGCCCTAACCTACTTTGCCAACCATAGTGTTTATCTATTGCTTTATCTGCCTAGAATTTGCATTTTCCTGTAGGAAATCACTTCTTCACCATTCTATAGCATCTGTATGAGGCACAGTGATGAGCATCGGATGCAGGTTGAACAAAACAGGTTACCCTTTTCCCTTGCAATGAGAATTCTGCCATTAGTGGAAAAGACTGAAATCCAGGAGAAACAAATTCCTCTTATTGCTGAAGTTCTTGTCAATAATTTTACTTGCCTCCTGAAAAGAGCCTATCAGCAGAATAAAGACAACATACAGAGGAAAGCAGAGCTGAGAAATAGAGACTAATAGAACAAGCTCTAAATACATCTCTTTTCTTTTGCTCTTGAATGCATCCATGTTTGCATCCCTCTTCTCTCTTTTTTTTTTTCTCAACCAAAATCATTTAATTTAGTTTCTGTATTGGGTAATAAAAGTTCCTGGCCCAAGCCCACATACATACATGTAAACACTCACACTTTCCCTATCAGGCCACAAACCAACACCCTCAAATGTTTTATAAACATAATTTTTCCACCTTCCATTGATGGTGCTTTCATTAAATTTTCCAATGATTTACTAATTGTAAAACCCTGAATTGTCTTTTTCCTTTCTCCCAGATAAAAAATTTCTAGTTACTCTAGTGACTCTTCAATGTCAAATGCCATTTTCCTGCAGTCTTTCCTAACCCCTCACACAAAATTAATATGTGGTGTATGCATATTTAGAAGGGGTAAAAGGAAAGAAAAAAAGAGACTCAGACTCTTGTTGCATGTTTCATGAAGTGATATTAGAGCGATTCCTCCTATCTATCAGTATATGCAGTCAACTCTATCTTCACAATCCATCCGGAGTCAGATAACTTCTAACAACTTAATTTCCAACAACAGGGGTCAAGCCATCATCACTTCCCTCATGGACTGCTGCAATTGTTCCTTACTGATCTCCCAGTCTCTGTCCTTCTTTCTCTACACTCGATCCTTAACACACTGGGTCCCTGTAATACCAAGAGAGATTGTGCCATATTTTGTTCACAAACTTACCTAAACTGTGCTGAACAATCTGGCCCCTCTTCCATTTTTCTGATCTCATCTTCTCTTGCTTGTCCCCTTGCTTTCTCTGATCTGGACACAGGACTTTATTGCTGTTTTTCACATACATTACACATGCTCCTGCCCCAGGGTGTTTGTGGTTATTATTCCTTTCTGGAATTCTCTTCCTCCACACACCTCTCCGGGTTTTCTCTCGCCTTCTTCAGGCCTTTCTTGGTGTGTCATCTTCTCAGTTAGACCTTCTGAGACCAACATATTTAGAAGTTGAATCTCCATTCTCCTTCCCTGTATTATATTCTATAGAATTTATAAGTCTATAACATATCACATATCTCACTATGTATTTTTTTCTGGTCTGTTTTCTGGTCACGAGGATATATGTTCAATGAGGTCAGGTTTTTGTTTTTGTTTTGTGGGTGATCTGTTCCGTTCAGTGTTCTGCCCCTGTTGCCTAGAATAGTTCCTGATGTATAAGAGGCTCTTAATAAATATGCGTAAAATAAATAAGTGAAGGGATGCATTTACTTAATATGTATCTCCTCCGTTGCATTGTGGTGTGGAGGTCAGCGAACACATGTTGTGTATCTTACCACCACTGGACACCAGGATGCATAACAGGTACGCAGTGAATGGGTTTTTGTTTACTTTTTTGTGAATTGTTTATTGCCTCATTTTGTTTTTGTTTTTGGTACACAAAACTAGTGAGTGTCAGAGCTGAAAATGGAACGTATATTGTTAAAAACCAAGTCTCTCTATGTCTGCCTCCTTGATGTGACAATGAATCTCAGCCTCAGAAGAATATGGCTGAAGAGGCTTGAGTGCCATCCTTTGACTTTCAAATAATACTACCTCATTCATGATGATTTCTTGACTCTATCAGAAGTATATTTGATGCTTGATTCATATGTAAGAACTGTGTGATCTGGTAGTAAAATATTGCAATGCATGTGGTGAAATTCAAGCAAATTACAGAGTACATTTTTGATACATAGCACAGCTTTTTGCCACATTAATAATTATGTGTCCTGTTTGGGGGATGGGAAATGCATTTTTGGCTGGCAGTGTCTCTACCTATAAAGACTGGATAAAAATGTGTGCCAACCTCCCGTTCCAGGTATTTTCTGACCACTTTGTCCCCTTTCCCACGATTGTTTTGATTTGCTGATGGTCGGATTTGCTAGGTAAATATTTTTCACGAAACAATTATCTTCATGAAAAGTTGAGATATGGAGAAGTGTATGTACACATGCATGCACGCACACACACACGCACATACAGAAAGAAATTGAGCAGCGAAAGTGTAACTTCCTTGATTAGACTTTTTCCATAGTTATCTGAGGCTTAATTTAATATTTATTTTCTCTGTTTTATATTCTTACTGTCTCCTGGGAGAAACTACTGCTGCTCATAGCACAGGTTTTTATAGTTTGATTTATGTATCATTTTTCTCCAGTATATACCAAATAAACAATGTTTCACAGCTTTACACTCCATAACAGAATGCTCTAAATCTATCCCTATTTTTTTTTTTGGTAAAATCTTTGGCACCATATTACTACAATATTTTTTCTGTTAGGAAAATTATAAAAGTTAGAGGATAAAGAAATATTAGTGTTTCCCCTTAAAAGAATGCAGTGGGCAATAATACAGTGTTTTCAAGATCATTCAACATTCTTTTCAAGAATCCTACTCTTGTAAGGGAGATTAATATTACTACAACCACCATGATTATTACCATTACCTCTGCTACGTTAACTACCATTATTGTGTTCTCTTACTTGTATATATTGTTTAATCCTTAGAACTCTCCTAGGAAGTGGGTAGTATTTATTAACTCCATTTTATAGATAGGAAATTAAGGTGCAGATTGGTTAAATAATGTTCCCAAGGTCACAAAGCTAGTAAAGGCTGGTGTTATGATTTGAACACAGCCCTACCTTCTTTCCCTCTAAATGTATGGCATGAAACTCATGACATTGCTACAAATTCCTTAACCTAAATAATTGAGATATTCCAGGGTATAATGAATATATTTTAGCAATCTATTGAAGAAATTCCAATATAATTCATATGTATTCAATATGCTATGTCAGAATTTTGTTCTTTTATTAAAATTTTTAGAAAATTTTTAAAAAGGGAAAACTCTCACAAGATTATAAGCAATAACAGAATTATATACATTTGAAATTTATAATTGTAATAATATTGTAATAAATGAAGGCAATTCAATGAATTTTCTGAGGATAAAATAAACTACAAAGATTTATTTTGAAATCCGATCCCTACTTTAGACTATAATACAAATCATTAGCTTTATAAATTAATTATGACTCTTTGTTTTCAAGAAGAATGTGTATTAGTTCAAAGTAAGAGCTCCTTATTGAATTGGTTTTAAAGGTGATTGAATAAAGAAAAAGAATAAAATTTTACATCACCTTTACATGGCAGGCATATATCTTGTTACATACCATTGACAACCCTTTGAAATGGGCATTTTATTCTAGTTTTACACATGAAGAAACTGATGCTCAGAGAGATAAAATAATTTGCTTAAAGTTCCAAGCCAGATGGCTAGCTGCAGAGCCTGGAAGTGGTCCCAGGATCACCTTGACATTAACCTATACAATTCTCTTCATTTATGTTGCTAAGTGTTGAGTGTCTGATGAACTAGAGGAAGAATGGTAGAGGATGAAGTAAGATAGGTCACCACAGGGGGCTTTGTCGTGTAGGTCCTTTTAGGCCATTATGAGTTTGATTTTACTTTGACTGAAATGTAAGGCACTAGAGGCTTTTGAGTAGATGGTCAACAAAATCTGACTTAAGTATCAACAGTATTTCTCTGTTCTCTTAAAATAGACTCTAGGATAATAAGGGCTAACATATGAGATCATTCAGAAACTATTGCAATAATTCATGCAGAAAATATTATTTAACCCAGCAGGATTTGCTCATGGATTAGATGAATATTCACAAGATCATACTAGGCATAATGTTATGTATCTTCTTAGCTTTCTCCTTCACCCTAAATAACACATTATACCTCTGTATTTGTAGCCAGACCTGTATTTTAGAAAGAACACTGAGGAGATAGTATTTGAAGAAAGTATGACTAGAGACAAGCAGATCTGCTAGAAGGGTATTGCAACAATCCTAATGATAGATCATGGTGGTTTGAACCAAGGCAGTAGTAATGGAGATGGAGATAAATCTGTAGATTTAGGATAAGAATTAGAGACTGATTGGTAGTAAGACATGAAAGAAAAGAATGGTTCATACCTTTCTGACTTTAGCAACAGTTTGGGTGATGATACCACTTTAAGATAAGGAAACACAGGAGAAAGATAATAGGTTCAATGTGGGAGACGGGGGAAGATAACATGCATTCAGCTTTGGACCCACTGAATTTAGAGTGCTTGTGGGGTATCTGGGTGGTTTTCAGGAAAGTGTGGGCTTCCTTAACTGTGGGCTCAGAGGGGGAGATCAGGGCTAGGGTTGGAGAGTCAGCTTCAGAGGATAGATAATTAAAGCCACAAGAATAGCTGAGGTCACCCAGCCAGAAAAGTTTAGAATGGGACAAGCAAAGGGTTGAGGACAGAACTTAGAGGAATACCTCTACTTAATGAGTAGGCAGAGGAAAAGGAGTCTAAGAAACAGGATGTAAAAGTGGCTAAAATGAGTTGGGACAAAATTATGAAGGTGAAAGGTAGGAAAGCCAAGGAATGAGAGTGTGTGGTCAACAGTATCAAGTGTTAGCAACCACCACAGTAAATCAAGGATGGAACATAATTCAGTCGATTTAGCAACATAGAACTAGCTAATTTCAATAGCAAGGAGGGAGAATATTACTATAGTTTGCCTACTGGCTTGTCCACTAGATAAAGAGTTCCTATAGCATGCTGCTGTGTTCTTGAATCTTTGTTCAATTTCCACTCCCTCCACCACTTCATGGCATGTCAGACAGTAAAGATTTGAGATTTGACTGTCCGAAGTGATCACTTAAACTTCAACAATAAATCACTGGCTCCATGTTGTATGTGCTATGCCCCTTATTCCTCTTAAAAATATTATCCTCTATTAATTTTCTGTGAGAGACTTAAGAAAATCGGAATATATAGTGTCTTGAATTGCATTTTTCACTTCCTGCTTAATCATAGATGTCTCATCTTATTTTTAGTGCCACTAAGAATTACTATCTTTGGTTGCTAATTGCTATAGAGTCACAAAGTGACAGTTATTTGTGATTTGTACAATCTATTTTGATGACTACACAACTTACATCCAAGGAATGCCACATTCCACTGAGTACTATGTTGGATGACAAGATCATTTTACACTGAATTCCAAGTTCTCTATACTCCATCACTAGTATATCTAGATGTGAATACCCTAATTTGTGAGCTACATAACTCCTTTGTTTCCTTGCAATAGATGTTGTATTAAACTGTCCTTCATACCCAAAAGACAGTGTTCCTTCCCTATAAAGCACCCCATTATACCCAATTGCAGTGTCGGGCTTTTGTAGTCTTTCTCAGAACTCCATTCATGTCCTCTCTAATAAAGGCCTCTTTGTAACATGCACATTAGGGGAACTCCCTAAATCTCAGGTTGTCTGGAAGGAATCTAAAGAGAAGAAAAGGAGAAATGTTAGGATATATATCTGGCGCAAACATACATAAATAAAAGGTTGACTAGTTCAAGATGTTGTTCCGTTTGCAATAATCCCAATGAGATGAAAAATTTGTGTGCCTGTTTTCATCACATTGTTGTGACTATAGTACCTTTCATTGCCTGTCTTAAAAATGTTTACCTACTTACTATACCTTTCACCTTTGGCCTCACTTTTTTGACACAAAAAACTTATGCATATGCAGAGACTAAAAATTTCCATAAGCTCCTTCGTTTCAAATAAAACATTTGCACAAATATAAGGATTTGGGGGGGGGGTTAGTTAAATTTCATACCCCATCTATATAACATTTCGAAAGAAATTAAGTTTGATTTTGAAAACAAAAGCATTTCCTTATTTTATCTAATTTTTAATATTTCTAATGATTCTTTGTCATTTTTTCTATTTGTTACAAGAAAGAGAAAGAAAACATAAAAGGAAATAATGAAAGAGGGAAGAAAGGATTAAAGAAAGGAAGCAAGGGAGGAAAAAAATATAGCGGAAGAAAGTCAGACCAGCGATTATATTAAGCAGTGGCAAATGGTATTCACCTTTTATAGGCTCTATGTTTTATAATGAAGATACTTCATTGAAACAATGATGCATACTTCAAGGGTTCCCTGGAGAGCAGTGAATCCTGTTTGGAGAGATTCATGAATATGTGCATTAGCACAATCCAACTGGAACTTGCCCTTAAAAAATGAACCACAAGAGAAACTGATCAGTTTTTGCTTATGTATATAATCAGAAGGTTATTATATTATCTCCCTCTCCACGGGAAAAGCAGATGCATATTTTTCTACCACCTCAGATGAGAAATGCCAAAGGAAACAACAATTTTTCCCCTTCTGTGATGTTCATTATGTGAAATGCACATGGAGACTTTTTAATACTGGGTCAAAAGAGCAGAAAATAAATGTAGATTCAATTTTTCAAAATTTTTTTTTGCATAAGATGAATCATAAAATAAACCTTTAAAATACACATTTCTGCCTTAACTTGCTGAAGGTCATTAATAAACTTGCACTGAGTTAAAAGATTGCTAGAGATTGCACCTATGAGACAAATATTTCAAAATCAAAGCTCACAAAAAGTTACATGTAACTTTGTGCCCTAAAGATGAATGAGGGACACATGGCAGATCTTGAAGTAGTAGTTTATTTAAAGTACAAAGAATTCCATGAAAAATATTTCTAACCAGCAGTTGGTGCCCAGTTATCATGAAAAATGGCAGATCACCACTAAGCTATTTACAATGATAAAGAGTATCTAGGTATATTTGCAGAATTTATCTGTAAGTTTTTAGCTCCATTAATTTTAAACAAAAGTGAAAGTATAAAAAAGAAGAAACTCAAAGAAATTTGATCATTGTAAAGAAACAACAGAGAGAAACTGTTGTTACCTAAAGACTGAATGGATATTGTTAAATGGTCACCTTCTATGCTTTGCCAAATAAAAATATTATTAGCAAATGTTAATTGCTGAAGGAAACTTGTTTTTTCTCTAGATATGGAGAAAATGGTACGAGCTCAGAAAACACCTTCTCTTATGCTTTATATATTGTTATTTTTATTATATGTTCTTTGCTCTGAATTTGACTATGTCAGTATTATCAGCACGTTCAAACATAGAGGGGAGAAATAATTGTCTTAAAAAATCACAATCATATTAGTGTTAAAAATGACTTAATTCCTGGCTGTCAATTTCTTTTTTAATGTGACAGTTAGTCATTTCTTAGGCATCTGGTAATGAATTGCCAGAAACGGTTTCAATTCATCATTTCTAGTCACCATATTCATGGAGAAAACTGTGTTTAAATTTGTCCATGATGTTCTCAAACTTCTGGATTCAAAAACTTCCTGGACATTTTAAGTTTTTCAAATGTGATTTGAGGGCCTGCACTATTTTCAGTATGTAGGGAAGGGCCAAGGGAACACTGTTAATTCGAGAGGGCACAATATTGTAGTCAGGCATTTAAATTATTTGTAACTTTTCACCAGAAGTCGTATTCATGTTTTGGAAAATTAGTACTTAGCTAAGCTCCAAGGAAGAAAGCATTTTATTTAGTAATAGTTCAAATAATGCAGTAAAAATGTCTCTCTGTGCATTTGAACTGGCCCTTGTGGCCTGATTCAGTGTTTTGCCCATTTTCTCGGCTTTTTGAGCTTCGCACTCACAAGAAATTGTACAAAACACTTAGCACTATTTTTTTCATAGCTGGTAATGGGGCTTTCACCGCACAAAGGCAAGGAAAAATTATTTGGAAAGGTGAACAGGCTTTTAGAAAAACTAGAAAACACTCCTCATACATTTTAGGCTCAGCTTTCTGCCCCTTTCTTGCATGTTTTAAATCTAGCCACTGGGATCCCTGAAATAATATGCTCCTTAATGTTAAATACTGAATATGATCATTCATAACTGGTCCACAAAAACAAATTTCAGAAAGAAGAATGGTGTTAAAGGAAGATGACTATTTACTGATAGTTTTCTTTTTGTGCCTATGTAAATAAAATATATTTATCGCTTTGTTTATTTATCAAACTATCTCAGAATTCACATATGCATCACCAAAAATGTGGCTTTCGGCTCTTTTTGTAAATAGGTCCTATCATAAAGATTTTTAGAAGTTTTATCTTGTACAAAAAGGCAGTTTTCATCAGCAACGCGGCCATCTGTTTAGTGAAAATAGAGCTAGTTAGTGAACTGCAGACTGTGTGTGTGCGTGTGTGTAGAGGAGGTGGCAGTGAGGGAGTAGAAGGTCAAAGGGTAAATTCCAATTGCTGTGACATATTTTTATGAGCTGAATCATACCCAGCTTTTAGCCTTGAAAGGGGAAGAGGATCTTAGAAAAGGGAAGTCACATGCAAGGGCAGGTCAGGAAAATCCTCAAGAAGTGCTCTTCCAAATTAGCTGTTGATTGTTCTCCAACCCGCCATATCCATCCGTTTGAATTTTATTTTATTGTCCCAGGACTTGAAAAGATCTGTTTTCTATTACGCGAAACCCAGTTCAAATTTGTGTGGCAAAATATACAGTTATCTTGGAGCATTTATTTCCCTTTTATACCTTTGATACTGTTCTCCTCGTTGGAGGGGATGAGGGGGTGAAGCCTCCTTGCAAGTGGGAAAGGAGGAGGAGACTACGCGGGAGTTCTACCCAGCACGAGGCTGACAAAGCATTGCTACCGCAGGAAGGAAAATGCTAACGGGAGCGGGAGAAAAGACAGGAGGGGCCCCAGGAACCAAGCCTCGTTAGAGACCCTAACGACTCCACCTTAGCCTCCCCTCCCTGCACCCACGCTCTCTGGCAAATGTAGAGGCTATTTCTGCTTTTTACAAGAGGTGCTGCCGGGGTGGGGAAAAAAGAAGAAGAAGAAAAAGCTGATGCTAAAATCAAGGAAGAAACAGCAGAAGGGTCAGGGGCAGCAGTCAAGGCAGAAGCAGCTGCCGTGGCCGGCCCAGCCACAGTCATCTCAGTCCCAGCGGCGCGGCAGCCAACAGCGGCCGCCGCGGCGACAGCCCGAGTGGCAACAGCTGTGGGGAGGCTCGACTTCTTCCCTACGCCTGTCCGCGCCAGGAGTCAGAGTAGGGAGTCCCTATCGCTCCCATCTTCTGAGCAAGCAAATTCTTCTCATTCCTTCACTCGCGCCTTCTCAGCGTCAGCTGACCCGCTGCTCCCTCCCTTGCTTCGGGGATTGGCGCAACTGTCCGCCCCCACCGCACCGAGAGGCACGCGAATGACACCCGGGGTTGTTCTAGTAGTAGTAGGTGGGCCTGCGGCTTCAGGAGTGCGTTTCCTGAGCCAGCCAGACCTGGGCCTCTTCGGCCTCTATCACCCTGTTGGCTGAACAAAATGCCCGAAGGCGTTTTGGTGGTGCGATTGCCAGTGACTAAACAGGACCTTAATTTTCAAAGTTGATGGGGACAAACCCAGGCATAACTGGAGAGGGTGACCATTTCCAAGGCGTTGAAAGAAGACGAACAAATTAGGCAATTTCAGTATTATCAGAGACAGCATTATGACCCTTTTTGTTGTAAAAGGAACATAAATGTAGCTACAGATTGAATGAAGTTATAGGCCATAAAAGGGCAGGAGAGAAAAGGGAAAAGATAATAGGCACTGTCCATTTGAGCCTGTTACACTTACTGTTTCAAATCTATTCAGCTAGTGTTAGTGACAAATACATAATTTACCGGCAATAATAAATGAGGGAAGGAGTAAGGATAAATATTATGGAACGCAGCTGTGTGTTTAGAATAGTGACAATTGCTGTTTATTTGCTTTTCACTTATGAAAATTACACAGGGCAAGGTCATATGTGAGACATACATCTTTATATTATTTTTTCTCATATTTTTGAAAGTTAGGGTGAGTGGAAGCATTCAACTTTATTTTCCTTATTTAGATAAGCAAATATCAACAAACCTTTCTTAAAAGTGTAGATTTCTTTCTATTAAATACTTAGGCAAAACTGATTGTACTTTTTTTTGGCATTTAGAGCCATCTTGTTTACCTTCAGTAAGGTTATCTTATAATGATTGCTAAATTCTATCCAAAAGCTTATAATATTTCATATACGTTAACTTTAGCTCTCCCATTAAATTATGTATTTCTTTATGTACTTGGGCTTTTCACGAGGATTTTAGGCACATTATTCACTTGCTGGAAAATTAAATTGATTTATGTTTTTCCTCTTCTGTTTTTAAGTATAAACTCTTTAAAGGCAAAACTGGGGGTTTCTCCATAGGCCAGAAACTACTAGACTCACAATGATCCTTATGTAGATGCATTTTTGGTTGGACCAAACAAATAAGTTAAACTTCAAATTTTCAGTTTGTACACTTAGGGTAACTGGTTTCAATTAAATGGGGAAACACTTTTTTTTTTTAATGTTAAAGAACTTAGTGCCTTAAATTTGAAGAGGTAATTATTTGATGTGGTAACAAAAGAATATTAAAGAAGTAACAGTTTATTTTGAAATTTCAAAATGCATTAATTTTATATTTTGATTATTTGAAATGGAGTGGAATATTTACAAGTAAGATTGTATAGTCACATTAATAAATGTGATCAAGTTATTAATTTATATTAGAAAAACAATTATACTACATTTAGATAAATTATTTTACATAAATTTCAGCAACACTTTGAAGCATTTTATAAAAATTTGAAAAAAATTTCTTAAAGACAAGTGAATTGATTGTCAGATAGATCATTGTAATGTTTTTTCCAATGTACTATTAAGGAATTTTTATAAAATGATATATAAGATTAAATACAAATTTATATTTCATTAAGAATATTTTTTCAATAAAAGAAGAAGAAGAAAGCATTTATATATCTGTGGTGAGTTGGGTTAATATAATTTTTGTGTCTGATTTCATTTAGATATTTTATATTTTTATTCTTTGATTTTAGGATTTTGGTGGTTTTTTTGAGGTTTCACTTAATGTATACATAGGGTTTTATCCCTTATTGTCTCTTTTCATTAGAGAAAAATCAAAGATTTATTGACTCATGAGTTGATCATAATTTGTTATATTATTAAATCATTAATCTTTTCTAGATACAGCAATATTGCATGAAATTCATATTACAGTATTTTTATAAAATAACAAAATGAAAAACTGATTCATATAAAAGAAACAAACTTTTGCATCACATAGTTTAAAAATATGCATCATTTAAAATGTAGACTAAAATTGTATTTTATTTCTTTATAGTCAAACAAAAGCTCTCTGAATGAAGATTCAGGAAGAGATTTCTCGAGCTTTCTCTAAATTCAAAGTGCCCTCTACTGTCAAAAAAGTGTACTGCTCTGGAAGAGAAAGTGACAAATCTGAAATCAAAATCTAGACAGTGAGAGACAGACGGAAGAAAACTACAATAGGTAATGGCGCTGCCTCTCAGCCCTGGGGCGATGCAGTTTGGAATGTTCCATCAGTAAATAGTTACGCTCCCCTTCAAACTTAAAAGTTACATTAAAATTATTTGGAACTTTATAACTGTTGCTAAACTTTTATTTTCTTAGTCTTGCTTTTACAATGAAATTTTACTTTGGTGTTAACATATGATTTACTGTAAAGACTTGAACAATGCATATTGTGGACTACCCGACTAAACTTCAAAATTATGCATACCCAGATGTCTTTACTCTTGAGAAGTATTATTTAGAGGTTCTTTATGTATATATATACATATACAGTATTTTTATTTTTATCTTGGGTTTTATATATATATCAAAAAATAAAATATCATTACTATGACAAAGCTAAATAATCAGTTGATTCAGTGTGTGAAAAGAGATTTTTAGAAAGATCATGTACACAAATAAGGTGTTGCATATTTTGTTCATTCTTAAGAAGGTGTTTAAGCATTATGAAGACAGTCTTAAACATGCTCTGTGTATTTAGGTGCAAGCTTGTTACCTTCTTTTAATTAAATTCAGTGACCCAAAGAAAATTTTGCCGTAAGAAATTCAGGCTATTCCACAATGTTAAGTTGTATTTTGTAACATACTGAAAAGTAATGAAATTTAAGTTTTGCGATGGATATAGGTGAAAAATTTTAGAAATGTTTACTATGTTTTATCATATTAAAAACCATAATATGTTAATAAATGCAGATATGTTAATACAATATTAATATGTTACAATATATTAACAATGAGATAATTCTGATTGAATTCATAATTTTTATAATAATGCCAATAATTTGAAGTTAAATTAAAGAGGTTCTGACATAATTGAGGTGAGGGAAAGCAAATGATTTGTCAAGTCTCCAACATGTGTAACAGGCCTTGGTTAATTAGCTCCAGGAAATAGTTGGTCTGTATTTTAAGCAAAAGCAAAATAAAGATTTAAATAACTTGGGGAGGGATTTTGTATAAAAATCAAGGGCTATAGATTTTATATCAAATAAATATTGAACAAGTTTGCAGTTTAATCGACTGAAATCTATTAAATTGATCGAATTGATACCTACATATTTGTATTACATGTAGGTGTCAAATGTTATACAGTTTAGTGCAAGAAATAACTTTCCCAGAGGAAGTGAAATTTAGTGTATTTAAGTAAACACAAATAATGGAGGGAGCATGTTTGGCATCTGTATGTTTATGTATCTGCATAAATAACAATCTATTTACAACTTGAAAAAATTTTAGCAGTGGCTGTTGGGTGGGGAGAGCCTCCCTGTTTCCAGTACTTTTCTTCTCTGTTCCTCTTCAGTTCCTCTGGTTGACTATGAACTTTGCCCCACCCCAGATGTCCTTGCTGCCTTCTGTGAGGAAGAAGGGCATTTAACTAGCACTCAACATTAATGCCTTCCTGATAGATGGTTGTAATTAAGAGGGGCTTTTGTGTGCTGACAAACAAACAAATGAACATATAAATGAAAGAGAGAGGCAAAATTCAGCCCAAAGCAGTGGTTCTCTGGTGGTGGAATTTAGAGGCAATTTGGAGGAGAAACTTGTTGGGTAAAATAACATTATATGCCATTGAAGTTTAGGGTTGGCTTTACTGTCACAAACAGCACACCAGTCTTCTCAATTGTTTGAAAAATCTAGCACATCCAGTATACCTAAATATTTCCTCTGGTTGTTTTCAGTACTTTAGGGTAAATCAATAAACACAAGTATGTACATGAACCTAATTTCTTTTGAATCACCAGTTCCCTTGATCAGTGCACAATTATTTTCCACTCCTTGAAAACGAACTTTCATTTGTAATATTAATCCTAAATTTAATAAAAATGTGCCCATATTACTAAAAGTCTATTGATATGGTATATTAGATGGCCAATGAAAGGCCCTATGTTTATATTTCCTCTGTTTTTTAGAATCAACTCTTCTTTTCTGAATTCAATTTAAGATAATCTAATTTATAATTAATGTAATTGAATCTATCTAATAAGAGACCCTTGTTCTTGGGCCTAAGAACTCTTCCTCATTATGAGTCCACTTAGGAAAACGTTAAATCAAGGGACTTGATGTCCTCTAACCAATGATGTGCCGAAGTGGGTCCATAGGACTCTTTCCTCTGGGAATATGAATTTTGAGTTAAATGTTATGATGATTTAAAAAGCAACAACATTGCCTTCCAGGAGAGATTGCTCTTTATTTCCTATTACCTGGAACATGGTCGCTGCTTTTTTTGAGTGTGCTTGGCCAACTATCTCATACTTTCTGTGTGCTACACAATATCCTTTTGATAAATTTCATTTCTGCTTAAGCTAGGTTGTCATTTTCTTTGTTTGCAACCTAATAAATCTAACTGACATAATGCAATGTCTTTTTCAGGGGGCAATTTGTAGATTCATAGGTGACATTTACAGAAATTTCACAAATTTTCATTTCAAAGGATGGGAGCTTGGTTGAGTCAGGTCCTTGGCCCAAGCCAAGTAACATGCTTGCGCCGTAGAGTGGGATACAGTTCTAAGCCTCCTGGTGGCTACAGCGTTATGCTGAAGCACGGATTAGTCACTCCCATTCTCATGATCTGCTGGGTTTTATGTATAGCATGGTTGACATAAATTCTTATCTTCTTCATCCTTGCAATCTAATATTAGGAATGTTGATTTCGATGGAAAAAAAAACAATGTATGTAATGGAGATGAAGTAATTTTAGAAAACGAAATTATTACGACAGCATGAGATATTTGTAGTATATGTAGGTGTCAAATGTCATGCAGTTTAGTGCAAGAAGTATCTTTCCTAGATGAAGTGAAATTTAGTGTTTTTAATAATGGAGGGAGCATGTTTGGAATCTATATGTTTATGTATCTGCATAAATAACAGTATATTTACAACTTGAGAGGATGTTCAATGAAATTCCTCTCTTTTTCTTAAGATAATTGTTACACATACAATTATGTGTAACATAATTAAGTATGAATTGTGGAAAATTGTCTTTCTTTAAAACATCAACAGTAACAAAGCATGACACAAGCATTTAATAAAGGCATTATTGTAAACTTTCTTCATTCCTGAGAACCAACAGAAAAATCTCAAGAGACAGACCATTAAATCTTCTTCCTCAGTGTTAACTTAGGCAGCAGCTCAGGAGACATCTCTGAGGGTGCAAGACACTTATTAGAAGCACGTTTAGGAATTTCTGACTGTTTTTCAAAAACTACTTCTGCAGAAAACAACTGCATTGTTACCAAGCATTTCTGGAAACCATGTATAACTGAAGAGATTCAATTCATTAGAAATATGATAAATTATAAATGGTAAAGGTTGGAAAAGGGTAACTTGTGGGGGAAATATAAATTAAATATGAGAGGTATAATGTAACTATCAGAGATCACTTGGTATATATCACTTTATTATGTTTTATATTATACTTTTTGAGATAAGTCAATTACCACAGTATTATTTTATGCCTCACTTCCTTTATAGGAGAAAAAGCAGAGAAAAAATTTGGAAATAAAAATGTCTAAAGTGTGTTTTGTTTTCCTTTTTATACTATTATCTAAACATTCTGATATTCGTAACATAAACCATATTTATTAATCCTTCATCAACTATAATTAATTCCCATTACTTTTTTCTTCCAGGAGGAATTATTACTAAAGCCAAGATTTTTCTCACAAACCATTATCTTTCCTTGATCTGGCATTGTATATTTTTTTCAATGGATTCCAAATAATAAATATAATGTCTTCTATTTGTGTATTGATTCGGATTCAGTATTTTCATAATTAAAGTTTCACTTGCTTCTCTTAATCAACGGGTGCTTCATTTTGATTGGTAAATTTGTTTGACTTCTTCAAAAATGAGACTTAATGATCAGCCCAAGATAACCCACATATTAGGAGATTAAATACGCTTAAAGCACAGATCTTGAGGCTCACAGTCTGGCAATTTTTAATTTACTCACTTACTTATTTAGTTTTAAACAAGTATTTATTGAGCACCTACTTACTCTTCCAGGCACTGGTTAGCACTGCTTTCTATCTGAAACAACTTTTCCTTGCCCAGGAGTAAAGCAGGCAAGATTATTAGAGTGATGTGTTTCACAAGCCACTGCCTCAGGGATCAATTGAGGCTACACCTTCAGGCAACCATTTTATGACTACTTGCTTGTAACTAATTCACAGGAAAGATCTTTTCTGTTTGGTTTTGTTTTAATTCTGTTCTGGACTGTCCACCTGGGCACGTTGGAATTGATGCTGAATATGATTTCATAACAGCTAGGCCCAACTTTGCTCCAACCACTCTTACATCTCCAGACCCAGCTCTGAGAAACCTGAATGTGGGGCCACTTCAATCTCCTCTCCCCACTAGGCCTGATTCACCACCACACAAACCCTAACCTGTCTGGGAAAGGAGTTCTTTATCTAGAGCCAAACCACATATAAATCTGTAATTCTGAACATCAGGAAATGCCAGCTGCATAAGTATTCACATCCCCTCCCCCCGACTTTTTCTTTCTTCTTTGTGCTTTCCTGCTTCAATAGGCTAGATTTTCATCCAGTTGCCTTTTCATTTCCTTTTTTTTTTTTAAATCTCTCCTTCTACTGACCTCTGCCATTTTAAAAATCATTTTTATGCGATGCTGGGCAAGTCACTTAGCCTTAATGCGTCTGGCTTTGTTACCTAGATACGAATAACTTTACCTGAAGAACTGTTGTGATTAATATATTTAAAAGTGCTTCACTTCATTCCTTTTACATAGTGGTGTGATTGGTGAGTGCCTTATGAAGACTGGTCTTCCTGGGATTCCTGGACAAAACCTGCAGACAGCTTCTAAGCTAATTTGAGGTTGGTATAATGATATCAAGTGTTCATTCTATGTAAACAACTTACTCTGTTCTACTACATTGTTATTTTAGACCGCACATTTCAGCTATTCCTATAGTGTTTGCTATCCTATTATTGTTGTTGTTAGATTTTTAATTGACAACTTTCTCACATATTGAAAACATCAGTAACCAAGTAGCAAGTTGGCTATTATATCCTCTAATTTAAACTTCTAAATTAGAGAGTGCAAGGCCTCAGTATTCTCAATTTATAATCACTTGTTAAGAGATCTTACCCTTTGCTCTAAATTCTTGCTATATAATAATAATTTCCAAATGTATGTCCTTTATCTGATCTATTTCCTAAACTTCAAACTCATATATCCAACAGCCTACATGACATCTCCACCTGGATGTCCAAGGAGCATCCCAAACTTGTATCTCTAAATCTAAATTCTTGATACTTCCCCCAAAATCTTCTCCCTCTAAACTTTCTTTGGCTTAATTATGTAGGCTAAACATGTAGAGCCAATTCTTAGATGTTTTTTACACTCATAATTTAATCTAATCTTTAAGTAAATCCTGTCAGTTCAAATTTCAAAATGTATCCCAAACCAACCACATTGATGCTACACACCTAATCCACTCCTCCATCACCCTTGCCTCAACTTCTATAATACTCCTGGAGGGTGTCCCTGCTTTCAGTCTTGCCCCTCTGCAGTCTGTTCATCATATAGCAACCAGACAGGTGTACTTGAAATGTAAATTAAATCATATCCCTTTCTGCATAATACCTTTCAAATGCTGCTTCTACTTAGAATAAAATCCAAAGTTCTTATGTGGACTCAAAAGTTTCTGTCTATTGAACAAATAATCTAAATTAATGAGAAAAACTTGTGCTTACTTCTAATGTATTTCTGACCACTTTTCCACTTTTCCCACTGGCCTCTTTGTATTACTAGAAAAGCATTCCGACTAGTCGCATTGCTCTGATTATTCTATCTGCTTGGAGAGTGCTTCATCCAGATATCTATATAGTTCACATCTTTGCTTCATTCAAGGTTTTGCCCAAATGTCACTGGCTTAAAGAAATATACTCTGACTATCCCGTACATTTTATTCAACCAGATATTTGCCCTTTCTGTCTCTCTTGCTACAATCCTGGTGTTTTAGGTTTCTCTCTAATTATTTCCTTTCCATTTGAAGAACCTCTTTTAGCATTTCTTTTAAAGCAGCTCTACTGGTGACAAATTCTTTCAGTTTTCCTTCATCCTAAAATGATCTTATTTTGTTTTACTTTGTGAAGGATATTTTAATTGGATATAGGACTCTGAATTGACAGTTTTTTTTTTCATTTCATCACTTTCTGAATGCTATTTCATTGTCTTATGGCCTCCATGGTTTCCAGTAAGACATCTGCAGCTATTCATATTTTCATTTTTTGGTACTGTGTGTTTTTCTTTCCCCTTCTGGCTGAATTAAGTTTTGTTTGTTAGTTTTTGATTTTTTTTAACTTATCCTGTTTGGGGTTTAGTTTCCTAAGCTTATATGATTTGTAAATTTGCCTTTCACCAAATTTGGAAAAGTTTTAGTCATGATTTCTTTATGTATATTTTCTATACAAATAAATTTCTCCTCTCCATCTGAGACATTTCTGATATGAATGCAAGACTTTGATATAGTCTGGTCCCTAAGGCTCTGGTCACATTTATAAACTCTTTTTTAAACTTTTTAAAACTTTTTCTTTATATGTTTCAAAATGGATAATTTTTATTGCTCTATCTTTGAGTGCACTAATTCTTTCAATTCTACTATTGAACTCCTCAGTGAATTTGTAATTTTTTAAATCATATTTTCTACTTCTAAAATTTCTGTTTGGTTTTGTTAAACAGCTTCTATTTCCTTGCTGAGAACTTTTATTTTTTCTATTTGCTTCAAGAGTATTTTCACTTGCTTCTTACATCATTGTTACAAAGGGTGCTCTAAATTCTGTGTCTGAGAATTTCAACATATGAGTTGTCTGAGGGTTGACATTTGCTGATTGTGTTTTTTCTTAAAAATTGTTTAGGTTTTCCTGGTTTTATGTACATTGGGTAATTTTGGATTTTATCCTAAAATTTTGAAAATTTTAAACAGGGAATTCTATCTTATTATAAGACTCTTGGTCTTGTTAACATCAGGAAAACATTACTTTTTCATTCTCTCTCTCTGTCTTTTTCTTTTTTTTTTTTTTAAGTAAGCAGTCAATTCAGTGAGTTATAGATTTCAAGTCCATAACTTTTCTTCTATGGCCTCTGGTTCCAATGTCAGATTACTTTCCAAAACTTGTTTCTGGTCTTCCCTGATTATACATCCATCACCCAGGGGTGAGTCTGGAACCTGTGCAGTGTTTTACTCTGTAATTCAGTTTTTAAGTCATTGCTGCATTGATGCCTTTTGCTTTCATTCATGTTCAGTTCAGCTTGGGGGTAATCTCAGAATTTAATAACAGATCCAAAAAGTTCCTTTCTCCAGCTGCATCCTTTCAGTGATCCTGTCCCCAGTCTCTCTTTCTAAGGATTTCCCCTTCTGGTGTTCCGGAAAGAAAGCTGGGGTTTTAGATTTCTATGCTATTGCCCATTTTCCATTTCTTGGCTGGCTTAGTGGCAAAGCTGCAAGACAAAGCATTTGAGAGCCTCCTGAGTTGCCCGTACTGCTGCTGCTGCTGCTGCTGCTGCTGCTGCTGCTGCAGGAGGTTGTTTTTGTTCTTGGCTCTCACCTGGAGGAGGGCCCAGAGAGTAAAAAAAACTTTACTCTTCAGGTACTGCTGTCATAAGGTGGGAATGAGGGGCGCTGCATCTTCCTTGCTGCACTTGTGGAAAGGAAAGTGGTGCTGCTTTATGGCTGCTCTGTTGTTAGTTCTCACCTGGTATAGGGCAGCAAAAGTCAAAAGGGATTGCCACTGCAGCTACCACAATTACATGCCAGTGAGAATATGGAAAGATGGTATGATTATCTCATATGAAGTCTCTTTGCACTTATCTTCTATCTGCTTATGTCACATTCTATGCTTCACAGCACATGTACACACTCACACAAACACACACACACACACATATACACACACATGTAACATAGGAACAACTGAATACTGGATGGTAGCAAGAGTACACAAGGCCTGCTTGTGCTTCCTGACAGGACATCTAGGAGGATCTACTTTCTCATCTTCTTGTGTGTGTACTTGAGATTTTAGTGGGAAGATAATCATTTTTGTCATTGGAAATGCTGGGCAAATGCTTTTCTCCCCACTGGGAATTTAGGGAAACTACTGAGAGATGGGATTATGGAGTTAGAGTCAAATAGGAGAATAAAAACGTAAGACTTTGGATGTACTAGCAGATCTAAAGTGTCTGTATAGGAGATACAATTCCAAAGTAATGATTTCTCTAGAAAAAAAAAAAACAGTGGTTATGCTGCTGAATAGTGGAATTGAAAAAAGAATGTGGCTGAGAAGAGGCAGGCATAAGCAAAACTGCCAAAATATACTTGTCATTTTTCATATCTGAGCAACCAGGCTAAGACTTTTCTGCAACATCCCTTTTCTATGAAAATAAAAACTTATAAAGTTAAGTAGTGTTCTCACCTATAGGAAGCCTAGTGAGTTTTAAGGTGGTCCTCATACAATAAAATTGCACATATCCAGCTTTCTTGATTAAATAATGACAGAAGTGTATTTTTTAAAACATTCTGTTTTCTTTCCATTCTGTGCTGTCTATTGCTGAAACTGTAGCGGTTTCCTTGGAGACTAATAAAGAATGAAACTTGATTGGCTATATTGGCAGAAATATTGTTGGTGGACATTTTGAGAAATATTTACATATCAGCTGTACATAAAAGAAAAAATGCTTAACTCATAGGAGATTTGTTTTAATTGCAGTACGAAAAATCCCGTGGACAAACTAAAATTAGAGATGGGAACAATAACCTAGTATGTCATCTTGTCAATCATCCTGGCTATTATTCATTTAATTATTCTCTTCCTTGTCTGATACAGTTAAACTAATTTTATTCTTTTAGAATATTTTTCAACTAGACAATTTTAAAACAATTTTCTATATATTCTATATCTTTCTCTTTTTAACCAATCCAGCCTGCAAGATTATCAGAGGGAAAAGAAGATGTACAAAGAATGACTCTCAATTCCCTTCTGATACACAAGAGAGGATAAAAACAATCAACAAGCAAAAACAACCTTAAATGTGCATGCTATACAATGTTCTCCAAATCCAGAAGCACTAGATTCAGGTTTATTTATAAGACAATGCAGTAAAGCAGAGGATGGAATCAAGAGGTTACTACATAGGAACCACTTATATTTAAGGTTACAGATTGGAACCAAGGATTCAGTTCTAGCTGCCTCTTCATTTGAAAATAGATAGCTAAGTAGGCTTGTTTCATAATTTTACTTCAAGATTTTGATACAATATTTTTACTGTTTTCTGCATCTGTCAATTTCATTCCCAAAACATTTTCAGTCAAGAAGAAAAGCCCATCAAATTTTTTTCTTGAATAAAGAACTGCACCATTTATTGATAGGTATATATTTTTAAAGGGGAATGCAGCAAAACAAATGGCAAGGGATATTTTATCTATGCTTGATCTTAAAATTGGATTCTACAAAGGACTTTAAGATGGTTTCTGCTGTGTACATTTTGCTTACTTAAGTCAGTTTTTAAATTTAATTCAGTAATTATAAGAGAACAACTGATGTTCCTTACACTGACCTAGGTGCAAATGGAAAAACAAGGGCTCTAAGTGTCTGACCTGAAGGAGATTTAATCTAGTTTGGTAGACAATGAAGACAAGGGGAGATGTAAAGTAGCATGTGATTAATTAAAAAAAATCTGTCCAGATGAGCATATTATTGTGGCCAGACTGCAGTATAGTTAGAAGTCATTATGTAATATTAAAATAGCAAAAAGGAGACAAATACCTCACTATATAAAGTGTTCAATTGATATTTTTGGACAAAATTTACTATTTACTCTCAGATAATAATTTTTATATACTATCGTGGTTTATAGGTTGACATACTATATTGTAAATTCTGTCTCATTGAAAACATTTCATTCCCTGGATGTTTCTTTCAATGCAGAAATATGGTTTATGGGAATACTTTTCTAGTATTTAGAGCTGTTCATAAAAATAGAATGGGCAGGAGGTAGTGAATTTTTCATCACTGAAGGTGTAGAGGAGGGAGTGAAAGACCACTGCTGAGAATGTTGTAAAGATATTTCATGGTTTTGATAATGGCTGGAATTGATGACTTCTGATATCCTTAAAAAATCTGTGATTTCATGAGATTATGACAGTCAATGACATGCTATGACATTCAAATAAGGGGGTCTTCATTGTGAACTAGAATAGTCTGGGAATTCTCAGGCAGATATGAACCATAGGCTAGGTTTTCAATATCAGGTAGGATTTAGGTAGATGGAGGAGCAGTGTAAGATCGTTATAGTGAGAAAGTAAGAAAAAAAAAAGCAGAAAAAAAGAGATACACAAATGAGCTTCGCATCTTTGGAGACAATGAATAATTTGGCCTTACTAGATTATAAATTTGATGCTGGGAATTTAGAAGATAACAAATTGTGCAGCTCAAATTCTGAAGAGCTTTTAGTACTAGGCAATGGGCAGGTCGGAACTTATTTTATTTAGCTACTATAGAACTTTTGGATTTATGTCACTATTAGGATAACCTGTTGATATAGGTAGTAGAAGGGAGAATAAGATAGGTAGGTAATTTAGGCATTAGATAAGGATTTAGTCTTAGAGGATGCCAGTAAGAACACGATCTGTGTACAAATTATTTTGAAATGATTCTATTCATGTTATCTGACACAGAGCAATGAACATAGACTATTATTCCTCTTCTCATCTAGAGTGAAACAATCCAAAAGTGAATATCATTTGCATTATGACACTAAAATCACCTTTTGATCATGTGTATTAGTGAGGATTCTCCATAGAAACAGGGAAGAAAATGAAGAGAGAGGAGAGAGAAAGAGACTGATTTTTAAAAATTGACTCACACAGTTGTAGGGACTGGCAAGTCTGAAATCCATAGGGCAGACTGACAGGCTGGAGACTAAGGTATGGGTTGATGTTGCAGCCTTGAATTCTGAATTCCCCAGGATAGCAAGCTGGAAACTCTTTTGCTCTAAAGGTCTTCAGCTGTTTGGATGAAGTCTGCCCATGTTATGGAGAACAACTGTTTTACTCAAAGCCCACTTATTTAAATGTTAATCACATCTAAAAAATACCTTCACAGTAACATCTAGACTGATGTTTGACCAGACAACTGGTTATCACAGCCTAGCCAAACTGACACATAAAATTAAACATCACAACATGTAATAGTATAGGCAAGAAATGACTTGCTGTTTGGCATTGATGAACAACTATATTTGTATACACTCACACACAGGTATGTGTATAGTTGAAAACTTATTAGAAAGAACTATAGAAACATGATTAGTGGGAGTAAGTTCTCTCTAACTATCCATAACTATAGTTCATTAAGACATGACTTCTAATAGCTAGAGTAATTGATATAACAACAGAGTAAGCCCAATATAAACAGCACTTTTAAACTTACTTTAAAAAAATATAATACAGAATAACAGGAACCTACTACATACTCCCCCCATCTCATCCCACCCCCCAAAAGGAAGTAACTAGATGCTCCCTTCTGATAATTTTCTACATTCCCTGTGACGTGGAGAGGGGGAAAAAGATATTTCACATGGGCTTTCCAGTATTCCACTCCATGGTAATTAGAAATGCCACATCATTATTGCTTTTTTCATCATATCTTCTGATTATTTTTCCTTTCTTAATTGAATTCAATCCCTATATATACACACGCAAAGTTTCTCTTCCATATTTTCCTTACTTTCTAAGTTTCTTTATCTTCACAATTAAATTATTAGGTGTAATTAATCATTACACTTAATAGCTAAAGCTTTAGAATGGCTTGCTCTGACAACAGAAAAAAAAGACTTATTTGGCTAAAAGTTAAATTCATTGATATTCTTATCTAGTCACCACATTTAAAAAATCTAAGAAGAGAGTGAATTTTGCATATGAAGAAGTAATTAGATTATTACAACTTAAAAAAATCAAATTTGCATTCTAGTAGGTTATGCTCCAGAGATACATCGTATAGACAAGTGGTTTGGGGTAGATCATTCCTTCTTAAATCTAACCAGAATGATTTTCACACACCCAGACACACACACACATGGCAGAAAGGGAATAAAAATGGTAATATTCAATTTAGTGACCCCTGGGCAGAACAAACAATTTAACTTTAAAGTAAAATTAGACAATATGGAATAAAATTTGATATTACACAATAAGATACGCATCCCTGAAGAAAGCATTCAATTTGTGATCATACTAAGGGAAAATGTTCAACTGGGAAGAATGCCCAAGGAGAAAAACTTGGTAATGGGGCAACCTAGAAAGAAAGCCCAATAAACGAGTTATGAAAGAAATATTGCTGACAGCATGGTCTGCTTAAACAATAAGAACAACAAAAACCTGTCAGTCAATTTCACTTCTCAGAAATTTATTCACTGAGTCTTGATAGTAAAATGGTCTTAGTGATGACTAAAGAGTCAAGATTTGTTAGTTCCCCTCCCTCAAACACAAGGGTGTAGCAAGTCATTTTATGATAATCATTTTTGTTTTTTAAAAGAAAATAACATCAGCAAAATAAAATTAATCAGATTATTTATCTGTACCTCACAGAGAATATAAGGATTAATGAGTTAATTATTGTGAAATAGTAAAACACTTTGAGACATCTGAATAAAAAACTGGAATAGTTATTTATGGCTTTGCTAGAATGTCTCAGTAATCATAATTACATTTTAGTATGGACTTCTTTTATAGGTTAGTTACCTTATATATATTTTTCCTAGTAAAAATTAAACTTGTGGCATAATTTAGTACCAGAAAACATGTTAGAAAGAACAAAATTACCTGAATAAGACAATGCCAAAAATAACATACTATTGATTCCCTCCTGATAGATTATCATTTTCTCCTATTAACCTAGTAATTTCCTTGTCTATGATTATGGTTAGATGATTAGACAGGAACTATATAGATCAGTGCATGCTTCTTAAAATGAGACATATTTGTGGGCATTTGGTTATTTTCTCCTTAAAAGATATACTTAAAAACACTTTGAAACAATTTGATAAAAAAATTAAATGAAAATGAATAACAGTTATTAGCTTACAAAAATGTAGTATGCTTAGTATTTCTTTAGTTGAATGCAATAGAAAAAGACCAGTTAAGCCTGGACAGATAAAAGGAGAAACAGAGGAGCAAACAGCCAAATAATTCAAGGGTTGGAAAGACCTGGAGAGGTCATGAAGGTTACCACCTTTCTGGCAGGACCACACTAAAAACTACTAAGCCAGTGAGAATGTAGCCTGGTGTTGAGAACAAAACAAAACAAAACAAACTAAGCTATAAACTAAAATTCTCTAGTACGAGAAATAGCTTTAGGTGTCTTCAATTTCCCTTATTTTCATCCTGGCAATTAAAAGATTTATTTTGATTTTAATATTACTCTTTATTAGGCATTGACGATCTTGTTGTAAATGTACCAAGTATATCCTTCTATAGCATTCATTTCATTGGGTAAATAAAATTAAAGCTTTGAGTTCTGAAAAATAGGCTTCACATCTCTCCTGTTCACGTTGACTCTTTGATACCTACGCTCTGGCAGGCTTTAACAAGTTTTTTAAATAACTTGATAATATTTTCTAGATAGAGGAGGACTAGGCATCCTTTGGTATAGGTGTTACTAAAATGCAACAAAGGTGATTTCTGCTGACACACTAATACTTATCAGCACCTCTTTTCTCCTTACTTTATCTTTCTTCTCAACTTTCACACAGCCTCTTCATTCTCTCTGCTCTACCTGCCCCAATTTGCCCTCTTGTTTTCTTTTTCTTTCTTTTCTTTTTTCCTTCTGCAAACCTCACCTTATCATCAGCAGGTATCCTTTTGGCACTTAGGGTTAAAGATGTCGCCTAAAAAGTATGCTCTGCAGAATCAATGACATTGACATCACCTGGGAGTTTATTAAAAATGAAAAACCTTGAGACCCACTACAGAGCTTCTAAAACAAGACCTGCCTTTTAGCAAGATCCCCAAATAATTCATATGCACATTCAAATTTAAGAGGTGTTGGCTAGAGCACCTACATGTCCAAGAGGTATTTCAAACTCCACAAGTCTCAAACAAATCCACCGTCCACACTCTCCTCCTTAGGCAAGACTGTCTCTTTCCCTGCATTCTCTATCCAAGTGAAGAACCATAGATTCACTGGAAACTCAAGTCAGAAAACCAGTGAGTCTTTCTCGATCCCTTTCTCTTCCTCACTACACATGTAAAATATGTCACCAATCTTGTCATTTCTATTTTCTAAATAGCTTTTAAATATTTTCTCAACACATCCTCACAACTGTCACGTCCATACATCCCATATTTCTCACATGGTCTTGACCATAGTCTTTTAGCTATTGTCTCTGCTTCTAATCTCACTTTTCTCTAATTCCATCTCCATGTTAATGGTAGTTTTTTTAATTTAAATCTGATATTAGCTTTGCCACACTCAAAACATATTTTCATGATTTCTCTTTTACTACAGAATAAAATTTGATCTTTATACCTTTTTAAAAAGTTTTATTTTTTATTAACAAATAATAATTGCATATATTTGTGGGGTAAAAAGTGATGTTTTGATACATACGTACATTGTGGAATGATCAAAGCAGGCTAATAAACATGTTCGTCACCTCAAATATTTATCATTTTTAAAAGAAGAAAGATCTCAAATAAGCTAACATTATACCTGGCATAACTTTTTAACAGACCTCATCTCCCACAGCTCCCCAACTCACCCTGTATGCTATAGGCAGAGCCAATGACTTGCATTTTCCCAAATGTTTCATATTACTTGGTGCCTCTACATTTTTGTATACTTTTTTCTGGGACTGAAATACTCTTTTCCACCCAAACTTGTGTACCAACTGAACCAGATGCAAGTAACTGTTGGTTTGTAATGCTTTCTCTCATCACCTTGCCAGATTCATTTCTACCAAAACGTTTATCACACTATATTGCACTGATTCACTTATATCTTTACTCTGAAATGAACTAAACAGCTAAAGGAAATCATATATTGAACTTTTTTTGATCATTGGTAATATAGTAGATGCTTGCTATTATTGAATTGATATAGTTGTTATATTAGAAAGAAATGCTATAAACAAAAATAATTGTCCATATGACCAGAAACCATGCATTACTTATACAAAATCTTTTGTTAAATATATTGGGAAATTACTGAATTTCATGTGATAGACAACTGTTATAGAAATGATGAAAAGCAATATGAGAAATGAGTGAGATTGTTCTTGGACTTAGGCTCTGGAACAAAAAATCTATTTTAATTTATGACTTGCATTAAGATCAATAAATAAATACAAATCAATCTATGAAAATGTGTGTACAGGTTTTTTGTAAGCATATATTTTCATTTCTCTCAGATAAATGCCCAAGAGTACAAAAGAAAAAATTGATAAATTGGACCTCATCAAAATTAGAAAACTTTTGCTTTGCCAAATCCCATGTAAAGATGAAGAAATGAGAAGCTAGAGACTGGGAGAAAATATTTGGAATCACATATTATACAAGTAACTAGTGCATAAAATATATAAGAAACTTTCAAAATTGAATATTAAATATCAAACAATCCAATTAGAAGATGGGCACAAGTCATGAACAGATATTTCACCTAAGAGGATACACAGATGGCAAGTAAGCACATGAAAAAGATGTTTCACAAAATTAATCGCTAGGGAAATGTCAATTAAAATTGCAATAAGAACTGACTACACACCTGTCAGAATGGCTAAAATAAAAAATAGTGACAACATCAAAAGCTGGCAAGGATGCAGAAAAGCTGGATTACTAATACATTGCTTGTGAAAATGTAAAATTTTATAGTCACTCTGGAAAACAGTTTGGCAGTTTCATATCATATCATATCATATCACAAACATCCATATCAGTTTTTAGGAATAGACTGTAACCATCATATAGAACATCAATGTCAAAAAAATCTTCATAGATTAAAAAAAGTAACTTAATAAATTGACATTTAATATCTGTGTATTGTAGATAGTAGATCACATTCAGTAAAATAAATCTGATGTGCTGGTATTGAAAATATATTTAAGTTCATGCAGAAACCACAGAACTGAGCGATAAAATGATTGATGAAAATATGAACATCAATAATGTAAGTGATGGTGGTGTACAGTCTATAAAGCTAGGAATGCTGAATATCTCTGCTATTATTTATTTCACAGGGTCATTGTGAGAATCAAGTGTGGCAATATATGTAAAGTCACTTTGAAACTGGAAAAATAATGTGAACATATGAAATATTAAGAATTATTTTGATAATATTAAGTTAAATATCAGTACATGGAGATTCAGAAGAACATTTAAATATTAATATCTGTTAATTTATCTTTATTGTTCTCATTAATCTTTAGATACTCTTTGTAAACTAATAATTTTAGTCAATTTCTTTTACCTTAATTAAGTGAATATATTATTTACTTTTAAAATATGATAAATTTTCTGGTTATTCTGATGTCATAATGCAGATTTGTTTTTTGACAAATTTAACATTATTTTCTCATATCACTGAGGCCAAACAATTCTTTAACCTCTCAGAAATATTCTTTCTTTGTGATTGCTGTAGCTGTTACCGTAGTCCTAGCCATCACCATCATAGTACATAATCACATTTTAGCTGTTCACTTTCCTTGTGGCCTCTCTTTCTCAAGTCCTTTCTTCTAGAAGGTGCTCAAATTCACTGTTTTCATTGTTTCATGTAATTTTAAATGACTTGCCATTACAGCAAACCTGATAACACAAGGAAAAATATATAAACTAAGTGTAAGAAGGAAGTATATTAATCATCATTTGTAGATTATAGAATTTATACCAAGAAAACCTGAGACAAATAATTCACATTTTAAAAACTTTCAATTAATTGCTTTTCTATAGGACATGTATTGGAAAATGGACTTCCAACATAAAGATTCTGGACTAGAGGAGGGAAAACTGGTTTTGGGGGGTTTTTTTTTGGTTTTTTTTTTTGGTCTTAATTTTGTGCCTCACTTTATAGCCTGAACTTTGATGAAGTTCCACTTCTGTCTGAGGTCTCATAGATTCTCTTATAAGAAAAGATCCATCAATTTCTAACATTTACAATTCTTAAATCCTGTTCAGTAAATATCATGACATCTCTTCAAAACCTTTGGGCCTCACAGAGAAGACATATTTTCTCTAAAGCTCTCTTGGTCTCATGCATAGATAGTATTTATAATCTAGCACCTGGAGGAGTTCTGGTTTCCATTTCCAAAGAAGGTCTTTGGATCCTATTTCATATTTAAAGGACCATTTGGGTGAGTTTCTCACAACTAATCTTCCCTGAAATCTCTATCTCTTGTCAGATAAAAACTTTTTGCTGCTTTAAAATGATAGTTTTTTTTTTGTTTTGTTTTGTTTTATTGAATACTTTCTTAACTTTGACCCACCAAGGTTACAAGAATCATAGAGTCCTAGATTCAGCCTGGACATCTCAAATATTGCTGTGGGATTCAGTAAGACTCATGAAGTGAATTAGTTTAGTTCACCTTCCAGACAGAAAATTGAGCTTGGGGAGCATGGCAACCTCTCCTAATCAGCATTGGCTATAAAATGGATTCTAAGAAATGGAATCTGTTACTAGTATGTCTGCCTAAAAGTACCAGAAAGGAGATGGTTTCTTTGAAGTCTAGTTGAGGCAGTAAGACATAATGAAAAAGAACAGGGGTTTAGACTCAAGTAAATCTAGTTTTATCCCAGCTCCACTTCTTTTGAAATGTGTGGTTCTATCCAAATTACTTAACTTTTCTGAGCCTTTTTTTTTAATTTGGAAAATAGAGATAATAGTTGTACCTATCTCATAGCTTATTGTGAAGACTAAATTAGATATATAAAACACATTGCATGTATTATCGGGTATGTAGCAAGAGCTAGTTTTTTTTTCTATTTATGTAAGTCTGGGAAGCAGAGCCAGTATATAAAAAATAATTTTGACAACTGGTAAAATTTGAAGGTCAAAGAGAAAAGTTGCAGAAATAAAGTTGAGGTGTTGAATGAGTGATCAGAAATGATCCCCTACTTCAAAGAAAAATAAATACAGTAAATGAATGGGACAAGGTGTTAATGGTTGTTTCAAAAAATGTTACACTAACATCAGATCCTTCATGTCCCAGGTGTACTGAGTGGGTCCTGGGACATGTTTATGAAACATTAGCATAGAGTCGGGTGATAGATGTGATAAACACATCACCTTGACTTTTGTATATTTCTGGTTTTGGTGCAAATCCTTGAAAATTAATTGTTTTCTACAATTAATTTTGTGCTTTCTATAGTGCTTCATGCATTGAGTACTCTTCTTTGAACATCCGTGCAATCTGTGACTATCTAAAGCAATGTATATTATTCCCAGGTGGGTTACAGGAGGCTAGAACAGTCTAGTAAAGAGAAGTTAGATACTTAGAGAATGTACTGATCCAAAGTTTATTCAGTTACCTGATTTTACAAATACCAGCTATTTATCTTAAGGGGAAAAAGCTTTTTAATTCTCTTTCATTGTAATCTAAAAAAAATTTTACCATAAGTTTCAAAAGTCTAACATTGCTCTATTTACATTCCTAAACCCTGTTCTAATTTATAGATCATCCTACTCCAAGACATATATATTAGTTTGAGGTTTCCAGAGGAAAACTCTAAAGAGGAACTTTTTAGTGAATGGTAGTTCCCTCTTTTGATTCAATTAGCATGTAATGTTCCAACATCCAATATATGCAATTTGTTTTATAAATTTTAGAGCAGCTACTACAATAAATAATAAATGTACTATTAGAACATAGGACAATAAAAAGCTAATATGTTTAAAATATGTACTCACAGTAAAAGTTCCGTGTTTATGCTGTAGTATTTGACAAATGATAAATTAGCATCTTTCCATAAATTAGTATCTTTCCATGTATTCAATATTGAGGACATGGAGTACTGATTTGCATAAATAGCCAAGGTAACATATGCATATCACTCATAGATTTTTGATTTCTAATTTTAAATAACTACACTCTAAAGACATATTCTTAAATCAGAATGCACAGTGATGCTTAATCATCTATTTTTTTTCTTTAAGAACTCAAAATCATGTGTTACAGCTATCCTGATAAGTCTCAATTATCAGCACACAGTACTCAGAAAATGGTTTTGGTTACTTGAGCTTTATACATTTTGAATGAATTTAAATTTGGGGTTAAGGAAGATTTACAACATATGAAAAAGAAAAAAATCCAAAATTACGTTAATGTCTTCTATAAACTCTTCCCTAATGAAAGTGTAATACTGGAAAATGCATGCATTTGAAATTGGATAGACTGGGCTCAAATCTGAGCTTCTCAATTTGTCAGCAACGTGACTTTGGAAGTCACTTGACCTCTTGAACTACAAGTTTCTCATCTCTAAAATGAGAATAATTTCATTCAGTGATGTGTGGACGCTTAGAGATAATGCATGTAAAGTCTTTAGCACAAGGCCTGGTTTACAGTAGATATTCAAGAATGGAAGCTACTGATATGAAAAATATTAACACTAATAAAATTCTAATCCAGCATTATTATACTAAAACTACTAATTAAATTAATCATAATACACCAAGATATAATGTAGACTCACTAGCCAATAACTAGTTCATGACCAACACTCAATCTTAAGATAGAAAATAAACAGAAACTTTTTTTCTGTCAACCATAAAAATATTTTTCTTGAATCAAGAGTTCCATGTATACCAATAAACTTATGTTTTCAAGTTCTGTCTTTTACCTATTCATCCACTTATTTATTCACTCTGGCATTCACAGCTTTCCATAATTGATGTTCCTCTACCTCTCTGAATTTGATTTTCTTCTCCTAAGTGAACAAAGCAATACCATGTGAAATTCTGACTTAGTAGCTGTTTGTCTCGCTTTTATTTATCTGAAAAATACTCAGTAAATATAAGTAGGCTTAAAGTATGGAAGATTTCCAGTAGCATAAAAGTAAAAATTATCACTACTGTAGGATAGTCTATTGAAGAAGAGTTTGCATTTTATAGATAAATAGATAATACATTACCTACCTATATTTTATATCTATATAATTGATTAGCTTTATTTAAAAAACAGAGATAAATTATTAATCCCTAAGGTTATTTAGAGAATCGAAAGTAAAAGTCTATACAATATGCAATGTTTAGTTCCTTGCAAGTAATAAACATTCATTAATTATTAGTGATTACGATCATTATAGTGGTGATGGTGATAATAACAATGATGATGGGGAGAAGTACCAATAGAATTTTGAGACAGGGAGGAATAGTTCAATGTGATATATTTACAGCTTTATAAAATTTTTCCTAAATAATTGGTGTCATGTTTTGGTATCTTTACATAGAATGGATATCCAAGACAAAAATTCTGCCCTGGAAGATACATATTTTAACATCTAATTATTTAGATGTACCATATAATTAGAACAGATCCGTAAGTGTGTTAAAAAAATAAGGCAACTTATCTAGCTGAGATGTAGCACGTGTAATACTCATACAATTGAAGCAGCACAAAGTATGATGTAAATCATTTTACTAAGTCAGATTAAAGGTGCTATTACTCATAGTTATATAATACTATCTATAATTTCTGTGTTAAACTTGACATTATAAATCCTTTAATCTCCGTATTTAAAAGCCATTCTATGGCTCATTTTTCAAACAGATTCCCGTTAACACATTTACTGCTAATGAACCACTAACGTGTTCTCTCTTTCTTAGATAAACGCTGTTGACCAACATTATTTGCTCCTCGTATAATTATTTTTTTGGCTTTTTAATTTAATTGCTTCAATAAAAAATACCCCAATAATGCATTTTTAATTACACTTCCCAGGTGACCTATGTAAAAAGAGGTTTTATAATGAAGCCACAATAATTAGCCTGTCACAGTCCAGTTTGGGGCTATTGTCTAGTTGTCCTTTCCATGGCTTGGGTGGCATGACTAGAATTCTAAAGACCTTGTGTATTATCTCCCATAATACTTAGGAAGGTATTAAAAATGTGTGCAATACTGGCAGAAGCAGGCTTTCTAATTATTGTCAGCTATTTCTAGTGTGACGTGGTAAATTCCCTGGAGAACAGAAACAGCAGCCCACTCCAGGGTTTGTAATAGGCCCTAGAGCCTAAGTAGTTGTAGACAGAGCTGTTTCCCTCCGGATAGATAATTGGTTTACATAGCAGCTCAACATCTGAATCAAATCCATTTTTTTCTATTGTGATTTCACTGTTTACTCTAATATGCATAAACTATTTTGTTATATTAAATAGCATATGACTCATTCTTTAATGGCTGAGTAAATTTGCATGTTCTGCCTCACCTGGAATACTAATGACTGTGATGTCTGCCCATTTTTCATGCATGAAATATTAAATATTTGGTTTGTTAAGCATACATGCTTACTGTAAATAATGTGTTCTGGCAACTTCTTAAGTATGATTTGTTTGTTTTATTTTTTCTTTTATGAAACATGGCTTCAACTGTAAGAGAAATGCAGGTGATTTCCAAAAAATTTAAGGATGGTTGTCATTAGTGCAGTACAATCAACTACAGAGAATTGTTTGTGAATGTTTGCATACTATTTTTAATAGTAATATAGTGACAGTTTGTTGTACAAAGAAAGTATATAAGATTCTCAAGAATGTGCAGATAACTTGCTTCATAGCAATAAATAAATATATTGCGGTATATTGAAGTTCCAGTTAGACTTGGTTTGAATATCTCTGGTTCTGTAACTGATAGACTGCTATTGCTGAGTGTTGCACCTAAATTCTATTACAAATGCTTTTTCTTTACAACATCAAATTTTCAAGTCATCACTTTTTTCCTCAGGCCTGAAAGGAGTAAAGGTAAAAAGCATTATCACATACAGGGAGGCCAGCGCTCTTCAACAGAATCTAGAAACACTTTCTACTGTTTTGCACTCCTTTCTCCCAGCCCTCACTCCTTCTTTTCCTTCCAATTCAACAGTATAATAATCAGCCTACGCTTTCTTACCCTAAAACATAGGCCTTTTCTATGTGTACTCAGTGGAACTCCATGTAAGATGTTTATTACTATTCAATAAGATAGTTCCACTTGCCATCTGTATTTCTTTCTCCACCACTAAGTAGGCCCTGTAGATGTTTAGGGACTCAAAATAATAAGATTATTTGGCTAACTTGTATTTAATATCATGTGAATGGGCACGAAGATAATATGCTACGATATTCTGTTTTTTAGTTTCACAGAAATAAACACATTATCTTCAATGAATAAGAATATAAGGTTGGAATTAAAATACTATGTTGTTGTATCAGGCAAATTAATTGCTTCTCTGTGTTTTGACATCATGTCTAAGAGAAAAGAACTCCTCCCCCACCTCACAGTAAATGCCACAAGTAGCTCAGTGACTTCAGGCAAGCTCCTTAAATCTCTTGAGCCTCAGTTCTCTCACCTGTTAATGGGAGACAATAACACCAGCTTCACCAGGGGATAAAAATAGTTTATAGCGCATAGCACAATGCTCAAAACAGCATACAATAAATGTTACCTCCTTTCATTTTTCTTAAGTTAATGTTTTTATGCCCAATCCTGTTTTATCAGCTTAAAACCCAAATGTTACGTAAATATAACATATAGTATGACTATCATTTTAATCAGTGATTCAGAATCTGGCTTTGAAAACAAAAATCTCCCAAATACTTTACTTATACTGTATGCATTTGACATCTTATGAAATGTACATACCTCTATGTCATTTCGAATATGAAGTACCTGTGTTTTTATTTTAATAAAGGTTCAATGAGAATTGATTTGTACTTTTATTAGCAGATTATAGACATTTGAAAAATGGTAAAAACAAACTAAGACTAGAACACTTTACTTCATTAGCCAAAAAAAAAAAAAAAAACGAAAGAAAGAAAAAGAAAAGAAATATTTCTTAGAAGTATGGAAAAACAGAGTAAAAAAACCAGTCATGTGAGTGGTCAAATATCACCTTTTGGCATTTTAATAAACTGTTGCTTAGATAGAAATATCAAGCTATTACTAATGGCTATTAATGTGTACATGCTTCATGTAATTTTATAGTATCTTATTTTAATATCTGTAATTTTAATGAATTGCAATTTAGGAAAGAAACAATTTTCATTTACTTTATATAACATAATTATGGATCAAATTAACCCCACACTAGTCTTAATTACATTTAGTTTCATTTGGCTGATCAAGCAATTAACATGCTGCTGTATTTTGGAAGTAAAAACCAAGTTGCTATGGTCTTTCTTCCAAAAAACATGTACTTGTTCATCTCAAGTGTAGCAACCGTGTAAAATTATTCCTTGGAGTATTTTTTTTTCTTTTTCTTTTTCTTTTTTTTTTCGGGGGGTGGGGGTGCGGTGGTTTACCGTACACTCAGGACATTGCTGCCCAAGAATAGGTATAATGAGGAAGTGCTGCACCTGGGGTCCTGTTATATGCTTCTGCTTAATAATCTCTCCTTTATGCCACCCTTTATCTGCTACGTTCAGATTAGTTTCCATGCATTTCTCTTTTAATTGGAACTAATTTTAGGTTTGCCATTACTCGTGATTAAACAGCCTCTTTACCACACATATATTTTCTTCCGTTTAGGTATTGTTACCTTCACAATTTTCTTTAGAAGAGAGTGATTTGTCAGGGAGAGACCATCTTTTTACTCCATTAGCTAAGTTATATTGGTAAGGAGTATAATTTTAACAGCAATAAAAAATATTGAGTTTAATAATAATAGCATTCAGGACCATATGTGTATGACTGCAACTAATCCTTTTCAACTAATTGAAAATGAAAATGGCCCTTTGCAATATGTGTGTATTGTGAATAATCCTAATTAGGATAATGCAAGGTTATTTTAGCACAGTTCAGAGGCAGGGTACAGTCTCAGAAAAACAGCTTAGCTGAAGTGTAGTCCATTTAGAATTACCTTGGAACCTATGAGAAATCACAGGTTTCGAGTCATGAACACCACAGAAGAGAGGTCTTTTCAAAAGCACTGGTTCCCATTGTATTTAAACAGGTTTAAAAACTGAAAAGGCCCCATCTTGTGCTACTCTCGAGTGGGAAAAAAATTTCTAAACTTCATATAATATCCATGATAGAGTATATCTCAAAAAGGCGAAATATAAGATATTTGAACAAACTCCATGAAGTGTATTATTTGCTCATTTTCCAAAGCCTTTGTTTTTATGTTTCATGAGAAGTTTTGTTTCTCTTCAGGCTGGATAAATATAGTAGCTTTCCCTTGTTTTCCTGTGGCATTTCATATTGTGTCTAGATTTGTTAGATTGCATCAGTCACATTTGATTACATTATATCATGTCAAAGAACAATGAAAAATAAGGGATTTTTCTAACTCTTTACTGAAAGAAGGAGGATTCATGGTCTGCCAGATTTCTTTCTTTCTTTTCTTTTTTTTTTTTTTTTTTGAGATGGAGTCTCACTCTGTTGCCCCGGCTGAGTGCAGTGGTATGATCTCAGCTCACTGCAACCTCCACCTCCCCGCAGGTTCATTCTCCTGCCTCAGCCTCCAGAGTAGCTGGGATTACAGGTGCCCACTACGACGCCTGGCTAATTTTTGCATTTTTAGTAGAGACCAGGTTTCACCATGTTGGTCAGGCTGGTCTTGAACTCCTGACCTCAAGCAATCCACCCACCTCGGCCTCCCAAAGTGCTGGGATTACAGGCGTGAGCCACTGCGCCCAGCCCAGATTTCTTATGTAAATATTCCTTTTCATATATAATGATAGAAACAAAAATAGAGTAGTAAAATATTAGCAGAGGGAAACCAATAATGGCTGACAATTTCAACAAGACATGCTAATTGTAACTAATTTTATTTCACTTGTCTGACAAAAAATTAAAGCTCTATTGTGTACAGACCTATTAAGAATTTATTATTTAAAAATTATGGTTAGGGTTTGAGTGTTTGAAATTAGTAATAACTAAAGATAAATTTTATGTATTAATTTTTTGTTTGTTTGTTTTTTTGAGATGGAAACTCGCTCTGTCGCCCAGGCTGGAGTGCAGTGGCATGATCTCGGCTGACTGCAACCTCCACCTCCCGGGTTCAACCCATTCTCCTGCCTCAGCCTCCTGAGTGGCTGGGACTGCAGGTGCCCACCACCACGCTTGGCTAATTTTTTTGTATTTTTAGTAGAGACGGGGTTTCACCATGTTAGCCAGGATGGTCTCGATCTCCTGACCTCGTGATCCGCCTGCCTCGGCCTCCAAAAGCGCTGGGATTACAGGCATGAGTCACCACGCCTGGCCTTCATGTATTAATTTAAACAAGCATTTTGAGAAGTTATGTCATTAGATTAGTAAGATTTTCTATTGCTTCTACTGTTTTGAGTTTTCTTTCACAGTGAAATAATCATCCCAATCAGATATTTTGTCAATAAATAGGTTGTATAGCTAAGTGCATATTGACTATTTTAAATCAAGTCAAAAAGAGTACCAATGCAAAGTGTTTAATACTTTAATTTCTTACTTAAAACAAAGCAGATAAAATAGGAAAATATATCTAGGAATTCTCTTTACTCTCAATGACCTCCAGCAAAAGACTACCAGGAAAATACCTGTACTTGACTAAGTTGTGATTATTACTCTTTGTCATGAAGGAAAATATGCCCACAGGAACTGTGGGGTATCCAGTAAGATGTTGTTAGAAAGGATTTATGAGATTCAGAGTTTAGTTGCATGATGTGTGGGTGGGTCCAAGTAAGTGAAGGTTTGCTCTGGAGTGGGTACTGTCAATAGGTGGGTACAATTCTATGGCTGGGTGTTTCCATAATTCTCATTTAACTGCAGGGTAGACTAAAACTGTACTTGGTAAAGAAGCAGTAGTAACTAGTATTAGCTAGGATAGCGAGATATTTGGTCATTTTTATGGTTTGGAAAATGTTCATGATTTGTTTTCAGGTATGATTACAGAGTGGTCTTATTGCCTAGTTCTGTCATGATCACAGAGTGGCCTTGTCTGATATTGATGTTCTGTGAAACCCTTTGTATTCAACAGGAGAACTAAGTCTTGGCTGATGGTACTAGGCCAGCTCATAGCAACACATCAGGGCTCAGATGTTAATATCAGGCCACCAGTTCCTGATGTCAGAGGCTGCCTTCTCCTTTCTGTTCTATGCCTTTTTATCTTGACCCTACTGTTGATCATAGTAGGTAACTGCCCAGAAGAAAAAGTGAGAAAAATCTTATTTCTTTGTTTCTACTACTCTTTCTAGGACAACTTATCACATCTATGGACACCTCTTACTTGTGTAATGGAAATTTCAATCTATAATGTAGTTTTGATTCCTATCTTTAAATCTAGACCTTCATTTGTGGGGGTGGGGAGGTGGGGGTGCTGCCTAATTCTTATCACTCACTTAAACGTACATTGTCTAAAATGAATCTCCACGTCTACCTTCTTAGATCTGCCCCTCCACAGAGCCACCCTGGACATCCATCTCTCTTCCGTGTCCCATCACCAGGACTTATTGATTCTTCTCCTAAAACTCTGAAATCCATACTTAAGAACTAGCTCAAAAGTTATTGTCTTCATTCTCTAAAACTAATTGCTACTTTCTCTACAGTCTGTATTCCTTTGCAAGGGTGATTATTACATTACTTATGTTTCTAGATGTGTTTGGTCCTCTTCCCTATGTCTGACTCATTTTTTCCTCTTCAGCCTCTTACACAAGAGGAAATATAGCATACAAGTTAAGACCATAGGCTTCAGAGTCATGCTGCCTACGTTCTTATCTTGGCTCGGCCAGTTCCTAGCTGTGACATCATAGCCACATCATTTAGCCTCTCTGGGCTTCAATTGCATCATCTGTAAAATGGGGTTGTTAATAATGGATCTATCTTAGAGTTGTTCAGAAAATTAAATGAGACATTCATGTTCTTGAAACAATGCCCCAAACACAATAAGCCCTCAGTAAGTTTATTATCTATTATTACCACTTGCCTGCCTCATAGACAAGGCTCACAAAATCTTTGTTGAATTGGGTCAATATTGAATTTCCAATCATTATATAGGAAAGGGGCAGTCAGTTAGGATACGAGGACAATATTTCATCTTCACATCAGTTGAGTTATGCTAGTGAGTTTCCAGGTGGGCTGAAGTCTGACCCTGGTACTCTACTGAAAAGCAAGAAGCCAGCAGATGAAGAGGTTTTATAACCACGAAGGGCTGGGTTTGTATCTGGGCTCAGCTTTGAGTACACTCCTTCATTTTGCTGAACTTCCTCTGTAAAGTAAAAATATTACCTAATTCACAGGTTATTTTGAAAATTAAATGGGCTAATAATGCATGTGAACTAATGAGCTAAGTAACAACCAGTTTATTTCATATATATATTTGTTAATTATTAATATTTTACCTTAACTTATCCTTCCACTGTGCAAGGACATACCCACCCACATACAGCTTTCCTAATAGTATGGTAAGGAGCCAGCTAGATAGGGCTACGGTGCAATTCTCTGATGAATGTCTTTGGAAGTTCCCATGAGACATGTCACTTGTTTAAGTGAGGCCTTGATCAGTAATGAAATCCATCAAGCTAGAAGTAATATGGCTTTCGATGGAAACACAGGATGTAAATTGAGGTTGGATTACCTAGTCAGAATAATTAAGAGATGATGAAGTCTGCGTCAGGCACTAGTTAAGAGAACTGGGCAGGATCCAGGCCCAGGTGGAGGGAAGGTTTTAAGGCAAACAGATCAGCATAAGTCACAGCATTTGACCAGGGCTGGCACCACCCAGTGGTAGACCCTATGGGATTTGTAAGGTTAGGAGAGCAAGAGAAGGTCAAGCAGTCTGTCTTTGTCAGGAAAACATAACAATGAAAATTTCAAGTAGACAATTGTCTAAACTGGTATTGGAGGGCAGGAAAGGTAACAGGAAGATACAGAAGTTAACACAGAGATAGTAACAGGAGGGGGCACATACTTCCCCAGGGATTAGGGGTAGGGGACAGAGGGAAGAGCTGGAGGAACCAACAGCACTCCAGGTGGATTGATGTACTGCCAGCCCTCAGATCTATACTCTCAGGTTCCCAGTGCTGATTAGCTCGAAACCTACTCTTCCATATTGTGCTTTGTGATATTGGGACTAAGACCATGCAAATTTCACCTCTCATTTTCAAGCTGTTTCTCTGCTAAGTTCTGCTATAGTATCACTAACGTGATACTATAAAACTGGGGGGTGGAGAAGGAACTTGCTCTGACATGTTTTACATGACTTCCTATGACCAGCACCCTGGCAATGACCCTTCACCTTGAGTATTGGAAACTGGCTAGAGTTTCCAGCTTTCCCCCTGTATTCCTGGAACCAGCACCGTTACTTTCACTTAGAATCATCAGCACTACGTGGAGAGCATTTCTTCCTCAGAGGGGACCCAGCTTTATACAATTCACCCTCCAAACTTCTAAATCTGGTTCCTTCAACCTCTTCTCTCTGTTACCCCATCCCTAGGGAGTTAGCTTCTCCCTGAAGTTACTATGTCTGTGTTACCTCCATGTATTCTTGTTAAAAGTCCAGTTCTCCAGTGCCCAGGTAACCAATTCCCTATCGAAATGCTGTTTCTGTTTTTCTGACCTGACTCTGACCGACATATACTCACATGCCCTTAGGACATCTTCGGATTTCCACACAAAAATTAGATGGCGCCAGCTCTCTTTTGTGCAAACCAGACATCTAGAGAGTGAGAGAATGTAAGAGGGAGTTTGGGAGTGTTATGTTCATAGTAGTATCTCAGATGAAAAGCTTCCTGAGCTTCTCATTCCTAACACCCACCATTACTCTTTTTCCTTGTGCACTGCCAATCTTTTTTTGTATGCTGTACACTCTGGGAGATATAGTTCCCATGGCAGCATCTAGACTGGCACTTATTAAATGTCCACTGATAAATCAAGTAATTAAATAGGGCATGAAAATGTTTTTGTGTATTTGTGTGAAAATGATGACAATTACCTATATCTAATGCCCAATAATATAATCATTAATAGAACTCTGTGCCTGTAATGCAGTACTCTTCCATGACTCATTAAAAAAATCACACAATAGTTTTATTTTTTGACTATAAAGATATTTAAATTACAAATATGACATGATACGTATCTTGTGGCATTTCCTAGGTATTAAGGAAAATAAATGGACCTTGCGAACTTTCTATAGCCAGATTAACAATGACAAATTTGGAAGCAAGTATATAACCCATTCCTTATATTTTCTGTTAACTTCAAATGTATTCAATAGAAAACTCAGATATAGACGGAAAGTCATTACCTATTTTACAAAGAATGCAATCCACATCAAGCACATTTTGAAAAATTTAAAATAATATTATTTAAAAACAATCGTTTAGGAAGTGAGTTTTACTGGCAACTTTTTAAGTTTGCAGTTCATGACTAAAGGAATTTGTTAAAATTTTAGCAGCATATTTTGAAGATAAGTATGTCATTATAATAGAGACAAGAGACAGCCAAATGCCTAGGCAAATAGGGAAGGGTCCTCAGGGAACCTCTGACCTGCCCAGGTCATTGTGCACAGAGGGCTTGCCTAAACATGACCACAGTGAAAAATTCCATCCCTTAACACGTGCGCAGTAAGCTGAAATAAATCAATGTGGGGTGGCTCAGACCAAGGGTTGCATATGCACTGGGAGAATGTCGTGGAGCCACCAGGAATTTGTGCCTTATGGAGAGGAGGAGCCTGGCCCTTTCAACTCATGTGTGGTGGCCTGGTATTCAATTTGTGAGGGGGAACCTGCATGCAGGACCCCTCTTTTAGTTGAGAGCTTTCCTTTTGCTTTCAATGTGTCTGCATGCCTAATTTTTCCTGGTTGTGAGACAAAAACCTGGATTTAGCTGAACTGTGGAGCAAAAAATCCTGCCTCAACTATATGGATGTATGAATTATATTTTGCATATAATGAATGCAAAAGACTTATTCTCTAGTAACTAAAGGAATTAGTGTGTTTTCAAATAGATCTAAAAATATCTACTAAGAAATTATGGAAAAATGACTTAGCACTTAAACATTTGTGGATAATGAGGGTCAGGTAGTTTTGAGTGTTATATGCTTATATAGTTCTTTGTAGTTTTCAAAGGATTTTCACACATGTATTTCACTGAATTTAATTACAGCATTTTGAGGTAAATACATGTACATAGAGGAAACTTCTGGGAATCCCTCGTGTACCTGGCTTTCCCTGACTTAATGCACCATATAACAAAACTCCCTTTAAATAGCTACTAGATTAATTACTATCTTAAGCTTATGGGCTTAAAATTGTTATGATCATAGAACCATTGACTTGGATACAGACTGTATGTTTGGTTAGGATGGAGCAGAGAGGTAGCATGGACTGTGGACATTTCTGATGAAGACTGATAAGACCCATTCAGTCAGTCTTTTAAAGGAGAAATAAAGCACAATGTCTGATGTGGCAGCCTGACATAACACAACTTGGTTCTGGCATGCTAATACTACTGTTTATGCTAGGAACTGTTGCTGGAAGTTCTCTTTCTTCCCTGACCAAAAAAAGATGACTTGTTATTCTGGAAGACCCACTGGCTCCTGAGCTTCTATTTCCCATTCATCTTTATTTTGTTAGATCAATGAGCTCGGGCCTCCCTAAGTGTCTACAAGAGTGCCTAGGGTATATTTGCAGGAATAAAATAATTGGACAAATCCAAGAGGAAAAAAATGTACTAGATTTTTAAGCAAGTGTTTAATGCAAGCTATGGCTCCTGGCTCACATCCATTAGTTATGGATGAAGAGGCAGAATGTCAGAGAGGATAAACAACTGGTCCCATTTATGTCCTCTAACTCCTAGTTCTAGGTTCTTTTGCAATGGTGTGCACCCATTGGAGAAGAAAATTGGTAGGAATCCACCCTTACTAGCACTTGCACAGATAATAGGAGAGCTTAAGTAGGTGTGTATATGCACACACATACACACATATGGTATGTTTTTAAATCTTATTACGTCATTAAATAATGTGACAAGATGATAAAGGTTATACAAGACTTGAGGAGAAAATACTCTGAGGCTGAATTTTAAGACATGATTTGGGAATGAGGGACATTGTGGAAGATCGATAAACTAGGGAGATGTAATCCCCCTCAAATAGGTAATTAGGATATTTATAGGGCTTGAATAAAAAATATAAAAGAAGAAAGGCCTCATTGGTTTAGTTAAGATGACCTAATAATTTCTTCCAGTCATGCTGTAGATTTTTGGATGGAGAGAAACATATACAGTTAAAGCATACACACAACATTGAACTTGTTTTCCTGGTTAACCCCTGGGTAGAGTGTGTGGACTGTGGAATGCTTTAACATTAGAACCTGGTTATAGAAAACAGGAAATGGTTGAAGGACTAAAGATGCTGCCAGGTTAAGTCATTCTCCCTACCAGATAGAATAAAAAGATAATTTTACATAGAAAAATTTATGAATATTAAATAAATAGTAATCATTCATAAGACTATTATAAATGATGATAGTTATTTCACCTTCAAAATAAGCATGTTTGTGTAGTAATGTGATAGGTTGTTATAAAATTCTAAATTTGCAGTACATGAATTGGGAACACTTACTCAGTTCTATAATTTGTGGAGGCAAATGAAGCCTTTCAGATTTCTAGAGCAAAGAATTATTGAGATTTTCTACATGAGGTGGGAAATATATATAAACCTTTTTCCCTTGCTAATATGTGTGGGTAGATGCACTCTGTGAATGCCTCCTGAATTTCTAGCATCCGCCACTGTAATGGCCACTTGTGTTAGTTTAGTCTGCTATAACAGAATACCTACCATAGATTGGGTGGCTTAAGCAACAAACATATACTTCTGGAAGCCGAGCGTTTGAGATCAGGGTGCTAGCATAGTTCGGTTCTTGATGAAGGCCCTCTTCCTGGTTTATAGATGGCTGTCTTCTTGTATCCTCACATTGCAGAGAGAAAGATAATCTCTTTTGCCTCTCTTCTCAGAAAGGCACTAATCCCATTCAGGAGGGCACCACCTTCATGCTAATTACTTTTCAAAGGCCCCACCTTCTAACCATCACACTGGGGGAAAGAATTTCAGCATATGAATTTTTGGGGTACACAAGCATTCAGTCCATTAACACCACTAAACCATTTTGAAGAAACAAAATAACCCATTTTGGCACTGTCTTAATCATCTCTAAGGAAAACATGTACTACCAGCTGTGGCTTGGTCATTTTCTGTAGGAATAGACTATTATAAGCTATATATACCCTTAGAACCATAGACTGTCAAAGTTGGAAGGGGTATTTAAAGTATTTGATCTAACCAAAATCCCAATGTCTTCCACCTTGCTTTAAGCTGATCATTCAGTTTATTTTTAGATATCTGCAGTGACAGAACTTTATCTTTCGAGGTAGTTTAGACAGAAACCATGATTTTTGTGACCAGTTTGACCTCAGGAGGCTAGAATGAAGCTAATTCTATCTATGTGAAGAGAGTGTTATACCACTTTGGAGTAAGTATTTCCATGAAAAGTATCCATTTTTGTATCAATTGTTTCTCCTTTGACAGTTTCAAGTTCATTTTGTATTTTGGCCAATTGTTTTAGAGGAAGAGTTAGCCTTTCCAATTACCTACTCCTCTACCTGCCTCCTATATTTAAAGATGCACGCAGCAGTCACATTACAGTTACTTAGTTCAGTGTTTCCTAAATTAGGTTCTGGGGAACATTATTCTCATAAGCATATTCTGTGAAAAAAGTTTCAAAGGACAAATGCATTCTGGAAGTTTTGCAAATCTATATGCTTTTCGTGGGGATTCACAGTGAATATTATCATACCAAAAACTCTAAGAAGCCCTTGAGAAAAGAAACCTGTTTAACTTTCTATAGTTTAGTATTTCCCAAACTTATCTGATCTCAGAACTCTTTTTCAAGTAACATCTGCTAGTATTTCTTTGAACCAACTGTTCTTTAGAAATGCATGTTGAGAAATGCTGGCCATAAATTTACTGAGATGTCAGATCACAGGAGGAGGGTGGAACAAATATTTGGTCGAGTAAGTTTTACTAATGGGAGATATCATGTAATGAGAAGAAAAGGCAACATAATCACTACAATACAAGTTTTTGCCTTTGCTCTTCCCTGTTTTGACCAAGCCCCACTCTGTGCCCTACTGTTTTGCTCCTGTTTGTTTTGACCAATGCATGAGCACCATAGCCTCATATAGAACTACAAGTCAGTGAACATTTGTAAGAGCTCTATGGAGCCTTAAAACATCATAAATAAGATCACAACTGTTCTTTTTTAAAGAAGGGCAATGGATTAGAAAGAATTAGCCACAGGGAGTATTACAAGCATTCATCTTCTTTCATTATACTTTAGAGACACATGGTTATATGGCATGCAATTCCTTGCCAGACAAAAATAAAATGGCTAAAACCCTCTATGAATATTTAATAATTAAAGATTATTTATTATCAAGCAGAATCGACCAGAGTGGTTTCCAGAAACAGTCCCTTTCATTTGGATAGCAAGTTATAGGAGAAATGTAAAATCTTAATAAGCCAAACCAAGAAAGAAAAAAAAGAGGCCTATTATTTAAACCATATTTTACAGGTAAATGCTAGCAATTGTGGCTTTCAGATGATATTTCCCTGTTATGATTTGGTAATATTTGCAACAAGGGTTTAATACTTTTGACCTGTGTTTTATTACTTACCAGTAATTTTATAGCTAACAACCAAACTGAAGCAAAATCAGAGAATGGACACAATTACAGTAGAATTTACAGAGCACACAGTTCGTCTACCTCTGACTAGCCAATATAAAATGTCTCCATTAACATAAAGGGTCACCCTCAAATCAGGGTTCTCTAAATTGTTTGATTAGATAATATTTTAAAAATTAAGAGAAAATATTGTTATAATAACAGGGTAGGTTTATTGACTAGAAAATAAGGATTCCTTTTTAAAATCTCCTTTTTGTGGAACGTTAACCAATACTCTTCATTACGATAATTATTGTATTTCTAAATTGAGGAAACTGGTAGAAAATAAAGCCTTTTTTGTTGACAGTCAATAAATGTTAAAAAAAAATAAAAAATGAAAACTGCAACAACCCTGAAAAAAGAAGCAGGATCCCTCAGAAGGTAGAACTGAGAAAATGAGGTTGACTGAGATGTTAACCAACAATAATAATTGATAAAGTGCGATGTTGTTTCATATCTATTACACACGCACACACACACACACACACACACACATCAGCTCCAAGAATGTATATGAAAATATGATAGAAGAAAAAAGGAATAGGGGCCTCCTTTATTTTGTGGTTTTAAAAATAGGAATTTATAAGAAGGGAGTTCACATAAAATATTAAGAAAAGCAGAAGAGAATATCTCCACCTTTATTTCAGTGCTTTGACAATGACACTAGCAAGTATTGATTAAGAGGTGTTATCATACTGATAAATACTCAATATATCCTGTGCTGAGTTAGTATTTTTAGATCATAGAATACTTACACAAATTTTTCTAAACGTAATACAATTTCATTAGAGATACTACTTTCCTCCCACAGCTTTTGAGAAGCGGATACCCTCAGTGATTAAACTGTGTGGGATTTTGAATCCTAGTTCTACCACTCGTTGGCTGTATGATGGAAGGTAAGCTCTTTACATCTTTGAGCCTCAATCACTGGTTATTTGTATGTAAAATGTGTACCAATGCCATCCTCACTGTGTTATGGTCACAATTTATACAAGACACCAGTGTGTCTTTCCTTTTCTAAGTGTGTCGTAAACCTTATATCTCTTTCTTTGCTCTCTTTCTCTTTCTCCTTTTCTTCATCCTTCTTGTCTTCTTTCTACTTGTAATTTCCTCCCTCTGTCTTCTTATTATTACTACTACATTCCCTGCTTCTGACATCTCATTTAGAATCACCATATGATTTCTGGCCCCTTTTGAATCAAAATTCACTAGATTAAAGACAAATGTGGCACCACAGCAGTAGCTAAAAATAGTCACCTTAATGGGTTAATGAAAAAGAAATGTTGGGAAGAGAATAGTGGTATCTCAGTTTCTCAGACTTTCTTCTTCCATTGACTCCACCTTTAAAATAGGCCCAGTGATGCAGTGAAATGACTCTGAAGGAGCCTGTCAGAGAACCTGGCCTGAGGATTGCATTGGGTGGTATATGTCAGACTGAACAGCCTTGCTACCAGCAGAACTATATACATGGTACCTCTTCTAGCTTCTCTTCTGCCCCAGTATACTCACAGGCTGGGGGCAGCGTGGGGGGTTGGGGAAGGAGTTAAGAATTCAGTGGCAAAAGTTGAAGAAATTATGAGGATTCTGACATTTAAGAATTTCTTTTTGCTGTGCCTTATAATTTTTAAATGTCAGAGAGAATTGGAATGGCTACTAAGTCTGAAGAAATTAGCACAGAGTTAGGTCAGTTTTTTTTCACTAAAATTGGCTTGTTTGTTTCTAGCAAATAAGCATTGTACTCTAATACGACCATTTCTTTTCTTCCTATGTAACTGCTCCACCATTGGTTGTAAGACAAAGGGCCACAATTTCAAAGACAAGGCAATAAAAACAAAAGCAGATTTGTTTTATTGAGTATAGAGACTTTTGCCTATTGAGGCAATAAAACAGGAAAGAAGCTAAAATGTTTGATGTGTTTCACATTCAAATAGTTTTATTATTGAGAGGCTTATCAATAAGGCATAAGTGCACCTATTCAGAGACCCTGGGGTCAACTTTAAAGTAATATTGATATTTAGATTTTCTATACTAATCAATTAGGCTGTAAAATAGTGTTCTTTGAAAAGTGAGCCCAAAGAAAAAACCCAGTAAACTACATTTTCACTAGATTTACTACCAATAAAAGACAAGAAATTTCTGAAGCCTGTAATAAACATCAACTTACTTAGGATTTGACTTGCCAGTAGGAGGGAGAAATTCTGGATGTAAGAACTTCTGCTCTTGATTTTTTTCTGTTATCTTGTCCACATACAAAGAATTTTGATATGATTTGTTCTCCATCCTTAAGGCTTGGTTCAAAGGCCATATTCTTGATGAAACCTTCCATGTGTGAGCTCCCCTATATGGGAGCATTTTATCCTTACTCTGAATGTCCAAAACACTTCACACTTCTTGTTCACTACTCATACATATTATTTTCTATCTTATGTTGTCATTATTTCTATACGATTTGTATAATACCTATTAAATGTTAGTCTAGGGAAGCAAGACGTTCGTCTTACTTTTATATTCACCACAGTGCCTTACACAAAATAAACCATCAAATTACTAAATATATGAATGAATGAATGACTCCCCGCTTGAGGTCTATCACTTTGGGGCTAAATGTCAAGGGGAGATACAACACACACACGTACACGCACACACACACACCACATGAAACAGTCTGAAATGTGTGCCATAAACAGAGATTGAGATTTTAGAGTCTCGAGAGAACCCAGAGATCTTCTCTTTAACTATTGGCCCATATTTGACTCAATAAGATGCTAAAGCTCAGGGAAATTAAATACAAATAGTAAGATGAGCAGTATGCCTGAGAACATAAAACAACATAATATATAATAATATAATATTTATGTGTAAGTTGATATTATTATATTATTCACTTATACTGTTCACTTATTCAAGTGTTCTTGAACTGTAAGAAAAGTTTAGATTATGTTGTTTTATGCCTTTATTATTTTCTGAACCATTTATATGTGAATGTATGTATATATGTAACTATGTGTCTATGTGCGTACGTGTGTATTTACTATTTTTAGTGAAAGAGGTCCTAAGAGGCAAGTGAATAGTAAAGGCCATATCAGGAATTCCTGGCAGAGCCCATACTAGAATCCTGTCTCCTAGCCATGGGTGTTTTACATCCTGGAAATATTACTGGTACTCTATTGCCTGGACCTACTAGTTACTCCTCTATCTGGCTCAACTAAAACACCCAGCTCACAGATGTTATATGGGATCTGGAGTTGAATGAGGATTCCCAATATAGATAAGTGTAGGAGACAGGTAGGATAACACAGATTTCCAAGATTGCAAAAACAATTTAAATCTCATGGGCTACCATTTATCTTTATATTACTATATCACTTTACTCTTCTTAGAAAAGAATCTTTCTAGAGGTTGTTGCAGCTATAAGGAACTCTTCTTAGAAAAGAATCTTTCTAGATGTTGTTGCAGCTATAAGGAACTCTTCTTAGAGAAGAATCTTTCTAGATGTTGTTGCAGCTATAAGGAAGATATGAATTCTCACAAATCTCCTCTCACATGTGATGAGGAAAGAGACACAGAGTTGTTTTTAGGGTTACATACGTAATTGCAGATAGAACCAGGATTTGAACCTAAATGTTTAAAGTCATGGTCTTGTGTCCTTTCATCTTCTGTTGATGCCTCCAAATATGTCTGAATAAGGAGCATATGAAATGAAGAATGATTACATTTATTTAGAAATGTAAGCAATTGTCCTAACAGATTACCTTTCTATTGAGGAAATCAAAACATTTTATGAACATGCAGCATGAAAATGCCAGCAGCTATATTACATAGGTCATGAAAGTTAGAAAAGGTACTTTCATGTCGTATTCTTTATCCAAAGAGAGATTCAAGCATAAACATTCAACTTGTATTTATTAACAGATTCCATTGGCTTTTGTTTACCAAGTATTGCAAATATCTAAATGGCTTTTTTCTGTAAACAACAAAAACAACAATAAAATAAAACAAATCAATTTAGTAGGTGTTATTTTTCTGAATTAGTCCATTCTTGCTTTGCCATAAAGAAATATCTGAGATTGGATAATATATTTAAAAAGAAGCTTAATTGGCTCACAGTACTGCAGGCTGAACAGAAAGCATGATGCTGGCATCTGCTGGGCTTCTGGGGAGGCTTCAGGTAACTTAGAATCATGGTGAAAGGTGAAGGGGAAGCAGTCACATCACATGACCAGAATGGGAGCAAGGGAGAGAGCAATAGGGGTGGGTTGACTACACATTTTAAACAACCAGATTTCACAAGAACTCACTCACTATCATGAGGACAGTACCAAGAGGGATGGTGCTAAACCATTCATGAGAAATCTGCCTCCATGATCCAGTCACCTTTCACCAGACTCCACCTCCAACACTGAGATTACATTTCAATGGGTGGGGACACAGATACAAACTATATCATTCTGTCCTGGCCCCTCCTGAATCTCATGTCCTTCTCAAATTTCAAAATACAATCATGCCTTCCCAATAATCCCCAAAGTTTTAACTCATTCCAACATTAACTCACAAGTCCAAAGTCCAAAGTCTCATCTGAAATAAGGTTAGTCCCTTTTGCCTATGAGCTTGCAAAATCAAAAAAGAGATACTTCAAGAAGCAATGGGGGTATACACATTGTGTAAATACTATCATTGCAAAAGGGAGGAATTGGCCAAAAAAATGAAGGGCTATAGACCCCACTCAGGTTCAAAACCCAGCAGGGAAGTCATTAAATCTTAAACCTCCAAGATAATCTCCTTTGACTCCATGTCCCAAATCCAGGGCACACTGTTGTAAGAGGTGGGCTCTCAAGGCTTTTGGCAGTTCTATCCCTGTGGCTTTGCAGTGTTCAGCCCCTGGAGCTGCTCTCATGGGCTGGCATTTAGAGCCTGTGGCTTTTCTAGGTGCACAGTGCAAGCTGTTGGTGAATCTACCATTCTGGGGTCTGGAGGATGGTGGCCTACTTCTCACAGCTCCACTAGGCAGTGCCCCAGTGGGGATGCTATGTAGGGCCTCCAGCCCCACATTTCCCCTCCACATTGTCCTAGTAGCAGTTTTCTGTGAGAGCTCTCCCCCTGCAGCAAGCTTCTGCCTGGATACCCAGCCCTTTCCATACCGCCGTTGAAATCTAGATGGAGGCTCCCATGGCTCAACTCTTGCACTCAGTGCACCTGCAGGCTTAACACTACATGGAAGCCACCAAGGTTTACAGCTTGCACTGTCTAAAGGAGTGGCCTGAGCTGTACCCCTCTGAGCCATGACTGGAGCAGCCACGATGCAGGGAGCAGAGACCCAAGGTTGTGTAAGGCAGCAGGGCCTGGCCCTCGCCCATGGAACCATTCTTCCCTCCTAGGCCTCTGGGCCTGTGATGGGAGGGGGCCCTGTGAAGGTCTCTGAAATGCCTTTGAGGCCTTTTTCCCATTGTTTTGGATATTAGCACCTAGGCTCCTATTAATTATGCACATTTCTCTAGCAAGTAGTAGCTCCACAGCCTGCTTGAATTTCTCTCCAGAAAAAGGTTTTTTTTATTTATTTAATTAATTAATTAATTTTTATTTTTTATTTTTTGGTTGTTTGTTTGTTTGTTCATTTGTTTTCTGTGCCACAAGGCCAGGCTGCAAACTTTTCAAAGTTATATGCTTCATTTCCCTTTTAAATATAAGTTCCAACTTCATGTAATTTCTTTGCTACTGCATATGAGCATAGGTTGTTAGAAGCATCTAGATCACATCTTGAATGCTTTGATGCTTAGAAATTTCTTCTGCCAGATGCCCTAGGTCATTACTCTCAATTTCAGCCCTAAAGCAGGGTCATAATGCAGCCACATTCTTTGCTAAAGCATAACAAAGGTGACCTTTGCTCCATTTCCCAATAAGTTAGTCCTTTCCATCTGAGACTTCAGCAGCCTGGACTTAATTGTCCATATTATTATCAGCACTTTGGTCACACCATTTAACCGGTCTCTAAGGAGTTCTGAATCTTCCCTCATCTTCCTGTCTTCTTCTGAGCCCTTCATAATCTTCCAGCCTTTACCTGGTAACAAATTCCAAAGCTGTGTCCACATTTTCAGGTATCTTTATAGCAATGGCTCACTTCTGGTACCAATTTTCTGTATTAGGCCATTCTTGAATTGCTATAAAGAAATAACTGAGACTGGGTAATTTATGAAGAAAGGAGGTTTAATTAGCTCACAGTTCTGCAGGCTGTGCAGGAAGTATGGCAGCATCTGCTTCTGGGGAGGCCTTAGGGAGCTTTTATTCATGGTGGAAGGCAAAGCAGGAGCAGGCACATCACGTGGTGAAAGCAGGACCAAGAGAGAAAGGAGGGAGGTGCCACATACTTTAAACGACCAGATCTCGCAAGAACTCACTATCTGGAAGACAGCATGTATTAGTCTGTTCTCACCCTGCTAATAAAGACATACTCAAGACTGGGTAACTTATAAAGGAAAGAGGTTTAATGGACTCACAGTTCCACATGGCTGGAAAGGCCTCACAATCATGGTGGAAGATGAAGGAAGAGCAAACGGACGTCTTACCTGGTGGCAGGCAAGAGAGAATGAGAACCAAGTGAAAGGGGAAACCCCTTATAAAACCATCAGAACTCATGAGACTTATTCACTACCACGAGAATAGTATGGGGGAAAATGTCCTCATAGTTCAATGATCTCCCACCAGTTCCCTCCCACAACACATGGGAATTATGGGAGCTACAGTTCGAGATGAGATTTAGGTGAGGACACAGCCAAACCATATTACAGCACCAAAGGCATGGTGCTGAATTATTCATGAGAAATCTGCCCCCATGATCCAGTCACCTCTCACCAGGCCCCGCCTCTGACATTGGGGATTACATCTCGACATGAGATTTGGGTGTGGGCACATACAAACTGTATGAGTAGGTGAATACTTGGATAAACACTGTTGAGCATTTGAAGTATCCTTCCAAACATTTTTATGAATATATAAACATAAATCTAAACATGGGATATTTAAAATTTTAGTCAAATGTATACTATTCTATAACTGGCTTATTAACTTCATGATTTGATGTCTATAATGTATTTAATCACTCTCCTATTACCGGATATTTAGCTTGTATTTTTTTCTTTTATATACTAATCTGTGAAGGCGCATTCTGCCTCTTACACCTTTATACACTTAGCACTTATTTCCTTATGATAAAGTCTTAGATATAGAATAGCTGGTCATTTCAGATTAGGTTTCCCAATAGCATACTTGGAGGTGAAGGTGAAGATCGTATTTAGGAGTTGTATTTAGGAGTGCTGGTAAAGTCAACACCTGTGGGATATAAGGGAGGGGAGGAAGCAGGATTAGTGATGTATTGACTGCCTTACAGTCTCTCAAGGAAAGCTGAAATCTCTGCTTTTCCCCCAGGGAAATTTTAAGCTGGAATGGCCTCTTAGAGTCACCTCAAGTTGGAATGAGTAGATTGGCCCTGAATTGATTAGTCACTGGCTGCAGTCTGCCCAAGGAAGGGCTGTTCTGCCTTTGAGCAGGTGGCTCTCTCCTCCAGAGAGATTCCTGAAGACAATTGACAGCTGAGGGCTATCTGGTAGAAGCACTCCCAGGAGCTGGGGAAATAGTTCCACATTTCTGAAGGGGGCTGGGCTGGGCAGTGCATCACTGCACTGGGTCGAAGGCAATACACGTGACATAATTGATAAATTGTGCAAGATTACCATCCAAAAAGTTGCTGAATTATACTCATTTCTTTAGCAATGCGCGAGAGTTTTTGTTGTCCCATACCCTTAACATTGCTGAGAAATATCAATCTTTATATTTGCCAACATGGTAGACAAAAATCTTCATTGCTGTTTTAATTTGCATTCATTTATTAATGAGATTAATATCTTTTCACATATTGAAAGGCCATGCATATTTCTTTAGTGACTTGCCTATTTATGTCTTTTTTGCCATTTTCAATTATTGTGCTAATCTTTGTGCAGTAAGGATATTAACCATTTACTTGTTATATACGTTACAAGTATTTTTTTCAAGTTTATAATTTGTTTTTTAATATTCTTTATCCATCACTGTAGTCTTTTATATAATCAAATCTATCTTTTTCTGATTTCTACCCTTTATGGTAAGAAGACACTTTTCTTACTCAAGATTATAAAAAAGTCTTCATATATACACTTTCAATACTTCATGGTATGTTGAATCCATTTTGAATTTACTTTCATAAATATATATAATGTGATACTAAAATTTAAGTTGGTGTTCAGACACCAAGATATAAAAGATCCCTTATTTCTTAAGTATCTAGAGGCCAGACATATGCAGCCATACAGTTTTATATTGTGATGGTTGCAGGACTTTGACCTCTCAACCACATCAGGAATACATGAGGGTCAGGAGCCGCTGACTGAAGGAGAGTCTGGTCTTTGGATAAAGCTCTTACTGTACTAGTGAGACTAAAGCTCTTACTGTACTAGTGAGACTAAAGCTCTTACTGTACTAGTGAGACTAGGAGTCTCACTATCATTCTGGGGGAGGAATGGTATAGATGGATCTCCCTTTGCTTTAAGGAGACCACTTAGCAAGTACAATGAGTGCCCTCTGAAATTTCAGGATGTGGTGGATCAGTGTCTGATGCATGATGGAAAACGTAACTTCAAGAGCATGTTTAGGTCACTAACTTCTTTGATATTAGAATGAGGGATGGGTTGCTGCTGAATTGTTGATTTGCATTCTCAGAATTTCTCAAAACAGAGGTTCCTTAGTGTTTCTCATGCATCAGAGGCAGATACTTGCTCCTCCATTATACTCCTCAACACAAAAGCACACAACGTGGGACCACTTGGGTCTTGTCTCGAAGGGCCGCCAACAAGGGTAAATAGATATTATCAGACATCAGAGTATATTTAAAGGAGAAAAGATAAAGTTGGTTTATAATTGCAACCTATGAGTTCTGCTTCTTCAAAAGAATAGTTACAGTGGTATGAGACAAGGCTGTAACTGTTTTTTCCCCTCCAAAGTAGCCAATTCTTTCAATATTATTTATATAGGGATATACCATTTCACCCATGGATTTGAAATGCCACCATATTTATATATTAAATTTAAATATCTATGTACTTGTTCCTGTATTCTATACTGTTCCAAGCATATAATCATTATTCTGCGTTATAAATCCCATTAATATAATTAGTCTATAAAATATTTTAATTACTGGTCATAGAAATTCAGTATTATTTTTCTCCAAATATTTTTGTCTATTTTTTTGCAAATCTTTTATCCAAATGAAAAACATAAACTTTAATCAATCCTCCAAAATCATAGATTTTTTTTTGGAATTACATTAAACTTACGAAATTATTTTTGGGGAGATTTGACTTTTTTACAAAATTTAGAATTCCAGTCAAATACCTGGTATGTCCTTTTGTCCTTCAGTAACTTTTTATGACTTTCTTCATATATATTTGCACAATTTTCATTATATTTATTCCTAGATATCTTATATTTTAATTACTATAGCTAATTAGATTATCCATTTTTATATTTCAAACTTTATAGGAAATTTTATATATATTTATATGTAACAGAGATATGCATGCAGTGGCATACTGATAAATGCCTAACTGCGGACTTTCTGGAGGAAATTTTTTTCTTAAACTCTGATTTTTAGAGTTTGCTGATTTTTCACTGTGTAAATATTTTTTCAATGGCTAATTTCAAGATGTCAGCACTGATGCTACTGAGTGTGGAATTAGGAAAAGTATGCCTAATTTATCATTAATATTAAATACCAATTTATTAATCATTTAAATGTAATAATTATTTATTAATAATTTATTAATAAATTTATTCTTGTGAGCTATGATAAACCAATTTCAGTATATCACTGTCACACATTTTCTAGTTAAATAATCCTTAAAATAATTACAATTGACTACTTGCAAAGTTCAAAGTGAGCTTTAGAAATGAGTTTAGAACCTAAGACTTAGAATCTAAAAATTAAAATTAGAAAGCATTAAGATACATTGTTCTTAAATATTTTTTTCTTTATTTACTACTCACTACTATTTTGATGTAAATTAATTAAAAGACCATTCATGGTCATTGTTTATCATGGACTCCCTCTTAAGAGCTCTGATTCTGTGGTTTTTCCTTTTCCTGTTGGTGCTTAGTCTACAGTTGGACGTGTTGATGAGTAGAGTGTGTCGCATCAGATGCTGAATTCTACTGTACTCAACACACTCAGTCTCCACTCCACTATGCAATCTCCCTGTACCAAGAAAACATTGAGAGAAATCACTTAAGGCATAGGGTTCTCACACAATTCTCAAAGCTTTTCAATGTATTATCTGCTGGGCATGCTCCCCAAAGTTTCCTCCAGCATCTGCTGGTTGGATTTTAGGGGGGTCTGTATCAAGTCAGAGAGGAAACTTGTAGCCAGACAACCAGGAATGCTATGGAAATTCAGGAAGTTCTGGATCTTTTTTGTTGTTTGTTTTAACTCATTTTTGTTGTGGTAACCCAAAGCCACCTATTAAGGTTCTGGGCTCACGTTCTTTTATCCTTATCTCTCATATTAGGAGCCATCGTGTTTACATTAAATGAAATCTGAGGACAAACGCTGCTTTCATTTGCTTCAGGCTCAGCTAAATCTGACTCCATCACCTTTTCCTGCTACCTTTTAGCTCCTTCCAAGTTAAGGTTATGGGGCATCTTCCCAGCCACTATTATGCTTCAGAGTTTTTAGAGCTTTGTTTGGGAAACACCTCCACTTAGTTTGGAGGTAGGTCAATCCTTTGACAGGTGAATTAGTTTTCTAGGGCTGCCATAATAAATTACCACAGATGGGATAGATCACACAACAGGAATTTATTTCTTCAGAGTCTGGAGGCTAGGAGTCCAAGATCAAGGTTTCAGATTGGTTTCTCCTGAGGTCCCCTCTTTGGCATGTAGCTGTCTTCTCCTGTGTCTTCCCCTGGTCTTTCCTCTGTGTGTGTCTGTGTCTAATTTCTCCTTCTTATAAAGACACCAGTCATACTGGATTAGGGCTCACACTAACGAGCTAATTACCTCTGTTGAGACCTTATCTCCAAATATAGTCACATTCTGAGATGCTGAGTTTTAGGACTTCAATATATGAATTTTCACAATTCAACCCATAGCATCAGGGTTAAAATTCAGATTATTGTCCATTAATTGACAATTTACTTAATCAGCTTCAATGATGATATCTAATCTGGTTTGCTATCTTTAATTCTTTCTCACTTATATATTTCCCTAGACTTTTCTATAGGATTTACAGTGAAGGAAAAGATAAACACATGGACTCAAAGTGCTATCATCAGAAATCTTCTGATATTTTCTAATGCCTGTGGGAAAAACAAAGGGAAGAGAGAGCACACCATCAGTGACCACTAAAGTGTACTACTCTGCCCTAACCACGAAGGAGATGAGCTGTGTGCATGTACACGAATCTTCAGAGAAGAATAAAGCTGAAATTCTATCACATTTAGTGCTCATTGTTTGAATTGCTCCAAAATATTTATAACCCACATTTTAATGTTGTTGATTAATATATAATTAAGTATTAACACAATCTTTAAAGTTAAAGAATGAAGTACAATGGAATATTTGTGAATTTTCTGGGATCATGGCCAGAATGTCACAGTAACATTTATTTTCTTGGAGTAATTACTGTACATACACAGTAATTTACAGCGTTTCTTTCTGTCTACTTGTGTCCAATTTGCAATTTTATTTTTTAGTCATATCCAGACATGAGTCTTTATAAACTACACATGCACTGTTAACAAGGGTGGTTAAAAATGGCTCTTAAACTTTCATATTGTAAGAACATTTTCTGTGAATGTATTCTATTCTTTCCTCTTTGATGCCTCAGCCCACACAAGTAATACAACTGCTCCCTTTAATTAAAATGGGAAAATATATTACTTATAAAGCTTAGTCTTAAGCAGAGCCAGGTGCAAAATCTATAGTTCCCATAATAGGAGACGTACCATAAAACGGAATAAAATGATAAATTGATAAATACAGCATATAATTATTTGTTTTCTGTTGTTATCTTTTTTTTATTAGTGGCAAGAATGTACAAAAGAATTACAAAGTCTCTGTTTAATGCAGTAAAAAACTATGAATTGTATAACTTAGGGGATCTACAGTTAACACAAAAAAGTCTTTGAACTTAAAATTCTCCCTATAGCTTTTCACCCTTGATCTGTGTTTTCTCTTCTCTTTATAAGAATTAATACAATCCTTTTAGATAATTTCTCCTATTATTTATCTCATAAGAGGCAATTTATTTAAGGGAAATGTAGTTTCAATGACATATACTTTATTTTGTATCTGCCCATAGATGCTTTGGCCATACATTGGAAAAAGGAGAACAAACGCAGTACTGTTATGAAATAAACTTTAAACACCAAGTAAGTATTCCCTGGAAGAGAAGAAACAGAAATATAAGCTGCTTATTCTGGGAGTTGTTCAAATCCTGTAATCTGTTTGAGATTATTTTGATGTTGTGATTTAAGGTGAGAGTTTGGTTGTTGCCTGCATGCCTCACTCTGCATTCCACACCCGTGCTGTTTTTCAGTGGTTAGGATTCTGGAGTCAGGATTTCCCTTCATTCTGCTATTGGGTGTTTCTGTACAGTTGGATGTTTCTACTATTACATTTTGACTCTAATGAAATTTTCACATTTCTGCCCATAAAATACATATTTCCTGAGAGGAAAGAGAAAGAAATGTGGAGACTGGGGGAAACAACCCAAATAGGCTATTATGGTCACATATATCTGATCATACAGATTGATGAAAATATGCTTCTATAGCTTTTTCTACTGTAAGTTTCATTACAATGAAAAGAAACAGTAATGCAGAGGTTTATTTAGAAATATACTCAAATAATTTTGAAGATGTTTCTACCACAATATAAAAATACAAATATTGCACCATTTTTTTTTTTGTTTATCCATAGGCTAGTATGTAGGGATAGAAGACTTAAAAGCTGCTCCTTAGGGAAGTAGGGTACATAATATATATTTCATTTTCACTCTGTTTAAAATAAAATGTCAAGGTGCTACACAGCTGTAGAGGACTCTTGACTGAAGCCCCACTTTGTAAGGCAGTTTCTGAAACTCCACAGTCTCCAGCTAGCTCCTGGAGAATAACATAGAGACTAGGTTGAATCTATCATCACCCTCCAGTAATGAGAAACAGAATAATCAAAATAGCATTTACTGAATTCCTACTAAATCTCAGACCATTTTCCCATTTTTTTATAACCCTCAATTACTCTGTTAAAGTAAGTTATTTTAGCTACTTTCAGAGAGGAAAAAAATGGACACAGAGAATAATGGTGGTGTGAAGATTTGAACATAGGACTGTTTTATTCTAGGGCTACAATGATTCCAACTCAAGTAGTCGTCTCTGAAATGCTACTCAAGAGCCTGTACTGATTCTATGGCTTGAAGTTACCACAGAACCTATGGAATCACAAGAATAGGGGTGAAGCATAGCTGAGGTGGGTCACAATTCCAAAGGTTCTTCCCAAAAGTTTCAGCCTAGCAGTCATAATCACAGAAAGGAGTGAAAACATCTCTGTATAAATTCTATTACTTATTGCTCAGTGAGTTCTTATCATCCACAGCAGACCTTCCCAACTACAGTGCCTGACAATTCCTCAGATGAAACAGATGTGGTGAGATGAACAGGATTGTAATATCTGACTTCTTGAGATGGTGTGGCTGGTCCCCGGCCCAAGCTGCTTGTCTGCCCTCCTCTCAACTACCACAACATGGTTGTGAGCATAGGAATCCTTCACAGATCAAGAACATTTTTCACCTAACTTGTCCAGTCCTATCTTCTGCCATTCTTGGCACAACAATATTAAGCTACTGGCATTTCTAGAACCTACTGTGTTCTTTTAAATCTCTGTGTCCCTGATCAAGCTGTGATGTTAACACCACACCTACCTTCTTATGAACACAGCTTGCTATGTCAGGTCTCAGATCAAAGGCAATTGTCTCTGTGATTTCTTCAATAAACCCCTACATAAATCAGAGCAGTCCTTGTAGGGTCCCATATACTTTGTTTATGTCATTATAAAAGTAATAATTACTCAAATTAAAATTATTCAATTTTATATTTCATTAGCATCTTCATATTATACTCAACTCATTCTGGACAGAAACAATATCTTCCCTACCTAAACTGGTGACTAGATCAGACTAGAAACTCAATAAAATTTGTTTAATTAATTACTTAATAACCGATATAAAAATAAGTCCACAGGTTCCTTCTTTTCAGATTTTTTTTGGCAATGAAACCCCATTATATATGCCATCTACCTAATAAGTAATCATACCTTAATAAGAATGATAACATGCCTTCCCAGGAATATGCACTACTATATAAACAAAGTGTTCACCATAGTTTCAAGATCCCATTTGATAATAAAATTAAAGAAACAAACTTACAAAGCAATCAAACATTCTTTTAAAAATGTTTGAAATAAGAAAAAATCCTATACTCTTTAAAAAATTATATTGATTATTCTTCCTTTCATGATATTTATTTCAGTGTTTTATAATTTAAACACTTAGAGTTAAGTGACAACATGAATATAAGGTAAAAGAACAGAAATTTTTCTACTTTATGTTTAACAGTAGAATCTTCCAAAAGGAAATACCAAAGCACTAAACCATTTTCAATTAATTGCCATCAAAGGGGCTTTTGTATGCTCCTTTCAGTTAGGGTTTTCAAATTCATATTCAGAAAGTTCTGATACTGCTTTATTTTTAAGCAACTTAAACTTGAATTATTTTGAAAAACATAATCACAAGGAAACATTAAGAATATGCCTAAAATTATTGCCATTCAGGGAATATCTTAGATACTTGTATACCTAACATAAATATTTTCTTAAAATGTCTTGGAAAATGTCTTGGAAAACAGGACTTTAGAAATTATTTTTCTATGGTTAATTGTACAGCACTTATTTACACTGCACGTAAACTTTTTCTTCTATCACTTCTCAAAGATACCCAAGAGTCTAGCAATATAAAATGAATCCCATAAAATTCAGAGAGGAACTTTTATACTGAAGGCTTATAAAAGTCTAGACATGTTGTTTAGTGAAAGTGATTTGTGTGGAATTAGAGAATAAGCACGGGGAGCCACACAGGGGTCACCAGGAAAACTTTATCAAAGTTATCTCATTTTGCTTTGCCTTGAACAGTGACAGGATAAATATCCTTGTAATAATATTCCTTTCTTGCTCATAATTACTTTCTTTTGAAAAATATTTAGAATTTTGGGTGAAAACACATACAAAATTCAAAGGTTTTGATCTATGTTCCCAAATTATTCTTCAGAAACTTTTCATACATTTTGTATACCCTCAATGGTATATGGCTATTTGTTTTATGTATTCTCATCAAAATTATGTGTTATTTTTAAAGAATATTTACCTCTTGATCACTGAAAGATATGTCATATTTAATTCACATTTTTGATTTGTGAAGTTTATGTTCACCAGCTATTTGTATCTATGCAAGAGTACATAAGTGATTATCTGAAAATTTTCTCAGTGTGGAAAAACTGAATGTTTACCTCTCTTGTGAATTTCAAAGGCTTTGTATATAGTACATGTGTTAACTTTTGCCTTTAATATAATTTTCAAATTCATTTTTTCACCTTGTTACTTGATTTTCAATCTTATTTGTATTGATTTTTGACATGCAAAATTTAAAAATTTTAATGTAATCAAAAATCAACATTATTTTCTCATATAGTTTCTGGGTTTCATTTCCTGCTTAGAAAGATTTTTCACACAGTGAGATAATGTTCACCTATATTTTCCTAGAGTGTGTTTGGCTCATTCTGATGTGGATAATGGTGTGTGTGATTTTATTCTTATATAGATGCACGCCTTAGTATTGAGCATAAACAAGCCTATGCTACTGCTTTCCAATTACACGAGGTTTTTTTTTGTTTGTTTTTTTTCTTTTGAGACAGAGTCTCGCTTTGTCGCCCAGGCTGGAGTGCTGTGGTGCGATCTTGGCTCACTGCAAGCTCCACCTCCTGGGTTCACGCCATTCTCCTGCCTCAGCCTCCCGAATAGCTGGGACTACAGGCGCCCGCCACCATGTCCGGCTAATTTTTTTTTTTATTTTTAGTAGACACGGGGTTTCACCGTGTTAGCCAGGATGGTCTCGATCTCCTGACCTCATGATCCACCTGCCTCGGCCTCCCAAAGTACTGGGATTACAGGCGTGAGCCACCGTTCCCAGCCTACATGACGTTTTATGCCTATGGATGTTTAAAGTTACTTTCAGTTGAGACATGCATGGTCTTAATGTTTGTGTCACCTCCAAATTCAGATGTTGAAATCCTAACCCCCTATGTGATGCCATTAGGATATGGGGCCTTTTGGAGGTGATCAGGTCGTTAGGGTGGAGCCCTCATAAATGGGATTAGTTATAAAAAGAGACCCCAGAGAGATCTCTCATCCCTTCTGCCATGTGAGGACACAACTAGAAGATAGCTATCTTCAAACCAGGAAGTGAGCTCTCACCAGACACTGAGTCTGCCAGTGATTGATCTTCAACTTTCCAGTCTCCAAAGTAGTGAGAAATAAATGTCTGTTGTTTATATGACCCAGTCTATGGTATTTTGTTATAGTAGACTGAACAGACTAAGACAAAACATTTTCTAATTTTATGATTCTGCATAGTAACATTATTGCTACCAGCATAAACCTTCATAAATTACTAAGGGCATTGGATGTTAGTTCTGACCAGATTTGGGGTTTTGTAGAAGTTCCTTTCTCTGGCTATCCCTTCCATGATGCGGGCATAATAACTTAAAGGCATACAGTGCTTCTGTTACAGATTAGGAAAAATAAAATAAAATCATGGGAATTTTGACAGAAAGGCGAGTGAGTTTCTTGCCATTGCTCCTGTAGACGAAAGCAGCCAAAACTACCACCAGAATGCTGCTTAGAAAGCTTTTAGTCTCAGAAAGAATTGTTTTCTTCTGTGCTACCACGTCAGTTCTGGTAGTCATATCTTATTTTGTCTCACAATTTTTCCCCTTTGATGCTCACCTTACCTCTATTTGCTCTCATGATTATTTTACTTGAATCATGGACACAGGGACTATGGGGAAAATGACAGGTCATTGTATTCAGACCTCTGTACCTAGTGCATGTTATTGCCAGACACTTATATTATTCCCTTTAGAATTATATTTAATCTCTTTCTGAATGTCTTATTGATGTTTTCTCAATGACCTCTTCGGGTGGCTATTCCATTGTTAAATTACTCTTGCCTTTAGGACACTTTCTCTTGTAAGTAATTTAAACATGCCCTTCTTATTTCTTGTAAAACATTCTAAGTCAACCACAAACAATTCTTCACTTTACTGTATATTATTTCTTTCTTCTCCAGTAAAATACCACATGTCATGGGAGGCAAACTCTCCATTCAACATGTAGGCCATTCAGAAGAAACCTAACAGATTTATGCCATTTCCACATCTATAAAAGGAACATTTAAATGCTCTTTAAAATTCCTCTCAGCACTAATATTTTGTGATCCTATGATTTCTACATGTGGTTGTAAAATGATTTCTAAATCTGTCTGTGTTCCAATTTGTTATGACTGTGAAAATTTAAGTATTGTGTACTTAAATCTATTATTTTTAACTTCCAATAATCAAAAACGGTAAATTATATCATGTAGAATTATAAGTGCCTAATTTTATTGAGTACTTTTTATGTACTAGTTTGTTATTGGATATTTATATATTTTAGATTTATCCTCTAATGATATTTTATAGTATTTTGTTAGCGTTAAATATACATACACACGTGTGTGTATATACATATGTTATATATATATATTTATATATTTAAATTTATTCTATTGGAAACATTACATTCAATACATTCTTGTTGTATCTTTTATTCTCTTAAGCCATCATATCTTTTTTGTTTCCTTTTTATGGAGAATTTCTGAGGACACTTGTCCCACGAAGACACTTTACAGAAGTCTTATTCTATTTCCTACTACATTATTTTCTAATACTTTTCCCTTTATTTATGGCTACTAAGAATATTTGTTGACACAGGTTGATGGAAGAGAATAGAGAACTCAGAAATAAAGCCATGTATCTAGAGCCAACTGATCTATGACAAAGTTGACAAAGACATACACTAGGGAAAGAACACCTAAAAATGTGCTCTCCCTTTTTTTTATCATACTCAGCTCACCGACTGGCAACATCAGTTATGCCAGTCTTCTTCAGAGTGGGATGCACAGCCCACAGGGGAGCATCGAAAGTGGAGAGAGAAAATATTAAAACATCAAGAATGAAATCAAGCTTTTCAGACAGTTAAAACTTGGATTGACACTGGCTTCTGCACTGAGCCATGAGAGAATGAAACAGCCTCTAAGAAGAACAGGAATCCACAGCAAGTCGTTGATCATGATGTCTTCCCTCTTGCATTTGCTTTCAACATTTTGTGACACACTGCAGCTTTCCTGCGTCTGATTAAGCTGGTCTGGCTTATACACCAAATGGACAATTTGTCGAAAAAGGTTTCTTCAACTAAACCATAGTATAAGACATAATTTAACTTTGTGACCTTAAACGCTTACCTACAACATCCATTGTGTCTCTAATTCAGCAAACTCCAATGTCTTCACTCAGTCTTTATGCCCACACCTTAGTTGAAACTCTCCTTACTTGTAATCTGGATGGTTAGTAGATACTGTCCTAAATGATCTTCCACCTTCAGTTTTACTCCTTTTGCAATCTACTAGCTACCCTAAGCACACTCTTCATTTAATACACATCATGTGACACACATGCCACTCTCTTGTTTGACATCATTTGTCTTTGTAGGCGCAGGTTACTGTAATAAAATACTACAGACTAGATGGCTTAAGCAACAGAAACCGATTTTCTTACAGTTCTTGTATCTGGAAGTCTGCGATTAGGGCATCAGCATGGTTGGGTTCTAGTGAGGACTCTCTTCCTGGCTTTCAGATCCAACTTCTCGCTGTGTCCTCACAGGGCCTTTCCTTGGCACATGCACTTGGAGAGAGAGATTTCTCTCATCCCCTTCTTATAAAGCCACCAATCCCATCAGATTAGGACTCCATCCTTATGACCTCATTTAATCTTAATTACCTCCTAAAAGCCCTGTCTCTAAATAGTGACACTGGATGTGAGGACTCACCCCATGGGACTGGGGGAGCAGGTATAATTCAGCCCACAGCATCATTCATTGGTTCTCTATCTTCCCTCTTGTTAGATGCTGGGATCCTGGTCATGGTGTCTAAGGCTCTCCATGATCCCATGCCAGCCTGTCCCTCCTGACTCAGCTCAAACTGTGCCTGATCCAGTATGTTGTGTTCAAGCCCTACTTAGCAGTTCCCCAGGGTATACCATGTTTTCTCTGGATTCTCTGCCTTGTTTGTCATCTTATGCCCATTTTGAATATTTTCTATTCATCCTTGTGAACAGGAAGTAGGCACATTTTCCTCCAAGAATTCTGCACTGGTAATAATTTCCTTTTACTCTATTCCTTATCCTTCTACCTTAAGTCTGTGTTAGAGGCCCTTCTTCTCTGCTCTCTGTGTAAGTTAATATCACACTACATTATAATAATTTGTTTACTTGCCTGCCCCCCATTAGATTATAAACTCTTTGAGGGCAGTGCCCATGTTTTATTATTCTTACTATTATTTCTATTCTCAGTGGTTAATATTGGATGGTTAGATGTTAAACGAATTCTTCTTACTGAAAAGTGTTTTAGTATCACCTGTAACTGTATAAAATAATAAGCATGAATATCAATATGGCTGTTATAAGCTACAAAGTCTCTTACTCTCAGTAAGTGTGTTGAATAATGTCACTGCTCTTTATTGGACATGGGTATGGAGTGACTGGAAGGCAGACAGTAAGACACTGCTTAACTGTGCAGAAACGATGCCGAGGGCTGCGGGTCGGGGACAGGGCAGGGAAAAGAAATATAAGTGAATCTGTTATCATTGAACAAAGCAGAGTAACACATTTAGGAAGTTTTACCTAAACCACAGCTGAGTATCAACCACTAGGAGGCCTGGATTCCCTACAGTTGAATTTCTGTCCTTTGGTCGATAAGTACCTAATCACTGCCTAATCACTTACAACCTACCAACACTTTCCCCTCTGTAGCCCATGCAATCCAAGGCTATCCTGGCTTGCTTTGCACCGACCTCCCTGCAGAGTGGGTGTATATTAATCTGTTCTCACACTACTAATAAAGACATACCTGAGACAGGGTAATTTATAAAGGAAAGAGGTTTAGTTGAGTCACAGTTCCACATGGCTAGACAGTCCTCAGGAAACTTACAATCATAGCGGAAGGGGAAGCAAACAAGTCCTTCTTCACATTATGATAGGAGAAGAAATGAGAACCCAGTGAAGGGGGAAGACCCTTATAAAACCATCAGATCTCATGAGAACTCACTCACTATCATGAGAACAGGATGGGGGAAACAGCCCCCATGATTCAATTCTCTCCACCTGGTCCTTCCCACCACATATGGTGATTATAGGAACTACAATTGACAATGACATTTGGGTGTGGGGACACAGCCAAAACATAACAGGGTGTAACACTGCTTCTCTGGATTGATTTGAATCCCATCACTCTAGGAAGGCTGTTAAAATATTCCACTTACAATGCCTCAACTGAGAGGGTTGAAGAAACCATAGCAATTCCATATGTATAGGGTAAAGGATAAAGTACTCTTGCTAGCCCAGGATAGGGCATGAGGCCAAGGCCTTCCCTTGCCAAATTTGCTGCTGTATATGCTTTCCTGATTTTACTCTCAGGTCAGAGGAGGTGGATAGATACTCCAGTGAAGTCTTAACAATTTTTGCTTGGTTTTGAATTCTCTCTTCCTGGGACTGGAGTTTGGGGAAAAGCCTGAATGAAGCAATCCCCTACAACATACACACACCTGCTAACCCCACTCCCTTGCCCCATAGCTAAGAAAGACTGTATTTACCCATAGAATTACCCTGGCTCCTTCTTCTTAATTGATTGTATTATACAAGAACAACTCTTTCAAGGGTAGGTCAAAGGCCATCATTTACTCCCTTCCAGTTCTCTAGATGACAGTGTCCTTTCACTTTCCTCCTACATCAGGTATTTTTTTGACAACTATCAACCTTTCCTAAAAAAATTGAAGCTATTGAGACAAATGTTTAGTTATTAGAAGTTATTTCCACAAAGAATCAGTTTCCTTGTAGGTAGTCAGTCATCTTTAGTGTTGTTAGGAAGATGAATATCAGGGTATGGCCAATGAATTACAAAAATGGTCAAGTTAAAAATAACTCCTTCATAATCATTGGTGAAGTGTTTTCAGAGTTCAATAATTTCCAGAATTTGTACCTAGTAGTGGATAAGGGAAGATAAAACACAGTAGTTGGATAATTCACTTACAAGATGTTTTTTTTACAGTATCTGCAAAATGCAGCCGTGGGTTCTTTCTTCAGGTAACATATGTTTCTGTGTTTTTGAAGTGATGACCTGTTTTGCGCTTCTCACATACCAGTAAGACAAAATTCCCTTAGAATCGAAGAAATTTTAAACATGTCAAATAAGACATGAAGTTGAGAATTCTCTAAGGCAGAGGAATTCAGTTTTTAAGAGGGTAGAGAAATAAGCAAAATGACCCAGACATAAAACTTACCCTAAGAAAGAAAATAACTGGGAGTGGAAAACCGATTCTTCAGAGGACAAAGATAGGAAGATAATTGGTTCAGAAGAAACACTTCCACCTGAAGTAGAGAAAAAGCAGGTTGATAACCCTTGTGGAACTATGAAGGAAGAGAACCAGTGCTGTCTTCATAATCGTGGAGGCTGGGATGGCCCCCAGTATTAGAGATTCTATTGTGGACATTAAAAAGGTAGAAGAAAAAGAAGTCATTGTTCACTTGGAAAGGAACTAAAATGTTACCAGCCCAAAGAAAATTCAATACTCGGATTGAAACTATGAGGGAAAAAAAAAGATAATTGAAAGAGTTAAAAACAACAAAAATTAAAAACTTTTAGAGAAATTATTGAAAGAATAATATGTATTTCCCCAAATTATTGAATTTATTTACATTTCTATTTCTATCAAACCTGTGTATCATTTCAAAATAAGTGAAGTAAGTGATAGTCTTTCCCCTGTCTACGTACCAGTCTATAGGTATGTATTGAATACTTACATATATCACATGTGATGCCTGCAGAGACCACTCAATGCTATTTAAAATGGTTCAACAGCTAAGCTCTGAAGCAATTAGAGTTGGAGTGAGAGATGTCCATGTGTTTACATATATTATACTGGGAATGGAATGGTATCTATGTAATTCTGTGAACAGTTTATATTTGGACTACATCTGGATTTTTTGTCTTTCTTTCCAAAAGCAAGAAGAATAAAACTCCAGTACAGCAAATTATGGACTTGGAGAAACAGAAATAACAGCAGTAAAATAAAAAGGCAATTCTTGGATAAATTAGATGTCATTAAATGCCATTTTAAAAGATTATGTAATTAAAATTGAAGAGTGACAGATTTTACACTAGTTTAATAGCGTTATGCAAAGAAGAAACCATCCTAAGATGCCCCCCAGAAATGCTTTGGACATAGAACATGGATATTTGGAAGAGAATCATTAGAAGCTGAAGGTTTCAGGAGAAAAGTACAGATCAGTCTCTCAAGTAACATATTCCCTAGGCCTATCTGTATGAAGACTTTCTTCTCTTTTTCTAATTTTTAATATTTGTGGGTACATAGTAGTATATATATTTATGAGGTACACGAGATGTTTTGATACAGATATGCTATGTGTAATAATCACATCATGAAAGATAGGGTATTCACCCTCAAGCATTTATTCTTTGTGTTACAAACAATCCAATCAGACTTTTTAAGTTATTTTAAATGGTATGATTAAATTATTATTGACTATAGTCACCCTGTAAAAATATGTATATATAATGCTTCACAAATGTGCATGTCATCCTTGCACAGGGCTATGCTAATATTCTCGGTATTGTTCCAATTTTAGTATATATGTTGCCAAAGCAGCGCTGTATAAAGTCTTTCTTACAAAGAATCAATTCCTTGTGAGGACAAATTTAAAGCAAAATAAAATACTGTCATGCCATTCAGGAGACGGTGAGAGTTTCTCTGACCTTCAGAAATTTATTGAACTTGTCTTGAAATTCATGTCAATTTCAGAGCCAATGGATGTCCAAAGTCCACAGAGGAGATGATGTTGGTAACCTGCCCATATTCCCTAACCCAAATTTCAGCTTCAAGCACTTGCATATATTTATCTTATTTGTTGGGGTCAGAGGTGCCAAGGAATCTCCTCTGTGAATAGCCCTCAAACAATGACCCAAAATAATTATATATACATACCCAGTTCCTCAGAAAATACTTCTGAGGGGTGTGTTTTACATGAACTCCTCTTGCCTAACATGATGAAGTCCACATCCATAGTGGTAAATGGCTTAATAATGAACGTCTTTGACTACCTTTTCTTCCTTGTCCCAGTTCCTCCCTGGCCTAGTGGTGGTTTTTTCTCCTTCTGAGTAAACAATTTGCACTATAGCCTGGGCGAGGTGGCTCACGTCTATAATCCCAGCACTTTGGGAGGCCGAGCTGGGTGGATTACCTGAGGTCAGAAGTTCGAGACCAGCCTGGCCAACATGGCGAAATCCCAGCTCTACTAAAAATGCAAAACTTAGCTGGGCGTGGTGATGCATGCCAGTAATCTCAGCTACTCGGGAGGCTGAGGTAGGAGAATCACTTGAACCCAGGAGATGGAGGTTGCTGTGAGCCGAGATCGCGCCACTGCATTCCAGCCTGGGCAATAGAGCAAGACTCTGTCTCAAACAACAACAATAACAACAACAAAAAATTTGCACTGGAGTTCTTGTCCCAGTGTCTGCTTCTGGGGACACACAAACTATGGCACCTTCCCTGAGATTTGTATGTATTCCCTGGGTGATTACATTTTCATAGGCCATGCATCCTCATAAGCTAACTCAGTTCCTCATCAGAGGAACTCAACTGCTTCTTCAGATTCCAAAAATAAATATTCACTTCCACAACTTTTATGAATTCTAAAGGCTTTATTGAAAATTTGGAGAGGCCAGGCCTGGTGGCTTACACCTGTAATCCCAGCACTTTGGAAGGGCTAGGTGGGAGGATCACTTGAGCCCAGGAGTTTGAGACCAGCCTGGGCAACATGGTGGAATCCCATCCTTACAAAAAATTTAAAAAAGTAATTAGCTGGATGTGGTGGCCCACACCTGTCGTCCCTGCTACTCCACACACTTAGGTGTGAGGATCACTTGAGCCCAGGAGGTTGAGGCTTCAGTGAGCTGAGATCACTCCAGAAAGAAAATTTGGAAGGCTCTCTGGAAGTAGTCACTTTGTACAATGTGCAGCTACTCTTCTTCTTCCCTTCCTCTTCCTCAATTTCTCTTTTGCAGACTACTTGGGGGAATTCCCATTCTTTTTATGTCTAGAGAGCAATTTCTTTCTTTCATAGTTTAGGGCCAGCCAGCCAGGGTCTGGAAGTCCCACATACTACTCCAAAAATTTTGTGCTCTTTTCTCAAAGATAGCTGTACCCTTAGAGGAATTCTGTAGTCATCAGTTGAAATAATAACATTTTATACACTTCATTATGGTCAAAACTTCCCTGTATAATCATCCATTTCTCTTTTTTTTTTTTTTTTCCTGAGACAGGGTCTTGCTTAGTCACCCAGACTGGAGTACAGTAGTGTGATCATTGCTTACTGCAGTCTTTAACTCAAGAGCTTAAGCAATCTGATTCCTCTATTTTAAAACTATTATTAGTTATTCTTATAGAATAAGAATAAAACAGTTACTCTCAAAGTTTTGTATACAGTAAACTGAATAAATTATTTTTTCTCAGTATTCAATCTTTCTCAACTCTTCTTTTTGTCATCTTGGTAAACTGAGCTAAATAAATTATCCTAGTATAGTTATGAATAATTATCTGGAATGGGCCCACCAACCTTGACCAGAGGTGGAACTAAGTTTTACCAGGCTCAGAGTTATACAATTTGGGGTGTGCTCTTAGGAAATAAAATATAAAAAAATGTAGATGAGACTTGGAAAGTCCAGAACCCTGAAATTCAACTCTAATTAGCTTCATAATAAATCTGCTTTAGTACCTGGCTCTCTGACAAGAATACAGCATGTTTTTAAATCATCCCTTCTAAAGCAAGAAGGGGTATGTAGAACATTACAGGAATATAGCAAGTCTTAAAACCACTCCTTCTAAAACAACTAGAATATTGAGTACTTACAGTCTTCCAGGCATTGTTGTAAGTAAACAGTTTGCTAAGATTAATTTTTTTAATTTATTTTAATCCAAAATGTACAGATGAGGATATTGTAGGACAAAGAAGTTAAAAAACTTGATTAAGGCTGCACAAGCTATAGTTTGGACAGTGGTAGTGGCTCTAAAGCCAGTAGCCATAACCTATACAGGTGTACCTTGTTTTATTGCACTTTGCTATATTGCGCTTCACAGATAATGCTTTTTTGTTGTTGTTCTTAACAAATCGAAGGTTTGTGGAAGCCTTCAGAAATTCTATTGGCACCATTTTCCCAAAATCATATGTTCACTTAATGTCTCTGTCCCATTTCGGTAATCCTCACAATATTTCAAAATTTCTAATTATCATTGTATCTATTATGGTGATCCGTGATCAGTGATATTTGATGTTAATATTGTCATTGTGTTGGGGCACCAAAAATGGTGCTCATATAAGTTGACAAACTTAATTAAGAAATGCTGTATGTGTTCTGACTGCTCCACTGGCTGGCCATTCTCCAGTCTCTTTCCCTCTTCTCAGGCCACCCTATTCCCTGAGACATGACAACATGGAAATCAGGTCAATTAATAACCCTACAAAAGCCTCTAAGTATTCAAGTGAAGGAAGAGTTTCATGTTTTTCACTTTAATTCAAAAGCTAACAGTGATTAAGGCTGGGTGTGATGACTCAGGCCTGTAATCTTGGGACTTTGGGAGGCTGAGGCAGGCAGATCCCTTGAGATCAGAAGTTCGAGACTAGCCTGGCCAACATGGCAAAACCCTGTCTCTACTAAAAGTACAAAAATTAGCTGAATGTGGTGACTCACGCCTGCAGTCCCAGCTACTTGGGAGGCTGAGGCATGAGAATCACTGGAATCAGGGAGGCAGAGGTTGCCATGAGCCGAGATTGCACCACTGCACTCCAGCCTGGGCAACTGAGTGAGACTTTGTCTCCAAAAGTAAAAATAAAATAATAAAATAATAATTAAGATTAGTGAGGAAGGTATGTAGAAATCTGAGAGAGGCAAAAAGCTAGGCCTCTTGTGCCAAACAGCTGAGTCATTAATGCAGAGAAAAAGTTCTTGAAAAAAAAAAGTGCTGTTCTCTTTCAGTGAATACATAAATAAGAAGACAAACAGCCTTATTGCTGATATAAAGAAAGTTTGAGTGGTCTAGGTAGAAGACTAAACCAGCCATAACATTCCCTTAAGTCAAAGCCTAATCCAGAGAAAGGCCCTAACTCTACAATTCTACGATGGCTAAGAAAGGTAAAGAAGCTGCAGAAGAACAATTTGAAGCCAGCAGAGGTTTGTTCATGAGGTTTATGGAAAGAAGCCATCTCCATAACATAAAAGTGCAAGATGAAGCAGCAAATGCAAAGTAGAAGCTGCACCAAGTTATCCAGAAGATCTAGCTAAGATTATTGATGAAGCAGGCTATCCTAGACAACAGATTTTCAATGTCGACAAAACAGCTTTCTATTGCAAGAAGATGCCATCTGGGACTTTCATAGCTAGAGAGGAGAAGTAAATGTCTGAGCTTCAAATCTTCAAAAGACAGGCTGATTCTCTTTTTAGGGGCTAATGCAACTGATGACTTTAAGCTGAAATGAATGCTCATTTATTACCCCAAAATCCTAGAGCCCTTATGATATGGTTTGGCTGTGTCCCCATCCAAATCTCATCTTGAATTCCCACATGTTGTAGGAGGGAACCAGTGGGAGGTAATTGAATCATGGGGGCAGGTCTTTCCCATGATGTTCTCGTGATAGTGAATAAGTCTCATGAGAGGTGATGGTTTTAAAAAGAGGAATTTCCCTGCACAAGCTCTCTTCTCTTGTCTGCCACCATGTGAGGCATGCCTTTCACCTTCCACCATGATTGTGAGGCCTCCTCAGCCATGTGGAACTGTAAGTCCATTAAACCTCTTTCTTTTGTAAATTGCCCAGTCTTGAGTATGTCCTTATCAGCAGCATGAGAACAGACTAATACACCTTAGGAAGTATGCTAAATCAACTCTGCCTATGCTCCATAAGTGAAACAAAAAGCCTGGATGACAGCATATCTGTTGTAAGCATGGTTTATTGAATATTTTAAGCCCATTGTTGAGGACTATCACTCAGAAAAAAATTCCTTTCAAATATTACTGCTCATTGACAATGCACCTAGTCACCCAAGAGCTCTAATGGTGATGTACAAGATTAATCTTGTTTTCATGCCTGCCAACACAACATCTATTCTGCATCCCATGGATCAAGGAGTCATGTTGACTCCCAAGTTTCATTATTTAAGAAATACATTTTGCAAGGCTATAGCTGCCATGGATAGTGATTCCTATGATGGACCTGGGGAAAGTAAGTTAAAAACCTTCTAAAGTATTCACTGTTCTAGGTAATAATATTTATGATTCATGAGAGATGGTACCAGTACCATGCTGTTCTGGTTACTGTAGCCTTGTAGTATAGTTTGAAGTCAGGTAGCGTGATGCCTCCAGCTTTGTTCTTTTGGCTTAGGATTGACTTGGCGATGCGGGCTGTTTTTTGGTTCCATATGAACTTTAAAGTAGTTTTTTCCAATTCTGTGAAGAAAGTTATTGGTAGCTTGATGGGGATGGCATTGAATCTATAAATTACCTTGGGCAGTATGGCCATTTTCATGATATTGATTCTTCCTATCCATGAGCATGGAATGTTCCTCCATTTGTTTGTGTCCTCTTTTATTTTGTTGAGCAGTGATTTGTAGCTCTCCTTGAAGAGGTCCTTCACATCCCTCGTCAGTTGGGTTCCTAGGTATTTTATTCTGTTTGAAGCAATTGTGAATGGGAGTTCACTCATGATTTGGCTCTCTGTTTGTCTGTTACTGGTGTATAAGAATGCTTGTGATTTTTGCACGTTGATTTTGTATCCTGAGACTTTGTTGAAGTTGCTTCCCAGCTTAAGGAGATTTTGGACTGAGATGATGGGGATTTCTAAATATACAATCATGTCATCTGCAAACAGGGACAATTTGACTTCCTCTTTTCCTAATTTAATACACTTTATTTCTTTCTCCTGCCTGATTGCCCTGGCCAGAACTTCCAACACTATGTTGAATAGGGGTGGTGAGAGAGGGCATCCCTGTCTTGTGCCAGTTTTCAAAGGGAATGCTTCCAGTTTTTGCCCATTCAGTATGATATTGGCTGTGAGTTTGTCATAGATAGCTCTTACTATTTTGAGATGTGTCCCATCCCTACCTAATTTATTGAGAGTTTTTAGCATGAAGGGCTGTAGAATTTTGTCAAAGGACTTTTCTGCATCTATTGAGATAATCATATGGTTTTTGTCTTTGGTTCTGTTTATATGCTGGATTACGTTTATTGATTTGCATATGTTGAACCAGCCTTGCATCCCAGGGATGATGCCCACTTGATCATGGTGGATAAGCTTTTTGATGTGCTGCTGGATTCAGTTTGCCAGTATTTTATTGAGGATTTTTGCATCAATGTTCATCAGGGATATTGGTCTAAAATTCTCTTTTTTTGTTTTGTCTCTGCCAGACTTTGGTATCAGGATGATGCTGGCCTCATAAAATGAGTTAGGGAGGATTCCCTCTTTTTCTATTGACTGGAATAGTTTCAGAAGGAAAGGTACCAGCTCCTCCTTGTACCTCTGGTAGAATTTGGCTGTGAATCCGTCTGGTACTGGACTTTTTTTGGTTGGTAGGGTATTAATTATTGCCTCAATTTCAGAGCCTGTTTTTGGTCTATTCAGGGATTCAACTTCCTTCTGGTTTAGTCTTGGGAGGGTGTATGTGTCAAGAAATTTATCCATTTCTTCTAGATTTTCTAGTTTATTTGTGCAGAGATGTTTATAGTATTCTCTGATGGTAGTTTGTATTTCTGTGGGATTGGTGGTGATATCCCCTTTATCATTTTTTATTGCATCTATTTGATTCTTCTCTCTTTTCTTCTTTATTAGTCTCGCTAGTGGTCTATGAATTTTATTGATCTTTTCCAAAACCAGCTCCTGGATTCATTGATTTTTTGAAGGGTTTTTTGTGTCTCTATCTCCTTCGGTTCTGCTCTGATCTTAGTTATTTCTTGCCTTCTGCTAGCTTTTGAATGTGTTTGCTCTTGCTTCTCTAGTTCTTTTAATTGTGATGTTAGGGTGTCAATTTTAGATCTTTCCTGCTTTCTTTTGTGGGCATTTAGTGCTATAAATTTCCCTCTACACACTGCTTTAAATGTGTCCCAGAGATTCTGGTATGTTGTGTCTTTGTTCTCACTGGTTTGAAAGAACATCTTTCTTTATGCTTTCATTTTGTTATGTACCCAGTAGTCACTCAGGTGTAGCTTGTTCAGCTTCCAAGTAGTTGAGCAGTTTTGAGTGAGTTTCTTAATCCTGAGTTCTAGTTTGATTGCACTGTGGTCTGAGAGAGTTTGTTACAATTTCTGTTCTTTTATATTTGCTGAGGAGTGCTTTACTTCTAACTATGTGGTCAATTTTGGAATAAGTGTGATGTGGTGCTGAGATATGACTTTATTTTTAAAAAGATTTATCCATTTGTAAATCCTCATGTCATTCATTTTCACTTCAAATAATAATCTAATTTTTAACGCATATTTTTAATCCATTATACTCCTGGTAAATATCTAGATTGTTTCCAGGTTTAAAAATGTGTTTGTTTTTGGTATGACTATGTTGTTGTGAACATTCTTACATTTGTTTGTCTCTCTCTTTCGCTCTCCCTTTGTGTGTGTGTGTGTGTGTGTGTGTGTTTATGTATAAAATATGTTGCTCTAAGCTATATATTTAGAATTAAAATTGCTGAGTCAAAGGATTTGTGCACATTTGAATTTACTAGATAATTAATGCCAATTGTTTTACATTTTATGCTATTTAGTAGTTCCAGCCTTATGTGAGAGATTCCCTACTCTAAATAAGTCAACACTAATATTTACTGAGGTTTTAATTGTTATCAACCTAATGAGTGAGTGAATGATATACAGCACATCGTTATGGGTTTAATTTGCCTCTCTCTGATTACTAAGGAGGTTTAATAATTTTTTAATACATTGGCATGCTATTTGTTTATCTTCTGAAAATGTTTGTTTACAACTTTTGCTCAATTTTCCTGAGTTTATTATTGACTTGTAGGAATTCTTTATGTATTACAAATGTTAATTCTGTGTCACTTAACTGTTTTGCAATTACTTTCTTCCAGTACTACTTATAGTTTGCATTTTTCTTCTTATGGTGTCATTTAATGAATATAAAATATAAGTTTTAGTAAGGTTAATTTTACATTTCCTTTATGTTTTGAGCTTTAGTGTTTTATTTAAAAAATACTTTCTAACCAGATAATAGTTTTCTCTAAAATACAAAAAATTTTGTTTTGATAATGTATGTTCCTAATTCCTCTGTAATTGATTTTTTGTGTAGGTTTAAAGTAGCATTTTTTTGTTTTTATTTATTTCTGTGTAGATACCAATTATAACTATACCAATCATGGGATGGTCTATTTATTCCAACCTATCTGAATATCCTGGTCTCTCATTGCTTAAGTCTCCATGTACTCACGAGGCTCTTTTGGTGCTTACTTCCAGTATTGCATTGACCTCCCTATTCATGCATCAATATAACACTGATTTAAACATGTTAACTTTATTCTTAACCTTGATATTTAATAGCAAAGTCCTCTATCTTGCACTTCTTAGTAGTATATTGGATACTCTTTCTCTTTAATCTTCCATATATATAATAGAAATAGTTAATTAACCTCCATTAGAAAAAAAAGTCTATTATTTGGTTGAAATTGCCTTCAATCTACAGACCAATTTGGGAAAAATTCCTATTTTTACAAAATTGATTCTATCTATGTACATGCTGTACTTCTGAATTTGCTTAAGTCTTTAATGTCTTTCAATAATATTTTCTAATTTTCTACATAATGCTCTTACATATCTTTTTCAAGATTTACATATAGTACCTTATTTTTTTAAATGCTTTTGTAATTTACTTTCATATTAAATGACACTTTCTGAGTAATTCTGTTACATAAATTTGAACTTTCATACATTTGTATATTGAACTTTCTAATATTTTTCACCTAAGAAAATTCTTTCTTAAATTCCAATAGTTTGTCTGTAATAGGTCATGTCTGTTCTTTGTAGAAAGTCGTATCAGTTGAAATTATAGCAGTTTAGTTCCTTCTTTGTTGAATCACTCAGGATAAACTAGATTATGCTGAAGTAAGTAATGACCTCAAGATAACAGCAACTTGGCTGGGCGTGGTGGCTCACGCCTGTAATCCCAGCACTTTGGAAGGCCAAGCCAGGCGGCCTGAGGTCGGGAGTTTGAGAGCAGTCTGACCAACATGGAGAAACCCCGTCTCTACTGAAAATACAAAATTAACCGGGGGTGGTGGCACATGCCTGTAATCCCAGCTACTTGGAAGGCTGAGGCAGGAGAATCACTTGAACCCGGGAGGCAGAGGTTGCAGTGAGCCGAGATGGCGCCATTGCACTCCAGCCTGAGCAACAAGAGCATAACTCCGTCTCAAAATAAAATGAAAATAAAAATTAAAATTAAAAGAGTAAAAATGTTGATTAAGATTAACATCCACAAAATGGAAACAAATAGAAAACATGAAGAAAAGAAGATTCTCTCCGTCAAAAACATTTGAATTGTTTAATAGTTGTTATTTGCTCTTACACTTTTCTTGATCAACTGGGAAGTTATACATTAAAATTTTACTAATTTAGGATATTTAATCATGTGTGTTAAATGTAACAAAATCTAAAGTTAATAAAATCTTCGTCATTCTCTAAAATAATGCTAGAATTTAAATGTTTTAAATCTGATCACCTGCTTTTTAATATGCTATTGTTGTATGGGATTTTTATTATTTCTTGATTTTATACCAACACCACAAAGTAGTTATTTTCATTATAGTTTTATAGAGTAAATATATCTAGTTTAACATTTTCCTCCCCCAACTCCCACTGCTTTTTTTTTTTTCTCAGACATTTCTTCTTGAAGGAAGTATATCCTTGAGAATTTCTTTTTTAAATTTTTTTTTTTTTTTTTTTTTTAAAGAGACAGGATCTTACTCTGTCACTCAGGCTAGAGTACAGTGGTATAATCATAGATTACTGCAGCCTAGCACTCCTGGGCTCAAGTGGTCCTACAGCCTCAGCCTCCTGACCAGCTGGGACTACAGGTGAGTGCCACAATGCCTGCCTAGTTTTTTTAAGAAATATTTTTTAGAATCTGGGGGTCTCACTTTGTTACCCAGGCTGGTCTCTAAATCCTGGCTTCTAGCAATTCTCCTGCCTTAGCCTTCCAAAGGATTTTGTTTCATGAGAGTCTTTTACCTTTGCACGATCAATTTTCCTAATTAAAAAAATCTTTATTTTCTCTTCTTTGAATATTCTTTCTGCTAAATATGTAATTCATTATTTCCAGTTATTTAGCTGATTGACAATATTTAAGCTTCTTTCTCTTTGTTGCTCTTGTTGAAAAACCAGTTATCTCTGTAATTATTGTTTCTTTTTACCTAGTCTGTCTTATATTGGGCTACTTTTAGAATCTTTCAATTTAATGATTTTCTCTTTAGCTTTGTCTAAATGTTCTTTTTAGTTATCTCATGATCTTCTTAATACAATAATTACATCTTATTTTTCCAGATATTCTATTTGATATCTTTCCAAATCTTCCCAATGTCCATTTCTTCATCACATGAATGACCCTATGTTTTATTTTTAAAAATATGTTAAATATTCTAATCTAATATCCTGTATCTGTTAGTTCACATACCTTCAGTCTTTGTAAGTACGATTGTGAAGTTTTTTTGTTCTGCTTTCACTCTTTCTTGGTGGCTTCTTACCATATATTTTAGGAACAGTTTCAGTTATGAAACTGTGTTTTTAAGTCTTGAAATCTTATCCGTAGTAATTCTTTGAGAACTGGATTTAAAGATAGATTTTCCATAGAAGATTTGTATATGCCTATACTAGGAACCTGGAGAAATAATTAACTGAGGTATATTTTAAACTAAACATTTGCCTTGAGATTTTCAGGGGCCAAATAGGAATTTGAATTCCAGTTCCCAAACCCTATCAGTATAGAGTTACAATTAGGAATTTTTTTGGAAACTTTTCTCCTCATTTTTTGCTAAATTAACCCAGAAGCAAAGCTAAAAAGGCAAGTGTTCTTTACAGTGGTAGGTTGTTTCTTAGATCACTGACAGAAGGCTTTATACTTCTGGGGGTCCCATCTTTTTGAAGAGATTATCTTACCTCTAACTAGTTCTGGTCCTAACTTTGCCCTGCCCTGTTTTCTCAAATGGCACCTTTGACCGGGACAGGTCAGCAAATGCCTTCAGGGCAAAAAGCCTCAAGGCTTCCTTGCTACTGCAGATTGACTTTCTTGTGATTCCTTGCCTCTGAGGAAATCTCTTATTTTCCCCACTATCTCAGACATTCTTTTTTATCCAAAATTTTTTAGTGTTTTCTATTGGGAAAAGTTTCTTTACACATTTAGAATTCTCTTTTTTGAGAAATTAAATTATTTCTACAAAATTTAGGGTATTTGGGTGCATCAGAGATTATAATTCTGAACACAAGCATGGCCCCTGGCACTATTACCTTTTGGTTCAAAGTTGTGCTTTGGGCACTTATTAGTGGTATAATCTTGGGAAAGTTACTTAACCACATCTGCTTCAGTTTCTTTATGGGGTTAATATTAATAATTGTGCCTAACTTACAGGGTTGTTAAAGTTATTAAGTGAATTTAATATTTAAAATGGTAACATACACATTGAACATACTCAATAAGTGCTAGTAGTAGTATTATTCTCAATGATAAAGTTGGGAAAAAACTGAATGTTGTTTCTTGTTAGGTCAGTTTGCATAGGCAGGAATTTTTGAGTTAGGAAAGTCAAACTTTGTAAAATGTGTACTTGTAGGTTGAGTTAATGATGATGGGATCTTATGAGTAAGAAAAGCTGTATCTTGCCTTTTTTACTGTCTCAAATTGGAGGTTGTACACTTTGACTTTAAACTTGCTTCCCATAAAGGTCAAATCATTGATCTTGATGGCATTAAGCTCACGTTGCCAAGTTTGCCAAAGCTTTTTGATAAAGATCACCTGGATCCTTGAATAAAATGCTTTTTCTCAGAATCCGTCCCTGAAGATTCTGATTCAAAAGGCCTATGCTGGGTCCTGGCAAACTTATTTTAATAAGTGATGCAAGGGAATCTGGGAGCTACAAACATGTGTCATCAAGTAACAGAATAAATGCAGCATGTATTCTGGTTTCGCCTAAGATAAAAATGTCTCAGAGAAGTCATTTGCTTTTCATTGAATTTTATTTAACTATAAAATGGAGATAATTCTTATGGACCTTTGTCATCAGCCAGTTAAGAAAAGATGGGTGTAAAACAGCTTTGTGCATTTTTGAGAAGCAATAACAAGTTCAGTTGCAGCCAAATGATTTTCTAAATTATAGTTTTGGCCCTCCTTTTGGAGTTTGCATTTTAGTTATATCCTATGAATGTATCCAGCTGAACCAATAACATTTTCTTGAATCCTCTTATACTATAGTACAAGTTCCTCTTCCATAGTTTCCCTCACATTGTCTGAAACCTTCTTCTATCACTCCAGAGATGCTTTAAAAATGAACATCTTAAGGAACTTTATTTAAAGTGTATTTGCCATGAGAATACTGAGTTTACAAATAGATTGCCATCAGATCAGCTCAAATCTCATATATTGTGGGTTGGTTGAATCCAAGATAACTAACAATGGTTGTCTTACTTATTTTGCTTTGTAAGGGCAGCTTTGTGAAAATATAGGTTGATATTACTAGGTTTCTACATTCATAAAGCAGAAATATGTCATGCATATTAGAAAAAGTGTTTTAGCTACTAACATAAAGATATAACTTTCTGCTTTCTATCATATATTCCTGATTGTACTTCACCAAGTTCTTATGAATTGTTTTCACCATGGCTCCCTCACTTTATTTAAAATTTTAGGACCACGAGGTACCAGATATCTACATACTAAAATATATATTTATTCAAAAATGTTTCCAAACCGTAAGAAAAGTTGTCATTTAGATACTTTCAGCCCATTTAGTGAATGTTGTGCATGTTATGTTGAAAAAATGGAGAAGATGATGTGGTTCCTGCTCTTGTACTAATGTAATTTTGCTCCCACAACTCCACTCCCCACCAACCTCACTAGAATAAAAAAGTATGAATGACTTTTAATAACAAGATTCTTCTTTCTTCCATATATTGAATCAGTTCTGATTATTGAGTATAGCCTTATGATTCATTTGTACCCAACATTGTGAGTTCTGAGGAAGGAGCAATTAGACTCTAACAATGGGATTTCAGAACATAATGGACAATATGCCAGGTATTTAGTTTCAGAATCTTCATTTCTATTCACATCTCTATGTACTGTGCTATTTTTCCTTAATTTAATTTTAGTGCCATTATTGTATCTTGTTTAATTTTTTTATAGCTTGCTATAATTAAGCCTTTATTTGGAAGTCATTTTAAAACCACTGCATCGTTGTCATGGAATTGTTGGTAATATGTGATTACATTATGTTGTCTTTTGCGGGGACACTCTTGTAAATGAAGCATTATCCCCAGAGATTTTCTTGGCTGAAAATGTTAAGTAATTAAAAATGTAAACAAATATTATCTGTTACATATGCTGTAATAACAAATACTTCAGTATAACACAAGTTACTATCTCTTTTAGGATACAGTTTAATCCTTCTACAATATGTTTTATAAATGGACAAATAAACAAATAATCACTTAATATCTTATGTACAATGGCATGCAGATGCCCAGGGCTTTCATATGCTCTGTCTTTGAGTACTGTACATTTCTTAACTGACATTATCAATAATCTTTTAGCATTATTTTTCATTTTAACAAATGCCAGCTAAGGAGATGTAAAAAAATAGAATCAACTATCAAAAATTCCCAAATAATACACAATAGAACTATTAGTCCAGGAAAATGGGAATTATTTGTCTATAGCTGGTAGGGTGAAAATTAATACATCCTGTTTGGAAGGCACTTTGGCAACATGTATCAAAGCCCTAAAAATGTGCATAACCTTTTACTCATTAATTTATTTATTAAATATTATCCTAAAAGTCATTGAGATACACACAAAGAAGTGTGTACATAATATTTATCATTATATTATTTCTAATGTCAAAATATCATTAATAACCTAAGCATATGCCTGCAGAGAATTGGTTAAATAGAATGTGGAAATCCAAAAAGAGTATACTATACAGTTATTAAAAATCAAAATGCAGGGGAAAGTAAATAATATTATAGCATAAACAGTTCATATTACATGGGTAAGCAACAACAAATAGAAATAGGGTAAACAAAGAACACTTTTCTAATGATTATTTAGATATGTGTAAAATAATTCATGATGGGAACATCAGCAAGATAGTGGAGTAGGTGATACCAGCTTTCATTCCACCACACAAAAACCAGAAATTAGACAGCTATCAAAAAATGAAAATAGCCTTAGGAGGGCTCAAGAGTCCAGTTAAGAACCTGCAGCAATACAATGGAGCAAAAAGCAATGAATAACCACACAGATATGATTGCTGGGGAAATTAGCATAGTGGAGACATCTACAGATGGCTAGGAACAAAGTAGCAGAGTAAGAATTCTCAGTATCAACCATATGGTGGGTGCCACTATTGTGCCCAGTGACTTGCTTTGCAGAGGACTCCAACAGCCTTTGCTGCTAAGTACCTCAACATCACCTGTGGCAGCTTTGAACTCCCTGCAGAGTGTCCTTAGTGTTCATCAGTGCAGACCTCAGTGGCCTGCTCCACAGAGGATATCATCACCTTTTACCAGTGAAGTAATTAACAGCCATCACTGTTGCAGACCCCCTGGACAGAGAAACACTACTCTGCCCTTTAGCTCCAGGAAGGAGTCGGAATCGCTATTACACTGCTCTGAGACAATTCCACACCCTGCACTCTTTGCATACTCCCCAGACCCTGGAACTGTGACCTTCCATGTGCATCTGTGCCTCAAACACTGAAGCTACTACCACTTTGTGCTAGCATGTGCCCTAGATACTAGAGATATGGTCACTCTGTGTATACCTATGCTCCAGATGCTGGCTTCACAGTTACTCTGCCCCACACATGGCAGGCAAAAGAGCTACCAATGCATCAGGCCATCTGCATTACAGACTCTGGAACTGTGGTTGTTCCACACACACCCCCTTTCTGGACCCCAACTCTGTGGCCACTACATGACAGCCCATGCCTAGGACAGAAAAGCCACTGCTAGGCCGGGCGCAGTGGCTCACACCTGTAATCCCAGCACTTTGGGAGGTGGAGGCAGGCAGATCTCAAGGTCAGGAGTTTGAGACCAGCCTGGCCAATATGGTGAAACCCTGTCTCTACTAAAAATACAAAAATTAGCTGGGCGTGGTGGTGGGCACCTGTAGTCCCAGCTACTCAGGAGGCAGAGGCAGGAGAATCACTTGAACCCGGAAGGCAGAGGTTGCAGTGAGCCGAGATTGCACCACTGCACTCCAGCCTGGACAACAGAGTGAGACTCCATCTCAAAAAAGAAAAGAAAAGGAAAGAAAAGCCACTGCCACCGTGAGAGCTCCCATGTCTGGATTCTGGACCTATGTCTCTTTGTTTGCCTGCACTCTGTACCCCACACCCGAACTGCTTCATAAGCATCCATGTCTTGCACACTGTTACTAACATTGCAGTGGGGGTGCTTGCATGCTGGGTACTGGCATCACTGCTGCTCTGGACCCTGGAGCTTCAATCCTTCCACATGAGCCTGCACTCAAGACCCTGGCTCAATGGCTGCTCCACAGTTGTCACACATTTGGCACCAGTGATGCTGCCAATGTGAGCATGCATGGAAGCTACAACTGGTGCCAAGAAGAATCTTCTTGGCCATGACATCTTCCATAAACCAAAAGAGAGAGAGAGAGAGAGAGAGAGAGAGAGATTGGGAGGATCCTAGCAGTCTTTGCCACCAAAAACCCAAAAAGTCCTCACTGCTGCTGTAGAAACCCACAGCCTTGGCCACTGAGGATCCCTGACATCTTTGCCAATATTAACCTCAGGTAATGAAGCTACATAAAGACTATGCTCTTCCCTCACCAGAGTCAGAACCACCACATTACATTGAGCCAGTACTCTCACACCCACTCATGCTGAAGATTTTTTCCCCCACAAAACCAGTCTATAAAGTCTTCAAGACATGTAAGCAAGGCTACAAGAAACAAACAATTAAGAAAACATGACACCATGAAAGGAACACAACATTCCAGTAACAGATTTTAAAGAAATGGAGATCATAAACTGCCAGAAAAAAGAATTAAGGAAGCTCAACAAGCTACAAGAGAACACAAATAGGTAACTTGAAAAAATTAGGAAGGTAATGTATGAACAAAAGGATGAAGTCTACAAAGAGATAAAAATAAGAAAGAATAAAACAAATTCTGGAGCTGAATAATACAATGAATGAAGTAAAAAATATAATAGAGAGTATCAATAGGAAAATTGTCAAGCAGAAGAAAAAAATAGTAAACACAAATACAGGTCATTTGAAATTATCCAGTGAGGAGAAAAAAAAAAGAAGGAAAGGGAGCAGTGTTGAAAGAAGGTGAATAGGAGACAGGGCTAATGTGTAGCTCCCATATGGATGGATAGAATGGTGTGTGGAGATTCATGCCATGATCTTCTACTCTGAGAACCACACCAGAAATGTACTAGGAAAACCAAAAGAATTCATAGATCCTTTTAAAGAAGTGGCATGCCACTGCAAATTCTGTGAAACAGATGAAAAACTGTGAATTCCCAAAGTGTGAAAGGGGGAAAAACCTACCTCTGAGCACACATCCCCATGGAAAATTTGAAAATCCAGATCGTGGGAGAAGAATTTAACCCTACCTAGAGATAAAATGGGTTTAGGGAGTCATAAGAAATATAAAAGTACAAGTAGCAGTGGGAATTGCCTTAATGGACACTGAGATGACACAGATATTAGAATGACCTGATAATGAAATTTTAGCAGCTAACAAAAAAATTCCAACTAGCAAGTATGAACATGCTTGTAACAAATAAAAAATAGAAAGTGTCATCAAAGATATAAAAGTATTTGAGAAAAGAAATAGAAGAGGAAAGAAAGACTAAATGAACATCTTAGAACTAAAAAATATAGTAACTGAGATAGGAACTCAATGAATGAGCTCAACATCAGAATAAGAAGAAGAGAAGAAAGGATCAGTGAGCCTGAGGATAGAACAATAAAAATTACTCCATCCAAACAACAGAGAAAATAGATGGAAACAATGAATAAGATCTTAAAAAAATGTGGGACAATAACAAAATATCTAACATTGTGTCATCACAGTCTCAGAGACAGGAGAAAAAGTGTGGCCAAAAAAGTATTCAAAGAAACAATAGCTAAAAAACCTCCCAAATTTCCAGGAAGTATATATCTATAGTTTCAAGAGCTGAGCAAACCACTAAGAGGATAAATTCAATGAAATCTATACCAAGACATCTCCATATCAAATTTCCGAAAAGAAAAAGAAGAAAAAAATGTGGAAATTAGTCAGAGAGAAATCGCGTAATTTGTATAGGAAAGAAACAAATAAAATGACAACAGTTTTTTTAAAAACAAACCATGGCAACCAGAGGAAGTTGGCACAATAGTTTTGAAGTGCTAAAAGGAAAAAAATGCTGTGAAATTATCATTCAGAAATGAAGATATCAAACAGTTTCAGGTTCTAAGACAACCTATCCTAAATTAATGACTAAAGAGAAATCTCTAAATGGAAAGGAAATGATAAAAGGATACACTGTCAACATCAGGAAGAAAGAAGAATACAACAGATAGAACAAAAATATGCATAAATATGACATATTCTTTTACTCTTCTTAAATGTTCTGAATTCTGTTAGATGATGTAAGCAAAATTTATAAAACCATCGAATGTAGTTACATTAAGTGTAAATTGTGAAAATAATTGAGACCATATCTAAAATAATATTCTTTCCAATATAATGGTATAAATAGCTTAAAACTAAAAAAAAAAAAAAAAGACACATCATGTAAAGATTAATCCAAAGAAAATAGGAGTAGCTATATTACTTGTTTTGATATAGCAGATTTCAAAACAAGGCAAATTATCTGGGATAGGTAAATATTTGATAATGACAAAGGGTCAATTTATTAAGAAAACAGAGTTTTCTAGGCGCTCAAGACAGTGTGGTGATTCTTCAAGGATATAGAACCAGAAATCCCATTTGACCCAACAATCCCACTAATGGGTATATACCCAAAGTATTATAAATCATTCTACTATAAAGACACATGCACACATATGTTTATTGCAGCACTATTTACAATAGCAAAGACTTGGAACCAACCCAAATGCCCATTAATGATAGACTGGATAAAGAAAATGTGGCACAAATATACCATGGAATACTATTCAGCCATAAAAAAGAATGAGATTATGCCCTTTGCAGAGACATGGATAAAGCTGGAAGCCATCATTATCAGCAAACTAACACAGGAACAGAAAACCAAACACCACATGTTCTCACTCGTAATTGGGAGTTGAACAATGAGAACTCATGGCACAGGGAGGGGAACATCACACACTGGGGCCTGTCGGGGGGTAGGGTGTAAAAGGAGAGAGAGCATTAGGACAAACACCTAATGCATGTGGAACTTAAAACCCAGATGACGGGTTGATAGGTGCAGCAAACCACCATGCACATGTATACCTATGTGTCTATATATGAACCTGCATGTTCAGCACATGTATCCCAGAACTTAAAGTAAAATTAAAAAGAAAACAAAAGTTAAAATAAAGAAAACATAGTATTCCTTAATGTGAATGCACCAAACAACAGAGGAGTATGTGTGAAGCAAAGAGATAAAACTGAAAGGGGAAATAACCACATTCACAATAATAGCTCGAGATTTCAACACTCTTCTCAACAAATAGAAAACTGAGAGATAAAAATCAGTAATGATACAGAATTCAATAATACCATCAACCAATAGGATCTAATTGCCATTTATAGAAAATGCCCATTTAAAAACAGCAGAATATATATTCTTTTCAAGTATCTGTAGAACAGGTACAAAATATACAATATCCTCATATATAAACCTAAACAATAAATAAATAAATAAACCTCAATAATGATAACTATTGAAATTATTCAGAGTTTTTTGACTGAAGTGGTAGAAAACAACAGAAGTTTAAAATGCAATTTGGCTCAGTGGAGAATGGTACCCATTTAAACATTTGATGCTGGAGCAATTGAAACTCCATAGAAAAATCTCCCAATTTTTGTTCTAAACTTTATAATTTTTACAACAATTAGCCCAAAATATCTCACAGACTCTCAGATTTAAAACTGTAAAACCTTTAGGAAAATAAAGCAGAAAATTTTCAGGACCTAGGGCAAGGTAATGAGTTCTTAGCCTTGACATCAAAACTACTATTCATAAAAAAAAAATAGATTGATGAGTTGGATTTCATAAAAATTAAAAGCTTGCTTTCTGAAAGATTCCGTTAGGTTTAGAAGACAACTGCAGACTGGAAGAAAATATTCACAAAGCATTTTGGATAACAGTTTGGCAATTTCTTTCTTTTTGTTTTTTGTTTGTTTGTTTTGTTGTTGTTGTTGTTTTGTGTTTTTTTTTCAGACGGAGTCTCGCTCTGTCGCCCACCCAGGCTGGAATGCAGTGGCGCGATCTAGGCTCACTGCAAGCTCCGCCTCTGGGGTTCATGCCATTCTCCTGGGCAATTTCTTTAAACATACAATTACTGAACTGAAAAATGCTGTCTTGGTGTTTTTCTTGGAAAAATAAAAACCTATGTTTATACAAGCACTTGTATATGAATGTTCTTAGCAGTCTTATTCATGTAAGCCCCAAACTGAAAACAACCCATATTTCTTTCAAAGAGTGAATAGTTAAACAGACTGAGGTACATATCTACCATGGAATACTACTCAGATAAAAGGGAATGAACTACAACAATATGGATGAATTTTGGAAATTTATGCTGAGTAAAAAAGGCGATTACAAAAGATTGCGTAATTTATTCATTCCATTCATGTAACACTTTGAAAAGTTAAAATTTCAGAAATAGAGAACAGAGTATGAGTTGCCAAGGGTTAGGGCATAATGGGAGGAAGGAGGAGATTGAGTGTGATTATAAAAGGGTAACTCAAGGGACCCTTGTGATTAAACTCTTCTGCATCTTGACCGTGATGCTTGATAATACAAACTTACATGTGTTGAAATTGTATAGAACTGAACATCTACACATGCAAACACACACATAAATAAAAACAACTAAAATTGCAGAAATCTGAATAAGATAAGTGGATTGTATCAGTGCCAATATTCTAGTTGTGGTACTGTAATTTACTTTTGTAAGATGTTACCATTGGTGGAATTACACAAAGGGTAAAAGAAACCTCTTTGTATTATTTTTTCCAACTGCAATATTTTAATAGTCAATATTAAAAATCTATTCAATGTAATTCCCCATATTAACAGACTAAAAAAGTAATAGCACATGATCAAATAAACTGAGGGAGAAAAGCATTTAACAAACCATCAGCTATGTGTATAAAACCGCTCAACAAACTAGTAATAGATGGGAACTTTATAAAATGAGAAATAGCATCTAAAAAACCATACAGCTACCATTATTCTGAATGGTAAAAGACAAAATGCTTTCCTTCTACAAGTGTAAACAAATCCAGGACGTCCACTTTTTCACCACTTCTATTTAACATTGTACTGGAGGTTCTAGCTAGTGCAATAAGATGAGAAAAAAATGAAATAAATTAAAACATACAAAGTTTAAAGGAAACAGTAAAACTGGCTTTATTTGCAGATGTTATCTGCTATGCAGAAAATCCTAAAGAATCCACACATATTTGTCGCATTTATATTTATATAAATATATATAATATATATATAAATATATAATCTATTCAATGTAATTCTCCATTAGAGACTTATATACTAGAAACTATAAAACATTGTTGAGAAATATTAAAGGAGACTGGTATAACTGGAGAGATTTTCCCATGTTCATTGATTGAGTCTCAATACTGTGAAGATGACGACTCTCTCCCAATTGATCTCGAAACTTTTTGTAATTCCTATTACATGCCAGCAAACTCTTTTGATAGAAATCGTCAAGCTGATCCTAAAATTTGTATGAAAAATAAAAGTGCTAGTGTAGTTAAAAACTTTTTAAAAATTGAAGTCTCTCCTTATCACCCATGATGGCGTGTAGTGGTATGATTTATTTATTTAGAGACGGAGTCTCACTCTGTTGCCTAGGCTGGAGTGCAGTGGCGCGATCTCGGCTCGCTGCAAGCTGCGCCTCTCGGGTTCACGCCATTCTCCTGCCTCAGCCTCCAGAGTAGCTGGGACTACAGGCGCCCGCCACCACGCCTGGCTAATTTGTGTTTTTTGTATTTTTAGTAGAGACGGGGTTTCACCGTGTTAGCCAGGATGGTCTCGATCTCCTGACCTCGTGATTTGCCCGCCTCAGCCTCCCAAAGTGCTGGGATTACAGGTGTGAGCCACCTTGCCCGGCCAATGGTATGATTTATTATAACTCACTGCAGACTTAAACTCCTGAGCTGAAGTGATCCTCTCACCTTAGACCCTTGAGTAGCTGGCACTCAGGTGTGTGCCACCATGGCTAGCTAATTTTTAAAATCTTTTTTGTAAAGACAGAGTCTTGATTTGTTGCCCAGGCTGGTCTTGAACTCCTGGCCTCAAGTGATCCTCCTGCCTCAGCCTCTCAAAGCTCTGGAGTTACAGGTGTGAACCACCATTCCCTGCCTCAAAATAACTTTTAAAAAGAACAAAGTTAGAAAACAACAATACCTGGTTTAAAAACTTATTAAAACCATATAAGACAGTGTAGTACTGGCACAAGGAAAGGAAGATAGATAATGCAACAGAATTTAGAGTTTACAAATAAAGAGAACTCAATAAAGATGACAAAAAGAGTCAATGGGAAAAGGATAGCCTTTTAAAAAAGTAGTGCTGGGACAATTGGATATCCACATGTGTTAATTAATAACTTAAAAAAACTTTGACTCCTTCTAACACCACCACAATTAATTAAAAATAGACTTCAGATCTAAATGAGTAAAAACTATAAAACCTCTAAAAAAATAGAAAAAAATATGGAACAAACACCCTCATAACTTTGGGTTATGCATCCTTAGATATGCAAAAAGCATGATCCATAATAAAATAAAATAATGATATATTGAAATCACCAAAGTTCAAAACTGTGTTTCAAAAAACATGATTAAGAAAATAAAAAGACAAGTCACAGACCGGGAGATAATTTGGCAAGTCATGTGCCTGATAAAGTAATTGTATCTAGAATATGTAAAGAACTCTTACAACTCAATTAAAGGAAGACATACAACACAATTTTTAAAAGGCAAAATATATTAATAGAAATTCCACCAAAGAAAACATGTGAATAGCATACATTACATCAAAAGATGCTCAACATCTTTAGTCATAAGAAAAACGCAAAGTAAAACCACAGTGAGAGATTATGACACATCCATTCAAATGGCTGTAATCCAACAGACACACAATGTCAAGTGGTGGCAAAGATATGAAGAAACTGGAATTCTCACATATTGCTGGTAGGAATGTAAAATGCCTCAGGCACTTCAGAAAACCTTTTGGCAGTTTTTTAGAAAGTAAACATTAATTTAGCATATGAAACAGAAATACATTTCCTAGGAGTCTACCCAAGAGAAATGAAAATATACTCCCACACAAAGATATGTACACAAGTGTTCATGACAACATTATTCTTTAGTACTAAAGTGTAGAAACAATCCAAATGTCCACTAACTAATAAATGGATAAAATGTGGTGTATGTGTACAATGCAATCTTATTTAGCAATTAAAAGGAATGAGCTACTGATACATGACCATCAAAACCATTATGCTCAGTAAAAAAAGCCAAATGCAAAAGACTGCGTATTATATGATCCCAGTTATTTAAAATGTCTAGAAAAGGCATATTTAAACAAAAGCACATCATTGGTTGCCTAGAACTTGGGCACGAGAGTAAGGATTAACTGCATACGAGGCACAAGGGAACTTTTTGGGCAGTAGAAATGTTCTAAAACTGGATTTTGGTGATGTTTGTACATCTGCATAAATAATATACCGATATCATTAAATTGTACATTTATATAGGTGACTATTATGGTATGTAAATTACTTATCTCAATAAATCCATTACAAATGAACACTGATATTACCTATGGCACTTATTTAAACAAATGTATACTACACAGGTTTTGCAATAACGTCATTTAGTTCACCATCATTTCATTGTAATGTTGATGAGAGAAAGATGGATTCTCTGCGGGCCACAGTCTGTGTGGAGTTTTGGCTTCTCCCCATGTCTGTTTGTGTCTTTTCTGGGGACGCAAACATTTATTCCTTGATTCAGCTCACTACCACTATTACTATCGTCACTCACTGATTCACCATAAATTGGGTAATTGTCTTACTTTTTTTATTAATCTTTCTTAAATGTATATGTAGCTCACATTTATTTCAGTGTTCAATCTTGGCAGTGTTTTGGGTCTTTAGAAGTTCAGTGATGTTTTTGTGACCAGAAATATGCTATAGGAACTGAACTCTCATTTTTATCAATTAGGCTATGGTAAAATTGGTTTCATTATAATCATTTTGCCTAAAGTAGCAGTTTCCAATAACCTATCAAAGACATTAAGTGAGGTCTTACCATATACTAGGGAAAAAACCTAAGTCCTTCATTCTACAATTTTATGATCCAGAATTTTGATGACTACTCACTTACTTTGTTTTGTTTTCTATATTGTATGATGCTCATTGTTTATGTCATCATTTTCACCTGAACAGATTCATTTGATAAATGAATAATATGTGCTGTAAAAGAAATTTGAAAACTTAAATTTTATGTTCTTTTTTCAGCTTACATTTTTGTACAATGCATTGATTCTATCATTTGTTAGAAACATGGTTCATATTCTAGTTTTTCCTGATGCTTCTATAGTTCTTTGAGCAGGTGAACATGCAGATATGTAGCTATCTTTATCAAGAAACATTTGTTTAATGTCTCCCTGTGCATACTTATATTAAATATTCAATTTATTAATTTTGTTTTTTGCATCCTTGTAGGGTAAAACTTGCTATAACAGTATTTTCTCATGCAATATTCTAAAAGTATAAATTAGAGGAGGCCTCAGTAATGCTGCAGTACTAGCAGATGCAGAGTGAGAGAACGACAATAAGCTAGAGGAAGCACTGAAACCAAAAAACTTTGCTCCTGAGGATAGCTAGAAACAAATCCTGTTTTCTGGTCTTTAATATCCAGCTCTGTTTTACTAATTTTACTCATTTTCTCTTTACTCATTATTTTACTCATTTTCTCTTTAGGTTAATACACACACTTTTAATTTTAGTATCAGATCATCACCTAAAAGCCCTTTTTATGCATCTTACCTGCACCTAATGGCATGCAGAACTGGTTAAACATATGTGGTCTTTAACCTCTAAAAGCATATAGTTTAAGACAAGTAGCACATATATGAAAGGCATCTGAACAATTAAATACATATTATTCTAATATTAGGTTTTAGTTCTTAAATTATGCTTTAAATATGTACTTTTCATTAATATTTTATGAAACTATTAGCGGGCATTCACACAGACATTAAGTCATTTCATTTCACATTAATTTTTATTCATTTTTATAGCTCCATATAAGAGTTTCTCAGTGAGGTATGAAGAAATGTAAGGGATGGCACAAAGACTTTAGACAGATAGTTTAAAAATTAGACATCATTTTTTTGTTGCTGTTACTTTGATTTATTTTGAGGATGTGTCTTGTTTTTGGAGGGTTTTTTTTAGTCTTAGAGAAAATGGCCAGCCAGTTTTAACAGCCCTGCCATATTCCCAGGTGTCTCCAGTAATGTTGGAAGTCTTGTTTCTTTGCTGAATGTGTGGGAGTTCACTGGCCAAGCAGTGAATCACGCAGGGGAAGAGGAGGAAAAGAAAGCCTAGTGGGACAGAGGAATAAGTACTCATTCTGTAATCATCTTCTCCACTGCAGAAAAAAATTGGCAAATGCTGTCATGAATTAAATCCCTCATATGAAGGCAAAATATCTTCAAGTAAAGCCCAATGGAAGTAAAGAATTTTGATGAAAGGAATGTATGTTAAACATACAGATAGTGCTATCTCCAGTTCTCTGGTGGTGAAACCAACTGATGCTTTTAAAGAGTTATAGGAATCTCAGCGGGGACCCATGATTGCTGTTCCAAAGCATAAAAAAGGAAAGAAGGGTATTATTGATCAGGAAAAAATTAAATTAACTTTACATGAAGGGGAATGGAGAAATGAGCCAGTGGAATGCAGTAAGATATTTATATTGTGTTTATTGAATACCACAAATGCTTAATAAAAGTGCCTCATATTTGTATGCCACTTCTTGATAACGGTTGGAAGTTTGATAAAAAAAATAATGACCTATTTTTTACATCAACAGGAAGAATATCTAGAGTAGGTAGACTTTTGTCCTTATTAATTCAAAATTGCTACACTTTTTTTTTTCAGGCTCAGACCACATATCAGACGTTAGCCCTCCTATACTCTTATTTCCTTTTTCCCCTTCCTCTTTGCTCTGTGGATGATAAGCTATTGATGAAATCAATAGCTGTGTAGAAGAAGAAGATATAACATTCCCAGAGACTCTGGAGACAGGAAATAGAAGCAACAATTCATTTTTCTGTCTCAGTTTAGATTGTATTTATACCACCTGCTATGCCTGTGGGAATGGAATCTATAGTAGCGTCTTTAGACACAAACTTTCTCTTACTGACTTTCCTCTTTTTATTCAGTGTGATGGGATTTTTTTTTCTAAGAGAAGTAGCCTATGGCACTTGGCTAAGAGATGAGACTTCAATGAGATATAGGAGACAAAGAGTGACAAATTAAAATGACAAGTCTGTCTTATAAGATTGTGATCTAGTGAAATGAAGTATTTCTGGCCCAGTCAATGTAGACAGCATTATGCTATGTGGTAATAGATTGCAAGACCTGGGCAGCCTGTATATGTCTTTCAGATAACTGAGTTTGTCACTATCAACACTCTTTCAAATTGTGTCTTTCCTGGCTTTTGAGAATATGAGTTTAGACAAAGGTTTTCATATACATCAAGTATTTAGGGATAATTTATTTTTTGTTTAAAAGTCTGTTTATCAAAGAAAAATTTTAATAATATATTAGTCATTGGCATAATATTAATCCAAGAAGAAGCCTTAAATTAGGTAACTAATAGCCCTAAAAGTGATGGTGAACTTTGGCACTGTGTCTTATTGAATGTCTTGTTACATCTGCTTCCTCATAACTCTAAGAGGTGGTTGACCACACACTCTGCTGAGCTTCAGTCCTGCCTGCTGGATATCTCCAGCTGGTGTTAACACCATCATTCCAAATTCAATATACCTTAAATAAAACATATAAATTTCTTCTTTAAAAATTAGTGGAAATGCCTTTGCACATTATCATGCAGAAGTTTAAATTGAGTTTAATCTGTATTTACCTGCCTAGTTCCAAATGGGGAAGAGAAAGAAAGTAGATTTAAGCACACTCTAATAGGAGAAAATTTGGAATCATCTCTCATATGTCCTTCTTTTTCATCCCCTGCATATGACTTGGTAAGTCACCTAGTCTTATACAAGTATTTGTTTTTCTGCAATGTTTCTTATAGTGTTCCCCTTTCTAGTCCTACTGCTTCCTTCCTGATCCAAACCGTAATTTATTTCAGAAGTAAGAAATATAATCCATATGAGTCCTCTAATAGTGTTATAAAAATACTTTGGAACACTGAGCATGCATAAGAGTAATTTTTTTTCCTTTTATTAAAGTTCCTCCTGATAATTGTGGCCAATTATATTAGTACATAGAAAAACCAGCCAACCATAATAAGTTATATTTGTTGTATATCTTAGAAATATTCTAAGATTTATTGACACTTTGAGCCAAGAGAAAGTGATTCTCATAAAGTAATGGGTATCTCTAGTTGTAGATGGCCATGTTTATCTCCCTCTCAAGGATTATACATGTATCCTTTGGCTGGTTGCAAATATTTAGTTGTTTCCTAGCTTATTGATGCAATCACTGTGAAAACTAGAGAACAGTGTGCTTCTTTCAGAGCTATGTGACAGTTGTAGTAATGTCAAGAATATTATTATATTTGTGTCTTTACTTAAATGTCATGTTCATTTTCCCCAGTAAGACTATGCATTTCTTTTTTTCATATACAGTATGAGGAGTATTTCAGATGATTTCTTTTCTCCAAAACTAAATACTAAAAATTTAGATAGTAACAAAGTTGAATAAATTAATGTTGCCAGAATGAATTGTTGCAGAAGTCTAAGACTTCCTAAGATTCAGGAATGTTAGGGCATCTCTTTCATACCCATCTCTAGGAGTGAGTTTGTAACAACAACACTGGATACAAATGGGTTTGAGCAAGGCAGTGTTTTGAAATTCAGAAAAAAAGGAAAAGTCAAGGTAGAGTTATCATTCTTGGTAATAACTGAGTTCCTTATGCTGAATAAGGAAAGTTTCTATACATGTTTCCATAATACGAGGAAATAGGAATTACTCCTGAAAGTCCCCATCTTTACCCCATTGTCTTATTTTTCAAAAATATATATTGTTTTAATCAGTTCCCATTTTTTGATGTTTCCAGTGTATTCAGTAGAAAAAAATAAAAGGTAAATCATAAAATGTCAAAAAGAAATTTTAAACACTCACATAAAATACAAAATCCAATTGTGGATTACTTTTCAGAGCCAGGCAGAGGCAGATTAGAATGGTTACATGTAATCTATCTTTGGTAACATTAGTGTTTTTAAATTATATATTGTCCAACATTTTTTTACTAGTACCAATGGGGGAAAAGATGAATTACACTGACATCAAAGATAATACTATATGAATGAGCTCAATTATGGTTATAGTAGGCTCAATTAGATTTAAGATGAATAAACAATTTTAATAAATTGAATTAATTAGATTGGGCTTAAGTGTGCAAGTAGTCAATTTTCTGAAATAATGCACAATAATTTCTTCAAGAAGTGATGGTGTGTAATTGCCTGAAGTCAGAGGATAAAAAAGAGAAAAGGCTGAAAATCCATTATGTTTGTGTTAACAGTCTAACTAAACTAATTAAATGCTATCTGAATTTTCACACCTCTATTTCGTGATCTTTCTTGCCCCAAACCTCCCAGCCTCAAAAGCAACAAACAAAAAAAGCATTTGAAAGAGAACAGTACTAAATATACTGCAAAAAAATCCCATTTTGAAAGTCATCTACTCTTATTTTATCCACCTTTATGTGTTTACATTACTTGACAACAACTTTTCTTACATACTCTATATATAAACTTATGTAGTAATCATTTATGTGCACACAGATAAAATAATATTTTCTATACAGCTGTCAACTTACCCTGTCTGTGTTATGTGCATAACTTTTTTTAAACTTAGTACTGAGAGAATGCTCAGATATTCTTGAAAAGCTTGGAAAATCTGCAAATTTGAACTTTTAATAAAAATTTCACATCAAATACCAATACTCAGTCCTCCACGTTTGTTACAAAACATTGTAAATGTGTAAAATGATTTCTTTAGTTTCTATCCGGATTTCGAGACATTAATCTCTCAATTATAGCTAGAATTAACTTTCAGACAGCTTCACTAACTAAGATCCTCTCTTTTATACTTGATTTTTAAAGAAAAAGTTATATGAAAATAAACAAGTTTTGTATGTAAGAAGTTATGTTTATTTAAATAGGAAAGTGACCAATAGCCAACAAAAATCAAAGCCAAAGTTATTACATTGAACCATATAAAATAGCTAATATTTAACTATTTCTGTCTTACACAAATGGTTCTTTAACATGACTTAACTTGATTTTATTCTGGTTGGAGTAAGAATTCCTCATTTCCTCTGTATTCCAGTTAATGGAGGCAGTATAATATAATGAAAGAACTCCCAAAAGCCTCACAATTTTTATTACCATTTTAATAAGTCAAGATACCAACTGTACCTTTGAAAATTTGAAGAGTATTCTATAATATATCTTGATTTCCAAATAACACTGTCTTCTATGTCACTATAATAAAATTTAGTTTATTCAAAGTACAATTATTCCCATAGTATATTTTAGTTTCTCTTCTAGAAGATATGTTGATATTGCTCAACAATTAGTTTTAGAAAGATATGTCTAATTGTGATTTGCTTTGTATAATGTAATTTAAATTTCACTTGTAAGAAGAGAGAATATTCATAATATTTTATATTTCAGTAATTATATTTGCATTAAAATTATTTAATACAATATTTATAACATGTAAAATATAATAAAATCATGATGTTTTTCATGGTTCATCTATAATTTCTGAAGCACTTTAGAGTTGATGAAACAAATCTAGCTGTGAACAATTTTTATATTGTTATTACTAAAAATTATTTGTTGATGACTTTTCATCCATGATCCGTGAAAAAAACTGATTCTGAAAATACATAATGAATTTAAACTGAAAACACATAATGATTTTAAACAAATTAGATACTCACAAACCACAAATAGTGTTATACTCTAAGAGATGAAGCTGCTATTAGTCAGTGTTATATACATGAACTGAAATCTGAAAATGATCTTGTATTGCTATCCCAAATCTGAAAATGATCTTGTATTGCTATCCCTCTTTCATGCTCTCTGGTGTAAGATTTGTCTGGCTAATCTCTCAGGTTGAGTTCTGACCAAGAAGTGACATTGAAGTTCAGCAGGACACATTTCCTGTATATATCCATGGCTGGTTGCTCAACTGATGAGAACACATAGCTAGTAAACCCAAGGTCAAGAGTTCACTACTGTGTGGACCCATTTGCTTTGTTGTATGCAATGGTTATGGATCACACCCCACATCACAGGTACTTGCACTTATATGTTAGCTGTCACAAGGGAAATCCATGTGATGGTGTTTGGAAGGATGAAAGCAAACTCATATGCACAACTGAGAAAATCACTCAGTAAGTACTCACTGGAGACACAGTCCACATCTTCTTCACCCTGAATTCCTGCTGTTCTTTTTTCACAGACTCTTCCCACCTTCCTCCATCCCTCAGAGCAGGACAGTGATGGGACTCTTCAAGTTGGTGGAAAGAACTACTCACTAATCACATTCTCCCACTCTGTCACTGTTGGGAACAGGCCCCCCAAAATCTGGCCATAAACTGGCCCCAAAACTGGCCATAAACAAAATCTCTGCAGCATTGTGACATGTTCATGATGGCCATAATGCCCACGCTGGAAGGTTGTGGGTTTAGGGGAAGGAGGGCAAGGAACAGCTGGCCCACCCAGGGTGGAAAACCGCTTAAAGGCATTCTTAAACCACCAACAACAGCATGAGCGATCTGTGCCTTAAGGACATGCTCCCGCTGCAGATAACTAGCCCAACCCATCCCTTTATTTTGGCCCATCCCTTCATTTCCCATAAGGGATACTTTTAGTTAATCTAATATCTATAGAAACAGTGTTAATGACTGGCTTGCTGTTAATAAATACGTGAGTAAACCTCTGTTCGAGGCTCTCAGCTCTGAAGGCTGTGAGACCCCTAATTTCCTACTTCACACCTCTATATTTCTGTGTGTGTGTCTTTAATTCCTCTGGCGCCGCTGGGTTAGGGTCTCCCTGACCCAGCTGGTCTCAGCATGTCACAACCACAGTAATGAAAGGGTGAATGTAAAACTATTCGTAACTATTACGAATTTTGTTCTTCTAGCCTTTATGTATGTATTTTGAGTTTTAAATAATGTCCTTAAGAATACAAAATTTCTCAAATCAAGAGTCATAAACTCCACAAATGCAGGAAATTCTCATACATTGTGAAAGAAATTATAGGGGTCAAAAATGAAATTGTTCTTTCTAATCACTTATAAGATGATTTTATAAAACCGTGCCTGCCATCACCATTTAGATATAATCTCAGGGAATATTATTTAGAGATGCTTGTTTTTAAAATACAAACATGAAAATAACCAATGATATGAACGAGTGTGGTGGTGCACATGCGTAGTCCCAGCTACTGAGGAGGCTGAGGCAGGAGAATTGCTTGAGCTTGGGAGGCAGAAGTTGCGGTGAGCTGAGATCATGTCACTGCACTCCAGCCTGGGAAACAGAAATGAAACCATGTCTCAAAAAAAAAAAAGTAGTTACTGGTTAGTGCTGGAATGGAAGCCTCCGAATAAAAAGACATGGAATAGCTCCAAACCCAAATAATAGTTTATAAGTAAATCAGAGTAAAATTTGCAAATAAAATTTTGAAGGTCTAAATATAAGATTATTAAGATAGTATTACTTAGGCATATTAATCTACAAGCTTTCATGTAAATGTTAAAAGTAATGTCACTACCAAATAGGATAACATCCTTGTGGTAATGAAGTATTTCTTACACACGTCTCCAAAAATACAAAACAGGATCATATTTTACACTTAATAAAGAACTTATGAAATAAAAATAGAAAGACAGGAAACAAGCTAGAAAAATGGGCAGATAGAACATTGCTATTAGTAAGGAGAAGAATGCAAATTAAAATAGCAATACCTCAGCTGGGCGCAGTGGTTCCTGCCTGTAACCTAGCACTTTGGGAGGCTGAGGTGAGAGTACCACTTGAGCCTAGGAGTTTGAGACTAACCTGGGCAACATGGCAAAACCCTTTCTCTATAAAAAATATAAAAATTAGCTGGGCGTGGTGGTGTGTGCCTGTATTCCCAGCTACTTGAGAGGCTGAAGTGAGAGGATTGCTTCAGTCCAGGAGTTCAAGGCTGCAGTGAGCCATGATGGTGCCACTATACAGAGGCTCAAAAAAAAAAAGGGAAGAAGAAGAAAGCGATTCTCTACCTGTAGTAATATGCTACTACATATGAAATGCATTGTGCAAGTTTCCTACCATGGGACCTCACAATCCTACCCTTGCTCGTGTCCTCCAGACAAACTCTTGCTTGCTTAGGTTCATAAGGGGATATATACAAGGGTGCTTTACTGTGTGCTGAGCGGGGAGGGCAGAAGCAATCTAAGAGTCCATCAATAAGGAGACGGGTAAGTAAATGTGTAGATGCACAGAATGAAATACAATGCAGCAATCAGAAAAAATTAACTAGAAGTAACTAGAGGGAGAAAAAACTTTAAAACTTAGGGCTGAGTGAAAAAACAAACATACAAAACCTAGAAAATAAAAAAAATAAGGACTATAGTATAACAGGCATTACATAAATGTAATATCTTGATGTACTCAAAACAATCTTTTTAAGGATTCTTACATACCTATTTACCTTTATATTTAGAGTGCATGCCTATTGGGAAGAGGAAAAGAAAAAGAAAAATGAAGACAATGAAGAACAAAACAAATAGATTTAACAGAGATGGAAGACGATAGTGTGTCATAAACTGAGAAATTTAACTTTTTCCTTTACATCTGAGGTTATAAAAGAGAAAGAAAATGGAAGAGGAAAAAAAAAGGTAGAAGTTATAGAAGAAGAAGAGAGGCAGGAGCAAATATGTTAATCCTGTGCTGCGTAAATTGTTAAGGATATCATTTTAGGTAAATGTTTAACTCAAAGCAAAAGTGAAGTCAACTTTCTCAGAACATCCACTGACACCAGTGTGTTCAGGGGATGGGAATGGTAAGAGTTTCCCTTGTGCTTTCAGCAAACATGCTGCTCGTTCTCATTCATCACAGGCTCCCTATGCACATCCTGGCAATGAAAGTCTCTGATTTTATTAATTCAGAATTGTTTTTCTGATAAAAGTATTTGTGTCATGACATGCCCATATGACTTTGAATACATTTGATGAACTATTAGAATCTTAAAAGAGTACTTTGGGTATATTGAGTGTGATTAGAAAAAGTGCTACTGATTGCCCTACAGCTAAACTCTTTATTAATTTGTACCATGCAATTTCTCGTTTGAAATTCATAGGCATTTAGAAAATTAATTCTTCACAGAGAGAGAATAATTCAGGTGGTGAACTCAGTAGAAGAAAGGCCTTTTGGGTATTTACTTTGGACACATTATCCCCAGCAGACCTGAGTGAAGAGCACTCTGAACAATTTGCTGCAAGAATTCTTTCAGCAATTCAAGTTCAGACATTGGCCTTCATAAGCTTATGGTGAATGAATAATTCTTGCATTTACATAGGTCTTTGCATTTCAGAGTCCTAAAGTACTTTGCATCGTACACCTGATTTAAGTGGGCAGAAGAATGAAATCTCAGAGGCTAGGGGCAAAGCAACCTTGATCTATTAATGACAAAGACAGAAAAAAAAAAAAAAGAAAGAAAGAAAGAAGAAGAGAAAAAAAACCCACCAGTTCTTCCTCAGTGGTAGAAATCAGTGTTGACAGGATAATCTTTCACAGAGAAGCCCACTGTGATATCACAAGCATAAGATTATAGGCAAATTTTCTGCCAGCCAGTTATGTGAAAACTTCAAACTGAATTCTGTTCTTGGTGATTTCAACTCAGTTCTCACAGGGGTATTGTGGCAGAAATATCAAAGTGCAAAATTGACTTTGGAGCATAAGGATATGAAATAAGATCTGGTTTCCATAGAAAAGGCAGTGGAATGATTAAACTCATATGCAATAACTATTTAATGGTTCCATGTTTTTTCACATAACTCAAAGTAACAAAAATAAATTCACAGGGCATCACAAAATCAGTGTATATCCAGCTGAAACCATAGTTCGAAGATACTAATCTCTAAGATTTTTTCAAAGCGAGTAAGAACAGACATACCTTGGAACTCAGTCTTGGCCAGTAGAGTATAATGTGGCTTTATACTGTATGTATTTATATGTATAGCTACACACTTATACTTTTAGAATACAACACAATAACACTAATGCACAGACTTCATACACACACACACATAGACGCACACCATGGGCAGCTTCCTGTGAAATAAAAGCATAAATTTGGTGACACTTGAATTAAACACACTTGTGTCTTTATTTTTGCAAAAAATCAATATTCAGTTGACTAGAGAACATTAACAGTATCTGTCAGGTAAAATATTTTAAGTTTTGTTTATTATATTACCATTGTTCATGCTGACCAAAATTCTTAGAAAAGTTAGTGGATGATACCTTAAAACATTCTTTTCAAGTCTGTGGTTTCTCCTTTCTCTGTAAACATGTTTTAATATTGAGACTAAGCCAGTCATGGAGAGACTGATTTTTTAAGTTGATGATTACATTGTTCATGACACTATTGGCAAATCAAAACTCTCTCCTGAGCCAAGGAAAGGGACAAAGTGTATCTGTTTGCTTTTTGTTGGTGATGTATTAAGAAACATAAATGGTTCTTAACAATAACAATTTCTAATGAGAATCTATGTTGGGAAATGTGTGACAGTGCAAGTAGAAACTAATAATTTGACCTAAGTTAGGCAGTTGATTTACATTAGCTGAGATGTATAACATTCAAGGTATGTCTGTGTGAGTGTTGACTATTTACTTATTAATAGTTTTATTAGTTTCTTTCTTCCTTCTTTTTTTTTTTTTTTTTTTGTGGCAGAGTTTCACTCTTGTTGCCCAGGCTGGAGTGCGATGGCTCGGTCTTAGCTCACTGCAACTTCTGCCTCCAGGGTTCAAGTGATTCTCCTGCCTCAGCCTCCTGAGCAGCTGGGATTACAGGCACCTGCCACCACAACTGGCTAATTTTTGTATTTTTAGTAGAGACAGGATTTCACCATGTTGGCCAGGCTGGTCTCAAACTCCTGACCCCAGGTCATCCTCCTACCTTGGCCTCCCAAAATGCTGAGATTACAGGCATGAGCCACCATGCCTAGCCAGTTTTTATTAGTTTCTTAACTGCAAATAACTCTCCCATCCTTTGTTTGTTTGTTTGTTTGTTTTGAGATAGGTTCTTGCTCTGTCACCTGGGCTGGGGTGCCATCATAGCTCACTGCAACCTCTACCTCCTAGGTTTCAGTGATCCTCCCGCCTCAGCCTCCTGCATACTGGAACTGCAGGTGCATGCTACCATGCCTGACTACCTACCAGTCTTTAGCAAAATTTACATCTGTTAATATTTGTACATAGGATGAATGGTGCTGATTCATTTTTGATAATGAGATGATAGTCAAATATGGCAAGCTTACCCTCCCTGCCAATCTTATGTCTAACACTTGCTTTTCTGATACTTTCTTACTACTTACTTTAAAATAAAATAATATGGTCTACTACTAATATGGTCTACGAATTTCCTAAATAGGTGTCCTGGGAAAAGAGTCAGTTTTAGAAATAAGTAGGTTAGAAAGCTGTTGCACATCTGTGGCCAATTCGGAACAGATATCTACAACCTTTCAGCCATAGACACTGCTGTATGTTGCCAGCTTTGTAAACATCTTTAAGTAACAAAGTGAGTGAGGGGGTGGGGAGTAGTGATACTGTAGCAACCAGATTAACAGCACACAGCATTGTTCTCTTTAATTTCTAGTTTTTTAAAAATGCACGAATTATTAATTTTCTTAGCCCATATAGAAGAACAAAAGAAATCATTCAAATGTCTATTACCACCTATTATCTGAGACTGCATTAAGGAGGTGCTGGTCAGCTTGGCTTCATTTGTCCTCCAGATGCCGCAGAGATGTGAGGCCAGGCCAATTGGGGTTAAAGCAGGCAGGGAACTGATACAGCTGGGGATCATTAAGAGTGATCAAGGGCCAGCAAGGAGAAAAAGTCAGCCGAAAACAAGGCTGAGAGCTCTTCCAGGCAGAGCAGCAGAGTAATGTGCGTTCAGGAAACAGCCTAACCCCATCCAGTGAACTTTGTTGATTTAATTAGATTTTGTTTAAAATTCCAGAGTGGGAGAGGCTTGGTCAGCTTTGATGCAAAAATTGGCAGGGGAAAACGATTGCTAATTTTTAAAAGTAACATTATTGGAGCATTTAAGAAATGTTAAAAATCTTCCTTTTGCTGATAAAATATTATCATCATTCCTTGACCAATTGATATCGTGTATTTTAGAGTAGGAGCCTGCTCATTTATGCACTTTAATTTATTGGCTTTCCTGCTGTATCTGTCTTGATTTTCCCTTCTCTCACTATACTTCCTAGATGACATTCTGAATAAATTATTTGCATGAAAATCCTTGTCTTAAGTCTATTTCATGAGACTAAATCAAGACACTGGAATCCCAGTAATTAAATTTGATTTTTACCTCACAGGGATATTTGGGGATCACGTTTGATAATACAAGCAAAAATGGTTTGTTAATAGTAAAGTGATACAAGTGGAAGTTATTCAGTTTCCTCCACCAAAACTATGCATTTAAGACCCCAAACTGATCTTTCTACCTAATATATATGGCAGGTGTATCAAAATAGAGAAGCTTAATAAATATCTGTAGGAAAAATGAAAGACTAAGCTAGCACTCTTGACACTTACTTGGCTACCTGAACTGTTTGGAGAATAAAAGGGCATTTGTTGTCCTCGTAGTCACATATCTACAGAAGATGCTGCTACTGAGTTGTAGCTTCCTCTGTGTTTCTATGAGAGTAGGGGTATAACACAAAACTGGGGGAAAGGAAGGCATCTAAAGGGGAAGATAATGTAGGTAAAACTAGATCCTCATCTATACTGACCCTTGCCTATATAAATATTGCCCTGAGGACAACACAAAGACATAAACAAATTCTGAATTTCTAGAGGCCAAATTATTCTCCAAGGATATGTTAAAACCAAGAAATTTAATGAAGGAAGAGACAAACTCAATTCGTTTTCATTGGTTTTCCATGAAGGCCTGAAACTTTCCTCTCTTCTAGAATTTTGGCTGTTTAGGAATAGCCTACACCATTGTTTTCAAAGTGTAGTCTGCAGACCACAAGCATTATCATCACCTGGGAACTTATTAGAAGTGTAAATTATTGAACCCCACCCCAGACCTATTGAATTAAAAGCTCTGAATTTATGGGCTCAGTAATGTGTGGTTTAACAAGCCTCCCAGGTGATTCTGATACACATTAAAGTTTTAGAATTACTCACCCATAGTGATCTCTTTGAGTTCATTGACGAAGCCCTGCGTTTAATGAGAGAGTCCTGGAACCAGTCCAGTCTGTTGAAATTCTACTGGACCAAAGCTTCCACGTGTTATTAGATCATCTAATGTTGGAGATCTGAGTCACATTATCCAAGATTGCAGGTACCAAAGCAATAGAAGGAAGCATTCAGGATTTCATTGAATAGGACATTGGGAAATCAGGTCATGTATAACTTGGTGAGAATAAGGAAAAGCAGTAGTCTGTGTACATTTCCCAAGGAGAACAAAGTTCAGTTAGCAGTGGGAAAGGATGTGTCTCTCCTAAATGACCGTGGCACAGTTAACAGTCAGGAAATGATACCTTCCTAGTGCTGTATGAACAGCAAAAGAATAGCCTTGCTAATGTACAGCTTCTTTCCCCCAACCTATCTCAATGATATCCAAACGTATCATTTTCTTGGAAATGAAGAATATCACATATTATTATTGATGTTGGTTATTTTGCTTGGTAAATGTCTGGGTGTGACTTCTGTTTATGGTGACTGCTAACATTCTTAATAAACACTTGCTCTTCAATAAGTAAATCTCTCTATTATATTTGAAAAGTATATGAAAGTTGGATATATGGCGGTTCATTTGTATTTACTATTGTGTTTTAATACTTGTCAATATGTTTAAACTTAGTATTCTATGGCCAGTTTAGTGCTTGTACACTGTGGTATTAAAGTTGGGACTGTATTAACATCTGAGATCTTCACATTAAGCTAAATGTGGAAAAATGAAGAAAATATGAACAAAAAAGGTGGAAATAAACAGAGAATTTGTAAGCATACTTTATGAAGAAGGGTAAAGGGAGTTCAGATTAAATGATTTAGAGAAGGGAAGACTGAAGGGTAGCCTACCACTTTCCTTCAAATTTACAGAGAATAGTCACTAGCAGTTCATCTTGTTCAAGGAAAAGAAAATAAAGAATGAGCTGAAATTTCAATATGTAGGATATAGGTTAACTAGAGTGACCTTTTTGGAATTAGGTTAACAATGGAAGATTTCTTCCACAGAAAACTGGGCAGTGACTTGAAGAGAAGGCTGCCTAGACATTTTCATTCCTAGTTCAGGTAAGGGAGTGTTACTGTGGATGACCACTCTTAGAAAGTCTACAAATGGGAAGGTATTATGGGAAGTGACCAGTTATACCTCATAAACTATTCAACTCCAATTATTCATGGAGGTTAAAAGGTATTTACAGTCTTTCACTTAGGAGGTTTTGAATCAATGGCCTACCATTCAACCAAATAGTTGTGTTTTTTTCTAAATTTGATATACTATAATAGCCATCATTATCAAACATTAGTGTTTGAATATTCTCCCTTTGAAATTGTTCCATTTTCAAAATTGATTACTAAATTTTGTAAAACTGTTGTTGAAATTCAAAGACATTGATTAGGATCCAAATAGCTCCTTATCAAAAGGTGTGTTCTTCTTATAATGGGAAGATTGGCAATGTGTCCTGTCTGAAAGAAGGATCAACAAATACCCACTGGAATTCAAATCCAAAGAACTTTTAAGCTCAATAGAAAATCTGAAATGTGTTTGTACTTATTTTTTACACATTTTTGTGTTTAAGCTTATTTTTCATATAACACAGGCATTGAGGAATTTATTAAATTCATCACAAACTTGCTTCAGTAAGAAAAATGTTTGGCATTCATTGTATTTTTAAGTGAAAAAAAAACCTATTAATGCTTGATATTCTTCAGCAACTCTAGGGTAGCTGAAACTTCATTCACATTTGTCGATGTAGCTGGGAGGTAGATAGGTATATGCATATTTCAAAATTTTAAATAGTTATTAAAAACTGAATCCCTCAAGAAGAGTAATTCCAGGATATAATTGACATAGATGAAATCTTTAGACTTGATAAATGATGATACACTGGAGAAATCTTGGTTTGGGATTACTTTAATAAATCCTTGATTTTTAAGTAGAGAACAGTCTTGTATTATGTAACCATTCAGAAAAGTATAGAAACCAAAACTATAGTGCTTCATCCTTATAAATAATTGAATTTCAAATTGATGGACTTATATTCTGTAGTTGTAAGAGTTAACATGGAGGAAGTATTATATGCCAATTTAGATAATAATGATTTGAATGTGTTCACGATGATCATTGCATTATTTTATTACTTGCACATCTGTTAAATAACATTTACAACATAACTATATAAATCCATTAAATAGATAAATGTTTTGATTATCTTTTATTGTTTATTTTTCATCTTCAGGGATTCATTACATTGACTATACCTTTCAAACCATAATCTACAGCTTAATTAAGCCTTGCAGTTATAAATTTTGAGCCAACATATTATGAGAGAAGTTATTGCTTTTGGGGGTACAATATTACTAATGAATGTTTTGCTTGGCAACACCACTGCTGGCATAAAATTCTAAGTCTATCCAAAAGAAACTGGCTTTGATTTCACTATTTAGGAATCATAAGTCAACTTTTTATGTACTGTAAGCTTCTTAGAAATAAAATTCAAACCCATTGATGACTGAGTAAATTTCACAGCTTGTAGAAAAGACACATACCATTGTAATGTGTGAAATTTTAATCAAAAATGTTATGAAGGAGAAAGGTAAACTGACTGCTATAATTAATGTGTTCTGACAGAGATGTAGCTGGCACATTTGTGGACTCTGCTGTGCTATGTTAACTGTTCCATTGCTTGAGGACTGTCAGAGTTTGAGGAGTGCCTATATTATGGTTTCCACGCTGGACACATTTTCCTGATGCGTCAGCTTTGTCGTGATTTGAAATGTGAAGTCATTTCTTCCATGGCTTTTCTATTAATATTTAGTTAGGTGTCATGGGTGCCTGGTGATAGATATGTTATCTTCTTTTTAAAAGCAGCTTCATTTAAAATTGAACTTTATAAGCATTGCTTTTAAAATAAACCACCTTGAGGTTTATTTTTCTGCTATTTAAATATTATCTAGTGTCTTAAAGGTGAGTAAAACTAATGGAGGTAATGAAAAAACTGGGAACTGGACCCTCATACAGCACATCATAATAATATATTTTCATATAATGCCACATATATTTCATAATTAACTAATACTTGCTTGGTTTCACAAAGTAAACCAAATATTTATCCACATATGAAATAAGCTCTGATTTTAAAAAGGACAATTGCTATATACTTATTATATGACAGTAACATCAAATTCATGGATATTTGTAAAATGCTGTTAAAATATTCTCCAAAAGAGCTTTCATGTCAGACACTGGCTTAGATAGTAGCTCTCTATTTCAAAGAGATTCTTCTGAAAATTATAGTAGATTTGGTTCTTGGCTCCGCTGTGTCAATATCCTTGCAGAGATCCACTGCAGACTGTCTCAGAGCACTGCCAGTGTGGTTGTGCAGTAGATAAAAGACATACCTGAAAGGGGAAGACAGATCTGCCACTTAAATTAAATAGGAAATGAATTGGCCAGCAAGTTGGCATGTCTGCTGAGACAAATCATGGACAACATGTCTCTCAGCAACAAAACTTATTTGTTTTCTCTTGCCAACAGATTCATCACTGCCCAGGCAAAACAGGCAAAATACATTAGTGTCATGGTAAACTGATAAAGAGAAGTGCCTCAATCTAGCATCCTCAATGGCGAAAGTCTTAGGGCAGTATTGATCTGTGTTATATAAATCTTGTTTTCTGTCTGCAGAAGTGAATCAGGAATGACCTGCAAGGTTAACAAACATTGTAATGTCTTTCAGCTGGGGCAGATGCCTGTGAGCTCCACACATTGTGTTTGGTCAAGTTCCATCTTGTCATTTTACCGCCAAGAAGCTTAACTAATTGCTGGCAATCATAAGAGTGTTTGACGGAAGGAGAGAATTCCTACAATTTTACCCCCTCTTTCCATCCCCTCTTTTTTTTTTCTTAAGTCTTAACAAGCACTCAAACCCAAGTAGCGGAAAACAATCAACACTGAATTAGTCAGCAGGAGTCTTCACTTAGTTGAAAGTTTATGTAATTGGCATGTCATGTTCTTACATTGCCAAGAACAGACCTGATTAAGCTGATGCACTTTGTTTCAGTAAAGTTTGACAAAGAAACTTTCTCATCCTTTTGAGTTGCATGTCAGGGTATGTGCTTAACATGATTTTCTTCCCCTCACAAGGAACTAATGGCTAAATGTGTATTCTATGAACTGATAAAATCAAAATTCTTAGCAAATAGAGGCCTGATAAAGTTCGTGTTCTGGAGAGAAGGGGAGAGAATATTGGTGGTAAAAGACAATCATCAAGGAAACAAAAATTAGTAGAAAAAGTACAATCAGCCATAAAATATTCTTTATTTTTATAAACAGAACACTCATAAAAGAAAGCCAAAGTCAGTGCTATTTTATAAGCAGTGGTTCATTTGACCACGTGTTTTCACTACATGCAGTGCCTTAAGTTATTCCTTATAAAAACATTGTCCCTGGAGCCTTAAAATTTTTTTTTTTTTACAATGGAAGTGCTTTTTAGAGATTAATCAGCCATTGAATTTGGTCTGCTAACTTTTTAACAATGCTTTATTCGGTTGTGTATGGATGGATTTTGCCCTTATTTGGAAATTCAGCCTTTATGGTGAAAAAACAAATGCCTAGCATTGGAAGAGCTACCATAAAGCTTATGGGGTTTTATTTCTATTTGTTCACACTAGTGTTCGCTTGTCATAAGCCTAAATCAAATGATAGATTTGAACTTGGGTTAGATTATTAAAGCTAAAAGAGAGCAGTTGCTGAGGGAATAGTCCACGCATCTATTACGTCATAGTTGACAGTATAAAGGCAAGATTCAGGAAACTAATGGAATTTCTTTTTCTTCTCCCTTTTTGTCATAGAAAGGTCAAGCTAGTTTTCAACATTTTTATGTATGTCATTCTCAATATAGCAACAGAATCTCTTATGGAAAACAATGTAAGTAAATGTCTTCACGATGCTACTAGTCACCTGATCAAAAGCCAATGTTGAAAAACACTTCTAATGACTGTCTCTTATGCATCAGTGCACCTACTAATGAGCTGCCAGAAAAGGCTTTGTAAAGCTTTGCTAAGATAGAGCAGGAATGTGAGAAGCCTGAGATATAACTTCCCTGCTGTGATCCCTGCCTTTCTACTAACAGGGAGCCTAGACTGGGAGCTGCTAATGAGCGTGCTGGAGAGAGTGTCCAAACCAATGCAGGCTGGAGACAATTCACCTGTCTGCTTTCAGATCCAGGGTATGATGCATGACAGTAAGACACTCGGTAGTAGCTTTTCTTTAAATAATTTAGGTATTTATTGATTTTTTCTCTCTATCCCCATATTTTTATTTAGCCCCGGAATTTTATTTTCTTTCAGTGATTTCTAGCACCATCAGAGAAAAAGAAAGAACAAGGATTATTCCTTCTGTCATCTTACTTTGCCACCCATATATATATATATATGTATATATATATATATATACACACATATATATGAAATTAAATTCATTATGTCATATTATAGCAATAGGAAATACCTAATTAATTTTTCTGTATGAAAGAGAAATATGTGATTTTTAGAGGTGTTTATAAAATGAGATAGTTGAAATTCATGGCTTTTTAAAAGCCAATATGTGGCTTATTTGAATTAAAGGATTTCAAAATATGGCACATCTTTTGACACTTAAAACAATGTCCATGGGATAAGTTAAAGACTTTTCTTCATCTAGCAATGCCTTGTTCAACATCTTTATCCATAGGCAAACCCAGCAGGATCTTTGTAAAAAACGCTTACTTAACTTGATTTGTAGAAATTCCTGGCCTATAAATGAAATAGTTAACTGCAGGATACCTTTCAAGTTCAATGCTAAGCTATTCACATTACACATTTTGATGTTATGCTTCCTTTGAGTTTTCCTAGAGGCTATTTTACTAGTTAATTTTTTTTTTAGTCAAACAAAATTACAGAATACAACTGTGTAATTTCACCAATTTGCAATGCCACACTTATCCTGGAAAGAGAATCAACATCTCCATCCATTAATTACAATCCTGACTATCTCCTAGCCTCCCAGGAGGCAGCCGGTACGGTTCACATGGGCTAGTGCTATCTGTCCATTCCAGTTGCCGGGGCTCCTATTTTCCACAGCTCACCCTTGCTTTTTCTCCAGTTGATACCACATGCCATGGGAAATCGCAGACTCCGTGGCAACTGGGGAGATAAGAAAACTGCGTGCCTCGGCAGCCTCTTTTATCCAAGGATCTCCAAAGAGCTTTATAAAAATCTATTTTTTAATCCTCTGGATACCCCCGTGAGATAGGTATTAGCCCGACTTCACAGCTGACAGAACTAAAATCAGGGAGCATCTAACTGCATCTCAGCCCCTGAACCCTTCTTGGTGTTGGATATGGTGCAATGAGAATTCCGAACCCAATTCTGACAATGTGAAGAAGAGGTTGGAGTACATGTTTCCTGCCAGGAAATCTATGAAGTCCCAGAGAAACTGAGCTGCACAGAAGTACATTTTTAAAAAAATCTAGACAGAAATACAAATAATAGCAATTTTTGAGGTAACAATTATATTATAATAGGGCTTATGTGGACTTCATTGCCAAGAAATCCTTACCTTCTCAAAGGCGATACTCCAAAGTAACAAATTTTAATACTGTGTTTGCTAAACAATTTGCTAAAAGACTAGGGGAAATGGGGATTAATCTGCAAAGGTTTTTGAGCAAATCTCAACTCTATACAGAGCTACCCAAGATGTAAAAATAACTTCCTGTTCTCAAGAAACTGACAATCTAAGTGGAAAGAGAGAAAAGAGTTTAGCTTATGAACAAAGGTGATATGCATATCATGAGACCTGCTGCTAAAAAGTTTAGAATTTCACTATCTGTAGTGGTAAAATATTGAAGTCTTCATTTATGATCCTCTTTGTGTAATTCTGTCATTGCATGTCCACGTCTAATGGAAAAGTAAATCCTTAATTAGCAATAATTTCTTACTAAGAAGTGATCTTGAAATACCATGGAATGCCCTATTGATGCCTGCTGAGAGACCCAGGCTCAATACATATAATATTGCCATTATCCTATGGAATGTTACATTTCATATGTAAAATTTTGTTTTAATATCAGGTGTCATCTTTTAATCTCAGCTATTTGTCAAAATACATATAAAGTTCTCTTTAACATTTCTCTCATTTTAGATTAGTATTACTTCTTTGTCATTCTGTGGCCAAATATTTCAGTCTAAATAAGTGCCTAATAAATTGTCAAACTAAAACCATAGAAAATCTGCCTTTTCTTTCTATTTTTCTTACTCTGAGCTTGTGGAGAAATGTAAGTACCCTATTATCTTAACCTACAATAGATAAGCTATAGTCTTTTCTAAGCAAGGGAATCTCCTGATAGTAAGTTAGGCTGTTTGGAAAAAATGTTTATCTTTTGAGCCACTAGGGTTCCATTATATAAGGATCTCATTGACTGGTGCCTTACACCAATTGAAATTTTTAGATTTCCTACTTCTATCAGTAAAATATCTGAGCAAGCATTCTCAATATATTTGTATTTAGATATAAATTATGTATATACTATTATGCTTAATATACATTCTAAAATATAAAGAGAATGCTAAGAAAGATAAGAGATAATTGAAATATTTTAATATTTTATTTATCAATAGGGCAAGACATATTTTGCTTCCACAAATAGTATCAACTATAATATTTTGGTAAACTGCATGTAATTAGATGATACTCATTATTTTTTGAAATCTTGGTTAAATTCTTAGAGGTATAGCAATTCCAAAGAATGGCTCTAGATTCAGTTTTAGTATTTGGTTTTAATTGTTACCGTAATTGAAAATAATACCTCACAAAGTTATTACATAAGAAATGCATTTTTTTTTTTGAGATGGAGTCTTGCTGTGTTGCCCAGACTGGAGTGTAGTGGTGCAATTTCGGCTCACTGCAACCTCCACCTCCCAGGTTCAAGCAATTCTCCTGCCTTATCCTCCTGAGTAGCTGGGATTACACGCATGTGCCACCACGCCCGGCTAATTTTTCTATTTTTAGTAGAGACGGTGTTTCACCATGTTGGTCAGACTGGTCTCGAACTCCTGACCTCAGGTGATCCACCCACCTCAGCCTCCCAAAGTGCTGGGATGACAGGCGTGAGCCACTGCACCTGGCCAAGAAATGCATTTATAAAATCACTGTACTAGTTCTATAATTCTATCCAAACATATGCAAAAATTTTCATTTGAATGTTGCTTTTAAATTTCCATCTGTTTAATAACAATTATTGTTGCATATTTGGATTGAGTAGCATTTTAATATTTTTAACAAGTAGCTTCTACATTGCTGAAATTCTTTGTTTAGGGTATTTCAAAATATGTTATCAAATTCTCTTTCCATGTTTTTATTTATTTTCTAATATGGACAATCTTTACGGGAAATATATCACTTTGGCCACAAAAACCCAGAAAGATAAATCCTCTCCAAATATCTATTTTCAAAATTCATTTTCATTATATATTTGATATGGTTTGGGCCTGTGTCCCCACCCAAATCTCATATCAATTGTAATCCCCAATATTGGAGGTGGGAACTGGTAGGAAGGGATTGGATCATGGAGGTGGGTTTCCCGTTTGTACTGTTCTTATAATGGTGAGTGAGTTCTCCTGAAATCTGTTCATTTAAAAATATGTGGCCCATCCTGCCTCCCTCTCTTCCTCCTGCTGTGGCCATGTGAAGTGCTCGCTCCCCACTTTGCCCTCCCACATGATTGTAAGTTTCCTGAGGTCTCCCCAGAAGCCAAGCAGATGTCAGCATCACACTTTCTGTACAGCCTGCAGAACCATAGCCAACTAAACTTCTTTTCTTTATAAATTACCCAGTCTCAGGAATTTCCTTATAGCAATGCAAGAATGGACTTATAAAATATTCTTTCAAAATAAAATTTCTTTATTATTCATTGATATAAAATGCCTGTATTTTAAAAGCTATAATAATTGTGTTTACTTTTTTAGGAAATAAGCTTTGCTAGTTATTATACCACTGAAGCCATTTGTGATCATAGAAAAGATCAACACATTTGGAACACTTGCCCTTTTGTAAAATAAAAACACACATTTCTTCTAAGAACTTTCTTGTCAGATAACCAGTATAGATTTTCAGCGCCTTCCTCATGTTATTCAAAACTACTATAAAAATGGATTGCTTTTATAAAAATTAACCCACTTTTTATCTTACAGGTTGAAAACTGCAATTTGTTATAATATGTGGAAGAAAAACAACTGACAAAGACCATCTCTGTCAATCACATTGTGGAACACTATGCTTCCCTCAGGATGGTCTCCTGCATATGCAGCAAATGACCCTCTTCCACATGGACAAGTTACAATCTCTATTAAATAATAATTTCTGTCTGTTTATTAAATTAAAATGAATTTCACTATAAGGTTTTATATTTTTCCATGTCTTAGTAAAATGACTTGTCTGGGAGGCCAGCATTCCCAACAACAACAGGATGGAGTGAGAATACATAGGAAAGCTAGCAATCTAAATAAAATTTTATTATCAAACATGAAAGTGATAATGGAGACATTACAAGAATTAGAATTTATTAAGGTATTTGTTCCCTTATGCCTTCTACTTGAAGGTAGTCAAAAATCCATTGAACATTGTTGGAAACATTAAGAGAATTTGGTGTATTGGCTGATTATAAAGTCAGTGTACAAAAGTCAATAGATTTTTTTAATATTGCAGATATATTGGATCAAAAAACATAACGACTGATTGTCATTTTTAATATTAACATAAAGATATAACAGCAAGAAGTAAGTCTAAAAAGAAGTGTGTAAGATCTATATGAACAACACTAACATGTTCTGAGAGACATAAAAATTAAACAAAGAGCTATGCAATTCTTGGATATGAATACAGGTATACAGAAATATGGAAATAGTGGTTGCCTCTTGGAAGAGGAACTCAGTCAGAGATGGGAATTTTCAATGTATGCCTTATTGACTCTCTAAACTTTTTAAGCCATCTGCAATTATTATTTTCAAACAAATATTAAAATAGCTTATACTTGTGCTGTACTCATACTACGTGACATGCAGTATTGTAAGTACTTTACATGTATAAACTTATTTAAACCTCAATGCAACTCCCTGAGATGAATACCATCATTCTTATTTTATAGGTTAGGAAACTGATGCACACATAGCTTATGTAATTTGTCAAAGGTCACACAGTTAGTGGCTGGGACTTTTTACTCAAGCAGTCTGATAAAAGGTCCAAGTTCTAAGCATTACCATATGCTTCCTCTCTAGAATAAACACCTCTAATATTATTTTTTCTCCAAATACAAGATAATTTTAATAATCCAAAATAGTCAAAGAAAACTTATAAACATTTTTTAAAGTTCTAGAGTGTGATATCAGCAAGATGGTAGAATAGGACTTTCCAGTATTTGTCCCTTGCAGAAACATTAATTTGAACAACTATCCACACTTAAAAATACCTCCACAAGAGCTAAGGAAACAAGGTGAGAGATGACAGCATATAGATGTTAAACATAAATAAGAAAAGGCATATTGAAAATGGTAAGAAAGACAGTTTTACATTACCTACACTACTTCTCCCCTATCTCCAGGCAACACAGCACAAAGATCCTCTCTACATATGGGAAAAAGAGTGAAGTGAGCACCAGACTTTGCCTAGGACCTCAACACTGAGGCCACCCCAGTAATAACCAACACCAGGCAGGCACAGGCCTCCATGGCCTTAGGCTCAAAGCTAATACCTGAGGAATAGCCTCCAGGTCTGCCCCAATGCCAGGCCAGCCCCACAGATGCAGTCCACAGACCCACCCCAGTGTCAAGCTAGCATCTATGGCCTCAGGTACCATGCTAGTACATGAGGACACAGCATCTAGGGTGTAATCCACTTCAGGATTCAGGCCCAACACCACAGACCCAGATTTCAAGCTTAGCCCAGAGCCAAGCTGATAATCATGGCCCTAAACTCTAGACCAGCCTCTATAGCACCAGGCCAGCCCCCAAAGACCCAAGCTCTGTATTGGCCTCTATGACCCAGGTTCCAGGCTGCCCCAACTCCAGGGCTGCCCAAGGGTCCAGGCTGGTCCCTGTGTCCCCAACTTCCAGTGGATGTAGAGTCCAGGCCCACACCAATATACCTCTGAACACAGGCTGTGCCCCACAGGTTAAGGCTCAAATGCCACCCCCTATTGAATCAGGCTCCAAGCTCACTCCAGCATGGACCAGCTTCCATAGACTTAGGCTTCAGGCTATCTCTGTGGACTCAGGCACCAGACACATCTTAGCATCTAGTCAGCACTTAAAAATTTAGGTTTAAGACCTACCCTAGCACCAGGTCAACACTCATGGATCAAGGCTTCCGGCCTATACTTGCAGATCCAGTCACAGGCCCACTTCAGTGGATTCTGGTGCCAGACCATCCCCCTGTGGATCTGGGATCTAGGCTCAGCCCATCAGACTCAAGCACTAGGTATGCCCCAGTGAACCTAGGCTCCAGGCCAAACTGCACAGACACAAGCATCAGGCCCACTTAGTTGCTTACCCAGCTACCATGCCAGCCTGCCTGAAGAATTTATCAGCAAGCCTATGCATGGACCATATCAGACGACTTGTCCAGAATTTTTAGATAAGCTGACTGGTCAAAGTCCTTCCTATAGATGCCAGTCTATAAAGACTAAAATAAGTGCCTACATTTTCAAATGCGCAGATGCCAATGCCTGGTCATAAGTATCACAAACAATCAGGGAAACATGACACCACTAAATAAAGAAAATATAGCCAACCTTAAAGAAATGAAAAGTTACAAACTGCCTGACAATTCAAAATAATTTTAACAAAGAAGCTCAGAGAGCTATAAGAGGACATAGACAATTAAATGATATCAGAAAAATAATGCACAAACAAAACTAGAAGTTCAACAATGACACAAAAACCATTTTAAAAAATGGAGCTAAAGAACACAATGACTAAACTGAAAAATTCCAAAGACAATTTCAGCAGCTGACTTGAATAAGCAGAAGAAGGGATCAGTGAGTTTGATGTCAGGTCATTTGAAGTGATTCAGTCAAAGGAACAAAAAACAAAAAAGAAGTAAAAAGTTTCAAAAAATCTATGGTAATTATGAAACACCATCAACTGACTCTATCTATATCTATATCTATATCTATATCTATATCTATATCTATATCTATGTTATTGGTGTCCCAGAAAGGACAGAGAAAAATAAACATACAGATAGTTTATTTAAAGAAATAATGACATAAAAGTTTTTAAATCAGGAAAGGAAAATGAACAATTAGATCAAGGTAGCCCAAAGAACCCCAGGTGGATTAAATATGAAGAGATCTTCACTAAGACACATTGTAATCAAACTCTCAAAAGTCAAAGACATAATAAGGATTCCAAAAACATCAAGAGAAAAGTAATCTATTACACACAAGGGAATGTCCTATATGACTATCAGTAGATTTCTCAGCAGAAACCTTGCAGGCCAGGAAAGAATGGAGTTATATATTCAAACTGCTGAAAGAAAAACTCCCCATAAAGAACTATATACAGCAAAGATGTCCTTTAGCAATGAAGGAGAAATAAGGGCTTCCCGTCAAAAACAGAAACTGCGGGAGTTCAGCACAACTAGACTGGCCTTACAAGAAATGCTAAAGGGAATCCTTCAAGCTTACAGAAAAACAATACTAATTAGTAACATGAAAAGATATGAAAGCATAAAACTTACTGGTAAAATTAAGTACATTGTCAAATTCAGAATACAGTTGACTCTGAACAACATGGGTTTGGACTGCAATAATCCATTTATACACCCAATTTCTTCCACCTCTGCAAGAATGTAAGGCCAACCCTTCCTTTTTCCTCCTCCTCTGAGCCTACTCAATGTGAAAACAATGAGAATCAAGATCTTTATGATGATCCACTTTCACTTAATAAATAGTAAACATATTTTACCTTAATTATGATTTTCGTAACTTTTTTTCTAGCTTACTTTATTGTAAGAATAAAGTATATAATTTTTATATATGATTGAAGTTAAACTGTTATCAGCTTAAAATAGCCTGCTGTAAGATTTTTATGTAATCCTCATGGTAACAACAAAGCCAAAACCTATAGTAGATATACAAAAGATAAAAAGAGAGGGATCAGCACATTCTACTACAGAAAATCATCTAATGGCAAAAATAAGAGCAAGAGAGGAAAAAAATAAAAGATCTGCAAAACAACCAGAAGACAGTGAACAATATGGAATTCACAAGGGTTTATCTATCAATAATTATACTGAATGCAAATGAATTAAATTTCCTAATCAAAAGACATAGAATAGTTGATTGGATACAATAAAAAATAGGACCTAAATATATGCTGCCTACAAGAGACTTAATTCACCATTAAGGACACACATAGATTAAAAGTAAAGGGATGAAAAAAGATATTCAATGCAAATGGAAACCGAGAAACAGAAGATTTGGCTATACTTACACTAGACAAAATATATTTTAAATCAAAACCTGTAAAATAAGACAAAGTAGGCAATTATATAATGACAAAGGAGCCAATTCATTAAGTGGATATAATGATTGTAAACATATATGCTCCCAAACTTAAAGCACCTAAATATATAAAACAAATATTAATAAATATAAAGGAAGGAATAGATTACAATACAATAATAGTAAGAGACTTTAGTACTCCTTTTTCAATAATAGACATCCAGACAGAAAATCAATATGGAAACAATGAACTTGAAGTACACTTTAGACCAAATGGACCTATTAAACCCATATAGAACATTTCACCTAACAGAAGGAGAACACACAATCATTTCAAGCTCAGCAGGAAATTTTCCAGGATAAATAATATATTAGGCCACAATACAATTCTTTAAAAATGTAAGAAGATTTAAGTCATAGTAAGTGTACATATGATCCCAATGGTATATAACTGAAATTAATAATGGGAGGAATTTCTACAAATTCACAAATATATGGAAATTAAACAACATGCTCCTAAACAGCCAATGAGTCAAAGAAAAGTCAAAAGAGAAATAAGAAAATCTCTTGAGACAAATGAAAATGTAAACGCAACATACCAAATCTTATGGACTGCAGCAATAGCAGATCTAAGAGGGAAGTTTATAACAATAAATGTCTACATCAGAAAAGAAGAAAGACCTCAAACAACCTGACATCACATCACAAGGAATTAGGAAAAGAAGAACAAACTAAGATGAAAGTAAGTTCAAGAAAGGAAAAAATAAAAATCAAAGTAGAAATAAATGAAATAGAAATTATAAATACAACAGAAAATAATGATAAGGCAATTGATTTTTTGAAAAGATAAAATAAACATTTATAAGAAAAAAATCAAATTAATAAAATCAGAAATGAAAGAGGAGATATTACAATGGATACCATAGAAACATAAAAGAACCTAAGAGGCTACTATGAACCATTACACACCATCAAACTGGCTAATGTAGAAGAAATAGGTAAATTCCTAGAAACGTACAGCCTATCAAGAATAAATCATGAAGAAATAGAAAATCTGACCAGACCAATCATGAGTAAGAAATCGAGTTAATAATAAACAGTCTCCCACCAAACAAAAGCTTAGGAGCTGATGGCTTCACTGCTGAATTGTATCAAACATTTTTTTTAAAAAATAATACCATCCTTTGGGTATATACCCAGTAATGGGATTGCTGGGTCAAATGGTATTTCTGGTTCTAGATCCTTGAAGAATTGCCACACTGTCTTCCACAATGGTTGAACTAATTTACACTCCCACTAATAGTGTAAAAGTGTCCCTGTTTCTCCACATCCTCTCCAGCATCTGTTGTTTCCTACTTTTCAATGATCACCATTCTAACTGTCATGAAATGGTATCTCATTGTGGTTTTGATTTGCATTTCTCTAATGACCAGTGATGATGAGCTTTTCTTCATATGTTTGTTGGCTGCATAAACCCAAAGGATTATAAATCATTCTACTATAAAGACACTGCACATGTATGTTTATTGTAGCACTATTCACAATAGCAAAGACCTGGAACCAACCCAATTGCCCACCAATAATAGACTGGATTAAAAAAATGTAGCACATATACCATGGAATACTATGCAGCCATAAAAAGGATGAGTTCATGTCCTTTGCAGGGACATGGATGAAGCTGGAGAACATCATTCTCAGCAAACTAACACAGGAACAGAAAACCAAACACCACATGTTCTCACTTGCAAGTGGGAGTTGAACAGTGAGAACACATGGCCACATGGGGGGAAACATCACACACTGGGGCCTGTCAGGGGGTCGGGGGGCTACAGGAGGGAAAACATGAGGACAAATACCTAATGTAGATGATGGGTTGATAGGTGCAGCAAACCACCATTGCATGTGTATACCTATATAGCAAACCTGCACGTTCTGCACATGTATCCCAGAATTTAAAGTCTAATAATAATAATAATAATAAAAAAAGCATGCTTATTACTAAGAGGCATTAGATGAGGGTGAAGTAAATAATAGGATTATTGTTTTTGCCCCTACATGTATATGTTCCCAAAAAAATAAAAAAATAATAATAACAGTCCTTCTCAAATTCTTCCAAGACACTGAAGAGGGAATACTTCCATACTCATTTTGCAAGGCCAGCATTATCTTGATACAGCTAGACAAGACATGACAAGAACATAAAATTAGAGGCAAATAACCCTGATGAATATAGATGCAAAAATCCTCAACAAAATACTGGAAAACTGAATTCACAGCACATTAAAATGGCCATTTACCATGATAAAGTAGGATTTATCCTTGGGATACAAGCATGGTTCAATATATGCAAATCAAATGTGATACACCACATTAACAGAATGAAGGACAAAAACCATATGAGCATCTCAATAGATGCTAAAGAAGCATTTGACAAAATTCAACATTATTTTATGATAAAAACTCTCAACAAATTAGATATGGAAAACATGAACCTCAACATAATAAAGGTCATATGTGACAATCCCACAACTAACATCATACTCAATGTTGAGAAGTTGAAAGCTTTTCCTCTAAGAACAGAAACAAGATAAGGATGTCTACTCTCACAACTTCTGTTTAACATAGTACTAGAAGTCCTACCCATGGCAATTAGGCAAGAGAAAACAATAAAAGGCATCCAAGTAGGAAAAGAAGTGAAATTGTCTCTGTTTGCAGATGACATAATCTTATATATAGAAAATTCTAAGAGCTCTACCAAAAAACTGTTAGAATTAATAAACACATTCAGTATGGCTAATAATGCAAAATAAACATTAAAAAATCAGAAGTATTTTTGTACACTAACAGCAAACTATTTGAAAAAGAAATCAAGAAAACAATCCTGTTTATAACAGCTACAAAAAATTCATAGGAATAAACGCAAGCAAGAAGGTGACAGACTTGTACACTGAAAACTATAAAACACAAGTGAGTGAAAAGATATCCCACATTGATGGATTGGAAGAATAAATAATTTTTAAATGCCCATACTATACAAAACAACTTCCAGAATCAATGCAATTTTTATCAAAATGAAATTTCAATGCCACTTTTTATAGAAATAGGAAAAACAACTCTAAAATTCTTATGGAACCACAAAAAACCCCAAATAGCCAACATAATCTTGAGCAAAAACAAACAGAGAAACACAAAGCTGGAGGCATCGCACTACCTGATTTCAAAATATATCTTCAAGCTATAGTAATCAAGGCAGCATGCTAGTGGCATAAAAACAGACACATAGACCAATGGGACAGAATAGGATACAAAATTTTAGTTAGGAGGAAAAAGCTTAAGACAGCTATTATATAACATGGTGACTATAGTTAATAACAATGTTTTACCTACTTGAAAATTATTAATAAGTTACAAATTTTAAGTATTCCCACCACAAACAAATGAGAAGCATGTGAGATAATAAAATAAAAAATAAAAAGTATAAAATGATATAAATTTTGAAGAGACACTAACTATGCTACAATACCTCCCCAGATTGCACACATACTTCCACAGAGAAACAACAAACATCAAACCAGAATAAATCCCAAATTTTATGGGATTCCATGCAGTCTCATACAGCAGAAAATGAATCCTCTATTTAATATGGAAAAAACTTTAGAAGCTGTTAAAATTTTTGTCTAAAAAATATTTCTTCTTATTTTCTAACACAGAATTTACCTCCTAGTCAGTTTGAACTCATCTTCCATTGCTCCCCTCAACCAATTCCAAATATATGACCCTGACTGGCGTAACAGCTTTTCTCTGAATAATTTCCCCAGTCTCATCCCTCATGACTAATTCTACTCACCATTGAGACACAGGTTAAGTTCCCTCTTCTACAAAATCTTACCAGAGGAAAATAATTTATAATTATCTTTCTCTCCCATAAAGTTTTTATTATATCCAAAGATAATCTGTAGCATACCTGGCCATCTCACTTATTTTCTTTTATATTTCCTATATTACTCAACATTGTGTAGAACACAGTTAAATTATACTATTAACTACTTTCTATGTACTGGTCTGCCAGGTGTTAAGGTTAAGAAAATGAATAAGACACTTCTGCTTGCTGCCTGAGAACTTAGACAGTTGTATAGAGATGCCTATTACATTGAAAGTTAGATATTACAGTAAATAATTGTGGGATGGCTGACTAAATATCCTAGTGTATGAAACCAGTCCAAGGCCATTTTCTTTACCTTGGTTTTTTGACTTCTGATAACAGAATTTATGTGCAGGTAATTAGTATTTTATGTAAAGGTAAAAATTGTGTTCATCCAAACAGCATGACAACTAATGTTTAACTCTAAAAATAAGAATGTCCACTCCCACCACTGCTACTCAACATTGTGCTGTAGATTCCACCGAGGGCACTTAGGCCAGAAAACTGAATAAAAGGGCATTTACATTGGAAAGTGATATGGTTTGTCTCTGTGTCCCCACCCAAATCTCATCTCAAATTGTAATCCCCTCGTGTTAGAGGAGGGGCCTGGTGGAAGGTGATTGAATCTTGGGGGTGCACTTCCCATTGCTATTCTTGTAATAGTGAGTGAGTTCTCATGAAATCTGATGGTTTAAAAGTGTGTGGCACCTCCCCCTTCTCTTTCTGTCTCTCTTGCTTCACTGTGGTAAGACGAGCTTGCTTTCCCTTCATCTTCTGCTATGATTCTAAGTTTCCTGAGGCCTCTCAGCCATGCTTCCTGTAGAGCCTGTGGAACCGTGTGTCAGTTAAACCTCTTTTCTTCATAAATTACCCAGTCTCAGGTAGTTCTTTATAGCAGTGTGAGAACAAACTAATACAGAAAGCAATAAATAATACTATCTCCCTTCACAAATGACAAGATTTTGTACATAGAAAGCCCTACACCAGCAATGAACAATCTGAAAATAAAATTAACTAAACAATTCCACTTACAAGAGAAAGTAAAACAAGAAAATACTTAGAAATAAATTTATCAAAAGAAATACAAGACCTACACACTGAAAACTTACTTAAAACAGAAAAATTTTATTGAAAATAAGGAATTCCTTAATAAATGGAATGACATATTATCATAGAAGGCTTAAAATTTTTAAGATGGCAATACTACTCAAAACAAACTACAGATTCAATGCAATCCCAATCAAAATTCCAACAGCCTATTCTGCAGAAATGCAAATGCCAGTCCTCAAATTTATGTGGAATTAAAAAGGGCCCTGAAATGCTAAAACAATCTTGAGTAAAATGGAGGACTCATACTTTTTCATTTCAAAAATTACTTAAAAACTACAGTAATCACAATATTCTGGTACTAGAATACAGACATATAAACAAATGGAATACAATTGAGAACTTCTTTGAAAAGAAGTTGCTTCTTTGAAAAGATCAGCAAAGAAATGATTCAAATTACTAAAGTAAGAAATTAAACATGCCCAGAAATTGAACCCATACATCTATGTACAATTAACTTTCTATAAGGGTTCCAAGACCATTCAGTGCAGGTAAGAATGGTCTCTTCAATGAATGGTTCAGGGCCAACCAGATATTCACATGTAAAAGAATGAAGTTAGAGCCCCACCTTACACCGTATACAAAAGCTAATTCAGAATGTACTAGAGACCTAAATGCAAGAGCTAAAACTGTAGAATTTTTAGAAGAAAACACAGGTGTAAATCTTTATAAACTTGGATTTGGTAATGGATTCTTAGATATGACACCAAAAACATGAGCAACAACAAAAAATTAATTAGTATTCATCAAAATTTAAAACTTCGGTACATCAAAAAATATTATCAAGAAAGTGAAAACACAACCCATAGAATGGGAGAAAATACTTGGAAATCATATCTCTAATAAGGTAATAGTATCCAATATATATGAAAAACTCTTACAACTCAACAGTAAAAGACACCCCATTAATAAATAGGTAAAGGACTCAGATACTTCTCTAAAAAAGATACGAAAACGGCCAACAAGTACACAAAAAGATGCATAACGTTATTAATAACTAGAAAAATACAAATAAAAGGAAGTATTACATTATAGCCACTGATATGGCAATAATAATAATAAACAGAAAATAACAAATGTCAGTGAGGGTGTAGAGATACAGAAACTTTTTTACATCACTGGTGAAAATATAAAATGGTACAACTACTGTAGAAAACATTTTGACAGTTCCTCAAAAAGTTACACATATGGCTGGGCGTGGTGGCTCATACCTGTAATCCCAGCACTTTGGGAGGCCAAGGCAGCTCACCTGACATCAGGAGTTTGAGACCAGCCTGACCAACATGGTAAATCCCTTCTCTACTAAAAATACAAAAATTAGCCAGGTGTGGTGGTGGATGCCTCTAATCCCAGCTACTCTGGAGGCTGAGACAGGAGAATCAGTTGAACCCAGGAGGCAGAGGTTGCAGTGAGCTGAGATTACGCCATTGCACTCCAGCCTGGGTAATGGAGCGATAGTCCATCTCAAAAAAAAAAAAAAAAAGTTAAACATAGAATTACCATATGAATCAGCAACTCTGCTTCTATGTACATAACCAGAATAAGTAAAGTCTCAAAAAAAACTTGTATACAAATATTCATAATAGCATTGTTCCCAATAGTTAAAAAGTACAAAAACCCAAATGCCCATCAATGCATACAGAGATAAACAAATTATGGAATAATATTTATTGTTCATATTCATAATTATAATATGAATATGGAATGGAATAAAAATGAATATTATTCAGCCATTAAAAGGAAAGTGATGCTGACCCATGCTACAATGTAGATGAACCTTGAAAACATTATGCTAACTGAAGGAAATCATACACAAAAGGTCACATACTGTGTGATTTCATTTATACAAAATATGGTAAGTCTATTGAAACAGAAAGTGGATTGGTGGTTGCCAAAGGCTGGGGATAGGAAAAAAAAATAGGATAAACTGCTCAATAGGTAATAATAGTCTCAAAGCCTCTAAGCACTACTAGAGATTACTTTTGAATGTATCATGATGTTCAGACCAGGAATGGTTCTGCAAGGCTGCTCCTTGCCAATGATTCAGTATATCAGGGTTACCAGAACAAAGCCATGTCTGCTCTCTGAAAAAATTTTTTCATTGCATGTTCTCACTCATATGTGGCGTATGTGGAAGCTAAAATAGTTGAGCCCATGGATGTAGAATGGAATGATAGATACCAGAGGCTGGGAAGGGAGAGTGTTGGAGGACAGGGATGGGGAGGAAGAGAGGTTAGTTAATGTGTACAAACATACAGTTAAATAGAAAAAATAAGTTATAATGTCTAATAGCAGAGTAGGGTGAGTATGGCTGGCAACAATGTATTGTATATTTCAAATAGCTGTATTGGAATGTACCCAACATATAGAACGATAAATAACTTGAGTGATGGACAGCTTATATGCACTAACTTGGGATCACTACACATTCTAGGCAGGTAGGAAAATTTTATATGTAACTCAAATGCACAAATCGTATAGATCAAAAAATAAACTATAATATTTCAGGAAAAAAGATTTTTCTAGTGGATAACTTTTACTCCCTGTTCCTCAGTAACCTGGCAATAACAGTCCCAGAACTGCACTGTAGTTTGAGGCTCTTTCTAACCATTCATTCTTTTCCTCTCTCCTTTCTCAGGTATCAGACCTACTTCTGAAAGCTCTCCTTACTTTTCTTTCGTTTCCCTTTATCCTTCATAAGCTTTTCCCCCAGTAAGTCTCTTGCATATCAACTACCATCTTGTCTGCATCTCAGATAACCTGAGCTGACAAAGGTAAGTGGGGATTAGTTTAAGAAAACAGGTGGTATGTTGGGAAAACAAATTGTCCCTGGCACAAAGTGGTGACCCAATACCTGAATATTTCCTACTGGTGACCTGGGAGAATGTCCCAGTGGAGGGGAAATCCTTATTGGTACAATAATTCAAACTTTTAGAAAATAAGTGATAAATAAAGCTTACAAGGACAATGGAATTGGCCAAATATTACTAAGTTATATTGATGCCCATAGGGATCATGCGAAATTAAGGGCTAATATTTAAAAGCTAAGAAGTGAGGCCTACAAGGTAAATATGGTGGCATATAAAGACACCTTTATTTCCAACAACGGTAAAGCAGACAAAGCTGAGGATGAAACTCAGGATCTGATAGGGTAGTAGAGCTCCAGAGATATTTAAATACACAGTCAAGGTGAGTCTGTTTTGCTAAAGTAAGAGCCTTGGTTAGGAAAACCCGAGATCCTACAATGTGAAATGGAAACATCTGAGGGAATGCTCTCGAGATTTTTGTTCTGCAAAACCTTTGAATTCTTAAAGTTGTCTCTAAGTGACCCAATTCTCTGGAGTGAGAGCCAGAATTTTCCCCATGCTGGAAGAATATGCAGAAACCTCTCACCCAAAAGGCAAGAGGCGCCGCTACTAAGGAATTACTAAACCTCCCCACTTGTCTGCCATCTGCCAGGTTAAACCTCAATGTAATCAATTGTGCACCTGCTGGTCTTGATGAGGAAGGAAAGGGGTTACAACCAGAAGTTGCTATGTGAGTTAGCAAACATGTATTGGCAGTAGTTAGGGCGATACCCTGGAGGCAGATTTTAAGGGAACTTGATCAAGGATGCTACAATGTAATATTGCAAAAGCAAAGTATCATGGACTTGGGAGGACTTTCGTGATGAAAGAGAAAACCTGAGGAGATATGGCACGTTTGTTGTTTGAATGGCTCTTAGAAGTTGGAAGAAAGTGATAACCCATTCTGAGTGAACTGGAAATACTTGAGTTACCCTGAATGGTGGTATATGACTGAAGGAACTAGACAAGTTTGAATGGAAGATTCATCAGAGGATTATATTCCACAGCAGGACCTGGAGGACATACCTTTATCAAGGCCATCAGAAATACACTGGTTGGAATGGAAGTTCAGTGTTGGGTCTCTCTATAGGACAAGGCTATTGGAAGCAGAGGCAATCACAGAGCTGGGTTCATTAACCTCCATAAGGATAACGGTGCCCTGAGGTACAACAGGCCAGGTTGTGGTACTTAACCTTCAAAAGCTGGGATCTCAGTTGTTGTAACAACTGGGAAGGTTGGAGGAGCAGCCAAGTGAGTTTGACACATAGGAGTTGTGGAGGTGGTTAATAGTGCATGAAATTACTAGGGGAAAAATAAACAGGTTAACAATGAGAATCCTTCTTCCTATCAACAACTAGAAAAAGACAGAAAGACACGAATTGACAAGAAAGAGGCTGAGGGCAGTCACCATACTTTTGCTCTAATCCAAGAACTGAACTGAAGATCCATTCATATCTGAACCTACTGACTGAAGAAGTGGCCAAGTATCTGGGAGGTAAGATATTACAACACTATGGCAAGTATGTATTGCAATAATTTAGTCCTTTTACAAAAGAAGCTCCATCTGGGAAAGCAGAATACTAGTGAATTCTGAGGACTATTTAACACAGTGTTCAAGTTGATGTTAGTAGCCGGAAACCCAAAGCTTCATCATGGTCCTCTTTTTAGAGGTTTATGAGGGCCAGGAAAAAAAAAATGGCGTTCTGGCCAAAGACTGGCTTACATTTAACCCACTAATTCTGGAAACTGATCCTTAACTTAAAAAAAAAAAATTATGGCAGGAAGGTTAGCTGGGATTCTGACGTAAGTAGGCCCACTCTTTTCATTGTACGGCATTAGACTCAGACAAGAGACACAAAGACTATACCCTTAAGCCATACTGAGTAAGGGTGAAGATAATTCTTGCTGAGGAATGATAGCTGTTTAGGCAAGACCATTACTGCTTTGTTCACAAAGTTAAGACATCTCTCTGGTTTTGCTGTCTTCAGATATTTGGATTATATGGTTACTGAAGTTGAGATTGTTGGAATCAAAGTGGGCAAAACCTGATAATTTGCAAGCTTCACAATATAAAGAGCTTAATATTCTTCTTGGTGTGCTGACATCTGCTGGCTCAGGGTCACTAGCTCTGTAACAACCAGACCTTAATCTGTGACCCTCCGAATAAGCTTGGCTGCTGGGTTTTACTATTATTAACAGCTATTTTGATGAAAACAATGTATTCCTTTTATAAAACTTTCTGTGGTTCAAATGACATTGAACATCTGAACAGTCCTATGAACCATTTATTTGCTCTTCACAACATATTTGTGAGGTATCAGAGATGTTAATAGACTTAGATCTGAGAATCAGAGGTGTTAAATGTCTTGCCCCAATTTATTCAGTTAGTAAGTAGCAAAGACAGAAGAAACCAGGCCTTCCAATGCCTAGTCTAGTGCTTTTACCACTAAGATGATAATAAACGTTAATAGTATTGAATACATACTATATGCTAGGAATTATGCTTGGTTCTTTGCATGTATTATTTAACTTAATTCCCAAAGAAACCCTATAAGGGAAGTATTAATGCCCCCATTATAGAGATGAGGAAACTGAGGCCTCATGCCCACCAAGTAAGAAGCAAACTATGGGACTCTAATTTAAAGCTCAAATTGATTCAATACCCTGAGTTGATTACTTAAGATTGTTACTTGAGTCACCCTCTATTTCAGGCGTTTTCTTTCCATTTCCAAGGAAAAACATGAAAGGAAAGGAGTAGCACAAAATGCAGAGTGGCCTGAAGGAGAGGATGAAAAGAAACAACTCAGGTGAAAATGGCATTCTGGTATTAAGGACTACTGGATAACAGAGAATACTGAAGCCAGGAGCAACACTAATCCTTTTTCTGTGGCCACTGAAAAATGAATCCCTTGTTTGGCTTGGAAGTACTATCTTATCCCAGTTGTCCAGACCACCTTCTGCCTTCTAACTTATCATTCCAAACACGTTGGCCACTGTCAGACCACCTTTCATAGGTCCTTCATTTATTGCAATCAATGTCTTAATAGAGAGTAAGATGCTCAAGGCCAGGCTCTGGGCTCTTGGGAATAGAATCTAAAACTTTACCACAACTTTACAGACGAACATACCATTTACACATGCAAACACAGAAATGTATTTTTAAATCATTTTTGAATGGTTTTGATCATCACATATTTCCCCATTTTCTGCAGAAAACAATGTCACATATATTTTATCATGCATCAATGTCAACCAATGTACTTCTCCACCATTCTTTGTTCTCACTATTTCCTGAACCCTACACTTCTCATTCATAGAATACTGAAAAATTTCACTTTGCAAACGTTAGATAATTTTAGCGCCTTCATGACTTTTTTTAGTTTTCTCTTTGCTTTGAAATACCTCCTCAGTCTTCTCAAATTGCTAAATTCCTGCTTATTCTCCAAATTCAAACATATAAACCTTTTTTTACCTCCTCAACCATAATCATTCAATTCCTTTCTTCCAAATAGCCACAGTCTTTGCTTATATACTGATTACAATAATTATTTCGCTGACTTACATTGAAGTTGATAATAATATTTAATCTGTGTTTTCAGTTTTTCATTTATGTGAGTACTAGATGGCAGTCCTTAAAAGCAGACTTTAATATTACCTGATTATGTGATCCTCTTAGCTCCAACTTCATAAGACTATGAACTCTCTGTTTACCTTGTTAGTACTACCAAGTTATTAATTAGAATAATATTATCTTATACCGTATCCTAAGCAACTACCATGTGCTAGACATTTTAGCTACCTTATTTCAATGGATTCTTTTAAAAAGTAGGTTTGAGTGATAAATACAAAGTTTCTTTTACAGATAAAGTGAGTCTAGAAGAGATTAACTTGCCTAAATTCACACAGGAATTTAGAGTCAAATACGAGATTTGAATCCAGATCTGTTTGAAGAAAAGGTCTGTATATGTAAATACTTTGTGCACAGTCTCTCAAAAATCAGCGAGTGGTAAACTTATCTGAATGTAAATTTATCTCTTGAGCACTTGAGAAATGATACTTTTCTTTTTTTGAGATGGAGTCTCTGTCGCCAGGCTGGAGTGCAGTGGCACGATCTTGGCTCACGACAACATCTGCCTCCCAGGTTCAAGAGATTCTCCTGCCTCAGCCTCCCAAGTGGCTGGGATTATAGGCATGCACCACTATGCCCAGCTAATTTTTGTATTTTTAGTAGAGACGGGGTTTCACCATGTTGGCCAGGATGGTCTCGTTCTCTTGACCTCGTGATCTGCCCACCTCGGCCTCCCAAAGTGCTTGGATTACAGGCGTGAGCCACCGTGCCCAGCCTGAGAAATGATCATTTTCTGTTACATAATTGAATGAATTATAGGGAATAAAGAACTACTTTTGGTGCTAACAAAGATAAAAGAACTATCTAATTCCATTGAAATGTATTAATATTTATTATATAAGTGGCCAACTTTTAAAACAAAGCCTTTATAAAAAAATAGATACATTGGGCCATAACTACTTCTTGACTTTGGGATCCTTTTAAGACAATATTCTTAATATTTAGTTGAAAATAAGAATAAGGCAAAAAGATGATAATGCAGAAATTGGGGAGCATAAGTTATACTGTTAAAAAATAAGTTATGCAATCCATACAAAGAACTCTTATCAAAAGGCAGAGAAACCACTCAAGGATTACATTAAGTAATAGGGTTAAGAATATGGTCTGAAAAAAATTGAGTATCTTCTAATAACTGTAAGTACATGAGTTTCTAAAATGCCATACATAATACCCATGAAATTATGTTGCATAATGTAATAACACGTTATGCTACCATTAACGCATTATAACTATGTCATTTGGAAGGCTAATTTTTTTGTGTAAAACCACTTAACTACATAAAATTGAAAATAATGATTATTGTAACTACTTTCACTTTTCATCTTCAGGAGTTCAGGATTAAATACTCCATATGCAGTTATTTTATGGTGATGTGTATTTTTATGGAGTGGTCATATAGTGTTCTAAGTAATAATTGTCTTAAAATTCCCAAATACATAAATCAGAAGATCTTTTCACATATTATCATTATGAGAAGTCAAGATAAGTCACTTAACACCTACTTAACAACGCATATAAAGTTGAACACAGAATTTGGATACAATTTGAAAAGAAAACTGCAAGTTTCAAGACAAAGCTTAATGTTAAAAAACACAGGGCCACTATATCTAATATGAGTAAGACCAATTTTCTTAGATGCATTTATTCTTTTAAAGTACTGATATTTATAAATATTTGAAATAAATTTTTATTGAACCAATTTAATTTAGGGAGCAAAAATCTCCACCTAGATTGTTTTTGTTGAAATTCATTTACAGAAAGAAAAGAAAAGGGAGGGGAAATAGGATTTTATGGGCTAGGCCGTATGTTTTATATTCAGATTTTTCTAAATCCATGTAAAATACAATATTTTCTCAATTTTTAAGAATAAGAAGACTGAGGCTCAAAGAGGTAACTATCAGCTTAATGTAACAGAGCTTATAAGCAATCAACAGAGGTTTCCAAATCACCATGCAGTATGTATTCAGTTAACTTTACCTGAGCATTTACTAGATACAACGCATGGCTCTAGAGGCTGAAGATTGCAAAAATGTTTAAGACACAATTTCTATCCTTAAGGATCTCACCATATAGTGGAGACAAATAAATGCTTGAAATGTAATGTGATAAGGAGTGTAAAGGATCCATTTTTAACACACTATAGGAGTTTAATTTATGAAATCTTCCTGTAATATGTATATCATGACTAGACTAATACATTATGAAAAGTAAGGAAAGAAAAAACTGCAACTTGACTGAAACCTGTCCTTGTAGGTTTCTATTTACCTGCTATTCTTGTAATTTTCTGTTGTATTTTCTGGCTATTTAAGCTGAAATATCTGCTAGAAACTATTCTGTGAACAAAGAACCTTGACAGTATGCTTGATAAATGTCATATTATACAATTGTTCATCAAATAGCAAATAATTTTGGATCCTAAAAAATTTGTATTGCTTGCCTTCAAGAATAGGTAAAGACTATGTATAGGTTGATGACAAAGTGTTCAAATGGAGATTAGGTAGTAGAAAGCAGACTCCCTTGAATAAACAACACTCTTACACTTATCATTATATTGATTTCTCCAAATCTCAGCCACTAAAATTTCATTTGTCTTCTGTGATAGGGTTTCCCTCATGTGCAAAATTTACTGATTTTACATATGCAAGCATTACAGATGGCCATGTGCATTTTCTACCCCATTCAAGATTACAATATTTATTTTTAAGTACTATCTATATTATAAATCTTTAAAAGTGTTAATGTATTATTTTCATGGATTTATGATTAAGATTCTTCATTCTATTCTTTTTCTCTATTATATTTGTCATTTCATTCTTGTTTTTTAAATATTTCTGACCATATATCAAGATCAACCCCATCCTACATTATTTCATTTCTTTCTCCCTGTCTCTCTCTCTTTTTTTTTGCATTGGAGTTGGCAACATTTCCCAATTATTATCAGCTGCAAATTTAATTAGCATGCTGTTTATTTCTTCTTCCAGATAATTAATAAAGTTGTTAGAGAAAACTTGGATGAACACCAAGCACCCCACCAGATAGCTCCCCTAAGTCAGATGCTCTGCCATTTATAATTACCTTTCTCTTATGGTCCTTAAGCAAATTTTCAGTGCTCATTCCAGAGCCAATTTAAATTAATTTGGAGGGAAATACTTTAAGAAACACAGGAACAGTTTCACAGTTCCTTCTTAGAGCTTGGATTCTGTAAAACATTTATATTTTATTACTCATGCCAAAACTATATTAATGAAATTGTACATTTAAGCACTAGGACAGCAAAGTCTGAAAGTTCTCAATGAAAGAGCATGGTCTCAATAAACATTTAAGACAAAGCTCTAATTGCATTATTTATGAGTTAAATGAGAACATGAAAGAGGCATTTACTTTTCACCTTTTGTGCCACTGATTTCCCATTTCACTTAACTTAATGAAATTACTAGCTGATTTCAAGTTTTATTAATCATTTTCTGGCATATAATATGCTACATAGTAATATATTGAAAAATAATCAAATTTTTGCCAAAATTGAAGAAAGATTTTAAGAAAGTTTTATATTTATATATCAATTTAACAGTTTTCAAGAGTAAAAGTTTAGCAATAAGTGTTTTCTCAATTTTAAACTCATGTAAGGCCAAATTTAAATATTCAAATTTAAATATTCTTGTGTTTGCACATTATGTGTTAATATATAAGGATATTATTATTGTATGTGTTACCATCTTTGAATCCTAGTCATAGAATTTTAAAGCTAAAAGGTACACAAAATAATATTTAATATAATCTCTTCATTTTGTAAGTGAAAAACAGACTCTGAACTCAATAATGGTAACTGGTTCAGATTGATCACTTTAGTAGTGTGATCCAAATAACCACTTTTTTGGAATCAAAGCTTTAGAAATTCAGTTCTCTTGAAGACAGATTTAAAATTCCTTATGTTCTGAACATGTTGATTGTGGCAGCAATCTAGAAGAGTATTGTATTTGTACTGTGTGGATTAAGTAATTGCTTACATATTTGCCAGAAGCCAAGAAGTCATCACAATCAAAAGATGGTAATATAAATGAATGGTATTAATATAATTAGATTGTTATCGCACAACCAATCTATAGTATGTGGAGTTATAAACTGCCTGTTCAATTACTGGAAACAGACAGATATGCCAATGATCATTTGTCATAGTTACATTGGAGCTAAGAGTATTTATTAATAGAAGAAAAGTTCCAGGAACTCTAGAAGAAGGGCCAATAAAGAATTTTAACAGCCAATAACCCCTTCTTGTGTCTAATCACAATAAACAAGCAGATATAATTTAGAGATTTTAGTTAAGTTTTATCTTGTCATAACTCACAAAGCAATTATAGTTACTTAAAAATCTATGAGTTAAAATGTTTCCAAAGGAAACAGCTTTGTTTTTCTATAGTTAAGACTAATATACTATGTTCAAAATGTGCCTATTCCTTTATTTTTCAGTGTGAGAGCTCGGTGTCATAGGTATAAGTAAACTATATAGAATATTGGTATTAAGTAGGTTTCTTTAAGTATGAGATCCACTGCTGCCAAACTATTCTCTTACATCCCAATTTTCTCAAGAAGCTATTAAGTTAAGATAAGATGTGCTATTTCCACTTACAGATACATTCCAGAATATAAACACAATACTATTTGCTGCAAATTTGATAATGCAAATTCTCTTTCTCACAAATGTCTAACATCATATTAGGGATCTATTTCCTTGAAGTTAAAAAACTTTCCAATAGCCAGAATGTAAATTATTGTTGAGGAAGGTATTAAGATGCAAGCCAATGCTATGATTCAAGACAGAGAGTGGAGTGTACATTTTAACTACCTTCTCTCATTAAGACCCATTGAAATGAGTACAAAAAAGTATAGGAGTGAAAAAAATATTTTAAAATTTCCAAGGTAAAAGCCATAAGAAGAAGAGGACAAAAAATGCCACAGGACCAGGTTTTTGCAGAGTTTCTGCAAAAACATCTGGAATGAAACCTATCAATAAAGAAAGGATAGCTAATTTTTAAATATGTATATATCCCAGAATACAATGTAGATTCTTGAGTGAGACATCTTAGTACTGATATTTAGTATAGAGTGAGATGGGGCAAGTCTCTTTTCTGCTAAAGTACAATGAATGATCCTATGGATACAAAAAAAAAGAAAGAATTGTTGTTAGCATAACAAAGTAACTATAATCAAAGAAATTTAATTGTACATTTAAAAATAACTAAAAGAGTATATGCTCAAGCACAAAAGATAAGTGCTTGAGGTGATGGTTTACTCTGATGTGATTATTAGGCATTGCATGCTTGTATCAGAATACCTCATGTAACCCATAAATACATATACCTACTATGTACACACAAACATTAATAATATAAAATTTTAAAAAATTAAATATTTCTGTTAATGCATTTTATCCACACACAAACTTTGTGCTCAGTCCTCTTAAATAAGATGTAGGGCCAATGATAACAAAAGAAACCTATGAGAATTACCTATATTAATCAAATGAGTTATTTATTTATAAATAAAAACCAACTATGAAAGAATCATAAGACCCAGGGAAAACCAGCAGTATGGAAAAAAAGGGACTAAGGTGAAGAAATGGAAACACTAACATCAGATGAAGCAGAGAAAATTAAAAGAAGGAAAAGGGACACTACAAGGATTCCAAAGGCGCTCTTAAGGGGAATTGAGATGACATTGCATCATAATACAAAAACATACTACTGTGAAAAAGGAGCAGTCAGAGAATAAGAAATAGCTCCTGAAACAGAACTGACTGCTGAAATAATGATAATCAAAAAAATAAAAATAAATAGATGTTGGCATGGATGTGGAGAAAAGGGAAAACTTTTACACTGTTGGTGGAAATGTAAACTAGTACAACAACTATGGAAAATAGTGTAGAGACTCCTTAAATAACTAAAGGCAGATCTACCATTTGATCCAGCAATCCCACTACTAGGCATCTACCCAGAGGAAAATAAGTCATTATACAGAAAAGATACTTCCACACGCATTTGTATAGCATCAGAATTCACAACTGCAAAAATATGGAACCAGCACAAATGCCCATCAATCAACAAATAGATAAAGAAAATGTGGTATATATATGTATGTGTATATATACATGTATGTATGTGTATGTGTGTGTGTGTGTGTATATACATTCCATAGTGCCTACAGTGTGTATATCTATCTATCTATCTATCTATCTATCTATCTATCTATCTATCTATCACACCATGGAATACTACTCAGTCATAAAAAGAAACAAAATAATGGCATTCACAGCAACCTGGATAAAATTGGAAACCATTATTCTAAGTGAAGTTACTCATGAATGGAAAACCAAACAGTGTACATTCTCACTCCGGGGAAATAGGGATTCAGGGGAAAGTGTGGGAGAGGGCTGAGGATTGAAAGACTACACATTGTCTACCGTATATAATGCTCAGCTGATGGGTGCACCAAAATCTGAGAAATCACCACCAAAGAACTTAATCATGTAACCAAACATCACCTGTTCTCCAAAAATCTATTGAAATAAATATTTTTTTTTTTTAAAAAAGGAGGCAACTCTGTTGTGCACTGATAAGGGTTGGTATTCAAAATACATCAATTTTGTTAAAAAAAAACAAGCAAAGAACAAAGTACACTATGCCTCCATTTTTTATTGAAAATTTAAATATGTGTATGTATCTGCTCATGTAAGCATAGCATGTGTCTGAAGGACACACAAGAGATTGGGGAGGGGAACTGGATGGCTGAGGGACAGGAGCATGACCTTTTTTTCACTATCCTCTTCTGTGCCCTTTGAATTTTATAGCATATGTTTTACCAATGAGTAATAAATAAATACAATTTAATTTTTAAATGCAAAGTAATAATAATAATAGAAAGAGTAGAATTTACTTAAAACCTCATCTTAGAGTAAAACATTAAAGAGATTGAACACTTGTGTAATATGTAAAGAGGCTTAATCTAGGAGGTTTCCCACAACATTTGATACAGCCATTAATCAAATATACACTCAGAACCCACTATGTGTCACATAATATCCTCACGGATTTTTTAAGGTAGTGAATAGGAGAGAGGCCTTGCCTTCATGGAGCTGACATTCCATGAAATAAATAAACTGTACTCAAAGGCATTCCAAAGAAAAAAGAAAAAGTATAGGGGAAAAGAAAAAATTTAAGTGACCAATAGAAGAATATTTCCCGAGGCTTCTGAAGTATATACTGAAAGTAATTTTGAATGTAAAATTCTATACCCAAGTTGGTAGGTGGAGTGGTATCCTGGTAACAGTTTAACAATTAGCTCTTAAAAAAAAAGAAAGAAAGAAAGAAAGAAAAATGCCAACGTGATTTGATGATTTTCACAGAGTAAATACTTTCACTCTGGTCAAACTGCTAACATGAGCTCACAGAATTGGGAAGAAATGCTAAATAAAGTTAGCATTTGTGAGGTGATGTAAGCCAGTTTCAGCATGCCAGTGAGGATACACTGAAATAAAGGACATTTTTTTTTAATTTCCAGATAGGCATGGCCCAGAAATTTACCACTCATCTACATTTTTTTTTGTGTGTGTGTGACAAGTCTCATTCTGTCACCCAGGCTGGAGTGCAGTGGCATGATCACAGCTCACTGCAGCCTTGATCTCCTAGGCTCAACAGATCCTCCCACCTTAGCCTCCTGAGTAGCTGGGATTACAGGTGTGTACCACCATGCCTGGATAATTTTTGTATTTTTTATAGAAAAGGGGTTTCGCTACGTTACTCAGGCTGGTCTCCAATCCTGAGCTCAAGTGATCCACCCACCTCGGCCACCCAAAGTGCTGGGATTACAGGTTTGAGCCACCATGCCTGGCCCATCTACTCTTTCTTTAAAAAATTAAAATATTTCTAGGAAATGAAAATGAAATCTAAGAAAGAGGAAAATATGAGATCTGCAATATAGTTGATCTTCTTCAGACTAGAACCTTCTCAGGTGTTACCTGGGCATAACTACAGGCTTGCACATGCACATAGCTTTCTAGATACTCAGGAATATGCAGGTGTTTTTCAAAGTCTCCTATGAACATCTCATTCCACATTTTTTTCTCTTTTAAGTGCTGTGTCAACTTTCTGATAGCCCCAACTGTTATTATCTCCTCTGGCAGCTACAATGTTTAACAATGCTTGTTGATTGTTTTTTGTTTTGGTTTGGTTTTTTAATGCTGGGAAAAAAAGGTTGTTTGCAGTGAGCAAATTCTAAGTCAGCTCAAGCAAAGGCAGGCTCTGCAAGTGAGGGTTCTGGGAAACTGCCACACAGGTTAAATAATGACACTTCTCTGAACTGGGCTTTTGAGGAACAATTCTGCCTCTTCCAGTAGCTTTTAGACTGCTAGTTTCATGACTGTTGTGATTGCAAGAATTTAAGGCTACCAAAAATTGGAAATAGAAGGGTGAGAATATGGCAAGTTAAAATGTCAGTTTGTGATTCATCTATCTTTTTTAAAATAAAAACTCTGCATATTGTTGCAAGCCTTTGTTTAATTTACAGAGTTCTAAAATATTACTTTCACATTTTTTTTTCATTCATCTTATTTATTTTATGGAAGAGCATATTTTTGAAGGTCCTTTTTCTGCTCTTCCAAATGTGGCTCTATCTCTCTTTGACATTTTAACTTTTTCATTTTTTAGGGGATTAGGCTATTTATTGTAAAGAATGCCCTCAATTTGGTTTTGTCTGATATTTTCTCATAGCTAGGCACAAATTATAAACGTCGGTAGCAATATGAAAGAAGTGATGTTGGTCTTTAGTGCATCCTCTCATAAGCCACATGATGCTATTTATCACATTACTTATAATGTTAACCATACTTGGTTAAGGTTGTATCTGTCATATTTTTCCATTATTATTATTTTTCCATTTGTAATTAACAAATATGTTGTGGAGATGTACTTTGAGGATATGTACATATCTTACTTCACATCTAATTTTTACTCAATTGTTTTAACATTCATTAATGTTTACCTTAATAAATTATTATAATGGTTGCCAATGTTAATTTGCTAATTATTTCATCCCTTCAATATTATTTGGCCATATCCGTGTCTTTTTGTCACAGAGAATTTAAAGTTGATAGACCATAAATTCTAAGAAGATCAATGCTATGTCTGTCTTATTCATGGCTGAAGCCCTGTGCTCAGAATACCTTTTAGGATGATCATTAATAAATATTTCTTAATTAAATTAATGATGGACTAAGTGAGCAAAAGGTGATGCGCATTTTAGTTAGAAATCCTAAAAATAAATAGTAATAATAAAAATAGACAAGTAATAATTAAGGATACTATATGATGTTATCCATTTGCAGAATATACCACTCAAACCAATGGGACAGATATCAGCAGTGAAGAAATCTGGAATTGTCCAGTAATCAAAGCAATTAAACTACATCCACAGGACTTGTAAATTAAGTTATATCAAAATGTTACTAATAAAAAAGACGTTAACTAAAAAATGGTTATATTATTAAAGTGATAGTCTGCATTATTACTATTCAAAATGTATCCCCTTCCTGTAAGAAAGTTATATTTTTCTTCCATGTTGAGCTCAAGTATGAGCCTGCCAATAAAATGTGAGTGAAAATGCGTAGTAAAGAATTTGCCTTTGCCCAAAGAGATATCTGGCCGTTTCCCTGGCTTCTAGGGAATAATGTCTAAATATTTACAATTTCCTCTGTGATTTCAAGTATCTTTATTATTTATGATGAGCCCCTTGAACCCCACAGAATATTTTATGCTAACAAGGTAAATCATGATAGAGGCCTCTCAGACCATGCATGGGGTGTGAGACTGACCTTCTTGGAGTGAGGTGCGGTGCTAGAAACAGTTTAACCACATGGACAATTAATCAATCATGCCTGTTCAGTGAGGTTCCAATAAAAACTCTGTACACCAAAGTCTGGGTGAGGTTCTTGGGTTGGCAATACTCTATGCATATTGTCACTCATAGATGCTGGGAAGGTAATGTGTCCTGAGGACAATGGAAGCTTTAAGTTTGGAACCTTCTTTGACTCTGCCCCATGCAACTCTTCCTTTGGTGGGTCCTATTTGGTATCCTTTTCCCTGTAATGTACCATAACTATGAGCAGACTAGCTCTCAGCAAATTTTCTGAGTACTTCCAGCAAATTATTGAAACTGAGGATGGTTTCAGAAACGCCTTAAACTTGCGTGTCTTGGTGTCAGAAGTAGGACATCTCTTGCGGACTTTGCCCTCAGTGTTTGCAGTTCAGTTTACTCCAGGTAGAAGGTGATACAGTTTCAGAGCAGAGTCTAAGAGTAAGTGAATGCTTTGTGAAGCCCCTTTTTTTTCTGTTTCTGCAATCCTAGAAGAATGGCTAATGAACTCTCCATAAAACTAGTTCTGTGAGTTTTTTTTGATGAGCTGAACCCTCTGCCAAGCAGAGGTGGCCATGTAGCATTAATGGGAAAAAGACCACTGTATTAGTCAACTGTGATTTTAGGTTTGTTCGTTATCATTTTAGAAACTACCCTACCGTAACTTATACACTGATTCTATAATGTGGTAGACAAATAAAACAGATATATAGTATTTGTTCTATGGTACTTATTTCAGGCAGACACAAGTATTTCTTTTGCTAGAGAAATGTTTTATTATAAAATATGAAGGTAATTTATCAGGCCACAGTCATAATTCCAGTGTCCATGCAAATCAAATACCTTTGTTTTTATTCTAGTCTAATCAACCATCATATCTGCCTTCACAGTGAACCTATATTGCAGTAATGAACATTTCAGTTATTGCCCGGTGCAGTGGCTCATTCCTTTAATCCCAGCACTTTGGGAGGCCAAGGTGAGTACATCACTTGAGCTCACGAATTTGAGACAAAGCTGGGCAACATAATGAGACCCTGTCTGTACTAAAAAAATAAATGAATAACTGGACATGGTGGTGCATGCCTGTGGTCCCAGCTACTCTGGAGACTGAGGTAGGAGGATCACTTGAGCATGAAAGTTTGAGGCTACAGTGAGCCATGTTGGTGTCACTGCACTCCAGCTTGGGCAACAGAGTAAGACTCTGTCTCAGAAAAAAAAAAAAATAAAATTGTCAATGAAATATACAAATTAACATTTTCTTTTTTATATTACTCTCTTATAAATCCCTTAGAATCTCATCAGTTCATAAAGAGGACCTGCAAAGTTGAAAAAAGTTTGAAACATACCTATATTGATTCTATCACTTAGAGAGGATCTGCTTTCATTGACACCTTCTATTTGCGTAGCTCTTTAGCTGCTAAAATGTCAACTTCTTCAGATAAAATTAGTCCAAAGAGAGACGTTAAGTTAACTACGTATGTGAAAAATGAAACTTTGCTATGAGTTGAAGTTTTACTATCCTCCTTAGAGCATTTATATTTTCTCTTTATACTTCTTGAAATATACCAATCTTGTATAAAGTTATTCTCTTTGGAGTTTCCCTTTTGTGATAATAAATTATTGAACACAACATTGAAATAAATCATTTGAAACATTTGTAGCATTGTATATTTCCCACAACAAATACCTAAAGACTTGAAGTCAGTTGACACAGCAAGTAATTTGCTTTAACCATCTGTTCCATTCCTTTCAACACCTGTACATTCTTACCATGCCTTTATTCTTACCATACCATATATCTCTATCATCTATTTACCCATGTGTTTATCTATTTTTTCACCTGTGACATATATACACACCTATATAATATGTATACATGTATACAAACATGTATAGATGTTATAATGATTTTACATATAATATATTATATATGTGTACAGACATGTACACACATATATCCAGATATATGCTAGAACTGGTATTAACAAATAAGACATGGTTCCTATGTGTAACCAACATATTACTCTTCATTATCCTTAAATTACTCATTTTCTTTTTGTGACAAAAAATACAAAAGTTCGTATCAAAGGAAAATAAATACATGAGACTAAAAGAATACTTGTTCATCATTAAAATACAAAAAAAGTTATGTACTCCCAAAATTCTTAAATGTATTCACTGTAAAATTTTCACGGCACACTTTTGTATTTCATTTAACTTACTGCTTTACTCAAGAATCAGCGTTAAAGGTACGTGATACTAACAATGACATTTATTTTTCATTCAGTGATATTTTTAAAAATATGATATATTTAAAGCAGGATGTATTTCTATCTATTCCTGAAAGGTTACACAGTTTCAAATTCATAAAAGGTAATCATTTTGTGGGCTGGCCTGGGGCCTTCTGTCATCAGTACCCACAACATTTTGTGAAAGAATCCTTTCTAGGGCCGGGCACGGTGGCTCACGCCTGTAATCCCAGCACTTTGGGAGGCCGAGTCGGGCAGATCACGAGGTCCGGAGATCGAGACCATCCTGTCTAACATGGTGAAACCCTGTTTCTACTAAAAATACAAAAAATTAGCCGGGCGTGGTGGCAGGTGCCTGTAGTCCCAGCTACTCGGGAGGCTGAGGCAGGAGAATGGCGTGAACCCAGGAGGCGGGGGTTGCAGTGAGCCGAGACTGCACCACTGCACTCCAGCCTGGGCGACAGAGCAAGACTCCGTCTCAAAAAAAAAAAAAAAAAAAAATTGGTGCCATTTACCAAAGGTGTATTTTGTTCTGGGTACCATTCAAGAGACTTTGCATGCATTCTCTAATTTAGTCCTCACAGTATCAGTATGATAGGAAACAGTGCTGGAGATAAAGACATAGCTGTGTTAAGAAATGGTGAAAACGAATGAATGAATATGTAACAAAAGATAACAAATGAATATGTAAGAAAAGAGATTTTTCCAGTTCCATTGTGAATGTGGATTCCAAGAAGCAAAGATGTATGTCTTTAAAATAAACTTTTTTTTTTTTTGGCAAGATAAACATTTTTTTTTTTTCCCTCAAGACTACATTCACAAAGAAATGCTGTCTCGATGTTCAGGAAAACCTCCTCTGATACTGAGATTGATGATTCCATGGGGCTGCTTCTAACAAAAGAACTTTCTGATCTGTGTTCTGTGGAGTTTATGGGATTATTTGGCTTGTCCCTTGAGATAGAGCTGGGAGGTAGGGGCAGCTACTCCAAAAGGCCTACAGACTCAGGCCCGCCATTGCTGGTGCCCTTTCTGCTGGCTGTTCTGGGCACCAGATGCTTCTTCCTGTTGTTGTGACAGTTGGGTAGGCACTGTGTCTTGATTCTTTTCATCATCCTGCTGGGCCTGTTCCTGAACTTTTGACAGTAGCTGCTGCTTAATGACAGCAAGGCTGTTGGTGAAATAGCTGTCGCCTGTGTTAAATGATCTATAAATCTATGATCAAACACTGCAGTCGGGAGAAAGTGGGTATAAAGTTAAAGGTGGCCCAACCATTTAATAAGATGAAATGTCAAAGTGTTGCAAGGAAGCCTAAGTACAAACAAGGCTTAACACCATGGTCATCAGAATATAAAGACTTCCTTATTACAACATGGGGATGACCTGGCTGCGGTTTTCAAATTCAACAGTGAGTTGCATTTTTTATTGAGTCTCAGAAGTCAGAGGGACTTCCCAATGAGTCCATTTTCCTGGCAGCCAGATGCTAGTTATCTGCCTCTCTCCTGCATGTGTCTGTTCTTTAGGATCTGTACAAGGCAAAGCAGAGATTGCCTTCTACTTTATGAAAGTTAGTCATCAAGAAGAGTTTTAGTTTTACCATTTTTTTGAAAGATTTCGAGAGGCCAGCCTTTGAAAGAGCTATGTCAGTATGGAAAATTTAAAGATAAAAGGAGAAAGATCATCAGTTATTTTTAAGCTATAAAATCAACCATAGAATTTGTAGACTGAAGGAACTTAGATGAACCTCAAGCTTTTTCTTCCCCCTCCTGCTTCAATTTGACTTAAATTTTTTTTAGAGCCAGGTTAAGTCTAAGATAAACAGAAATAAATTATGCTTTTTGAAAAAACTCTGATCAGAGATTTGGTGCCCAACTTGGATTTGTTGATTAGGCTCCTGTGCACCCAGCAGCCTTAATTCCTGACAGACAGTGGGGGCAGGATGCAGCAACATGAGCCTCAGTGTCTAACAGCCTACAAGTAGACTTGAAGGTATATTAGACCAACTCTGCCTTAGCAAATGGCAATTATCTTGCAAGGGAAATGTATTAGCTTAAAGGAGTTACCCAAGTTTGAAAATTATTTTTGTTTTGTGTTGTTTGGATGGAAGAGTGCTGGAGGCTAGATTTTAAACAGTGTGAAAAAAAGAGAGAAAATTAGGGCCAGAAAATAAGCTCCTCCTAACATTATTCCACAGCCAGTTGCTGGACAAGAAAAACCATTTTCATAAAATTTAAATGAGGTGTTTAAATTGGCTCCCTGTATAAATTACTCTACGTGAATATTCTTCTCTTTGACATACATGCTGATTTTAGATCCATCCTGCTGCTACATGGAATGTAGTTTATGTAAAATGGCTAAGGATTGAGAAAAAGGAATTTTAGGTTGGCCCAATGAGCAGGTTAAACTTATTCTCTTCTCCCAAAGCTTACATTATTGATAAAATTAGATGCAAAAAAGAAAAAAGCTTACATTAATGACAAATTAAATTTCAGCTCTTTATTATAGAGATGTAAGAAATTAACAAGTGACAGTAGGATGATTTCCTTAATAGGGAAAATTTTGAGTTTCAAGAGCTTACACTGCTTCATTTGAGGAAAAAGAGAAGAATCGTAGGTGTCTAAGGACAAATGTGACCTAAGAAATTAGAGATTACAATTGGTTTCATGACTCTCCTGAGGCCCACAAGTTTCCTCTGATGAGAAGCAGAACATTGTTTCCAATGCAAGGTGTGAACACTGAAACCAACAGCGGGTTCACCCATTCTGTCATATCCACTCTTCGGTAATTCGCTTCCCCAAATGCACTGGGGCTGATTTCCTCTCTTCCTCTTCTGCCTTACTTTTGTCTGAAATACAGTGCAATAGCTCAACATCTGAAACTTCAACTTAACTAGAAATGTCTGCCCTGAGGTCAATGTTAAAGGAAAGGCATGGGTTCTTCAGAATAATCCCTCGCTCCCTAAGTCATATTTCATCATTAAAATGAGAACACTGAATATAGAAGTATTTTTAATTGCGCCATTTTTTTGTTTTTAAAAAATATGAGTTCTTTCCTTTATGAAATACAGAAAACATGCCAAGTAATTATATTGACTCTGAGGAATGCAGCATATTCTTGTGACATTTTGATTCACTAAAATATTATAATATATTTTCCTTATACTATACATTTTCTATCTTTCCACATTCTAAATTTGTATTCAGAAAGATATTTAGAAATTCACATAGTAATCTTAGTGAAATATCTTATATTCTCCAATTGAATGGTACACTAATAGAATACCAAGGAACTAGAAAATCTTAAACATTAAGGTGGTTACAAGTCAGATTGCTTGATAGTGTCTAAGTCAGAACCTTTAGACGTCTTAACATTGGTGGTGAGGGCATGTAGATTCCAGCAGTTCTAAATGGCACCTGTTACGAGCTGAATTGTGTCTCCTCAAAATTCATATGTTGAAGTCCTAAAGCTCATTACCTCAAAATGTAACTCTATTTGGATATAGAGTCTTTGAAAAGTAAGTCAAAATGCGGTCTTAGGCTGGGGCCTAATCTAGTATGACTGGTGTCCATATAAGAAGAGGAAATCTGGACATGGATGTGTGCAAAAGGAAGACCATGTGAAGACATGGGGAAGAGATGACTATTTACAAGCCAAGAAGAGAGACTTCAGAAGAAACCAACCCTGCTGACACCTTTGTCTCAGACTTCCAACATCTAGAATTCTGAGAAAATAAATACCTGTGGTTCAAGCTACCCATTCTGTGGTACTTTGTTATTGTAGCCCTAACAAACTAATAAAGTACCACAGGGAATGGAAAGAGTCAATGACTTTCCTAAATTACCTTGCCTAGTACCCCAAAAATAGTAAACTCTGAGATAGCCTGGGTGATTAACTCCAAAACTAATTCATTCATTAATTATTCAGCAAATATGTACTAATTTGATTTTTTTTCTATTCATTTGTCACTTGCTAGATTCTGGAGATACAAGGCCATCTTCTCAAGAAATTGAGTCTGGTAGGAGGTACAGGCACGCAGAAATAATTGTAATCAGTGTGGGAGATGTCAAAGTAAATGCATACATTCCTTTATGTATTCATTCACCTTTAAAATCCAATGCACTCTTTTTGAGATGGTACCTTGTGCCAGCACTAGCTGGAGAAACATTGAACTTTCACAGGAAGACATTTTAATGAAGGACTCCCTAATAATAGATCTATTCTCTCATGAAGAAAGAAGGTTTTATTCAGTGTGTTTTACTGGTTGTCTTCTGGATGTCCCACTAGTATGTCACACAAAAACCTCCATGACAGTGCCTACTCTCTTCCCCAGTAAGTGCTCTTTGGGCTACTTTCCTTACCTTGTTCCATGACTCTCATCCGTCTAGTCACCCAAATCAAAATCTGAAGTCATCCTTGAATTATCCTTTCACCCTTACCCCATATCTTGGGTCATCAGATCTGGTGACTCATCTCAAATATCTCTAAACATTCTAACTCTCTTCAAACCTTATTATTTATTTTAGGCCTTAATCATCTCTTGCCTAGATTATTATAGTCTGTAGTTATTATAGACTACAATTTACTGACTAGATTATTATTTTCTATTGTAGGAGAACTTCTACCTCTTATTGCCTTTAATTTTAACCCATCTTCCACAGTGACTCAATAGTTACATTTCTAAATGAAAACACAGATACATCATTTTCTTGCATAATCTTTCATTCTTTCATGATTGCTAACAAGATGTAATATAAATTTCCTTAACTCAGTGCAATAGCTCCTGTCTGCTTCTCCAGCCATACTCCCACTGCTTAACCAGAATACATCCTATGCTCTTGTCACAAAAAGTTAAGATTTTCACATTTTAAATATAAACCTGAGTAAAAATAGAAAAAAAAAGAAAAAGTTTTTCTTCAGTAATTGTCAAACTAGGGAGAGGATAACCATCCTAGGTCTGAATATTTGTGTGCTCTTTCAATATTTATGATTCAGTATTTATTAAACCAAATGTTCTTATCTAGGTCTTGCATTATTATTATTATTATTGTTACTACTATTATTTTCCCTGCAATATGCATATAAGACCTTGCTACATGTGGTAAGAAAAATAGTTTCCAGTGAAGAACATTTTAAAGAAAATTAAAACATTTGAACCTTTAACTCAATGAAAACAGTAAGCAAACATTGCATTATATTTTTCATAAATAGTGAGATATGATATTATGTCTTATGACCTCAAAATATTATATGGCATATATCACCCCAGAAGCAGAATAAAGGAGTTATTAAATATAACTAATAATGTAAGTAGTTGTTTTCTCATTACATAAATAAGTTTGTTAACATATCATTTTATGAACAATTTCTTCAGAATAATAACTATTTGGAAAATATTGACATTTAAAAAATCACACAAAAATGCTCTCAGTTACTTGAGAATAAAAAGTGACAATCTGAGTCTTTATATATTAAATTTCTAAAATTTAATTTAATTTTTAAAAATAATTAAATTCAGGATTTTTTCCCATAAAAAATCTAATTGCTGCTACTCCAAGTCTTACCTTTGGCATATATTACATTGTTAGAAGTCAGTAAATATTGTTTCAAAATACTTTTCCAAAGACTTAACAGTTTCAGCCCATCCAACCATAAATATTGTCTTCCAAAGTTTCAGCTTTCCTGAACCAGCTGTTGAATTCATAAGTGTTCTGGGAGGGAACAGTCCACAGACTGCAAGGATGCCTGAGGATAAAGGCCCTGAATACTATGCCAAGAAGCCCTGATCATCAAAGAGAGAAAAAAACCCAGCTTGATTTTAATGAAATCTTTTTAAAGTGGAGGAGAGGCAAATAATGTGGAAAATATCAGTGACTTGCAAAGCAGGTTGGAGAAGGAGCCCCAAGTCTATTCAGAAGATTGTTTGGTATCAGACAATAATTAGATAATCTCTTCGAAAAGAGTTAATGGATGGCCCTCATCTGGTCAGCTGTGTTCCCTCTATTGCAAGCTATTGCCCAAACTGGATCTGTTAAAAACCTTCTGCCTTCATCAGTTGGGTTTGGAGACATAGTTTTTCCAGGACGTGTAAAGAAAGCTTTTCCTGCTCTATGGGCTTTGTGGCTAAACAAGTTTCCAGGCCCCAGGGCTGCTAATTTAACAGCTTTCGTGAGTATTAGAGTTCAAGGAAAATAATCCTTGTTAAAAAGTGTACATTAAATTATTTCTAACTAAACCATGAGAAAGGGTCTTCTTTACCAATTACTAAGTATTAAAAAGTTACCAATTATAAGCGGCTTTACTGACAAGGTCATTTATAAAAGAATCATTCAATCTAGCCAGAGAAAACCACCACTGAAAGCACAGCTAAAAACAATACTTCATCTAAATTTTCAAGAAATTAATGTTTCTGTTATCTATATTTATATTTACAGACGGAGCGGTGAGAATGTTTCATCCTTGAACTGAAAGACTGCCTCTGAGCTCTTTGCAGAGAAAAAGAAGAAAGTTTGATTGCAGTGGCAGGCTCGAACAATTTGGATGTGCAGAGTATTGATTTCTCTCCTGTATTTATTCTATTTTTGTGTTAGGAAACGTTAAGTATCTGGAGAGGGATGGCAAAGTGGACGTTTTTAAAACCGTTTGACATGATTGAAAGCCTTCATATTTGTCAAGGTGTTTACCTGCTACATGGAATCGTTTTGTTTTCACATATTTGTTCTCAACGGATATCATATCCTTGAAATGTGGCAGATTCATGTTTCTGAAGTATCCATTTTTCAGTTTAACACCAGATATGTCAGTTGTGGACTGGGGAGCCATGGTATGCTGACATGAGCATGAATTTCTGTGCCTCTTTTTACTGATCAAGCAGCTGGTTAGTGCAAGGAAGAGTCTGCATTGCACTGTTCAACACATGGATCAAACACTGTTCTTTGCACTGTATTCTAACCAGCCATGGCCATTCTTTAGTCATGTCTCAAAAGGTACCACGGTTCCCAAGTTGGTTTCTCTAGCAACTGTAGAGACAGTTGAATTACAATTCATAATTGACCAGTCACTGGCCCTGGGGATATTTCTTTATCCGCCAAGTTTCCATGTGGCCTGTGGAGTGTGGAAAGTGGCTGCCCCTCCCAGTTTCCTGAGTCCTTTGAGAAAGAACCAGTGAACCACAACCCTCTGTTCTGATCACTGCAAAAAAATTTTTTTTTTCCTTACAATTCATTCAGAACAGCTTTGATTTTCTTTAAAGATTGTTATCCCAGAGAACAATGCTGCTTGTTTTGGATTGTTTTGTGCTCTTCATACCTGTTGAGCTTTGATTATGCTGAAGCTGCCAGCTCACTTTATAAAGAGTCAACTGGAAGGCAATTTGAATATGTAACCTATTTGCTTCCTTTACAAACTTGACTCACTCTAATTTGACCAGATGTAATGAGAGCAATAACTTGTTAGGCTACTAAAAGATCTTTCAGTATTCCTTATGTGGAAGCCATTTCAGATTAGTTGTCTTAAGCCAAAGATAGTTATCAATGACTCTTTATGTCTTAAATAAGTATGTGGAAAACTCTTTAGCCCTTGAAATGATATTTTGTATCATTCCTTTTAGGTTGCTGTTTAAGAAGTTTTTACATCTGCAAACACTAACTATTTCAAGCACTGAAAGTCTGTCAAATATGTCACAAGTATAGAATTATTCCAAATATGCCTGATATTGAGAAGCATTACACTTTTTGGAAAATATGCAAGCACATAACTAATCAATGCAATACTGGTTGATGCATAAATAAATCACTAAATTTAATAGGGTTATTGCAACTGAATTTGTAATTACTTAGGGTTTCATTAACATTTATTTTGCATTACCCGTGAACATTGATTGGATTTAGATTGGTGAAGATGGTAGACTGATGTGAATCTTTGCCTTTAAAAATGACATCCGTGTCCACATAATGCATTGCTGTTAGAGGCAGAGACTGTGTAGAATTGCTGGGCTTATGTGAAACACAGCCTGTAAGCACCAGCACCACAGAGGCATCTCACTAACACCACTCAAAGAAAAGTACTCCTTTTGCTTACCATTATCAGTCACATTATCGATCACCAGCACCCTCAGAGGAAATGTTACCACCAATGGTACAAATTGAGCTGGAGAAGTAACTCAATTAACATGATTCCAATGCCAGGGCCACTTTTTCAGGATGTATTCTTACTCAGTGACTTTCCTGTTTCATTGATTCTGGGTGCTTGGGTTTCATAAGAATATATATGACCAAGTGCTCTTTTACTGTTACGGCTTACCATAGCACAAATTGCTGCAGATGTGAATGTTCTTATTGGCATACATGGAAGAATGACCTTACTTTATAGCACTATTATAAAAGCACGGTTTAAACTAGCCTTTCAATTTTCGTGTGACAGAAGAAGGGGCTAATCTTATGGGTCTTGACCTCTCTTGAGCATTCAAACTATTGATGACAGAGCACAAGGCTTTTTACATTCCAGCTTGTCATTTTCTTGGCCTTAGATGGTACCCAACCCATTTCAGTGCATATGTCTTATTGATGTCCTGAGTTAGAGGGTGATGTGTCTTCTCAGCCTTAACATCTCTGGTCTACTCTTCTGTAAGGATTATGGAAAGAAACAATTGTCCTTACTGAGTCCCAGATGTAATTTCTACATCTCCAATTCGTAGCAACAAAAATACTACTGGAGGTATACGATCTCCTGCCTTATTAATAAGCATACCTAATCAATGCAATATTTCAAGCAACTGGTTGATCATCCAATTTCATGGCTCAAAGTTGTTCACTAAACTGGATCATCTAGAGACATCTTTAATTTCTGTTACAGCAGATGTCTCAAATTTGTTTTATATTTTTTACTGAGGTTTCAATGAGGATCCCATCTACTGTACTTATTCTTCCTTAAAGCATTTAGCAATACTCTGTACAAATTTAAGCAGAAACATTTTTATTTCCCTATAAAAGTATACAAGTAAAAAAATGAAATTGTTAAGGATGTACTAAATGCAGTCTAAAAGAAGATGTGAATGATACTAAAAGGGGACATCCTGAGTTATCTGCCAGTTTCGTGGTTTTTCTTGGAGATTCCTAGGTCCAAGGTGCCTGCTGCTCTTTCATTCCTTCAGAGGGGTTGTTTATGCAGGTGACGTCACTACTCTTACCACATACAATTGGTCCCAGAGTGTGTGCCGGCCACAAAGGCACCTATGTAGAGTCTGGCTAGCAGAGTGTATGTTGTCCTGGAGAGAGCACTTTTACCAACTGGGCTGCCTAAAAATGGATGAGACTGGCAGACCCAATCAAATTTTCGTCTCCTTTGTGAGGTTTGAATGGGACATTCAAAGGAAGGCTGAAGACAATAAGGGGGTAAAGTTGCTGAGAGATCAGCAGAAAGGAAGCAGTAAGCAGAAACTATGGGGTTGCAGAACTCTGGGTTAAGAAAATGCCTCAATAGAGAGGAGAATAATGAGGGTCAGCTTGCAAGTGACAGCAGGCGCTATAGACAGAGAGAGAGAATGGCTGAGTTGGCACGATGTGGAGTACTAAAACAGGGAGGGAAGGCTGACATGCGTTGAGGGAACACCTTGGTTCTCTAGAGCTGTTTTTATCCTAAATGATCATCCAGTTTGCCATGGTACCTGGCTATGTGGTTATGGTGGTATTCTAAAAGCTGTTTTGAACTCTATGAGCCAAATTAAGAGTCTATTTTGCTCTTCCTCATTTCCCCATGTATCTTCTCAATATACCACAGCCAGAGTGTATGGCTGCTCTTAGTAGACAAACTGGCACAATATTTATTTGTGGGGATAGTGGAGAATAGATGATCTCTAGCTTAGATCATGTGCAATCATAATGTAGTGAAAAGTTAATAGGTTTAGAAAAAAATCTTACATTAAAAGTAGTAGTAAAAGCATTGTCAATAATTTCCCAAACTGATTTTTAAAGGACACTGTGTTGAAGCTATTCTTAAAAATGGGGTTTGGGGATGAAAATAATATGTTATGTGTGAGTAGGATTTATGATGCACATTAGCTTATTAAAAACTCCGTGAAGTCTTGCAATTAAGAACAAATATTACTTATGTTTAATAAAGCAAGAGAAAACACCTTTTTTCATTTCATCAGAGCAACAAATAGTATCTCACCAAATTTTTTTCATGGTATGCAGTTTCTAAAACTTCAGTTTATATAAATGATCTTAATAACCATATTACCTCTTATAAAAGATAGCTGCCCTTGAGATTGCATTTAACTGTGAATTATTCTGAACTTTGGAATTATTATTGCCTCAAATTTCCTGCAAGAAGTCTTAAAAATCATACTAAATGCATATTAGTTATTAAAAGTTCTGTAAATACCGGCTTGAAAAATTTCTTTCTGTCTCTTCCTACCCACCCTATAGTTGTCTGTGCTAGAAGAGGATTTTCTTTGTGAATTGTCAATGCAACTTAAAGGTTTTGCACAAAAATTTTCTAATCTGAGTAAATAGGAAGAATGATAAAATGTGGATATAATCATCTTAACTCCTTTGAAACAATATGATAAGAATAGAAGGGACCAATAGGAATTTGGATAAACACATGTTTCAACCCCTCTGTGTGGGTATAACTGGGTTGAGATAATCCTTACCACAGGGTATTAAAATGTTGGGTATTCTGAGACATACAGTTTGACACACAAAGTAAAATATATTTCAAGTTTTGTATTTCAATAAGGAATATGTAATTAACACGGCTTTAATAATGTTCAACTTGAAAAAAAAGAAAAGAAGGTTTTAATTATAAAAGGAAGCTTTGGTTTAATCTAAGGAGATTTTTAGAAATGTGACAGTAGAAAACCGGTTGTAAAATTTTGTGGTGTCTCCTTACTCATTCTTTAAAGATATAATGGCTGGTAGAATATAGTTACATGCAATTTTTATTTCATAGAGTAGCTTTGATCTCTGTAATAATATTTTATGTGTAGAGTTGTTTGGGGGAAGGCAAACGTTAAAAGTTTCTGATTGTTGAAGTAATGAATGCAAACTTTGAAAATTTGGTAAAGCATAAAAAAGAAATTACCACCTACTCATAATAAAGCATTCAGTATTGACTCTTTTATATTTGGTAGATATTTTCTTGCAGTCTTTTTTATGTATACATATTTTTACAGAATGGAGATATTGGTACATAATATTTTTTAGATTTACCTGTGCTATTATTTCATAAATATTTTAATACTTTTATACTATTGTAACAAGTAAAGATTATTTAAAAAATCTTTCCAGTCCTCATTTTAAGAGTTACATATTAATAATATTCCATTGCAAGTTATTTAACATTTCTCCTACATTGGTTAAATCAGGTTGAATTCAGTCTGAGTCAACTTAAAACTTCAGTTTTAACAATAATACTCTGATGTAAATCTCTTTTCTTTAAAAAATTTTTACTCTAGGAAAAAGATGATGAATGGGTCAAATGTTTTAACATTTAAAAACTTGTATTACAAAAATTTGGTATAAATTTTACAAATATTTACATTTTACTGTAACATATTAGAATATTCATATTTATTCATCGGTGAATTTCTTATTCTTATCCTTTCTCCACTTACCTAATGGGCTTTTTGTTTTTCTTGTTGATATTATATGAAGTTTTTGTACACTAACCCTTTATTTTGCACATTTACCTGCAGTATTGACAAGTATTTTTCCAAATTGTTTGTTCTTTATGTTATTTTTCTAAATAGGAGTTGGTGTCTGTGTTCTAAAAGCTAATGCTATTTCTAGTGTAATTTCTCCATTTCCTTATGAACTTATTATATCCATTTGTTTTGGGACTTGTACAAATTAAGGACGAATCCCTCTCTAGGCTGTTATACTTGCTGTAAGACAGAATTTTCAGAATGCCTATAGAAGGACTTTTAAGAAGGCTTTCTCGTTCCTTTATTTCTCAGCAATTCTTTGGAGGTGGGGGAGGAGGTATTCTGACCCTCTTATAAAACCTCTATGACAGTGGAAATGGTAGGTCTGTGGTAACTCAACAAAGTTCCCAATTTTTTGATTCAGTGAAACCAAAGTTTTCTCTACCCTCTAACAGAATCCAACAGCATTACTGTCACTGCTTCTAACAAAGAGGCTCTGAATGTGAGACCTGGCAAAAGTGATTTTTCTCCCCCTCAATATAATCTTTCACTTGGAAAAGAAGTGCCTAGATCTCAGGTAGCTTTGTTCATAAAAAATGGAAGATCATCACAGACTGTTTATTTTGTCTGATTTATACTGCCTTCTCATGCAATATACAAACTTAATTGCAGGGTCCACTTTTAGACTATTGACTCTATCTCATTGATCTGATGTTTGTGATAACATTGTCACCACTTTTTAAAAAATTATGTAACTTTAGAATAAGGTTAAAAATTTTGTATGACAAATACCCTATCCTTAGTCTTCTTTTTCTCCATTTCCCTATTAATATCTACTTAATCTTTCTAATAAAATTTATCAGATTCTAAAATTATGCCTTTGGGGCTTTTATTGAATTTTCATTAAATATATACACTAATTTAAGTGGAAAATTATAATACCGTCTTTAAATAGACATCGTAACTCACAAAAATCAAAATTTCTAAGTTTCTCTGAAGTATAATATATAGCAGATTGAAATTTGTTGTGGTGGGAAGAACAGTGGGTTAGACATTAGAAGATCCAGCTTCTGGGCCTGGCTCTGGATTTTCTACCTCTGTGAACTTGGGCAAATTAATTCACTGCTCTAAGGCTCAGTTTCCTATTTGAATAATGAAGAGGTTGTATTAGATAAGGCATTAGAATGGTCAATGAGCACTAGTCCAATTGTGAATTCAATGAGCATCTGTTATTAAAAATAATTTTTGTATGCCCTCAGGATACTTAGCAATAACATCTCAGTTCAACAACTACTCTTCTTCCCATTTTAGCGTTCCTTTTCTAGGTAAAGATATACTCCCCAACAATGAATAGAAATTATTATGCATTTCAAAAAATTATAATGCCATATAGATTACTTAATTACAATTGGAATGGTACTGTGCACTACACACATAAAAGTACAATCTGAGATTTGATTAATTTACTTTTTAGTAACATATAACCCCACTGTTCTTGTGATACCATAAATGGAACTTCAGTATACAGAAATTAACCCAGTAGGAAAGAAGTCCTAAACCACTAACAAAGAAAAATCAAGTTATAAAACAAATATAACTAGTAATATACTACAGCATGGATTTAATGCAACATAATTTGGTTAAAATGAAATCCAATATTGTAAGCACATTCACAATATTATAGATACCAACTTAACTGTAAAAATAACTTTTAAAAATGGCTTATAAACACTAAAGATCACTTATGTAAGATGTGAAAACTGCTGTAACAAAACATTCCAGGCTGTAACAAAACATCTATAGATCCAACATCTCCTGAGATCTCATTTATTTTTTCTGCATTTAATAGTATGAATGAGAAAAAGAATGAGGGAAAAGGCACAATCACTCTTAACCACCTAAATCTAGAGGTGACATATCACTTCTCCTCACTTTCCTTAGTTGTGTAGTTCTTCATAACTGTAAAGGAATCTGAGAAACATAATCTAGTGATGTACTTATGAAGCAGAGAACACACTTAGTGATAAGCACTAACCATTTATGCCCCAGTCAGCCATTCTAGCTGTGAAATATTATCTCTTTTATTTTCTTAACATTCAGAACACACAAACCCCTCTCCCCAAGAAAGAACATGCAATCCAATCACTGCATCCTATGTTAAACCTATGTTATGCATATGATGGACCGTACTCTCCATAACTCCAGATTGGGCTCTTCATTGTTTGGAACCTATGAATGAAAAAGGCAAGTTTCTTGATCCTCTCACATCTAATAGGTGTGCATTCTGCAGGCCACTTACCCTGGCATTGAGAAGTGAGTGCTTGCTCTGATGCTGTTCTCTGGAAGAGACTCACTTGCCCATTGCTTTTGGTGTCCCCTCTCTCTGACCTCTGGGAATTAATTATTTGTCAATTATTCTCCACGACCACACCTGAGGTGGGCACTGAGGTGTGTGTCTTCCTTGAAGGCTGTGCAGTTTTTGCACGCTGCTTCTTATGGAGTAAGCTTGGGGGCCCAAAATATGTTTCACAGCTTGAACAACCAAAGGTTCCGTTTAGCCTGGCCTCATGGTTTCTTTGAGGGTTTTGACAAAAGCATAGTAGGTATGGAATTCATTTGCTTCTAATCAAATCCATGTGCCGTAACCATATTCCTTCCTAGACAATTCTTAAGCCTTGTTTATTTCTTGCTTTTTTTTCCCCCTCGCTTCTCTGCCTTGAATTAATTGTGCTAACTTTAGGCCATCTAGAACCAAATCCTGATCTTTGCCACATGGCTGAGTCACTGCCTACAACTGAGACTTGTCTTTAAGTCTTCATTGCTCTGTCTTTTCAATGCTATTTTTTATGAATTGATGTTTGGTAGCAAGTTCCAGAACTTCTGGTCTCTCTCAGCTCAGTTCTATATGTTTGTAAACCTATTAATTATTTGTATAGCCCATCTATTTCATTTAATTCCTTTCCAAAGTTACCAATAGTCCTCTAACACACACTAGTCATTCTTTCCGACTTTTTTAGAGCAACCTGCTCAAAGGCACAAGCTCTGCCTTTCAAGGTAGTCAGCAATTTTACCAAATGTTTTGCCAAATAGTATCAAGGTTCTTCAGCCCTACCAGCTTCCAATATTAATTGGTTTTGCACTAAACATAGCCCAGTCACTAAGCTTATTACTGAATATCTTGGGTATTTTACATTATTATCTCACTCTTGGCATAATTTTCTCCTTTGGTCAGTAGATCTTAATGGCTATAAGAAAACTCTAGCTTCTCAGTATCTAAAATCCATAAATATTTATTTTTCAAACATCGAAATTCACTATGGTTGGCAGTGGAGCTTTATGTCATAGAAATAAACCTTTTCTCTCACGTAGTTCAACCATTTTCTAGGGCTTTATTCTGCTCTGCATTAAGCGACTGAATGGGGAAAGCGAGAGTGTGTTGAAAACATGCACATTTTTGAGGCCTTGGCCCAAAAGTGAGACATATAAGCTCTGCTCACAATCTGTTAATAAGGAATCCATCACACTACTGCACCAGTTGCAGAGAGGCTGGAGAGTGTATTCCAGTGTTACCAGAAAGAAGAGGAAAACTACTGTACAGTTCTGCTATAATCCTACAAATTGCCTGACAAAAAAGCACAAATATTAAGTGTTTGCTAAAAACTTTTATTATGAGCCGTCTCTTAATGTAACTCACTTCCACTACAGTGTTAGAACAGAAAAGAATAGAGCAGTGATACCTTTTCATCTCTGTACTTTCCTATAACTTCCTTCTACACCTAGTTGGTCAGGTATTACAGCCCTGGCATCAGGAGAAACTCGAGTCCTCCTCTGCCTTCCCTGTAGTATGACTCTTACTCCATTCTCAAAGTGAACTGTTGGAAGAAGGAGGTGATACAATTCCTCAGAACTACTTATATATTTGGTCATGGGGAGAGGTGGTTGTGTATAGACACTACGTAGCAATTACTGGTAATTATGTAATTCCAAACAATGCATACATTCTTACATATAGATGCTGAGTCATAATAATTTATATTTTGCTATTTTTAAAAAAAGTTTATTCTTTTAAAAATATATTTTAAAATAAATGTATTATTTTTACCACAGTGAACCTGAGAAATGGAGAGTCAGTCCGTGGAAAATTGAGAATCTATAAAAGAGAAGAACACATAAATTCTCTGGTTTATGGCTGGGTAAGAATCTGGTAACTCTGCCTACAGAGGAAGCTTTTTAAAAAAACTCCTGAGCTACATGAATGTAATTTGAAAACCATTTATCTAACCTGTGCAGTAGAGAGTTCCTGGTTCTAATTCTTTACCCATCCCTGAATCCACATTCTTTTCCCAGGTAATTGCAGTTCCTTCAACTAAAAGGTAGAGTATGTATTTCCACTCCTTGACTCAGGGCTCAGCTATGTGACTTACTTTGGCTAATGAATTTAAGTAGATATGATATTAGCAAAGGCTTGAATTGTGTTTTTATGGTTGAATGCACTTCTACATTCTTCATGAGAAGAACGTGCCCCCAGTAAAGCAACACTCCAAGCAGGATGACAGACATGTGGTGCAGAGTTCAACTCAACCCACTTCTTGGAGCCAAGACGATCCAAGCCTAGCTGAGCCTAGCCTGGCTCATCCAAACCCCAGCCAACTGGCAGATTCATGGACAAGAATAAATGATGGGCTGTTTTAGGCCACTGAATTTTGGGATGTTTTCCTGAGCAAAAACAGTTAACTGACACACCTCTTAACAAGTTAAAAAGAAAAGAGACTATAATGAAAGTTACTTGCAAAAGGAAAGAGGCGAATATGTAACCAGTTGATTTCATTTTCAGATAGGTGGCCCTAATAACATGCTCCTTATTTCAAATTTAGTTTATATAGGGAGCTACCCTACACCATGGTTTCATTTCAGAATGGCAAAGCTTATATAGTCTCAATATAAGCAGAATTAAGATGCTATTAGAGAATTAAGCTTTGTTTATGCTTTTTGTTATAGTTTTCTAGAGTGCACTTTAAGCATTGGCTACAAGCCACATTGGGACATTAAGTAATCACAATACTAACACATTTCAATATTCAGTTGGCAACAAGGCCTACAATTACAGTTAAGCTGTTATTCTCTGTGTCTGCAATTACCAAACCAATGATAAGGAGATTTTCATGATTGCCATTAAGGGTTTAATTATGACTGAGTTAGATACAAGAACAGTTGTTAGCTAGACATCTACTCATCCCTGTGGGTAAATTGGCCCATCTGAGGAGAGGGCCTAGAAAGACAGGCCAAAGTAATAAAGGTAGCCAATCAGTTAGCTGCATTATCAGGACTCAGGACACACTCTTGCTCCCTTTCAGCAACTTCATAGGTATGAACCACTAAGTACCTCAGTATCTTGGGATTGACCTCAGGTGAGGGCACTCTATTGTTCTGATGCAATTCTATTGCTCTAGCGGTCTGGCTACTTCCCCTGTAACAAAAGGGTGGAATAAAAGAAAATTCTTAGCACCTAAGTAATGACAGACAAAGTAAACACTTTGAGTTGCCTCAAGAAGAACTGGAAGACTGGATCACAGATTCATTGGTTTCATTTATTGAATGTTCCTGTCACTTTAAAGCCCATTTACAAATATAATCCAAGATTATTATTTAGTTACTTTATTGTAAACCATATCAAACAACTTGAATCTAAGCATGTCAGAGGAGAATGTCACTGTTGTTTGACAGGTTTGTTTATTGGCAAATAATAAGCCTAAAGTGCCATTGTTGTTGTTTTTTTTTTCCAATATGTGGAATCCAGACAACACTATAAACAAAGGACCAATTAGAAACAGCAGAGACAGAGCTTTATTGTGGAGTGCTTTGGAAGAGCTAGTAGTAAGAATGTTAGATCAAAATGGAACTAAGCAAAGGTAATCTGATTTATCTGAGCATTTGAAGTACATATTGTCCTGATTAGTTGTTTGTTTGAAAAGGATAGCAGTGATTATAACACAGACAAAAAACAAGTTTTTGCTACATAAAAAAGGAACATTATTCATTTTCCATATGCCAAAGTTATATTAACAAGGATACATTGAACCACAGTTATGGCTCTAAATAATTTTTTTTTCTTCAGCTCAAACCTGTTTTCCCATTTTAAATATTTTAAAAATAAATTTGGTGAGTTTTAGACTGTACCAGAGCATCAAGAATTCTCAATAGGAATTTCATGTCACAATAAATTATATTTTTCAAAAGTATCTAAAATTTGGCTTAAACATAAAAAAGTAAAATTATTTTTACATTAAAAGCACCCTTGAAAATTAACAGAAAAATGTTGCACTTGAAATTACCCTAAAAAATCAGTAGCATTTCTAGGCACAAATGATCTAGCTGATAAAGAATTCAGAAAAACAATCACATTTACCATAGCATCAAAAATCACCTCAGAATAAATTTAACTAAAGAGATGAAATATTTGTACACTAAAAACTGTAAAACATTAATGGAAAACATTGAAGAAGACACAAACAGATGGAAATATATTCTGAGTTGATGAGTAGGAAGAATTAATATTGTTAAAATGTCCATACTACTCAAAGCAATATGCAGATTTAACACAATCCCTATCAAAATTCCCATGGCATTCTTTACAGAAATAGAAAAAAAAAGAAAATTCACCTGAAACCACAAAAATTAAAAAAAATATATAGAATAGCTAAAACAATACCGAGAAAGAACAAAGGTGAAGGCATCACACTTCTTGATTTAAAATTATATTTCAATACTATGATAACCAAAACAGTATGGTACTGGCATTAAACAGAAACATAGACCTATGGAACAAAATAAAGAGCCCAGAAATAAGTCCAAACATATATGGTCAACTAATTTTCAACAAGGATACCAACAGGAAATAATAGGGGAAAAACAGTTTATTTCATAAATGGTGCTGGGAAAACTGGATTTCCACAAGCAAAAGGATAAAATGAAACCCTCATCTTACACCATACACAAAAATCAACTTGAAATGGATAAAATACCTAAATTAAGACCTGAAACCATGAAATTCCTAGAAAAGAACATAGGAAAAAAGCTGAACCTTGGCTTTGGCATGATTTTTTTAAAATTTCACACCAAAAGCCCATACGACATAAGTGAAAATAAGTAAATGGGACTGCATCAAACTAAAAAGCTTCCACAAGCAAAAGAAACAACAAAATGAAAAAGCAATCTACAACTGGGAAAACTACTTGCAATCCACATATCGGATAAGGGGTTAATATCCAAAATTCATAAAGAACAATTACAATTCAATAGCAGAAAAATAAATAACCTGATTAAAAAACGGGCAAAGAATCCGAACAGATATTTCTCCAAAATATATATATATATGATCAACAGGTATATGGAAAGGTGCTCAATATCACTAATCATCAGAGAAACGCAAATGAAAACCGCTATGAAATATCTTTGGCTATTATCAAAAAGACAAGTAAGGCTGTACACGATAGCTCACGCTTGTGGTCCAAACAACTCAAGAGATTGAGGCAAGAGGATCTCTTGAGCAAAGGAATTCAGGCTGAAATGAGATATGATAAAGCCACTGTACTCCAGCCCGGGTGAAAGAGTGAGACCTCCAACTTAAAAAATATAGAAAAAGACAAAAGGAAACAAATGTTGGCAAGTGTGTGGAGATAAGGGAACCCAAGCACACCGTTGTGGGAATGCGTATTGGTATAGCTAGTCTGGAGTTTCCTAAAGAAATTAGAAGTAGAACTACCATACAATCCATCAAGTTGTCTTTGGGTATATGCCCAACGGATATAAAATCATCACCTCATAAAGACATCTGCACTCCCATGTTCAGTGCAACATTATTCACAACAGCCATGTGTCCATTGATGTAGGAATGGATAAAGAAAATGTGGTGTATACATATACAATGGAATATTATGCAACCTTAAAAAAAGGGAGATCCTGCTGTCTGTCACAAACACAGATGGGCCTGGAAGACATTATGGTAAGTGAAATAAGCAAGACACAAAAAGAAAAATGTTGCATGATCTTACTTACATGTGGAAAATATATATATATATATATATATATATATATTTTTTTTTTTTTTTTTTTTTTTTCTTTTTTTGAGACAGAGTCTTGCTCTGTCACCCAGGCTGGAGTGCAGTGGCACGATCACGGCTCACTGCAAGCTCCACCTCCCGGGTTCATGCCATTCTCCTGCCTCAGCCTCCCGAGTAGCTGGGACTACAGGCGCCCGCCACCACGCCCGGCTAATTTTTTGTATTTTTAGTAGAGACGGGGTTTCACCATGTTAGCCAGGATGGTCTCGATCTCCTGACCTCATGATCCGCCTGCCTCGGCCTCCCAAAGTGCTGGGATTACAGGCTTGAGCCACCGCGCCTGGCTTAGAAAATGTATATTTTTTTAAAGACCATTTACATGGAGAGAATGAAACAGTGGTTACCATGGAGTGGGAGGAGAAGAAATGGGAAAATGTTGGGTAAAATGTTGGGTAAAGAATAACAAAAGGAAGGTATGTACAATGAACAAGTTTGCAAATCTAATGTGCAACACAAGGTCTAAAGTATTGTATTAGGGATTTTTGTTAAATAAGTAGATTTTAGCTGCTCTTAATACAAAAAAGATAACTATGTGAGATGACAGATATGTTTGCTTCACTATAATAACCATTTTACTATTTATATGTATCCCATAACATCACATTTGTAAAACCCAAATAGACAAACTAAGATTTCCTAACAAGAAAAGAACCATAAGCTAACAAATAGGTGTTTTTTCAAGCTTCCAAGTTTGTGATAATTTATAATATAGCAATAGATAATTAGTATGAACACTATAAAATAAAAGTCTTATTATTACATTATTTAAGTAAAATAAAGTTTAACATTTTTCCAAAAAATTTAAAAATAGCCTTAAAATGAATTTAAGCAGAATTTTAAAATATTCTAAGTTAATGATTATTTAAGTTAAACAGACTCAGAATTATGCATTCATTCAATTTAAAAATATTTAAATTAATATTTACTAAATTGTTAAATAGTTCATAACATGCCAGGTTGATGTGCCTTTTTCAATTAAGCTACATGTTAGAATTTAATGTGAGAAACTAACTACTTTAAGTTGACAAACAGAAAAAGATAAAATACCCCAAACAGCAAACTGAATATAAAGCTACATTAGGAAAATGGCCAGGTGACTAAAAAAGGTAAAAGTTTTAGAAATTAATACATGAAAAGAGAGCAAGATCTAAAATACACGAAGCAATAATACAGTGCATATAAAAGTAAGGAAGATCATTCTTTAACAGTCTCCACAGTTAGACATCTTCTCTACTACACAGAATTAAGAAAAAAAAAGAAACAGAAAAACACATGTACAAATAAAAGATTATTGCATTGTCTGTTTCTTCGTTTTGCGTTTTGTTGTTGTCGTTTGTTTGTTTTAAAACACACTTTTGCAGCACTCAGTATGAACCAGGCATTAGCCAATAGCTAGATGTTTTGCAAAATCAGCTTATATGACCTTTAAAATCACTCTATCAAAGAAACATTAATATTACTCCTGAGGCTCACAGCAAGTAACAATTTGCTCAAGATCACATAGCAGTAAATAGTAGAGGTGGGATTCAAACCCAGGCTGGCTGATTCCAGAGTAAGTGCATGGAATCACTATTATATTAGTAGCTCAACTTCTTTGTTTACATATATAGCCCCACCTATTTTCATATTTTCAGGTTGCTGCAAATAAATAGCATATCTGCTATATATACTATCTATCTATGTGACATCTATCTAATATTCAACTGAACTTCAATTTCAGCCAACATGAACTGCATGCAGTTCCTTTTGGAATGTAGTTTTTCCCAAAAATTTTCCCTAAGAAGAGAGAAACACATCTTATAATTGAGTTCTCGCAAAGTCTGTTTGGAGAAGGCGAACAAGCCAGAAATAATTGTCACCAATGTTAGTTTCGAATTATTAGAAGTTACCTATAATCTATATAATTTTTTTAAATGAGTCAAATACAGGTTAACTCTTTATACCTGAACTAAAACCTGCTGGTTATGTTATTAATAGATTATAGATCACTTTATAAAGCAAGATAGTGACTGATTACATTGTGGAGATCATAGATTATTAAGATACATTACTGAAAAAACAAACAGGCAAAAATAACATCTACTACAACAACAAAATCTGAAACTCTCCTAGTGTTATGAAAATGGGTACTTGTAACTTGGGACAAAAGTTCCAGTGACAGTATCATATATTGATTCAAAAACTGTCGTATAATATATCAAAAAGTCAAGGTAAATCTTCCTGGGAAATCTTTCTACATGACAAAGATATGACTCAATTGATAAAAAAGAAACCGGTCTCAATGATGCCTGCTAAGTATTTAAATAAAATTATTTCATGGAATATGAGAGTGGAAAATGTTCCTATCTTAAAATATAATTTTCTGTAATTCAATAATTAAATTTTTGAAAGAAACACTGTACATGGACATCTGACTTTTGAATCTATAATATTAAAAGGTTACATCCAAAACTTTTCAGGTGTATATGTGCTAATTATGCAGTTTTTTATATAAATTTGAGTGTGTATTATCTTAAATATTCTGCATTTACTAGTTGAACTATTATCTGTAGTTGCTGTCCTCATCGTTTGAACAGCAGAAATGAAATCAGGAGGCTCATTCCACTAGATCTGTATCTAATTCTGCATTTTGTTGAGTACTGTTAAATGACAATATTGACTCTTATGCTCTGCCTTTAAACATATTTACCTTTAAAACTTGCATAATATATGTGTACTTTTATTTGTGTCAGTTTATAAGTATTTCATTATTTTAACAAATTTTTGCATATATATCATATACGTTTACGTTTGTGTGTGTGTGGCATGTGTGTCAGTATTAATAGTCTTATGCTATTGGAAAATTGGGCTTATGCATTTATTCCCTGAACTTGTGTCAAGTGCTAAATATATGTATTACACCACATGCTTGATATGATTGGAAAACACAAAATATTCCTGAGAGAAGAAGAAGAGGCTGCATTAATTGGAGATCATGCCTTGTAAGTAATAGTCTATCATTAAATATTTTCTGATTATTTCATCATGTAAGTGTAGTTTTTATACATGTGCCACAAAATGTAGGCTCATATGCTGGTGGAATATGGGTTTAGTCTTATTCAAAAAGCTGGGCCTTGTGGAGAAATTTAAAGAAGCTGATTGACACCAGTGAACAATGGCCTGGGTTGGGGGAATGACATAGTAAGTGTTAGGAAAAGGGCCTTATAACTGACAGGAATTCTCATAATATTTTTAAAGAACAGATAATGGGACTTGCCTGGGTAGACAAATGAGAAATAGTAGCTGCGTGTTGTATGTGTGCACATGAGTGCATGCACACCAGTGCCTTGAAATTAAGATAGGGTTGGAGTTAAGTATTGTAAGAATTTACATTTAAACTAATGCTTAAAAAGATGTCCACTGAAGATACCTGATTGAAAGAAAATACTTGATCAAAATAATGGCAACATGAAAATGGGCTATAAGTAAAAAGATTCTTATAATAGTGTGTATGAGAAACTAAAGCAGCAAGAAATCAGATCCTAGGCAAATCATGATAGGGAGATAGCTGTCAGTAGAGGAGAGGAGCCTTTTCATGATATGATGAAAGAAAACAGCAAGTTGTCCCTCTTGGAGAAAAGTGGTAACCATATATGTATTCAGTTGTCAATACAGTACAGTACCTAGGGGTTTTATTATAACTAATTATATAAAAATACCCATTGTGAGCTCAAAATTTGCATTTTTCTTTAAATTGAGAAAATAATTCCATTCCCCATCTCATTACTAGATTTGTAAAAAAAACAAAAACAAAAAACCTAAAGGCAAAATTAGGAAGGCTGAATTATATAAATCATCAGTCTTGGAGAAATAAGAGAGAAAATGCTTAAATACAAACTTCCTCCTAAGAGACTGGTCCACAGTGCCACCTTGTGTTGATGACCCAGTTCTTCTGTTTTGTGTTTTGCATTGATTTCAAAACCTAATATTTCTTCCTCATGCCAAATGACATGCAGAAGAAATATGGGTTATTTTGTCCTAATTTAAAATTAGTCAACTGAAGTACTGAAATATGAAGGAAAAAAGTATTTAAAATAATTCTTGTTTCCTAACTGTTTTGTTCACTTTGTTGCAAATTAATGCACTGTTTCCCTACTAGAATGTGGTTAATGTATTCATACCATGAAAAGAGGTATTGGGGAAGAGATGGATTCTGTACTGAATCTAAGGGTAAAGCCAAACAAAATATGATGTTTTGAAGTAATTGTAATCAAAGATAGTAATGACTATGGTGTGCACATTCTAATATAACACTGAAGTTAATTTGTATTGAGAAGTTTATATATTTTTATACCTATTTTTAAATGGGTAGAAATGATGGATGTTTTAATGAAAAAAATTGTGAATTCAATTTTTTGAGAATCATTGAAATAGAAACTGATCATATCTAAATTTCAAGTCCTTTTATTATCTCTAAGCCTTTATTATTTAAACTAACAGGTGATTACAGTTTCCACCAGTCAAATTGGATCACCTTCCATTAGTCCCTAGAAAGCTGGTAGATAAAATGCTTAGGAAAGAATATTTAGATAATAAAATACAAGCCCTATTTCTAAAGCTACTATCCAGACTTTACTTAAGCCCTACATGTCTTGGGATGCTTTGGATTGAATATTTTTTCTCTCTAGAAAATCATGGTATCCGTTTTTCCCTATCCTGTCTTATTTCGATGGCTGATTCATTTATGGGAAAATAAGCTAAAATTGGCTTTTTGTATTTTTCCTTTTCCTCCTGTTAAATAACCTTTATGTCCTTAAGTACAGCCTGACATTTAATTAGAAAATTAACATAGCATATGTAACCTATCTCGAGTGTAGTTTACCAATACACTAGGCCTGTCACTAAAATGAAAGCAAATCGCTCAGATTTTAACTTATTCAAATTAGTATAACTTTTTAATTCAAAACTTAGCTATACTAACAGACATCTGGAGTCTCTATTGTAATGAAACAAAAGATTTAGTGTATTTGGTTAATATGCCATATGTATATATAATTTTATATATTTATAATTATATGTAAATTTTAACAAAAGTTTTCCAAGTGTATGTATAATTTATATATATAACATATGTATAACTCTACTAAAAACTGTATTTCACATAGTTGTGTTATGTGCTGATAATGATATTGAGTTCTGTATACTCACTACTATGCATAATGAGATTCAAGTATTCAAAAGTAATTAACTACAAGCAAATTATCTACCTAATAAGGATAATTTTAGTTTCTATATAAATTTTACTATAGGCAGCCTTCTTCCCTTCTAGCACTCAGTCAAAATTTTTTTTATTTCCAGAATTTAAGTATATTAATTAAAATTTCATCCTCCTATGACCAATTCAACAGTATGCTTAATTATTGTCAGAGAATCTCGGTTTTTATAAAAGCACATTTCTTAAATCACAAACAAGAAATTTGTCACTAACAATTATTCAGGATGTCATGTCTTTCCTTTTCATCATAAATATTGTCATTCTTTTGCAGAATGCATATTTTTGGCTATTTGAGGTGCATTATTTTTAGGGGAAAAGCTGTTCAACAGATTAGAGAATCTGAGCTAGCCAGTGGAGAAGTTAACTACATAAGTCCACTACACCTAATTATAAAAGATGAAGGTTTTAAAATTTGCATAATTGCAACTGTTGGTAGGGGTCGCTAACATATTTGCATTATCTACTTATGTTCCATACCAACTCTTTTAAGCACCACTTTTTAAAAAGTCAGCTATGTCAGATGCTTGTAGGTGTCAGAACATCATAACCTACAACGCAGGCAATGCCTTTTTCTACATACACCCCTGGGTTCCAATGGCTTTCTAAAATCAATTTCTATGTTTTGATACTATTCCATCTTCCATCTTTTAAAAATAAAGTCTTTCTATCCATATCTGCATGTAGCAAGAGAAGTGCATAATGACTAAATCAAGTCCCAAGTATTCATTTATGCCTTTTACAAGTAATCATTCCATTAGCTGTAGTTCATAATAATTAACATTTACAAAGATTGCATTCACACAGTGAAAGTGCAGAGGTAGTCAAGAATAGGGGTTGGTATTCATCATAAGGGCCTTTATACTTTGGAGGCTAAAAGAATACCTAGATCTTAGGAAAATGGATATCAAATATCCTTTTGTAGCTACCTACTGTTTAAATGTCTAAATAATATCTGAAATAATTGAATTTAAAAATGGAAAGGTAGATTAATAAATCAGTTGTTGAAAATTTGCTAAGAAAAATAGTGATGACAATAGCTATCCTTAATTTGGTGGCTTCTATGTTCAACATCCAAGCATCTTCCACATATTATTTCTAATTCTCATTAAAGCCCAGCAAGGTAGATTTTTTTAATCCCTATTTTATAGGAGAAAAACCTAAAGCTCAGAGAAGTTCTGTAAGTTGCCCAAGAGGTTATAGAAATTAAACATGAATTTAAACAGACTTTTTATGACTCTATGGTCTGTGGTTTTTCCACCATTCCATACTGCTCTCTTCCCCTAAAATTACAACTATATTTTATGAATAACACCTTCATGTCAGAACCTTAATAATCTAGTTAATATGATAGATCATTGCTCTAACTTTTTTTTGCTAGTAAAGATTATTAGTTGTCCCCAGAATAGCATCAAATGCATTTCATTTATTTCCTCGCTTACTCAGCTAATATTGACTCCTGGCACTGTACAACATGCTACTATAACCACAGTGAGAGTATCAATTAAGAAGTGAGCAGAGGCCTAGAATATCATAATAAAACAGTAAACATTATTACACCAGTGGTAAAAAAAATAGGTGACTGTATAGGTGACTTTAGAACGTTCTTCATAAAAATGAGCAAACCAAAAAAAAAAAAAAATCAAATAGGAATTTAGAGGAAAATGCTGTGGTACAGAAAGTGTAAACCAGTGTTCTGAGGCCTGGCAAATTGCTAAAATGCATTACGACAACAAGCCAAAGCATCCTTCCCCTCTACATGACTGGGCCTGCTACTTTTATCATGTCCTGCAGTAGATTTACACGCGACATTAATGATGCAACATTGTGTATGAGTATTTGGAACACACTTTTTGGTATTAGGAGGTTTCTAAAAGAGAATATTTTAATTCTAGTTTGTAAAAGAAAATGTGTCGTTCTTGGCCTGCTCAATGTTGAGTCAGGTATAAAGACTTAGAGAAACAATTAAGAAAGGAAGTTGATTTTTAGTAAAGAAAGAAAGGAAAAGACATTTTATTTCCACAATGAGTCATGCTTTGTAGAGTAAGTGTCTGGGGAGTCAAATGGTCAATTTTTTTTTTTAACTATACAATACAAATGTAACCAGGAGTTAATTTACTCAGTCATAATGCTATATTCGTTAAAAAAAGCATTTGCTTACAAATGAAGTATGACAAGAAGATACGTTTCCTCTAATTAAAATTGCTTGTGGTATGTTGGCAATTTCCAATAATCAAGATTGCCACAGGAAGTAAGGTTGTTTCAGCTGGCTCCTGGTGAACGCATCCATTTACTTCACACTTACAGTAAATACAGAGATATTTTACTCACATTGCCCAGGTTTCCTTCAGTTTCTGTTCTCCTGAGGTAACTTCCAAGCCCCGCATTTTCTGTAACTTGATTCCCAAGCATTTTCCAGGAAAGAAAGGTATCAATGACCTGCTGGTTTTATTGTTAACTCCTTCATAATAGTATAAAGCATTTCATCATTTTCAGCTTTTTCAGTCATAGAAGTAAAAAGAAACTACATAACTAAATTCCCTTTTCCGTAAAGATAGAATATCACTATTCCATATAATACAATCTATCCTTAGATTTTTCTGAGTGAGCATCAAAAACGTGTATGTGTGTGTGTGTGCGTGCATGCCTGTTTGGTCTCACATATGTGTGTAGCATGTTTACTGTCATATCTTCATCTTGATAATAACATAGTGTATGGCTTTGCACGAGAATTTCTTCTTCCTGCAGATTTTGATTTGCTAGTTTTTGAACTCTTGATAAATTTGGTGACACTGTGGCTGATCCACTTTATCCCTGCTTTGTTTGGGTATGGTCTTGCTCTCTGAGGCACCACTTCCCCATTCCCATTGACTTCAGGAAAGGTTCATTAGGCCTGATCTCTCTCAGTCTTTTTTCTTCCTCCCCTTTCTTCTCTCTTCTCCACGCTGGACTCTGGGGCTCTTTATTCCTCAGGTCCCCTGTAGGTTAAGCCTAAGCTCTTATCCTCTCTTCTCTTTAACTCACAGTCAGCATTGGCATCTGTATTCAGTAACCCTCCATATGAATAAATAAAAGCAGGTACCAGCCTCCCAAATCTCCAGGTCTGGCTGGACAAACAGCTTGAGATGCAGCTCCTGTCACAGTTTCATGTCACCTTGGAGCAAAAAACTTCCCAAGGCTTTTGAGATACATCTGACAGTAACTTTAATTCCCCAGTGTTTAAGTTTTCCAGACTCCTACAAACCCTCTATATAACCTACAAATAATTAATATCTAAAGAAAGCCAATTTATGGACCTAGATGTCACATCAAGGCAGAAGGAATGAACATATATGTGCATGGGATAATTAAGGGTTTCTTTATGCTTTTCAAAAGGTCTGATCTGTTGGTAGACAACGAGGGTCTGAGCCACTTTGAGCAGTTGAGTAATTTGCATTTGCCAAGAGTTTTCACTCCCCACTCTGTGTATAAATGATTCTTGTTCTTTTTAGATATTCTGCCTTTTTCAAATAGTATGCTCCTTCAAAAATATTTCAAAATGATTGCAGTCTGAAAACAAATCTTGTGGTGGGTAGGCTAGTACTCTATTTCTTCTGAGGTTTGGCTCTTGCTTTTGTTTTTATACATAAGGTTTAAACAAAGTTCAGCCATTTGTATTGTTAGTTCACAAAACATTATCGTCCTTGGTATATTTAAGTCCCCTATATTGGTGAATTGGTTGGTTTGGTAACTTTCTGTTTTGTTTTGTTTTTGTTTTTGTTTTTTGAGATGGGGTCTTGCTCTGTCACCCAGGCTGGAGTGTAGTGGTGCAGTTTTGGCTCACTGCAACCTCCACCTCCTGGGTTCAAGGAATTCTCTTGCCTCAGCCTCCCGAGTAGCTGGGATTACAGGCACCTGCCACCACGCCTGGCTAATTTTTGTATTTTTAGTAGAGACGGGGTTTCACCATGTTGGCCAGGCTGGTCTCGAACTCCTGACGTCAGGTGATCTGCCCGCCTTGGCCTCCCAAAGTGCTGGGATTATAGGCATGAGCCACCATGGCTGGCTGATTTGTTTATCTTTTAAAAATTCCATTTTATCCCCGTTCCTCAATCCCATTTACCACTCTCTGAATGAGCAACCATTTAAATGTGTAGCTATTTATTATATTGTGTTCTTGGTAGGTGGATATTGACTTATGTGGATATATTTTAACATGAATGATATTGTTAGATAACTTTCCATTTTCTACTTTTATCCACCATGTTTTTAGTACCCATTTTAGGTTTTAGGTATACAGCTCATTGACTGTTTTTAACTGCTGCATAATGGTCATGTTGTATACCTATCACACTTTGTCTATCTGTTAGAGTTCTGAGCTTCAACTTCTGAGTAAACAAAAACAGACAAATATCCTAAAGGTTGTTTTTTCCTTTTTACTTAGACTTTTTTTCTTTTTGGTGTCTATGCTGTGAGAAGGGGGATATAATGACTTAATGATGGAAAGAAAAGGAGAAATAATACCATCAGTATGAGTCATTTAGGATAAACAGGATTAAGTCTTGGGTGTTTGTGATCCAATATTGTATAGCAATAGAGTCTGCAGGTTTATATCTGTTTAGACTTCCTGGGTGCTAATCTTGGCATATCTACTTACCATTCACTGACTACTTACCAACTAGTAACCTTAGATTAAGTTACTTAAACCTTTGAGTATCAGTTTCTTGTCAGTAATATGAATTAAAAAAATACACATCTTAACGTCATAATGCCACAACTTAATACTATAACTAAATGCTTTAACTGGTCATATGACCCTACTCAACACTAGGAGACCAAAAAATGAAATCTCATTAAGTGCCTAGAAGTTGCAGAGCCTGAAATATTCAGCGAACATCCTTAATGACTACCATATGCCTCACATGGTTGTTGTAAGGATTAAGGGGTTTATTTCTTATCCTGTGGTTAGTACAGTACCTACAACACAGTAGACACTGAAAAAATATTAGCAGTTATTTTATAGTTCTTAATAAGACATAAAAGACCTTTCATGCTTTCCAACACTCTCCACTTAAACATTGTGTTCTATTACTTTCCAGGCCTCCCTTTTCCCCACATGTGACAAGACAAATATGCCAACACTTTCATCATGTTTCAGATGAACAGTACCCTGCAGTAATACCTTGATCTTCATTTTATTTCTTTTGGCTCTTCTAGCCATTGACTCCTTGCCTGTCCTGCCATTATAACTACATCTTGACCATTGGATCTACGTGCCCTACTGATCTTGATGACAATTCACTCACAGATGTCTTTATTATGACTTTCTTTATATGCTTTATCACACAAATAAAATTATTGTCCAAGCTAGCACATTTTTAAGAGTGAAAGGAGAGCAATAAGTAAAAACCAGGGCTGTGTCAGGGAAACTGGGAGGGATAGTCACACTACTTTCTCCATTTCAGCAGTAAATTAATGGGTGTTTTAATAGCATCCTATGTCCTTCTTATTCTATAGGGAGTTAGTTTATCAGAGTAATCTTTGCCCTGAGGATTTTCTCATTTTTTCAGATACCTTGAGAATCATTTTTCTTGAGCTCCCTCTCCTTACTTCCTCCTTCCTCCAAAGTTAGTAAATTTCTTTATGTTCCCAAAGCCACAGGGGTATACTTCAAGTTGTATGGAAATTATTTATTTACACCTCTAGCTCCATTGTAAAGTTATGAGGTCCTTGAATTCAGGTATCTCATTTCATTCGTCTTTGTATCCCCAAGAACTTGCAGAATCCTGACACATGCTAGGCAATCAATGTTTGTTGCATGGATGAATGCGGTCCCAGAAATGTAATACCTTAATTAAGAGAACCAAATCATTAGTGGGTTGGGAAGTGGGTATTTCAAGCATTGTGGCAGGACAGCTGGAGACAGATTTTGAGGAAGAAGGTATTTGTATATTGACCTAAGATTTCATGTTAATCAATTTTCTTGTTTACATTTGAATCCTGGTTCAAATTCACTTGTAGCATTTGGAATCACTAGTTTATAAGAATTACAGTGTTCTAAAACTATCTTTATAGGATAATTTCAGATGTTTTTGAGCTGCAAATGTTTTAATACTATTAATCATATAAATCTTTAGAGGACTGAAACCCTATAAATAGCTGGCATTTTTTAATTGAACAAAATCTCCTAACTCTGCCACCAATTGAATTGAGTGGCCTTCCAAAAAGTCTTCCCCAAAAAGAGTGGCGGCAAAACTTTTAAAAGGTCAAAATTTGCGGAACACTTGTAATTCTCATTGGCATCCACTTTCTCTATTTTATGCTCCCTTTTTTTCTCCTACCCAAGGCTCTTCATTATTTCAAGAGCCTCCTCATTCGTTTCCCTAAGTCTAGTCTCTGATACCTCCAATCCATGCATCCATCTATAGTCATGTGGCTAGTGACTGCAAAACAGTAATTAGATCACATGACTTCCCTCTTCAAAATTAGCAATGTTATTAATTTATTATTATTGAAATTATTATCAAAAATAAAATAGCAGTGTATCCATTTAAGTTCTTCATTAATTAGTTCTAATTTACCTTCCTAGAGTAGACTCTTACTGCTACCCACCATAGTCTTTGCTCTAGAGTCACACAACTTCCTGAATGTAACATGTTCTGTCACAATTGTGTATCTTTTGTATTCTTCCTTCCCTCCCTCCCTATCCTACCGAAAAAAAAAAATCTCCAACATCCCTAATTTTTCAATCCCCAATTTAAATGGCACTCTCTCCTCTCATTCTATTTCCATAGTTTTACAATTTTATCTTAATTTAGCTTTTACATTTCCAATGGATTTTAAGGTTCTTAAAAATAACTTTCATGTCTTTTTTAATATTTACCTCTTCCAGCGTTGACTTAAACTCCTGCAAATTTTAGTCAATGACTTCTAAATTGTAATCGAATTAAATTTAATTGAAATAATTATTCTGTAATAATGTATTAGACCTCCAACTTTGGGGAAAAAAGATAGTTTTTAAAAGTACTGATTTTTAGGAGTGAACTAGACTTTCACAAGGTGCTTATCTTTCTCAAATGATTATACCTAAGCTCATATTTGAAGGCTGAGGACATTATTTCTTGTTTCTTGATTTCATATCCTTCACATCAACAATTATGAAAGGTAAAAATGGCATATGCTTTATAAAAACAGAAAAAGGTATTTTGCAAGATCTACACAATGAACATGAACACAAAATTGTTAATATTGGCTGAGGCTAAAATCTCTAATAATTTACTGTAAGGTGATGCATGATGACTCTAATAGTGACATCTGGTGGTTCACAGGGAACATTACATTAATACATCAATTTTAACCTCTAAACATGTTTCTATTTTAGTAAGACGGTTGTCTTTGTTCTTGTAAATTGGTCCTAATAATTTAGATATTTGTTTCATCCCTTATAGAGAAAAATTAATATTATGTTACAGATTTTGTTCTAAAATATGCACAAGTCTTAAATTGATATTTTCAGTTTGGAAAAGTAAGCTAAACTGCAGATCTGAGTTCTTTTTACACCTGAAAAATGCAGGAGGTGGCAGAATGCATTTTTTGCACCTGTAATCTATATCACTTTAACCTTGAACTCAACTCGCCCTAAACAACAGTGGCCCCTGAGAATATACGTGCTATAATCCATCCTTTCTACATGGATGTGAATCATTATGATACAAGAAAGCTCAGAAGATTGGAGTTCTCAACATTCTCTATTACTACTGAATCGTATGACCCTGAGTCAGTCATTTAATTCCTTGGGTCTCAATTTTCTCATCTGAAATATTTAGATTAGATATTCTCCATCTTGAAAATTCTTAATGATAAGGACTTAATAGACAGTGATGGTTAATTACAATGACATAGCTCTCCTCTGATATTTGGCTTTTGGTGCATAGAAGACAGGTACTTTTTAAATGATAATAGGGATTCTTTAAATTCATATTCAGTATTCAGATAACATCCATTACCAGAGCATCCAATGGGATAGCTCAAGATTCCCAGGACCACTGGCAAGGAGCCAGAGCTATTACAGTCACAATTGTGAAGAAATTAGAAACAGCTTAGGCTCGGCTCCTCACACTCAAGAATGGACTGAATATACCTGCTGCTGTATCCCCATTCAGTGATTTCCGAAGCCCGTTAAAAACTAGATTCATTAGAATCATCTGGACATTTGTTAAATATATGTCTCTCATGCTCCCCTACGCCTATGGAAGGGAGATGACTGGAATCCACAATTTTAATAAGCTCCCCTGGTGATAATGATGGTTATCCTGGTTTGGGTATTACTTACTAACACAACTTAGAAACCACATAGATTCAAATAGAAAGGGATGCTGATACCATAAAGCTGATGAAAGATTAAGTCTTTAAAGCCAGGACTTGAAAACCCAAGTGTCTACAGAGACCACACAAGTAACTTAAATTTAAAAATTAGCCAAGTAGGCATTAGGCAGAACTCTGGAGAGCATGCCCCATGCAAAGTAGGTAGCCTTTAATTAGCTGTAGTGGTTGTTGCCAGAAGGGGAAGCTTCCTAGGGTTGCCCTGTGCTTTGTAAAGGGAAGATGAAAATAGGATTCTTATGTGGACTCTCTAATCTGAAGGAATTGGAACCAATTCAATGCAAACTAAATGAAACACATTTGTGGGCTTCACATTTTTGTTCTCTATTTTAGATCCAATTCCTATTTGTCCCCTTTAAATCACACTTCACTTTTTCAGTTCCACTGCATTTTTCAGTCTAATACATCTAATCAGCTAGATGAACATACAGACTACACTATAGAGAATGGCTATTCCATCTTTTCTATTGTCATATCCTTTCAAATTATCTTAAAGTTTGTTTAAACTTTGTCTCGTCCTTAAAGCATTTTGGAGCTTTATTCTCCAAACATTTTCAAACATACTCTTTCTAGGCACTACTCCCAAACATCTTTTCTCTTTCCATTTATTTAACAAATATTATTATAGGTATTATTCATTTTCACAAAGTAATATCTAGTAGAGGCTTTAGCTTAAATAGGTGGAGATAAACAATAATTCCAATAATAACTTTCATTAATAAATAAGTGTATCATATATAATTAGTCTCCACATATATTTAAATGTGGAAAACTCATTATTTACTCATTATTTGAGCCTTTGACTTTCTTGACATTACTTGATTAAAGGCAAAAAAAATTCCTGTATCTCTCTTCACTCTAAAGTAAAAGTCAGAATTTTAAAAAGATAAAAACAAAAGGACTTTTTCTCAATAAGAAATCAGAAAAGAGCCTTGACTATGAGGTGATCTCCTGAGCCTCAATCCTAAGGCAGCATAATAAGAAGACCTCTAGGGGAGATGGCAATGAAGAAATTTAAATAGAAATCCAAATATTTTCATAAAATAAACACAACAACTTATGCTAAAAAGGAGTTTTATTAACTGGTCAAAGGTAGCTAGCCAACAGATTAGATATGGCTTTTGGTTTTTGCTGGGTTTTGTTCATGATGAGTAGTAGAATGATGCTTCTAGGTGATGGAGAGAGATCTCAATGTCCACTGCAGAAAAAAATAGGAAAAATAAAAGCACATGGCTCTAACAGAAGATACAAAATAGTAGTATGAAGATTGAGGCATACTAAAGCACTATTAATTATCTCCACATATTCAAATTGGTCATCTAAAGGAACTTGGGGATTTATCATCACCTGGAATGCATCCAAAAGCCACTATTTCAGAATATATGACATATCACCAGGACTCATATCATTGTAAAATGATATGACTCGATTAATTGAATGGAGATAAAAGATATCTAAATTTTATGTCCTATAATAAGCATCATTATATGACACATTAGTAGAATTTATGGAGGTTGATGATTTATTGAACATTAGCTATGAGCATGGCCTTATATGGGATATTGGAGAAAGAATAAATATAAACACAAAAGATCTTCTCTACTCTAGGATAGCTAAAACTCCAAAGAATACAAAGTACAAGTAGAAAAACACTTCAGAACAAGGTAAGATTTTGAATAAATTGTGTATTTTAATGAGAACTGGGTCCATTGAGTTTTAAGGAAATAAAGAATTGGAAAGCAGTGGCAATAGTTAGGGAAATTAAATATACTCTTTCAATTTGTCATCTTAACTAACTAGCTTTGAGCCTTCTAAGTAATTCAATCATTTATTCATTCAACAAACATTTGTTGAGTGCTACTCTGCATTTTTATTAAAAGGTAATGCATTCATGTGGCTCAGAAAGTTTTTTAAAAGGATATATCAAGAAGTCTCACTATTACCCGTCCCTATCTACTCTCATAAGAGATGATTTTTATTAATTTATTTCTCTCTTTTCTAGTACGTTTAGGCAAGTACAAGAAAATATTAACTTGATTTAGTATTTTAATCCTTTTGTATACAAAAGGTAGCATATTATGCACATTGGTTTTTACCTTACTTTTAGTATTAAAAGAGTTTCTTAGAAAACTGAATAGTAGGCTAGTCATGGTGGCTCATGCCTAGAATCCCAGCACTTTGGGAGGCTGAGGCAGGAGGATCTCTTGAGGCCAGGAGTTCAAGACCAGCCTGGGCATCATCGCAAGATTCCATCTCTACAAAAAAAAAAAAAAATTTAATTGCTTGGTATAGGACAGGTGCGGTAGCTCACACCTGAAATCCCAGCACTTTGGGAGGCCAAGGTGTGCGGATCATGAGGTTGGGAGATTGAGACCATCCTGGCTAACACAGTGAAACCTCTTCTCTACTAAAAATACAAAAAATTAGCTGGGCATGGTGGCGGGTGCCTGTAGTCCCAGCTACTCAGGAGTTTGAGGCAGGAGAATGGTGTGAACCCAGGAGGCAGAGCTTGCAGTGAGCCGAGATGGTGCCACTGCACTCCAGCCTGGGCAACAGAGCGAGACTCCATCTCAAAAAAAAAAAATTGCTTGGTGTAGTGGAACACACTCGTAGTCTTAGCTACTCTGGAGGCTAGGGTAGGAGGATCTCTTGAGCCCAGGAGTTCAAAGTTGCAGTGAGCCATGATCACACCACTGCACTCCAGCCTGGACAACAGAGTGAGACCCCCATCTCAAAAAAAAAAAAAAGAAAAAAAGAAAGCTCTCAGCCAGGTGCAGTGACTCACACTTGTAATCCCAGCACTTTGGGAGGCCAAAGTGGGCATATCACTTGAGGCCAGGAGTTTGAGACCAGCCTGGTCAACATGGTGAAATCCCGTCTCTACTAAAAATACAAAAATTAGCCAGATGTGGTGGTACATGCCTGTAATCCCAGCTACTGGGGTGGCTGAGGCATGAGAATCACTTGAACCTGGGAGGCAGAGGTTGCTGTGAGCTGAGATTGCACCATACACTCCAGCCTGGACAACATAGTGAGACTCTTTCTCAAAAGAAAAATCTTCAAAACACAAAACAGAAAATAAAACCTGAATAGTATTCAACTAAGTGGCTGTACCATTGTTTAACCCATCCTCTGTGGGTGGATACAGATTATATCCCATTTCTTACTATTAATAATATCAACAGTACTAACCTTTTGCAATAATAATTTTGTAGAAAACTGTTTGTTCATATATTTTGTCTTACCAAACTCCCTCAATAGACTCTAATATTCTAAAAATACTTCTGCAAATTCTTACTGGTTCAAGGGAAAAGATGATGGGAGTGTGGAGCATAAGGTAATAAGAGAAGACAGGAGAGATGACAGAAGAAAGAGAGTTATAAGAGTAGGCAGGCACTGCTCTGAATGCTATTTTAGGGATGTTATTCCCCTTCCTTCTCACAGGAGCTATAGTTCCAAAAGTAAAATAGTTTCTTATCAATCCACTGTATAAACAAAAAAACCTACCTTTTTTATCTATAAAATATAAAGAAAAGAAATTAAAAGTAGTGAACACATAAAATTCAGGAGAGGTGCTAATTTCTTAAGAAGTCTTAAACAAGATACACATACACATATATATATGCATATATACAACATATGTGAATAAAAATATTATATCATATATAATTGCATACATGTGTATGCATAGAATTTTTAAACTTTTGATATGTTTTATTGCTCTTGGTAGCATCCCCTAATATAAAACACAGCATGAAGTATCCTCCATTTCCTTTGAAGCAATTTTAAGAAACCCTAATACAAATAGTCTTAAGAGAGAGATAACAATCTTTGGCTATCCATACCTCAACACTGTAATTTTTTACTAGTAATAACCATCTTTTCTATCTTTAATCTCTTGTTGGTTGTGGATCATTACACAGTCAAATCGTTAGCTGAATCATGTCATGTCCCATGGAGTTTTATCATGTTTAAATTTTCAAAACTTAACTTCGTGTAGGAAAATGAAAGGTATTTTTTTAAAAAACCAAAGCCCAGGTTCTTCCCAAGCTCTGACAGCTTGAAAGGAACTCCAACAGAGAAACAGAAGCAAAATGAAAACTCCTGGAGCCTTAGCCCGCCCATACAAGACTCTAATTGGCAGCCTTCATAGAGAATTTGTCTGTCATTCAAGTGCTATATACTCTTCTATTTCCTGATTAACTTTGAAAACACAGACATTGCCTGGTACAATAATTTGTCTTAAAATTTCAATAACATGACTTTGATATTTTACAAAATTCAGCATTTAATGTGTCAGGGTATTTTAACACATACTCATTATATTTTTTATTACCTTTTACTAACACTGTTGTTTAAATACCTACTTTAGACCTAGTTCTTTTGCAAATGAGATCATGTGCATGATATTTTAATTAGGGCTTATTTAGGAAATTATTTTTTTAATGTCTCTAACTTAAATGTAAAATATTTCAAAGCCCTTGTGTGTAATATGGGTACACAACAGAGCAGACCTGACACACACTTTGGAAAACTTGTGAGATTCCTTGCTAATTGAAAAAAAAAGAATGCTACTGCTTCAGAAGAGCTGAAAGAACTTTAAAATTATCTGGTTTTAAAATCCTATACCCTTGTGAGGGATCGATATTATTTTGAAGAATATGTGACTTCTGAAAGCTCAGAGTCGGTGGTAGAGCTCAAAATAGAACCAATGAATCTTGACTCTCAATTTGTGTCTCTAGCTAACCACATTAACTGGACAATTTTCTTTCATCTGTGTATTATTAATAACATAATATCCTGTGACACAACAGACTAATCGCCTCTTTGGAGAATTACCTTAGAGTTATGTGGGACACGTTTTTAAAGAACACATTATGTGCATAGATGTATAACTTACGGACTATCCTATAATTAAATAGTTGCTGGATATTTAGATGAGGGTTTTCACTTCTAGTAGTCTTAGTTTTATAAATAGGTATGGGGCACTTAGAACAATGATACATCTTAAATTTATGCAGTAGTTTTTCTTTTCTTCTTCTTCAGCAAACTCCAGTACACAGATAGCTAATAAAAAGGAAGATGATGTTCACATCCTATCTTTATTTTAGACTTGGTTTAACTGAGGTATGGACTGAATAAGTAACCATTTCTGGATCCAGAGGAAATTAATATTAAACAGGACTGTGAATTCAGGATATTCAACTTCAAATCAAGATCAATGAATTCTCGCAACTTATATGAATTTTGGTTAGTGTTATTACTGTTAGGTATTGAAGTACCATAACAAATTCATTACATTTTACTACATTTCAAACGCTTCTCTTAGTGGTGGTTATAATGTGTTGCTAGGGTTGGGTTTTTTTTTTTTCTGTTTCATTTCTTCTATACCTTAAATAAAAGTTTTTCTCTAGGAAAAACCTTGAACTTCTTCCCTTCTGTTACAAACTCCCATGACTTTAATTGTTGGTTACAGGAAGCTCATTCCCACATATATAGAACTAGCTTAACCTTACTCCTGAGATTTACTTGCCTTCTAGTCATTTCCTCCTTGGTAGCTTAAAATCAACACGTTTTAAGCTCTCCTTTGTTTTTTACTCTTGAAGGTATCGGGCCCACATGTCTTCAGTATCTACCCTGTGACCCCATATGGATAAATAGCCTTTCCTTTTCCACATTGTCTTATAATCATATCTATATACGTATATTATTTCAGTTAAGTTGCAAGCTCATTGTGAACAGGGTCTTATTCATCTTTGTTGTCCTAGTACACAGCCTAGTATAGCACCTGGAAGATGCTCAATAAGTTTTTGGTAAATGAATTAATGAATGATTGATCATTAGGTAAAGGCCTGGTAAACTTTCAAGGTACATGAGATGAAAGGAAATCTGTTTTGAGCAAGAAAAATAATGTAAGCTTTGCTTTTTACAAAATTGCCAGAGAATAAAGTGTTAAAATCTACTATATTAAATACTGGAACACCGTTGTAACCCGTATCATTATTATGTGGTTTGAGGATATGATTTTAATAAAATTATATTATCTTGATGGTTCAGCTTTGACAATAGGTGTTAGTTTCTTAAAGTCACACTTACAAAGAGATGTCATTCCATTAAAGTTTATGTTATGAAAGTGTTAGGTGTTTATAATTATGAAGGAAATACAATCGAGAAAAAAGTATTTCAGATCAAATGGGATTTGATTATCCATTAATGCTAAATGGGAGGTTCATGACCTGAGCCTAATGGGCCCTTTACAAGTTGTAGTGGACAATTAAGCGACTCAGCAGTGAAACTGACATTGAGGAGCAGATTTTGCCTGCCAGCCGCTCTCAGGGTTTGGATTTCACTGGATCATGTTCTGAAAGGTCAGCACTGGCCAGATGACCAGTCCAGAACTGCAGATGGCAATGTGGTCACCTGACCACTCTGGGGCTCCCCAACCTGCTGCACAGGCTCAAGTTCACTGAAAGGTCATAGCAGGCCCTGTGTCACTACTCAGGAATAACATAATTCTGGGGTACTCTTTCTTCTATGTTATAAATATATGAAATAAAATAAATACTTTTGGTCCCCCAGCCAAAGATTAAAAGCATGACACTTGTAATAATTGCAAGGTAACATTTTAGCCATAGTGAGCACCTCAATTTGGGGCATCATTCTTCAAAGGAATATTCATATTTTATAAATGAAACCACATTTAAATACTCACCAGAAACTTGGGAGACATACACCAGCATTAAAGTCCAATTATACCAATTACAGACTGTATGTCCTTAAGCCAGTCATGTCATCTCCTTCAACCTCAGTTCTATCTTCAGCTATAAACTGGAGAAGATAGTATTGTACCTATCCTGCTCTGCCAACTTCAGAGAGTTGAGAAACACAACGCCTAAGTCATTGACAAACTGGTGATAAACACATATACTATCCATTTTCTTTCTGCTTGAATGAGTGTTTTTGTATAAATTTCCAGAGAAAACAGTGAAAAAAAAATTTAAAAAATTAAAACCATGTCAGTAGAGTTAGTAAGTAGTTAAAATTTTATTTGTTGACCCTTAACTCTTTTAAAAGGAGACCCAAAGGAGAGAAAAATGACCTAAAAACATATCTGGTCAATGATTCTTTTGTTTAAATGTTGCCCAATATAGCAGAAAATTGATAACTCTCTTTAACTTTGAATATTTTAACTCTCAGGCTCAGAATTAAGAAATATTTGTTTAAGCATGGCTTAGAACTATTGTATTATTTATGCTCAAATAACATTAAGAAACATCTTACGACAGTAGCATGAATTGGAGACATCCAAAACTGAATTGAAAGTAGGGCAGAAATAAATTGGGGCATAGTATTAAATTACAATTGTACATAGGATTCAATCAAATAATATCTTTCTAGCTCTGTCATTCTCTGATCAGACAGCTTAGTTGTACTGTAACTGCCATTGCTTCAGCAGAGTGTTCAATTTGCCCACAGGCCAGGCCTCTAAACATTACTCAGTCAAGGTAGATGAAACGAGATTATGCTCATAGATAGTAGGAAGTACTCACCTACACACAAAAGTGAGAAAAAGCTGGGCTCACAGTTGGTTCTGGAATTGTAAACAATTAGTTTTTTCTTTTAAAGCCTTTTAAGAATAATCAGAAATAAATTGCAGATTTGGAAAACAATCCCTACAACCCCTAGATGAACCCATAGCAATGAATTTGCAGAGTCCACAAATGTTGGAAATAAACAAATAGTTACTCTTGGAGGCCAGATTTTAACTTATTTGTTTTAAATTATTATGCCCAAAGAAGTTCTGAAAATATTTTAACTTAGAACAAATGTGAAAAATAATTTTTAATATCTAAGTTTGAGAAAATTTTCACCAAACAGAAATCAAATTTGTATTGGTGTTTTTGAATATTTGCTGCATCAGCTTAGAGAACACAGGCATCTGTCTACAGCAAATGCAGTCTTCTCTGAAAGTTCTCAGGAAAAACAATCAAGAACACAATAGAAAGGAGAACAGATGTACAGTCCTTCAAGCCTCTGGTTGGCTTAGCTTGGTTTCAGGTCCTGGGAAATGGAGAGAATGTTGATTTGCCTGGTTGATATAGATCAAAGGGACAAGCAGAGTTCCTTACCCAGTTGCTCATGCCCGAGTAAACACTTCTGGTTCCTTGGAGCAGAAGCAAGCAGACAACAAATAGATCAGTTGTCTCCTAGAAACTGTAGAGTTAGAATTTTTACCTTGTTTTTGAGAAAACTTGAGAACAAAGCAAGTTTTGCAGCATGCAGGAAAAGAATACAGACTTAGAAATAGACAGTTGTGGATATTTCTCTAAGGGTCCCCTTTCAGTGCGTGGGCAGTTAACATTCTAAGGAGCTTCTGTTCTTTGTGTAGCACCTGCTTTCCTATTGCCTTCTAAAAACTATGTCCACACATATGAGACTAAAACTTTCCACTCTTGGGTGTCTCCTATGTGGACTGGAGGTGAGATTTGGTGTTCCTATGTTTCCTGCCCAGCCACCTCCCCGAGTACCGCTCCCACATACACCCCTCACCACTCATCTACTGTTTTCACCTTCGTAACTGTCTCCAGTATCTCAGTCACCATGAACTCTTGCCATAAGGGAACTGTTGGGGCAGCTGGTGGGGACAAACTGTACCGCCTAACTCTTCTATCCTTTGCTCCTCAGGGACACTTCAATTAGAAAAGGTATGCTCTATGTGCCTAAAACTGCTCCTATGGAGACAACTCTAGAAATGTTTGAAACATATGCAAATATGTCACTCCTCTCCCTCTCTGAAGCCAACCCTCATTTTCTTCCAGCTTTGGTGTCTGCACAGTCCCACACGAGCCAAGCCCGGCTTGCAGGGTCAAGCTGTCTTTTCATAGTGGGAAAAAGCTGATGAAAATCCTTCACACAGAGGTGTTAAGAGCTTAATGATGAACACTCCCGTGAGTATCTTCATTTTGAAAGAGACTGCCTGGAGAGGTTATTGATTTACACAGAGAAATAGATTTCTAATCCTGGAATTTCATCAGGAGAAGGGAAGAAATTCACTTGGGTGAGGAACAAAATCATTTTTTTGGAATAACTTCAGAAATTAAGCAGAAGCAGACATCTAATTTATCCTCTGGTAAGGTGTCCCCAATTATGGCAGTGCCTTTGACTCATAAGAAGTTATAACCTTTGATAGAGAATATGAAGGAGAAGAGAAAGGAACCAGTGGAGAAGGAAAACTAGAGATATATACTAAGTACCGCTTTACAGCAGAATAATGGGAATAAAATTCTACAATGCCTACCCCTGTAAGGAAATGCATTTCTAGGCAATATTTGGATTAGTTTGGCATAGTTCTTTAAAAGTGGAGTTTGGCAACTGAACTATATTAAAATTAATATGTCTTAGCACAACATAAAAATAAAAAAAAACACTAAGCTGCAGCATTAATATAATCAACTATGGCATCCATCCTTCTCTTCAGTGTACGTCTATGGATTGTGAAATTTTAAGAAATCTCATCTATCATGGACTATGACTCAAACAAAACAAAACAAAACCCAGAACAAACTAGGACAAGATTAGATCACTGTCATTGCATATCAAAATGTCTTGAAAAACTAGCCACCTCATATCCAGATGAACAACTACAGGATGAATAAACAAGCAATAAAATGATGATACTTATTTCAGATAATGATAGTAATGGTCACACAGCACTATTCTAAGTCCTTACATTATCAGGACAATTCTATGAGGTACATGCTAATAGCATTTTAGAGATAAGGAAAAGGAGGCACAGAAAATTGATGGAGTTACCCAGGGCTCTATAATTAGCAAGAGGCAGAGCCAGTACAAGGAAACATTTAGTGTATTCTGAGGCTATGTATATTAGCATTTCAATGGAAGTTTGTCCTCAACATTTGCTGGGCTTTTGAATCCGTCTTTAATCCATTCCTTGTTTCAGTGCTGTGGTAGTTCCTGATGACACAGCCCAAACAGTGACATACCCTCACAATATTGGCAAATCCTGCAAAATAATACTTCAGAGGGACAAAGGACCAGTTGATTTTGGTATTTAAACTAATGGAAGATGATTGCTTAAACAAATAAATAAATTGCTATTTTTTAACATTAAACAATGGTAACCACACTACTCAAAATTCTTGGTTTTGAAGTTTGGAAGACACGCTGGAGATAAACTTATTCTTCATCTAAGTAAACAATTTTTCAAAAAGTAGCTTTAAGTGGCAGGAACCATTGTGTCATTTAGTGATTTTTGGTATAGTTAAACTTAATCCAGGTTACTGAGATGGCTGATTTTAAATGGGCAATTTTGCCACTTTTTGTTGTTGTTAACTTTCATCCTTTTGATGAACTGTAACTTTTACCTGGACATTCCAGAATCATCATTTTTCTTCAGTGAGAATAAACACTGGACCCTTAGGTAGCTGTTCCCTCTTTCCTGTATCCCTTCCCATCTTTATTGTTATCCTTCACCGAAGAAGGAAAGCCTAAGCTTGTTGTTTAGGGATAAGTAATTATTTTCTTTTCTTTATTTTGTTTTTCTTGAGTGTTTCATTTCCAGGACCAAAAAAAAAAAAAAAATTACGGGTTAAGATGCTTAGTTACTAAATGTTTGACTTCTTTTCCTACAGTCAACTCCATAGTTCTAGAATTATTTATTGATTTTACTCATTATATTTAGTATAAAATTGCTTATAGATAAGATATATACATAGACTTATATTGACATAATTGTATGAACGTATGTGTATCTGTGTATGTGTCTGTGTGTGTATGTATATATTTACCCCTTCTCCTGGCACCTATCCTAGGCCTAGTGCTACCTGTGATGCATTAAAGAGCCTAGATTTTGAAGTCAAAGTTAGCTCCAATTCCTAGTGGATGGGTACCTTGATACAAGTTATTTGTCCTCTTGACATTCTTGTTTCTTCTTATGAATATTAATAATAATAGTAATTATTTTTCATAGCTGTTTTAAGGATAACATATTTGTGTGATTGTGTAAGGAGTCTAGCACCATGCTTGGCATGTAAGTGATTAATAAATGTTACTTTTATTATATTTGCCTGGCCTATAGTAGGTGGTTAAAAATATTTTACTAGTGTTATTATTATCTATATCTTACTAGTCCCCATGTGTCTCACTACTATAGCAATATTGCTTTATAACTACCAACAAACAACTCCATTTTTTAAATAGACAATATGTAATATACTTGTGAGGATTATGCAAGATGATCCATATATAGCTGTTGCATAAGGTCCTCAATAAGTATGTATATTGTTATGGCTTTGGTTGTCAACATAATTGTTGTACAAAGCTTGCTCTGAACATTTTTTCCCTAGCTGCTCTAGCTTCTTAATTAGGCTTCGATCTTCATTTCTAAGAAAAATATAAAACCACTTATGATGTAGAAATCTGCCTATATTTTCATTTGTGGCTTTGGCCAGGTCATTTATCATCCATAAGGCTCAGTTTCTCAATCCTGGAATGAAGTTTCTAAATGAGGTCTTGAAAGTACTTTTCATCAATTTCATGCAGAAGTCATTTTCTTGAATCTGCTGTGTGAGTGAAAGCCATCAGACAACCACCATTGGCCACAAAAGCATGTGATCAGTGCTTTCATTTAAAACTCTAAAGGGAAATAATCCAATATGTAAACTTGTAAGATAGGCACATAATACTTGAAAGTCAAATACTAAATATTCCTACTTTAAATACAGTTCTTTTTTTTTGAGACGGAGTCTTGCTGTTTCCCAGGCTGGAGTGCAGTGGCGCAATCTCGGCTCACTGCAAGCTCCGCCTCCCGGGTTCACGCCATTCTCCTGCCTCAGCCTCCCGAGTAGCTGGGACTACAGGCACCCGCCACCATTTAAATACAGTTTTTAAACTACTATATTTTACCTATTTCTTAATTTGGCCTCCTGGTACAAAATCAAGATAAAGGACAGTGCATATATTACTTAGAGAGTGAGAATCTCAGTGTAAGTCATTTGTTTTGTTAATGTCATTGCAAATTTTTACAGTGTCAGCCTAGACCTTATTATGTGAAACCACAGAGAATCACGGACATAATCTGATCAGCCTTAATGCAATATAGTTTTGTCAAAAAATCTATTTGTCGAGTAAAAGGCATTGCGTTAGTTCTTTTAATATATGGTGTATAGTGACACCTATAGGAGACTGTGTGTAATGAATGGCATTCATTTAAAATAGGGATTCTATGGGTGTGGTAAGCTTTTAGTGTGAGGAAAGTGCATTCAATGGAAACAGGAAAATATAAATTCAGCATTAACACTTAAAGTGTGTAAGCTCTCCCTTAAGAATTAAAGATGCCTGGAATATATTCCATAATAGAAATAGCTTCAAATGACTGGGAAAATTGATGGAGAAGAGAACAATTTCCATGGTAACAATATAATGGGAATTTCTTTTTTTTAAGGAAGAGTAAAGTAAAAAACAGAAATATAAAGTGAGTGCCACAAAGGAGACTACACCTGGCAGCAAGTGATAGGGTAGAAATAGCTCTTTTTTTCAAATATCTGAGTAAAACACTATTTAATTCTCTGTATCAGTAACAATCATAAAACAATTGTGGTTATAATTATAGTTACATCTTGTGCTATGCCATATCAATTATATTTCCCAACTAACATCATTGTGTCACAGACATGCCTGAAAAGCTGAGGCCACATAGCATGGAGAGAAGAGCTGTGGACTGGTTGTGAGAGGTGTGATTGCAAATCCCAGGGCTGCTAAACTATGGTCTACCGACCATAGTTATTTTATCCACAGAATGAGAAGGGATGACAAGGTAATTTCAAAAGCCAAATCCAGTTCTAAATTTTCCAACTATAAATTTAAATTAGTGATGACTTTTTCTTTTTTAATGATTCCATGATTAGTGGTTAACTTGATGTGCAACCTTTTACAAAGCACTTAACCTCTCTGTGCAATGGTTTTCTAACTTTTAATTGCAGTGCGTGGACTAGATGATCTCTAAATTGTCACCTCTAAAATATTATTATTCTAAAATACTGTACATCATATTCCTAACACTAGTTTGATCCCTGAGTGAGTTAAAATTCTACCTTTGGGTGGTATTACGAGAATCAGTGAAATCCCAAGCATATGAGTAAAAGGGCTACTTATATCTAATATGGATTTATCTCTAAACATATTTGTATGAGCTGCAAGAGTATATTTGGGTTCTTTAAAATCTATACACCCACAGTACCTCTACTGTTGTTTGGTTTGTTATTGAGGACAGCAACAGAAAATGTGTGTCTCCCCAGGGGTCATCTCCCCAACCTCACTCCATGGCATTCAACATACGAAGTGATCTAAATTTTTGAGTTCAACTCCCTGTTTCCTCCAAAAGCCTTTGTAGCTTAAGCTGAGCCTCATTAAGGGACTGCCTAAGGTTTTAAAACATAATTAAATAAGTATTTCCTATACTTGTTCTGGAAAGAGACTTTTTAGTATAGCAAATCTATATTCAAACTTCATTATACACATTCAGAAGAAAGCTACAGGTTACTAGGATTTCTTCATATTCAACAAAAGAGAAGCTTTTTCCTGATGTTTTGTCTTGAAGCCAAGCTTACAATCCTCTTAGTAGTAAAGTAAAGACCAGTTTTATTGGGTACATACCATATGCCAAGAATGATGTTAAAACTTCAGGTGCGGAATTTCATTTAATCTTTATAATCCACTGAAAGATTTATAATCTTTTCATAAATGAAGAGAATACAACCTTAAAAGTTTAACTTATTAAGTTTAAAACTGAATTAAAGTATATTGAACTCAGACTTGGTCTGTCTCTCGGTGTGTGTGTGTGTGTGTGTGTGTGTATACAGCACACACATATGTACATACACAGGTCTAGTTTAATTGGTTCCTATCATCATTATTAAAGGTTCATCTTTCTTATCTACTTGTATTATGAGCTCATAGTCAATGGCATATTTAGAATCTGAATATTAGAAGAGTGTAGTTAAGTTTAGAGCTAACAAATAGTTTTATTTTCTATTGCTCCCATGTTATTTCAAAGCAAATTCTTAGCATCACAGCATTTCATCCGTGCAGATTTCAGAATATGTGACTAAAATATAAGGAATTTTGTATAATGCTATAACAATACATTTATCACATGTACTCCAAAAACAATAATTTCAGTGAAATATTCAATCAATGTTTTTTGAAATACAATTGAAAGTTAGAAATTATTTTGAACTAAATTAAATTTAAAATATTATATATCAAAACTTTTGGGGAACAGCTAAAATAGCCCTGAGATAAAATCAATTCAATTCAACATATCATCAGAGAAAAGAAGAAATATAGGATCATCTCTACAGATGCAGAGAAAATTAATAAAATTTGACACCCGTTTATAATAAAAATTCTTTGCAAGTGAGGAATGCAAAAGAACTTTCTTAATCTGATAAAGAATGCCTTTTAAAAGCTACATCTTTAAAAAATATTATAATTAAAATAATATAATTAAATTAATATAATTATAATTATATAATTAATGATAAATTTATTGAAAGATTTTCCATAGAGATCAAGAACAAGAGAAGGATGCACGCTATCACTGCCTGCAGAAAACATTGTACTAAAATCCCAGCAACTAAAGAAATCAAGAAAAAAAAGAAAGAGAAAAAGAAACAAAAAAGAAGTCAAGGACAAAAAGACATTAGTTCACAAAGCATGAAATTAGTTTTGCAGATGGCATCTTTGTGTATGCAGAACATCCAGACTCTTTGGCAGGGTAGTATATGTAGCAAAGTAACTATATATAAGGTAAATATACAAAAATTAATTGCATTTCTAAATGCTAGCAATAAGCATATGGGAAGTGAAAATTTGTCAATAATATAAAAAAGTGAAACAAGGAAAAATTCAGTTAAAGTATGCAAGACATCGAACCTACACATATTAACAAGATAAATTAAAGAAGTTCTATATAGATGGAGAGATATCTGATGCTCACGGATTGGAACTCTATCAACTCTCATATATCAACTCTCATATATCAACTATTTCCAACTTGTTCCATGGATAAAAGCCATTTCCAATAAAAAATACAGAATTGTGTGTGTGTGTGTGTGTGTGTGTGTAAAACTGACAGGTTGCTTCTACATTTCTACAAAAACTCAAAGGCAATTAAAAAACGACCATATTGTATCAGATATTAAGATAAGCCCTTTTTACAAAGCAATGATAATTAAAATACTGGGAAATTGATGCAAAGATAGATAAACGCTGAATAGAACAAAAAGAAGTGCAAAACACATTTGTTTATTTATGATTTTAAGAAAATGACTTTGCAGAGAACTGGGGAAAAAGTGGTCTTTTCAATAAAACTGTGCTGGGAAATGGAATATCCACAGAAGGAAGAAAAAGGAATTTTGCTGTCTACCTTAAAATGTACACACACACCCACACACACACACACATATTCCAGGTGGATCATAAATCTAATTGTGAAGGGTGAAAAATATAATATTGTTTGAAAGAAACAGGATTACATACAACATTACATACAGTAATGCTTAAATATGTCCACTAATAGACAAATAATGTTTGTAGCAGTCCTATAGGTAGTAGCCCAAAAAATGAAGAAATCTAGTTGTCTATCCATGGTAAAGTGTGCAAATATTTTGTGGCATATGTATAAAAGGAAATATTCTACTGCAATGAGATTTAACAAGCCAAAACTATAATTAACAACATGTATGAATACCACAAATACAAAGCTGAGCAAAATAAGCCAGATACAAAAGAATGCATACTGTATGATTCCACATATGTAAAGTTCACAAATAGACACAAATGTATCTATACAGTGTTAGAAGTTAGGATAGTGGCTACTGTCTGGGGTTTAATGATTGGAAGGAGTTGCAAAGGGGTTTTGGCATGCTAACAATGCACTGTTTCTTGATCTGGATACTGGTTACATAGGCATGTTAATTTTGTAAAAATCTATCAAGCAAGCTACATTCTTATGACTTTTTTACTTTTTTAAGTCTTTTCCTTCCATAAAATTACTTTTTAAAGTCTGGGGAGAAAGTTATGAAAGAATTAATAACATATCCTAGAACTAAGAAATATGTGTTTCCAAGATAAACAGAACAATAAATGATCTAGGTCAATGAATAAAAATAGAAGCACATTAAGACAGATCATCATGAAAATTAGAACAAAAGGGAGAAAAAATCAAAAGCTATATGGAAGAGAAAAATTACACAAAACCATCAGAAATCATTGGCACTGGACATCCAGAGAGCAGCCCAGAAAATCTAAAAAATAATAAAGCAATGTCTTTAAAACATTAAGAGTAAATGATGCTCAATCTACCCTTCTATACCTAGCTAAATTAGCAAACATTAGGAAAAAGTAATTTTGAAATTAAGAAAGTTCTCAAAATTTTTACTTTCAATATGCCTTTACTTAGAAGTCACTAGATGATACTGTGCTCCATAAAATGAAGAAATAAACTATGTATGGCAAATTTTCCAAAGCAGGTCATCAAAGTATTTTCTATTTTATGTGCTCTCTGCAATACGAACTTCCCACTCCTTCATCAAGAGTCAGAGTCTATTTCTATACCCACTTCAATCTGACAAGCTCTGTGACTGCTTTGACTAATAAAATATTATATAAGTGAAGCATGAAAGCTCCATGAATGACCTTTAACTGGTCTGGCAGCTGCCACTTCAGAAACCATCTGTCATGTGAGAAGTGCTCAGACCACCATGCTATGAGGAGACCAAGCTACAGGGAAAGACAATGGAGAATGGCAAACTATGTGGAATGTAGGAAAGGCCAAGGGACATTGCAGTAATGAATATATGAGTGAAGAAACCATTTTGGATGTAGAACATTAAGCCCAAGCTATTTCGGTTGGCACTGGGTACACCACAGACAAATGTCGTAGTAAAGCCCTTCCTTAATACTTGACCTTCAAAATAGGGAAAAAAAAGAAATATTTATTTCAATCCACTATGTTTAGAAATGGTTTGTTTTGCAGTAATAGATTATCAGATCACTTAGAAGGATAAATACAGAAATACAAAACTTAATGCAAGAGAAGGGAGAGATGAAAAGTCACTTTCAAGGAAGATGATGAAGTGGGGACTTCGAAGAAAGCTGCTCAAACAGCATCTCGTTCTAGAGGGCAAGACTCCAAGAAGAAAATCTAATAAATTTAAAAAGGGTATATTTGTATGTATTCAGATGAGACTTTTAATACTTTCTGAGAAAATTTGGGGTTGTCTCAGTCACGCAGAAAAATAAAGCACATGTTAATTCAAGAATAAATAAAGTGTGTAAAAAGGAATGTAACAACATCCAAATTCTTATTTTAGATGTTAGTTACATAATTATTAAAATGTAGGTGAAATTACACAATGCAAATTGAAAATTTTAGGAAGTCAATGTAGACACTTAGCAAATTTATGTGTTTGTATGTTTGGTGGAGGAGAGGTCTTGGAGGTTTTGTGGGAGAACTAAATTCTTGTCTACCTATAAGAAATACCAGAATAAATTGGTTGTATAGAAATTTGAAAGTAAATACCAGAAGAAATAGCTGAAACAGTTCAAAGTATTTGTCTCATGAAAATGGAAGTTAGGGATAGAAGGAAATCAGGAAATAAAATAATCTTTTTCATATTACTAAACAAATACACATATTCCTTTGATAAATTTGTTTATCCTAAAATCAAGGAAAAGATATAACAAAAAAATAGTAACCAAAAGAAAGAAATATTTTTGATAAAAAACAAAAAAGCATGATATACTGGTATAAGAAAAAAGGTGTGTCAACAATATCTAAAAATTTAAGGTAAATATAAATAATATTTTGCTCCAAAAATATATAAAGCAAAATTTGATAGAACATCTAGCAGAAACATAGAAATCAACAAATACAGTGGGGGATTTTGATATACTCCATCTCATGCTAAGACTGATGACACAGACATAAGCAAATATATGGAAGATTAAAGTGCATTTAAGCATAATAAGCTAAAATTAATTTTTATAGACTTTAGATTATATATTACTTTGATGCATACACAAAATATGACAAAATTGATTTATACTAAATATTAAATTTAAAAGAATATGATAGAGGTTCACACACACACACACACATACAAAAGACAAGACAAGGCCTGACAATTTCAACTGGTAAAGCTGCGAAGATCCACTTTTAGGGGCTGAGTGACTGCCATTTTGTTTAGGAGCCAAATCTAGATTGCAGTGAAAGGGCTTTATATTCTGCAGTTCTATTCTGAAGAAGGTGGAGCAGAAAGCCCCTAACTCATCAGATCCAGGATGTGATGAAACATTCTTACAATAGCCTTCCATGGCAGATAAAGAGGTAAGTGGGAGATGGCCTCACAGCAGCTCCTTAGGGGTCTCCCACACTCTCAAGTCTGGTGATACCATAAGATGTGCTGCCAAGATTCAGATAAACTGTATTTCGAGCTTTTGCCTAGTGAATATATTAAAGGTCACCAGAGTAGTATGGGTGAGCCATTCCCCTATGACTATGTATTCTGTGAAAAATGAAGTAAGAATCAAAAGCAATATAAAATATCATGTATTTGAACACTTAAAAATAATATCTTTGAGATAAGAAACACTTCATGAGGGAAATAATGACTTATAGCCCAATGCCAAATTGTTGAATTGTAGTTAAAGCAGTATTTTTAAAAAGCAAAGAAAAACTTCAAGTACATCTACCAGAAAACAGGAAACAATAAAAATATGATATGAGCTAAATATTTTACTCAGAAATATTGAAAAGAACAATGAAAATAAACCCAAAGAAATAAAAAAGAAAAAATATTTCTATATGTAACCATTTCATCTACACTAAATAAAACATGAATTCTTAATGATGTCTCTAAAATGAATCCATTACTATGTAGATCAATCCCCTCCTAATCTGTAAATAGTGAGAAATCTGGTTCAACAAATGTGAAAAATCTGGTTCTCATCGTTCCCCACTGATTTACTAAATTGTTCAATTCCAATATCCTGGTATAGCAGTATCAGAATTATTAACCTGTATTCCCATAGGAAACAACTTTATCAACTAGATTATAGTACTAATGTGCAATATCTTTTACTTTTAGTCTTGTAGGCTCTATTCATACTATATATCTATATATTTATAGATATGTATATATGTAGAGATTAGTACACTGACATATAATTTTTTGCTCTGTCAGCTGATAGGGCCTAAAAGAAATGACACTCAGTCATAACATATATACCTAGAGTCCATATCTTGTTTTCTAATACCATTATCCAATAAAAGGGACTAGGGATAGGGGTGGAAAGTATACAAGATGAACGTAGAGAATCTTGTAGTACTAGAAAGTTTAAAAAGTGCTAAAAACAAAAACAAATAACAAAATGATATTTCACATTGATGAGGGTATGTCAAACAGAAGCCAACTGAAATCACACCCAATTGGCAAAGCTGAAACAACTGGAACAGCAAAATAAAATAGATTATATCCCAAAGCGTAAAATACATATTTATGACTCAAATACTACACGGAGAAAAGTGGTTTGGGTTGCTTTCCACAACCAATCAGACTGATTGCAGAACACCACTTCGTTTACATGGGGTGAACAACAAGTGGCCAATGGGAAACCTCAAGAGGGTATTTGGACCCAAGAAGATTCTGTATCGGGGGCCCTTGAGTGGCTGCTCGGCCCACTCCCACCCTGTGCAGTATACTTTCACTGTCAATAAATCTCTGCTTTCGTTGCTCCATTCTTTCCTTGCTTTGCTGTGTATTTTGCCCAATTCTTTGTTCAAAACTCCAAGAACCTGGACAATTTGCAGTCAAGACCCTCTACTGGTAACAATATAAGAGATATGACATCACAAATAAGTGAAGCAAGGCTAGATTTTCTTACGGATAATGATGGAAACATTTTCCTTACTACATGGAGAAAAGTGGCTTGGGATGCTTAATTTATGCCATTTTTTTAAAACTCCAAGTGGACTAAAGACTTCAATTTAAAAGGTAAACTATAAAGCTATTAGAATCATAGTTGGAATTACCTTCTAATGATGTGGAGGATTAAGATGTCTCAAACAAACCTGAAAACAGAAAATATAATGTGAAAAGTTATGGGTTTACCTACATTAAAAGTAGTGCTTTTTTCAGTACAAACACACAGAGATTGAGAGAAAATGTGTGCAATACTCCAAATCAGCAGAATATCATTTTGCATATGCAAACAAATTCTCAAATTAGCGAGAAAATTATAGGAAACTCAGAAAACAATGGGCAAGGGGTAGAAATGTTAATTTGCAGGTGAAGCCAGGCTGGTTGACATATATTTGAAGATATGCTCAGGCTCATTAGTAATCAGAGAAAACAAGAATACTACTTTCATATTGGCAAAAAATTAGAAGTTATTTGTAATCAAGTGTTGCTGCCAAGAACTGTTGATGAGAGTGTCAATTGATGTAGCCATACATACAATGTTGTGGCAGTTACTTCTTTCTGTCTCTTCCCTGTTCCCCTACACTTTCTCTCTCCAACAACCAAACCTACGTTAGATGTGTACTATTTGCCAGGATATAATTGCCATTCTCATGGTGCTTATATTCTGCTAGGGATACATAGATCTACAAGATCCCCTAATAAGCATATTAGAGTTGGGATTTGGTGTGCATAAAGAGAAAAAAAATGAAATTAAATAAAACATAGGAAAAGCTTTTCAATTGACCTAAGTGATAGTGCACCGTAAACTATCCAAAACAAACAAACAAACAAACAAACAAGCAAAAAAAGAATCTGATCATTGTGAGCCTGGGCTTGGAATTTGTAATGTGTCATGAGACTTAAACAACATTTTTAAATGTTAGGAAATAAGGGTACCCCAGGAACATATTATTCAGTCAGTGCACTGAGGCAACATCCATTAAAAGTGGAAAAATCAAACAGTCTGGTTGCTGCCAAGTAAAAGAAGTTTAGAAATTTAGCTCTAATGGCTCCGAATGGTGGGAGGATCCCAAGATAAGCTACCCAAGACAGCATCTCTGTGTCTCTGTTACAACCAAAAGAATCTCATCAATAAAATCAGGTACCTACTACAGTTATGCAGAAAAATGTCATGTTTTATCGTCAGAGATATATTTTCCCCCTCAAATCAAACTTTTTCTATGCTTGGTGTACAGAAAAAAATAAAGATTATCAGTAGCTCAAAGTATCCTGCCCTTCCCAGGATGTACCCACAAAGAAAATTGGAGATAAAAACACTCCCACTAGGCAGAATCTGGAGCAGCCACATTTGCAGACCCAGGAATTCACTTTCAGGACAGTGACTGAATAAATGGATATGAATAAATGGATGCACCTGAAAATTTGTTGGTCTTTTTATATGCCTTTAAATTCTGTGTTCTAGTATATAAGATATATTCTGGTCTCATTACTGATGTGGGTTTCTTTCCCAGAGTTTCTGTCTTTATTCTCTTTCTGTAAATAATCATGTTTATTACAATCATCTGTACTGGAATGATTGAATTTTAATTAAGAGTTTGATAGTAAGGCCTTTTAGTATATCCAGTCCAAAAAAAAATTGGAAAAGGAATGGATATAACCGGAAGATTGTATACTCTGAGAAATGTTGCTCCTTCATTTCTCAAATCTTTGCGTTGTATCTTTGATATGAATACATTTGAAGCTGTCTGTAGAGTTAGAGTTGTAATCTGTTTTAGACACATATTTGAAATACTATAAGTGTGTGTAGATGAGTATGAATGCCAGGCAAAAAAAGAGTATAAAATATACTAGAAATTCCAAAAACATACCCCATCAATCGCCTTTGGTGTGGGAACTGGGAGTTGGTAATCAGAGTTGCCTCTCCAGGACTGAGTGTGAGGAAGGTTCTTTGCAAAGGTGATGTGGACAAAGGGACAATAAGATTGTCAGGTAATCTGGCTCAGGTTAGTTCTAATGTCAGTTCTAATCCAATAAGATGAATCAATGAGGTTCTGTTTTTCAAGAAATGTAACAGGTTGTCATTTAATCAATTAATCCTAAGATCTGAACTGTTCATTTTCTGAGCCCTTTATTTTAGCTAACTTTTGTGGTTAAAAAATTTTTTTATTACCAAATAAACACTTTTGAAAAAAACAGGACTGGAAAATGTGTCACTGAGTACTATTATCAGAAGCTCCTTATTTGCTTCCTGTTAAGGTCATGGTGCTCTGAAAACTCTTTTTGTTGTTGTCATTCAAATTAACTAACCCTCTTTTTTTTCTTAAACCTTTGGTAATGGTATTTGTTATGCTATGTTACATCTTATATTTTTACAGATACAGGAAGTACAAAGACCACACATTCTGGAAAATATTTAATAGAAGTCAAGTTAAATAATTGTGTTCTTTTTAGTAAAGGCAGTTAATGAAATGAATAACCAATGACCACCTATTATTTATTCCTTACATACATCAACTTACATATTAGAAAAGGATCTTTTTCAAAGCACATGAAATATTTTTTAATAAGTAAGATATAAAGATGACTGCCTTTGAAACACTGCTAAAATATGTCAAAATAGTTAAAGAATTTATCAGATAAAAATAGACCATTGAATAGAACAGTAGTGAATAAAGACTAAAATTTAGTTGTGGAGTAAGGAACTGAGAGAGAAAAATATACAGTTATGTGCTGCATAATGACATTTTGGTCAATGATGAACTGCATATATGATGATTGTCCCATAAAATTATAATGGAGCTGAAAAAAATCCTATTACCTACCAAAACTATAGCCTTAGTAAAGTTGTAGTACAATGCATTACTCAATTGTTTGTGTTGATACTGAGGTAAACAAACCTACTGAGCTGACAGTCATTTAAGAGTATAGCAATACAATTATGTACAGTAGATAACACTGATAATAATAATAAACTTTGTTACTGGTTTATGCACTTACTATACTATACTTTTTATTGTTATTTTAGTGTGCACTCCTTCTATTTATATAACAATGGTTAATGGTAGAATAGCCTCATGCAGGTTCTTCAGGAAGTATTCTAGAAGAAGGCATTGTTATCATAAGAGATGAGAGCTCCATGCCTGTTATTTCCCCTGAGGACCTTCCAATGGGACAAGGTATGGGGGTGAAAGACAGTGACATTGATAATTCTACTCCTGTGTAGGCTAATATGTATGTTTTTGCCTTCAACTTTAAGAAGAAAAGTTTTAAAAAGTAAAAAATTTAAAGATTAAAAATTTTTAAATTAGAAAATATTGTTTTGTACAGCTAAACAATGGGTTTGTGTTTTAACCTAAGCATTCCTATAAGGGTTGAAATGTTTTTTAAAAAGATAAAAAATTTACAGACCAAAAAAGTTACAGTAAACTAAGTTTAACTTACTAAAGAAATAATTTTTAAAATAAATTTAGTGTAGCCTAATATAAATGTAGTGTTTATAAAGTCTATAGTAGTGTATACTAATATCCTGTTTCTTCACATTCACTCACCATGACTCACTGACTCATCCAGAGCAACTTCCAGTTCTTTCAGCTCCATTCATAATAAGTACCTTATATAGATATACCACTTTTTATCTTTTATGCAATATTTTCACTGTACTTTTTCTATGTTTAGTTACACAAATGCTGTTGTGTTAAATGGCCTAATCATTATAGTAACCTGCTTTACAGATTTGTAGCCTAGGTATAATAGGCTATATCACACAGCCTAGGTATGTGGTAGACTATAACATCTAGGTTTATATAAGAATACTTTTATGGTATTTGCATGATGATAAAATTGTATGCACTTCCAAGAATGTATTCACATCATTAAGCAATGCATGTTTGCAGTTGCTTCAGACATTTCTTCTGTTTCTTTCTCTTTTTCTTCTTTTTTTGGTATTCCCACTTTGTGCATGTTACGCCTTTTGTTGCCCCACAGTTTGGATATTTCTGTTCCGATTTTTTCATTCTTTTCTCTCTCTCTCTCTCTTTTTTTTTTTTTTTTTTTTCAGTTTTCGGAGTTCTGTTGATATATCCTCAAACCCAGAGATTCTTTTCTCAGTCATGGCCGGTCTACTAATGAACCCATCAAAAGCATTCTTCTTTCTGTTACAATGTTTTTGACCTCTTGCATTTCTTTTTATTCTTTCTTAGAGTTTTCATTCCTGTTTATATTACTCAACTGTTCTTGCAGGTTGTCTACTTATTCCATGAGATCCTTTAGCATATTAGTCACAGTTGTTTTATAACTATGGTCTGATAATTCCAACCTCTCTGCCATAGCTAGGTCTGATTCTGACGGTTGCTCTGCCTTGCTTCAAACTGTGGTTTTTGCCTTTGAGTATGCCTTGTAATTTTTTGTCAAAAGGTAGACAGGATGTATTGGGTAAAAGTAACCCTGGTGAACAGACCTTTAGTGATGTACTGGTAAGGTGTGCAGGGAGGGGAAGCATTTTTTGAGTCTGTCTTTTGGCAAGCCTGTGCCCCTTGGCCACGCATTTCACAAGCGCTCTTAGCTTGTTTTGGTAGCACAGGATTGCTACAGGGGGGCTGGAGTTGGATATTTCTCTTTCACCATGTTAGTTAGCCACAATGTTTGGGCTCTGATAAAATAGTTTCTCCTGAGGCCAGGCCTTATTAAGGAGAACTGAATGCTCTGAGGTGTTTCGAAGTGGTTGTTTTCCCCTTCTCCTTCTAGAAGCCCGAGAGGGTTTTGCTCTGATCTTCACAGTGAGACCTGGTAGAGTTAAAACTCATAAAAGTATGACCTCCCCCACTGTACTAGTCTGTTCTCACATAGCTATAAAGAACTACCTGAGACTGGGTAATTTATGAAGAAAAGAGGTTTAATTGGCTCACTTTTCCACAGGCTATACAGGAAGCATGGCTGCAGAGGCCTCAGGAAACACAATTATGGCAGAAGGCAAAGGAGAAGCAGGCTTGTCTTCACAGGGCCAGAGCAGAAGGAAGATGAGAGATGGGGGGAGGTGAGACACACTTTTAAACTATGAGATCTCATAATAGATAACTCACTCACTATCACAAGAATAGCACCAAATGGGAAATTAGCCCCCATGATCCAATCACTTCCCACCAGGCCCCACCTACAACTTTGGAGATTACCATTTGACATGAGATTTGGGCGGGGACACAGACCCAAACCATATCACCCACCTTCCCATGACCGGGTCCTTCTGGAGCACTTATCTCTCAGGCTCTCTACTTCAGGCTTCCAAAGCAACTTACCAATTACAGTTCAGGTTTTCCTACCCCAGTACTTGTTCTAGGGGAGGATTCTGCTTATGGCCATTAAGTTGTGATTTTCTCTTTGTACTTATCTTGCTAATTTTGGAGGGTAGTAGTTTGTTCTGTAATCAAACTTCTCTGATGGATCTAAAATGAGTTGTTGATTTCTTTAGTCTGTTCAGCTTTTTATATGTTAGGATGCAGTAATGACTTGTAAGCTCCTTATGCACCAGAACAGAACCTGGAAATTCTAAATCTATAAGCTTTATTTTTTTTTCTTACATCTGACTTTGTAATAGAATTTAACTAGTCTCTTGAAATTAGTTGGATATTCCATCATCCTTTTTTGCATCTTCTGTTTGCTGGAACAAGTTTATAAAGAGTGATAAGTAGTAAGTATGCGTTCCTTAAATGTTTGGTAAAAAGTACCTGCAAAATAGTCAGGGTCTGGGGTCTTACGCAATTTTTAAATATTGTTCCAGGTTATATTTCCATATAACTTAATTAAATTATTTGAGATTTTTTTGTTTTTTGTGTGCTCAGCCATCATAAATCATTTTTAGTACCATACAGACACACACACACAGACACACTCACACAAAACCTCTGGGGCTTTGCACTTGTTTTTTCTCTTTTTGGAGTACTCTTCTTTTCATATATTTTGCCAGCTAACTCTTACTATTCATTAATTTTCTTTGATACTTTGCCTGCAATCAATAGCTTCTACCAGATGGTAGTGGTCATATATTATAGAGAACCATGCCTTGCAGAAAGCCTTGACCTCAGTCAGATCAGATTTGTATGCTATATAGAATCCTTCTCTTTTCTCAAGGCTCTTATCACACAATATTGTCATTCCCTGTAGACTCATCAGTATGTTCCACTAGTTCATAATCTCCTTGAAGGCAAGAGTTGTATCACCTCTTGATTCCTAATAGATTGACATATTAAGTCCTTAAAGTATTTGTAAAATAAAACATTCTGTACAACTAACTAGGTTACGGTGTTAAAGGGCAAGTGGTTGTTTTCTCCATACCTTTGCTTGATATTGACATTTGTGAAATTTTAATTGTTCAGTGTACACTTTAAGCAGATAACCACTACCATCTGGTGGCAATTACATGAATTACAGTCAATAACCTCAGAGTATATTTCAAGCAGGTAGTTCTCACTTCGGGGAATGGGAAACCAGACCAGCGGAGAGGTGGGTGACAAATGTGTTTCTCAAGTACTTAAAAGGTCAAAGTTAGCTCACTATTTTCAAAACATTATGGGCATATTCAGTGATAACTCCATAATCACATATTTTATTTGCAAGCACATGGTTCAAATATTCTTTAAAGATATTTTATTAAATAGACATTTATTTTGTTGTATTTTTCAACTGTATTGACTTTTTATCATTATGAAATCTCTTTTTTAATCTCTAGTTATTCTCCTTAAGTTTTACTTTAATATTAATAGAGCTACACTACTTTCTTTCAATTATTTTTTACATGGTATATCTTTTTCTATCAATCATTTTACTTTGAACTGATCTGTATCCTTATATTTGTAGTTTGTGACTATCCCTCTACCTGCTTCACTGGCTCCGTCTTATGTGTCAGGCAGTCTTCTAGAAGTGGTCATACTTATCTTCTCTAAGGCCATTCAAGACTGTTACTTTGCAATGCCAATGGGCCTCCAGTAGATACCTCTTGTCTTCATCAATGGGTGACATCATGCTCTCCTAGTTTAATACTAAGCTGTGACACTCAAGGATGTATATACCTTGGGCAAATGGGATGCTCTTTTTGTTCTGCATGTGGACTCTTGCTTATCCTCCCTGCTTGTGGCCGTGTGGGAAAGGTAACAGCATGGTCAGCATTGAGAGACATCAAATTCTAGGAATGCAGTGACTATAATCTACTGTATCATGAGGACTATGTAGGTGGAAGATGTGTAGTTTATGCTATAAAATTCCAATAGGACACTTAACATGACTAGAAAATAATTGTTCATATTTTCCTGAATACTCTGGGAAATTGTCAGTAATGCTTAGCTATAATTTTTAGAGAGCCACTGAATACTAGCATTCATTTGCAGCATAATGAATGATGTACCATCATAAGTAGTAATGTGACCAGCATTAAGTCAATGGTATTAAGATTTTGCAGAGGCAAGATACTGTTTTAATACAAACAGATTCTAAAAAGCCACAACATTGTGGTTAATAACAATAATGTCCTCTATTTTCTGAAGGTGGAAAATATGAAATTAGCCTGTATGGTCATTTGACAACTCACACAAAATAATTCATGAACCTGAATAGAAGGAGATGGTGTTTGGATACCATAAAAAATAATTGTATGCACTAACTGGAAAATAAATAAATTGATAAGTGCCTAATTTCTGTCCACTATTAAAAACCATCTTTATGATAAGTCTCTATGCCTAATATAAACCCATGAGTATTATAAGGCATTTTAAAATCATGTTGCAGATATAGAAAGGACCCTGTATCAAATATTTGCCTGATGTCCTGCTGACCGTAGAGGTGGCCCTGTTTCTAGGCATCTCTAATTAGATAGCAGGGAATTGTTTAGAAGAAGGATTATAGAGGGGAAATATACCTAATTAATCAAGATATAATTAAATGGAATACATTGGAAATTGTCCTGAGAGTGAGAGCTGTGATGTATACACACACTGATGATCCATAAATTAAAGGGAAGTACAAATTAGAACTTTAGCAAAGGGATAGCTTGAACACAGACCTCTGGTTTCCAGATCTTTTGAGTTTTCTTTCTAGGGTGATGCAATATAACATTCCAGAAAAGGCAAAACTATGAGGATGAAAAATGATCCATAAATTATAGTGCCAATCTACCATATCCAAAAAAATACTCTGGATTAAAAGAAAACTGAAACAGAACAGAGATTTCAAAGTAGATGGTGACCAAAAGAAGATACAAATTTTATAAGCCTTCAATTAGTCTATCTACCTGACTACCTATCCATCTAAAATAACTAAACTTTTGAAATAAACTTTAAGAATTTTTTAGATATTCGAGTCAATATTAAAAAAATATATATTGATAGAAGCCTGAAATAAAAATTTTACATTGTCTCAACAAAACACAACATGGTTGGTTAATGTGAGTGTTGAAATTGATATAATTCATATTAGATAGTATTAAAATGATAAAAAGGAATCAGATCTCTTTTTTGTTAATGTGGAGGAAACAGAGGATATGTTTTAAAATAAGAAAAGCACCCTGTTTTATGGCTGAAACCATGGAGGGTGTCAAAGAGAAGGAGGAGGTTCCTGCTGTGCCAGAAACCCTTAAGAAAAAGCAATGGGATTTCGTAGAGCTGAAGATCAAGCACCTGAGAAAGAATTTTGCCCAAAAGATGCTTCAAAAGGCAAGGAGGAAGCTTATTTGTGAAAAAAGAGAAGCACTATTACAAGGAATATAGACAGATGTACAGCACAGAAATTCGATAGGTAGGATGGCAAGAAAAGGTGGCAACTTCTCGGCCGGGCACAGTGGCTCACACCTGTAATCCCAGCACTTTGGGAGGCCGAGGCGGGCGGATCACGAGGTCAGGAGATCGAGACCATCCTGGCAAACACGGTGAAAGCCCGTCTCTACTAAAAATACAAAAAATTAGCCGGGCGTGGTGGCAGGCGCCTCTAGTCCCAAATACTCGGGAGGCTGAGGCAGGAGAATGGCGTGAACCTGGGAGGCGGAGCTTGCAGTGAGCCGAGATCGCGCCACTGCACTCCAGCCTGGGCAACAGAGCGAGACTCCGTCTAAAAAAAAAAAAAAAAAAAAAGGTGGCAACTTCTATGTACCTGCATGCAGAACCCAAAACGATGTTTGTCATCAGGATCGGAGGTATCAGTGATGTGAGCCCAAAGATCCGAAAGGTGTTGCAGCTTCTTCACCTTCATCAAATCTTCAGTGGAACCTTTATGAAGCTCAACAAGGCTTCGTTTAACATTCTGAGGATTGTAGGACCATATATTACATGGGGGTACCCAAATCTGAAGTCAGTAAATGAACTTATCTACAAGGATGGTTATTGCAAAATCAATAAGAAGCAAATTGCTTTGACAGGTAACACTGATTGCTCGATCTCTTGGCATCATCTTCATGGAGGATCTGATTCATGAGATCTATACTGTTGGAAAATGCTTTAAGAAGCAGACAACTTCCTGTGGCCCTTCAAATTATCCTCTCCATGAGGTGGAATGAAAAAAAAAAAAAAGACAGCTTATTTAGTAGAAAGTGATGATCCTGGCAACAGGGAGGAACAGATCAACAGGCTTATCAGAAGAATGAACTAAGGTGTCTACCACGATTATTTTTCTAATCTGGTGAGTTAATAAAACAGTACCTGCTCTCAGATTGAAAAAAAAAAAAGCAAGTGAGAAAAAAATGATCCATTTTTGTTAAAACAAACAAACAAACCAAAATTCTGTATATGTATATACACTTATACGATTTTGTGTGGGCATAGGCTAAGAGAAAATACAAAGGCTACTAACATTGGTTTAATTATGTTTGTATGGAAAGAGGAAAGTAATTAGGGAGAGCTAATAAATTGGTTATATTTCTTTGCATTATTTCTCTCATTACAGTGGTTGTGTAATATTGAATTAACATTTCAATGAGAAAAGTGTTAATTAACAAATGGGTATTTATTACTGTAGAACAGCATTCTAAATCATTTGTTGGCATCTGCAAGGTACTGTGTTAGAGTGGAGACTTGCAGGCATACATGAAATCTGTCCTCAAGAAGCTGCCAATTATTTTTCTACTTCTGTTAAGTCAGACTAGGTTGACATAGATAGGCCAATCGTCTAGACATATTTAGGTTTAGGAAAGTTTTAAACATCAAGGACTAAAGGAAAACACACTGAGGTGAGCCCAACATTTATTGCATTTTTTCCTCTTGAGGCATTTGCCAATTAACATGTAGTATCTGGTAGACTGGAAAGGTGGTAAGCAAATGGCAGCTTAACGCCTGAGAAATTGGGCAGAGCTTCTGGCCATTTTATGAGGGTGATGGGACAAAATAATTGTTCAAAGTGAACAAGGAGGAGGATTTTGGGCAAATACCTCAGGCTCTCAGTTAAAAACCTTGGGCCGAGCACGGTGGCTCATGCCTGTAATCCCAACACTTTGGGAGGCCGAGGCGGGCAGATCATCAGGTCAGGAGACTAAGACCATCTTGGCTAATACATGATGAAACCCCGTCTCTACTAAAAATACAAAAAAATTAGCCAGGCTTGGTGGCAGGCACTTGTAGTCCCAGCTACTTGGGAGGCTGAGGCAGGAGAATGGCATAAACCCGGGAGGTGGAGTTTGCAGTGAGCCGAGATTGTGCCACTGCACTCTAGCCTGGGTGACAGAGTGAGACTCCATCTCAAAAAAAAAAAGAAAAAAAGAAAAAGAAAACCTTGAAACCTTGAAGAATTACAACTTAGGAATATGAGTGAAAGATGTAAGTCATCCGTCACAACTCACAAAATCTGCATACTGCTAGGGTTAACTGTTAATTAATTCATCCCTAACCTAGCCTGCCAGAAGCAAAATTACACCCTCTTTGGAAGAATATAATATCATCCATAGCAAGAGAACATTTTTCATATACAATGTTTGGCATTAAATAAAAATTACTATAGATAATGGAAAAGAAAATACATTTTTGAACATCAAGGAAAAATTTCTAGAATATAGAAACGGAGAATATTATTATAATCAAGTTGTCATGAAATTGTAGAACAATATATAACATATCAGAAGAAAACTAGAAACTATTAAAAAGTAAATATAAATACTAGTTATAAAAAATACAATAACAGAAATTAAGAAATCAAAACAGAAATTTAATAAGAAGAAGACACAGTTGAGGATCAGATTTCTTTAAGTCACAGAATAGATTCAGTTTTGGTAAATAATCCTGATGCTGGGGACATAATGGAAGCCTCAGAAATCTCAAAAGCCAAAGCCAGAAATATATTTGGTTGGTCAAAGTGTGCATTTCAGGCATGGGAACAGCATGAGCAAACCATAGAGACAATAAAGTACAGGAAATGTGAACTAGTACTGTTCATCTTAATTATAGGTGGTACATAGGGGATTCAAGAAAGATGAGAGTGGAAAAATAGGTAGTGGTTAGCTTAAGAAAAGTCAATACACTATTATGTGAAAAGCAGTATATATTAATAGTAACTCTTCATTTTGTCAGTTGAGGACACAAATCTCATGGCAGAATTTAAAATGGAAATATAAGAAACTCACTTCTCACTAACTTATACAATATTTTATCAGCTGTTTACATGTACATGAATAGTGAGCTTGCATTTTCTTATGAAACTCTCAGTTAAAAGGAGTTTCTTACATCACTATTTTATTTATGAATTTGTTATTCTAGATATAGAAGCCACAATGTGACAAAGCCCAACTTTCTGAAAAATAGATGTAAACACAGAAAAATTAAAAACACCTCTAAAGTTCTGGCATCTTTCAAAGTGAAGCTGTGTGGAGCAATGGCCAGAGTTCTAAGTCCCATCATCTGTAATGCCTTGGCCCATCTTGCCATCTCAAGTTTTCCAGGTTAAAAAAAAAGTACTATTGGGAATAAAAAGGAAAGGAATACATGTGAGATATGGATGTAAAAGCCATTAGGGATGTTACTCCACAAGACTTTATTAGATGTGGAAGTTGTGGTAGAGAGTAGATTTAAAAATAATTCTGAGATTTTTCAGCCAATAATGAGCACAATTGGTTAATAACCAGAACAATTAGTATTTATAAAGATATACAATATCTTGGGAGATCTTTAAAGGGGGATTCCATAGTTGACTGAAAAATTTATATTTCTCAGCCATCTTGAAGCTTGTTATAAGAGTTCAAGATCTTGTGTTCTTACATATGGAAGAAATAGTTGCAACAGTGGAACTAAATGTGATTCTGTGGAAAGAAATGGTGAGAGAGAGAGAGAGCAAGAGCTAGAAAGAGAAATATTGAAATCAATATCTTGAAAAATATAGTCCAGAACAAGCCAAAGAAAGAGGCTATATCTCACACACCTGTATCTTAGAAACTGTGTGTCTAAGACACCTGTGAATGGCTTAGTACTGTGCTCTACACAAAAACTCTGCTTAACAAATAGTTATCAAATTTATGGACAATTTAAACATTTATTCTGATTCCTCTGTCCATAGCAGGATAACATAATGAATTAGGGAACTAAGGAGAGAGATTGCTAGAGGCAGGCTGAAAGAAGTAAAAACCAATAACAAAAATAACAAGAAACAGAATAAACTATGAAAAGCAGCAAAATATACTTAAAAAGCCAAACATCCTATGATCTTAGGAGGGAGCAACAAATGGTCATCCCAACAACATAATAGCTCATAAAGAGGATACTGGGTTTCAATAGGAAGCATGGTTGACAGTGGTAAGTATGACTCGAGATTATTAAGAAATCAACCCAACCTAAAGGCCTTTCCCTTTATTTGTATTTTAGTAAAGTTACTCCATAACAGAAATACATTACAAGGATAGGAGTAGAGTGAGATGACAGCTGAGAAAAATAAGACTTATTGTTGCAAGACTTTTTCCTTAGTTCAGCTGACAGCTGGGTTCTTTTCACATAGCCATGAGAGATTAGGCTCACAGACAATTTGAAGGGTGAGAATAATGGGATTTATTGGGCAAAAAGGGAAAAAAGGGAAACAGGGACCCCCTGCAAGGCCAGGGTCCTGCTAGTATACTTCCCACCTGGCAGATTGAATTCCAGGTTCCTCCCAGGAAGAAGAGGAACCAGGTTCTTTCCTGCTGTGAATGGTGCAAACTTCTGTGGCTCCACCCCAGCGTGTACTCCTCCCAATGTGCAGACTGGTTGGAGTTTCTCTGGAGATCTCTTCCCACCTGGCTATCTCATTCCCCCCTCTAAAGAAGTATATCTAATTGCCGTTAGAATAAGGATGAGGATCAGGATGAAGACTGATCTTAACTGCTTCCTGCTGGCAGGAGGTGCTGTTTGGGGGAAATAGCAGTCAGAGCTCCCTCAGAGGCCTATTTAAGGGTTCCCAGCATAAGGGACGAACGTGTGAGGCTCCAGTTGCATGACTGTTTAGAGTTTGATGGCCTGAAGGCAAGATGAGACAAACCAGGTTATAGAAAACGTGTATCAAAACAAAACAAGGGGAGGGGTAAGGACACCTCAAATATCCTGAAGCTTTTTACCAGTTTGCACAGGGAGAGGGAGGCCAAAAGCATGACTGGTGAAAAAACAAAACAACAACAACAAAAAAAACAGCCTTTTGCCGCATGTTGGGTTTCTGAGTTCCCTCCCCTGAGCCAATTCTAAGCCAATCAGTTTAAGGTTTGAGAAATTAACTTTTCCCAGTTTGGAGGATGCATCTGAGGAGAGTGTCCCATAGTATAGAGACAAAATTACCTATCAGTGAAGAGAGGACAGAGGAACAGAAAAGAAAAGAAGGCATTTATCAAAAGAGTCCCCGGGTTCAGGATGCATTCAAAAGGGGTACAGACTGAAGATGAATGGCTACCCATCTAGAAAGAGGGGAGCAGCCATCCCTGGTTTCCTTCTCTTTCTAGCAGATACCTTGGGTACAAAAGGGAGAGAAGGAAGAACATCCTCTTTTCCTCTTCCATCTTTGCATCCCTGAGTCTTGGTGACCTTGGCAGGTGCCACCAGGGATGCCAAAGCAGCTTGCACCCATGGAGTGAGGGGCATGGGGGGGTGGAAATTATCCACTCTACCCATGGACACCCTATTTCCCCTGCTATCAGTACCCATGAACTTCCTAGACCTCATTTATGCATTGAGTTTGGGTCAAAAATATGTCTTTAGGGCTGTTGCTTGGAATCCTCATTACAAGTCAAATGCTAAGGTGAAGCTGGGGAGTGGAGTCCTTCTCCAACAAGGGAGAGAAAAGGATGTCTTGTGACACATCCATATAGCTGGTGGCTATAATGATGCTTGCTAGGATTTGGGTGTGTGTTGCTTGGCCTTCGTTAACTCCCTTGGTATTACTTTCCCAAAAAGAAAACCTCCCAGTGATGGGTATCCTATTTATTGCTATCACCTGGCAGGATTTGCAAGATAATTGCTCAGAGTTAGAATATTGATCCTGAGTTCTACATTACCCATCCCTTTTGTTCTTTCTGAACTGTAGCTGGAGATTGTTGGTAGGTTCACAGGAGCAAGCAGGGTTAGTCTAAAAATGTAGGCAAAAACTTAAAAACAACTAGTGAGTTTAGAATTTAATGACAAATGTATGATAAGTTGTAAAACATGATTTCTCTCTCTCCAGTACCCATTTTTGTTAAAGAAAATCATGATAGGATTGAGTTGTTTGCAAAATGGACTTTAGTCTTATACTTGGCCTAATTATTGGCATAAAGTTCAGCAAGAATAACTATTTCTGCATTGGCCTTTTAGATTGGCTTTGATGGAACTCTGTTCCACAATGAATCTCAGATAAGACCTTTTAAAGCCCAGCCCAGCCATGGGTTTCTATCCTCAAATACCAGTGAGTTGGGTGTTCCTTTTCGTTTAAGGTCCCAAGATAAACTTGGAGTTCCTGGACCTGTGAGAAAGTGACATTCTTTACTGACTGCAGGTCAGGAAACTTGTGTAGGGACTGTGTAGGTAAGGGTATGAGGCCAGTCTCTTCACAGGGCTTTTATTAGTCCTGCAAGACCAGTTTCTCCAATTGTGTCTTGCTGCAAAAGAAAATGGATTCTTATCACACTGATGCAAACATCTATATTGCCATAAGTTAAGAATACTCACAGATAGTTTCAAATTCTAGAGTAACCAGGCAGAGAGAAACAAACATGCTCCAAACCTTGTTCACAGGAGAATACCTTACTCAATTATTAAAGGCCATAAATAGTGAAAAATAAGTTTCCTTGACTCTGAAAAACAAAATAAGTATCAACAATATTCCAAGCAAAAGTTAAAAAGTTTGCTTCAGATTTCTGAGTTCTGCCCATTTAGTTCTTGTTTTGCTTGATTGTTGGGAATAGGCCCCCAAATCTGGCCATAAACTGGCCCTACACCTGGCCACAAACAAAATCTCTGCAGCACTGTGACATGTTCATGATGGCCATGATGCCCACACTGAAGGTTGTGGGTTTACCAGAATGAGGGCAAGGAACACCTGGCCCACCCAGGGCGGAAAACCACTTAAGGCATTCCTAAGCCACAAACAATAGCATGAGCGATCTGAGCCTTAAGGACATGTTCCTGCTGCAGATAACTAGCCAGAGCCCATCCCTTTGTTTTGGCCCATCCCTTTGTTTCCCATAAGGAATGCTTTTAGTTAATCTTTAATCTATAATCTATAGAAACGATGGTTATCACTGGCTTGCTGTCAATAAATATGTGGGTAAAACTCTGTTCATGGCTCTCAGCTCTGAAGGCTGTCAGCCCCCTGATTTCCCACTCCACACTCTATATTTCTGTGTGTGTGTCTTTAATTCCTCTAGAGCCACTGGGCTAGGGTCTCCGTGACCGAGCTGGTCTCGGCACTTGATATTTGTGAACATTTTAGCTCCTCATGAGTGTTGTACATTTTCCTTTGTCATTTTCCAATGTCACAATCTCCAAAGTTATCAGAAACCTGTATTTGAGAACACCTGTTACAATTCTATTGTATCTTATTATAAATCATCTTTTGAAAAAGATTAAAACAAGACAACAATTGCCTGTGAATAGCAAAATGTCCAAGTTAGTTACAGTTAGAAACACACTTGACCAAGAAGTTTGGTTGTCTCCATGGTTTACAATAACTTAACATAACAACCTTAATTATGATCGATAGCATATACTTAGACATCAGAGTTTTAGAAATCCCATACAATTTTGGAACACATATTAGTATTACTCACAAAAAATATAACCTAAAAAGACTGAATATCATTTTGGCAATCCCATGTACCTAAACATGTCAAATAATCCTATTTACCTCTTTTCTAGATGTCTCAGTGGTCCTCTGATCTATAAAAAAAGCCAGGCATCAGGAAGGACAATTTTGAAACTAAAGTTAGATTTGGGGAAGGCTGTTTGATATGCTCGAAGTTTAAAACACTTGATATTATGAAATAGAATTCCATATTACCATAGATATTTGGCCAAAATAATGACTCAGAAATTTTAAACAAGCAAAAACCTTTTATAACCCTTCACAAATTTTACCTAAGAGCAGGTTAACACCTTAAGAATACCTTATTGTGTTTTACATTTTAATGCTTAATTTACAGAAAACCCATGTAATACCTTTGTGAGTTAATTGTTCACACAGAGAACCTCTTCTACAAAATTAATTTCCACAGTCCTTCCACCACTTGTTTAAACCTTCAGCTTTATCCTAATTTAAAATAATCCTTTAACCTTAGGCAGAAAATTACATTTCTGTGCATTCTTATAATCTTTTACCAAAAAACCCCCCACATTTTACTGTTCTTACACAACTTGCATGTAAGTATTTCCAGTAGTCTCAATTACATGTTATAATGGCAACTCCTAGTAATTATTAACTTTAATTTAAAACCTGGTAAATTGTTTTAATTGTGTGGGAGGTGCAGCCATGGTTTGACTCCCAGCATAATTAAGGGCGTGTGTGTCCCATATGTACCCTGGCCTTACCAACTGTGAAGCTAGCAAGTTAAATACTTCTCAAAATCCAAAAAGCAGTTTATAACCTCAAAGTACTTAGCAAACCTTACATATAACCTGCATAATTTAGTCACCTTATTTACACTTTGATGACATCTGCCTTTTGCCAATAATCTTTAAGGCTGTTTTTATTCCTCAAAAATTAAAGTCACATGAACTGAAAGGTACAACGGCTTTTATCTTCCCTTTAAAAAATATTTGATCCAAGTGCTTGTCTTTCTTTAGGCCAAGTTAATTAGAGTTCTTTTTACAGACATCACACACACACATATAACTACACACACAGGCAGGAGAAAACCCATTCCACTGGTGGTGTGCTTTAAGATACAGGACTAGGAAAACATGCAGATATCAAGCCAGAAAGGAACTCATTCCCTAAGGCAGGATTGCTAAGCAAAGCCTTGCCACGGAGTTACAGGCCATGCCCCCAGGATGTTAAATAAGATGGAGGCCTGCAGAGAAGTTTGCTATGAACCATACAGACATGCAAAGCACACTAGATTGGCTACAGCTTAAGGTCAACCTCACAAATCCTTTTTCATAATTAAAACTTTACAGAGAATATAAACAGTGATCCTTATCACTTCTAGCCTAGTAAAACGCCTTCCAAATGGAAAAGAAACTAAAAGTTACCTGCTGATGTTGTAGGGAAAAGGATGCCTGGGGAATCAATGTCTTATTCTTACACAACTGATTCCTCCACCAGGGAGAAAAGCTTAATTACTGTCCAATGAAGTTGAACCCTTGGCTGAGGAAAGGCATGGACACGTGACATTCCCCACCCCCAGCCGGGAGTGGAAGGGGAGTGAGGAACCGTCGCTCACCCATCGAGCCTGAAACTAGAAGAAAAAGGCCATGGAAAAGCCCCTGATCCTGGGAGTGACAGGGGTGGAGGTATGGTTTCCTCTACCCTCAGAAGTCCGAGGATTAAAAGGCTTAGAAGTGACAGTGAAAGGTCTTGAGTTCCCATTTCAGTCGCCCCTTCTAAGCCCCAAGTTGGGTGCCAAAGATATTGTAGGACTTTTTCCTTAGTTCAGTTAGGAGCTGGGTTCTTGTCAAATGGCCATCAGAGATTAGGCTCACAGACAATTTGAAGGGTGAGAATAATGGAATTTATTGGGCAAAAAGAAAAAAAAAAAAGCAAACAGGGACCCTCTGCAAAGCCAGGGTCCTGCTAGTGTGCTTCCCACCCGGCAGGTTGAATTCCAGGTTCTACCCAGGAAGAAGAGGAACCATGTTCCTCCTCCACTGCAAATGGCATGAACTCCTGTGGCTTCACCCCAGTGTGCACTCCTCCCAGTACACAGGCTAGTTGGACTTTCTCTGGGGACCCCTTCCCACCAGGCCGTCTCATTATCAGAATTATGTATGCATATATAATTATGTTATTAGTTGTAATGCTTTCTTTTATCAAAGCTTTTACCATTCTTAGAAAGAGGGTTCAGGTAACTAGCAGTAGGGATGGGTCCTGGGAATAATTTCTCTTTATAGGCCTGTTTTTTTCTGACTCTTAATGTTCTATCAGGGGCAGCACTGAAGACTTTAGACCAATGCAAGAATATGTGTATTTACAAAATGCCCACTGAATACTCTCTCTCTCTCTCTCTCTCACACACACACACACACACACACACACACTTTGGCACTCAGTTATCGAAACTTCAATTTTAAAATTTGTTGATAAAGAATACTGTGTTTCCCAACAGTAGTAGATAAATGAGGTCTTAGCTCTTCAAATAGCATAACTATTGACATATGATCACCAACTTTGTACTTAAAATGGCATGAACTTTATCGGCCAAAACTACAGTTAACAATATTTTCTCTTCTTGAAGCATTATTGTAGGTGATATTGTGTATGTATAATTAGATATACTATGTATATACAATATGTTACATATTATATTGTAAAATGCTTACAAATGGCTAAAATATGACTAACTCCTCCTTTCCCTTATTTTGCTTTTTGATCACTATCAATTAATCTCAGGACCTGAGTTATAATTTCACAAGAATTTGAACTTTATTTTTCTGCGGAGAGTCACGTGATTTGTAAGTATGAATCTTATCATTGCACATTATTTCTTAATTTGTTGTTTTACCCTTAGCATTTACCAAAAACTCTAATTTACATCCCCTCTATTATCCTATCATCTTTCTACATACCATCTTCTTCATTTAAAAAAGACAAATTTGTTTGGAGTTATTAAAAAAGTAAATAATGATCAAGGAAAAACTGAGGTCACAAGGGAATACTTCTCTGAGAAACGTATGTTTGACCTAGATTGCAAGTTTGCTCTATAAAAAAGTGTGCCTTTATTCTCGTGCTCTGTTAACATTGCATTACTATAAAAAGTCAGACTAACAAAATCCCAGCAGAATATGTACATTACAGCGGTTACTAAGGTAACTCCTTTAAATTTCTCTAAATAGAAAAAATTAAAAATATATTATTTGAGGGCAGATAAGTTAAGTCTGTCCCAAGGCTTTCTAAGAGTATTTTTGTGGCAGCAATAAATGACTGTAAGGAAAATATCCTGGATCTAAACTGAGTCTGAGTCACAGGTACATAATTAATTGACCGATATAAATGAAAATAAAACAGCATAGGATAAAATCCTTCTGAAGTCCCTTTTAGGTGCCCACAAGAAAGAGTGGCCTCAAGGAGGACTAAAAATGAGGAAATTAAACTATACTGTCATATTCGTCCCTTAGGGTAAATTCACTACTGAGATAGAAAGAGGCTGGGAATAATTTGCTCACTATACAACCCTTTCTACTCAAACTTTATCTTTCCTCTTGGGTGACCTTTGAAACTATAGATGTATTATATAAGAGCCTGAAATGCACATAGGAAAAATTTCAGAACAACATTAAATTACCATTTATTTGAGCAGTATAAAGTATCCAGATATATATTATTTAAAGAGACAGCCACTGGATGTCATTGTTAATGCCATGAAAATAAGTTTCATAAATATTACTATTATTCTTTACATTTGGTAGCATTAAACATAGTTCAGTCTATATTATTGAAAACATCATCAAATATATGCTTTCAAGGTTTGTTTTGTTTATTGGTGACAGTGATAAGATATTCACTAATGGATTTAGATACCTTATTTAATATGTACTTTTTCTGTTTTATTAGTCAAATAAGTAGAATGAAATACTTTATGACTTTTCTATTACTATACTTGGAGTATTTTAGGCAAAATTTGTTTTAATAACATATGAATGAGCATTTTCTTAACTAAGACATCATGATTCAGTAGAATCAGAGAAATAATGAAGACTTGGGGTCTGGCCCATATGTTGCTTTAGTTTTTCTTAGGGCTACGGGAGATAAATGATTTACGAGGACTTCCGGCATGCTGGGCACTCATTTGAGGCATTAAGATATTGCATTTGCCAATAAAATTGGTCCCCTATACTACTTAGGGCACCTCATTTAAAGTACCATTCGTTCGGAAAAGCTCCTGATGGGTTTCCACCGTTTAAGCCAAATTTAATAACTCAAATGGAATCAATCTCTTTTTTATCCAGTTCTAAAGTCAGTCTCTGACAAAAGTACCAATGAAAGGAAGGTTTGGATGAGATCATCCTTATTCTATTTGTGGTCAGACCAAAAAGCTTAGAAATTTAGGAAGGTAACTTACCCTATGTCTGGCATCTCTGTCTTTTATAAGAATCCATAACAACTCTGTTATTTATCTAAACAGATTTATAAAAATAAATTCAATGAAATCAGGGTTCTGCCAAGATTTTATGTAAATAAATGGGCCTCATGGTCAAAATTTAAAAATCAAGTATACCCTACAAACCTTTTGGAACTTTATAATGAGCTTTATAATAACGGTGCTGAGAAGGTCTATAGTAAAGAACTCTATCTACATATGTTTAATATATATTTATTGCATTTTAATTTCTATCATAATTCATCAGATCTAACATGTCATTTATCATGTGTCTTTATTGCTAGATTTTTTAAAGAAACAAACTCCATATTAAATGTACATGCACAATTATTAGCAACCGTAATATTTAATTATTCCTAGACTTAAACAGCACTTTTTTCTTCAATGGAAATATCTAAGTTTTAGTCTAGACCTTTTTCACATTCTGAATCAAAGAATCATTTGTAAGTTTTTTCCTACAACATGATATCATTTTATCAAGTTCATTTCTGTGCACCTTATCAAAGATTGACGTTTTGGGATTACTTTGAGTCATTTTTTCTACCAAATTCTCATTCTGCAAGCTTTGGTGAATGCTTGTCCTTTTAGTCTTACCATAAGCACCAGAAGAAAAAATGAAGATCACTATAGGTTTCATAACATTTCCTTAGATAACTAGTTCTCAAACTTCAGCATGCATTAGATACACCTAGAGGCCTTGTTAAAATATAGATTTCTGAACCCCACCTCCAGAGTCTGATTCAGAAGATCTTGAGAAATCAAGAATTTGTATTTCTATCAGGTTCCCAGATGATGCTAATGCTGTGTTCTAGGGACCATGCTTTGAGTACCACTGACTTAGATCTTCTCTAAATGACATGTTTAAGCATCAAGGGCTTCAGTGTGGCTAGCCATGCTATCAAGAATAACAGTCATGTCATAGAATTTTCTGCTAAACTTATTTTTAGTTGATAAGATTGATTGTCCATGGAACTCATTCCAAATTTATGGATTGTGTTGACTAGAGATATTTTGTATAGCTATTTGAGAAAAAATTTATTGTGCAAAAATCTTACATTCACTTTTTATGAAAACACGATTATGTATTAGAGAAAAGTATTTCATAATCCTATGTAATATTGGTCTTAAATTGATACAATGTGGCAGGAGCACCAAGGCACCAAGTAAAGCACTTCACTGCAAAACCGGTGCTTTTAAATTAACTAATTTAATTAGTTACATTTAGCAGCATTAAAATTGGTAGTATAATTTTGAGGCATATTTGAGTCACACTTTGTCTATTATTTGATTAAGTTTGCTTCATTTTTTCCTCATTGAATCACTGAAAGTCATGCAGCATCTCCAAACAGTTAATCTTTAAAAGATGGAAATTTTTTCACCTGACTGATACTTCTACATGATGCACAAAATGGATCATAATTTCTTTTAGCTTTGAGAATTCCATGATTTAGTTATAAAGATTTGGCAATGTCTACTGTTTTTAATTACATTGCCTAGTATGTGACAAGCAAATATTTTGGATATATCTGAATAAAAAAATGAAACAACTTTATTTATTCATAGCTTGCATCGTGAAGTTCTGAAAATCTCTTGGTTATTTCTTCACAAGAAAACATAGAAATGTAGTCTTTTCTCCAGTGACAGGTGTTTAAATCTTATAGCTGTTATTTCAATGTTATTTTTTGTTTTATAATTTAATTGTAGTGGCAACATTAATATGACATTTTAAATGACTTTGGAGAATACAAATGTAAACATAAACTGCATAAGATTTTATCAATACTGAAACTGTTTCTATAAACTTTATAAAATCAACCAGAGAAGAAGGGAGGGGGAAACATGAAAATAAGCCAAGCTTGCAGCACATTCAGCATTCATCATTAAGCCAGCTTGCTCTCTGGCCTGCTTTCTCAAATTGTTTTCTGCCTATTGCCTCCAAATCACATAGAACCTGTTACAAGATTATACTCCCTCTTAACTACTCTACAGTTAACATCTTAAGCATTGTGAAATGTTAAGTTTTCCACTTAAGATATTCTTTCAAGGTCCTGCGTGCCAATAAAACTACTGATGCCAGCTGGCCTGAAGAACTCCATGAAGATCTGACTGACTAAAGAATGCAGTTTCCAATCCTGGTGATTTCATCCCCCTTATCCCAAGCAGTCAATAACTTCTACTTTCCAGCCTCTTGTCCTCCACGATCCCCTTAAAAACTCTAGCCCAAAACTCCCCAGGGAGATGGATTCGAGGATTCCTCCTGTTCGCTCACTCAGCCACTCTGCAATCATTAAACTCTTTCTCTGCTGCAAATCCTGCTGTCGCAATGTGTTTGTCTGTTACTGCACAGCAGGCTTATGAACCTGCTGGTCCTGTAACAACACTAGTAACTCAATGTAGGTGACAATCTAGTCATATTCCTTTTATGCACATCTGACACTGTATAGGCATAAGTAAAGGCAATAAACACATCTTTCCCATCTGTCAAGAGATTGGCTGAAAAGATGTGAGAAAATGTATATGCATGTATCTAGTATTAAGAAAATATGGTATTTGAAGAACAGAAAAATAATGATTAAACTGGTGCAAGTCATCATTAAAATTTCAGGAATTGTTAAGTAGTTTTTGTGTACTCTATTGCCTTTTTGCTTCATGCCTTTTTAGAACAGAAATTATGAGGCAGTTTCTACTGTTGCCAGGACTATTCAGTGTGGAGTTTCTGTATGAATACAAACTGCCTCCATTTCTTTATCTAACCTGAGTTTAAAATTATCCCAAAGAATTTGTTTTAGGAAATAAAAAATGATAATAAAACATTTCAGAGCCAAAGTGACATGACATAGGAGATATAAATTGTAATGCTTTTCTACTCCTTAGTTTCCATACAGACAAGTAAATGGTATACAGGTTGTACCTATATAAAAAGGTACAATATATGTATAATATAGGCAGTATTCTATATTAAAAGGGTACAAGAAAATTGAAGAATCACTGCATAGAAGACATAATAAAATGAACAAAGATATGTAAATAAACCTGAAACTTAGTAACAGAAAGGACTGTAGAGATCATAGAATCTAATCTTTTTTTCAGAAGAGAAATTTCAAATCCGGAGAGGTTACCTGAGTTTTCCAAAAGATGGTTAGTGGTCATGGATCATAAATATCATAAAGATAGTGACAAAAACAGGATTAGAACAAGACTTTTCTACTAAACATTCTAAAGGAATGTTTAAGATGATATGTAAGTCTCAATAACAGTTTCTATTCATAGTTGATTGTGGATTTCAAATATAGTCTTTCCCCAAGCCTTTCTCTATAATTTTTCCTTCTGTTGCCTTCTGCATATCACCCATTCCCTGAGTTATCTACTTTTTTTCCTCTGAAGCGCCTGCATTCCTCATGGAGAAGAGACAATTCCCTAGGCAAGAAAATTGGTGGTCAGATGGGAAGCACAACTGCTTATGAAATGAATAAAGAAGAAGATAGGAGTTTGGGGGAGTGGGCATAGGAGAGAAGTCACAGGAGTGTAATTTGACAATGTTGGACTCAAATGTTCAAGCTTCTCCCTAAAGAGTCAGCAGTCACCCAGTTCCTAGAGGAGGTATCTCAAAAATCCTTTGTACTTTAACATCTTATTAATCTCATACACATGCATATGTGTGTATGGGTGTGGGTGATTTGTTTCTTCCCTCAACCTGCAAAATTATAAATTCCCTAGAGTTGTAAAGGAACTTGGAATCTTCAGCATGGTATTGGACACATAGCAGAGATTCTATAAATTACATGTTGATTGGTTGGTTTATAATTTTATGTGCATGTCTGATGTTCTCAGATCTGGAGTTATAGATCTATCCTAATTGTCTGAATTAAAAACATTCTATTCACTATTTCACTTATTCATTATTAAGTGCTTATTATGTGCCAGGCAAGTGCTGCGCTAAAACCTTGAAGCTGCAAAGATTTTACTGCCTCTACTATATCCTCCACCACCACAACTAATGAAACTGTTGCTGCTGCTGTTGCTAAGAAAAATGATAATAAAGATGAAGGCAATGATTACTAACATTCGTTGAGTGCTTACTTTCTCTCAGGCATTGTGCTAAGTGCTTTACTCATATAATCCTTCGAGCAAATATAGGAAGTAACTACTATTATTATTTTTGTTCCATTGTTGAGAAAACTGAAGCTTGTTGTCCAGCATCACATTGCTCATAGCTAACACATCTAGGGTTAGGTATCACAGCTGGGGTTAAGCAAGTCATCTGGGAGGACTGCAAGCAGTCCAGCTCCAGAGCTACTTATGATAGAGGGAGCATCTCTGCCCTCTAGGAGCTCACAATATGGAGCAGGAGAACAGTACATGACTGGATGTGATGTGTCAATTATAATTTTTAAATTAAGTGCAGTGAATGCACAAAGACTGACATGCTGAGTGGTCTTCTAGAGAAGTTATGGAGTCTTCATAGAGCAGGTAAATTATGACATAAGTCTAATAGGAGTTCTTAGCTTATTTTTTATATAGTACCTTTTGTAGTCTGATAAACTTTTCACAGACAATATTTTTAAATGCATGAAATAAAATACACAGAAAACTATATGGAAATATAGATATTTATAAAATAAAATTTTTATGTAGAAATAATTGTTTCTTCATTAATGCATTAAATAACAAGATCTCGTGATGACTCTAATAATTTTCCTAACTCAAAAAAGTAATGAACCTAAATGTTTTTGCTATATCTACAAAAACTGTGACCTGTTATGAAAATACCTAATTTCTGTTGGTGACAAAGTCATAGCTTCTGCTGATGATACAGAGGCTTGCAGCCTACAGATAATTTTTAAATATACCCTAAATTTCAGTTAGAGGGTAGCAAAAGTAAACATATATTTTTTCCCTTCCCCATTCAAAAATATATTGAATTATATTCATGGTCTATCTGAGGTCCATGGGCCTCAGGATAAGAACCCATGGAAAAATGAGGAGGCATTTATGACATGAACAAAGAAGGTATAACCTGCCATGCTGATGTGGAAAATGCCACTTTAAGGGTTATCTTAAGTTTAATCACAAAGTCCACACTTAACGAATAAGCAACAGATTATTACTTTCACACTATGAACTGTAAGAACAGCCTGCTGAGAAGCACCATTAATTAAGACTGAACATTAGGCAGGTTTGCTCTACAAATTTTGTTCCTCTTTCACTACATCCAACTTAGAATTTACATGATCTTTCCAGCACTATCCTGCTGATTTCAGTGTCTTAGTAGTTTTATTTTTAAGGTAAACATTTGGTTCAATGTAAACATAGTTTCTACTTAGGTAGCATCCAGAGTAGGGGTAAGTAAACCCAACATGTACTCATCAAAGTAGTCCCCAGTCACACCGGGACCAGCATTTTGGCAGATGACTGAGTGGGAGGATTCAGTGACTATCCAATTTGGGGCCTAGGAAACATATTAGAAGGGCTGATAGAAGATAAGAATGAAGAAAGGAAGGGGTTCTTGGTCACTCTTTGAAGGTAGGGTGGCCATTGGAATGTACTGGACATCACTGAAACAGAATGTTCACATACTTGCTTTCCATCCAGCCCACTGCTGCCAGGCTTCAGTGTGTGCTGGGAAGTTTCTCATAGCACATGCAAAGGCTCCAAGTAGTTCATTAAAGCTTCTCACCTCTTCCTTGCTCACCCTCATCTTTGGAGGTGTAAATTAGAGAGGCAGATGTACAATCTGGGAAGTTTTCCAGCTATATATTTAGAACATGGAATGTTCAGCACTGTGGGCGTTGAGCAGAGTTTTTCAGTCTGTCACACACCCAGACTCAGTGCCAAGGAAACCCCCCAAATGGCCCTTGAGTGCTTGGTTCTAGAACAAAATAGCAACCCCTCAAAGGACAGGCCACATTTTGCATATTATTTTTATTGTATAATAAATAACTGTATAATATATTGGGGGAAAAAAGGTTTCCTATTGAAGTCTGGGAAGCTCTAAGTAATCTGGCCAGATGATATCTATTAGGAGAAATATTAAAGGGTTCCTTTATTGTAATTGGTAGAAAATCGCCCCAAGAAAAACACTGGATACCAGAAGGCTGAAATAGCATAAGAGTATACTTACTTATATTTGAAAAGTACTTTCCAGCTTGAAAAGTGCTTTAATATATTTTATTTCATATTATCCTTACAAAATTTGGTAGAAAATCAGACTCAGATTGAGTAGGTCTGTCAATGTCATGAAGATATGTCATGGTAAACTTAGGTCTCAAGCTCTTCATTCAAGAAACTACTCAATAACTACCATTTGTTAAGAGAATACACGGGGAAAAAAATAGAACTCTACAATCACCAAATTTTCTCCACTATTTCCCAAATAAAAGAATCATCTGAGAAATAGAAATAGTCAAGTATGAATGGAGATTAAGGGAAGCCTCATCAAGAAAAATTGTTCCTATGGGTGGTTTTAATGCATAGAGATCTGCATAAGTGAGTTGCTTTAGTCTTTGCTACTCTAAAATTATCTGGTCTTCTTTTACTCTAAATTGTAGAGTTAGGCTCCACTGATAGAAAAAAAGAGCTCTCTTTTTTAAATTCCTCAATCAGATAATTCTGAGATGATTTCTGCATGGCTTTTCAGAAGCTCACAATAGGAATGAGGGCCAATTGCTTCCTGTGATGACCATTGCAAGAATCCACCCTTTTAATTATCTTCCTTTCTTTCCATTTTCGCTCTTTCTCATCTCTTTCTTCTCTTCTCTGAGGTCAGTTCCAAAATAAGCCAGTTGTATACAGCTTTTGTTTCAAGCTCTGCTTTGTAGGGAAAGCCTATGTTAAAAACACAGGGAACTATAGGTCTTTGTTTTATGTAACCTAAATTTCTCTGTTGCTCTATGTTTTTTAAAAAATGATGTTACTTCATACTATGAACTCCAAACATTAATGGTTGAACCAAAACACCTTAAGAAAAAAGTGAACGCCATATGCTTCCAACTTTGAAGGAAGCTGGAGTCAATGTAGCCCGTTTAAATGGCTCACAATACATACCACAAAGTTTCAAGACCATATTCAAGTGTTATGTTCTGCCCATCTCCCATAATTAGAGCTCTGAGCAGAAAAAAAAAAATGAAAACACCTTCTGCCCTGCAAGTTTTCCCAGCATAGATTCAGCCTTAAGGCAGATTTCCTTTCAATTTTGTAGGCCCCCAACTGAGGACTCTACTAATATGCTCTATTCTATTTTTATCAAAAAATTCAGCTTGCCTTTCTTAGCATGATCCATTCCAAGTGAATGTGCTTGGAATTCCTAGTCTCTTGACTTTTCTCTGGTAGCAGAACACATGTAAGCATTGTTCCTGACAGCCACATTGCCACAGGCACCTCCTTATCTCACATTCTGCATTCAAGAAGAAATGCCTTCTGCCCACTTTACTGGTCCATTCTGCATTGGCTTTGGGAAAGATGACCACAGTGCTTCCAATGAACTGAATGCTTCTAACTTAATCTAAGGAAAAAGTAAATTTCCAAATTCCTCATTCTATATTTAAATAATGACCAGTTAACTGACATTTTTCAAAAATGTAGTAAAAAGTCATATGATTGACTTGCATTGTGACATTATTTACAAAAATTTGGGGAGGCAGTCATTTAGCTGCTGCCTCCATTCATCTGCTGCTGAGGAAATAACTGTGGCAAAGTTTTTATTTTAAACATGATACCAATCTGTGTGAAGTGCACAAAAGCATTGGCTGTTGTATTTTGTTGTCTACTATTAAGCCTCATTTAAATTGTTTAAGTTCAGCATAAGGACATTCTATTTTAATTCCATGGTTGAACTCAAGAACACAAATAAATATCTGATAAACATGGTGTGCTACTGCAAAGACCCAATATTTGATATATTTTAAAAATTAGACAAGCATGAAATAATTATGATTAGATGATCATTTTTAGGTGTTTCCACATGTCAGAAGTAAATAAAACCACTCTTCCTCTTATTTTTTAATGACGTGAAATGACAGGTTTTGTGGATTATATTTAGGTCAGGTATAACCGTATATACTATTTCCGTTTAAACACAAATTATTTTGAAAAAATTTTGCTGTTCTTTAAAGTGACCACTAGATGGTATGCAAATACTCTTTCTTCAGTTCTGGTTCTACTGTTTTTAGATTTTTAGAACATGAGATGTACCTTGTGTATGTGATGTTCTGATTTAACTTTGTTCTTGTCCTTGCAATGGGGAATAGGAGGAGGAGACATTGCTTAGATTAGGTATTTTTAATTAAGTATAGTCAACACTACAGAAACAATTTTATTTCCCTACATGTTGAAGATGATATTTTGACTTTTTAAATTTTACATTTTTCATACCATTTTCCCAGTATACTCAAGAATTAGTTATTAAACAATAACATTTAAAAATTGGCTGCAATTAGCTAATGTATTTCAAACTTAGAAGTTCTCTTGACTTGAATAACTAAAAATATTTTACATTAAGTGTTTTAAAAATTGCTTAGACGTTTAAAAAACTACATGATTACCAAATATAAATGCCACCTCTACTCTGCCAAAAAAAAGTAAATAAATAAAGATAAATGTTTTGTATGTAAACTAGCGAATACTTTTAATAGCTAAAAGTAATTCCCAAGTTAGCCTATTTAAATATATGTATTTTCATATATGTGAAAATGTTCAATGTCCCTCTGTCTAACTGAAATTTTGATTTTTTTCTTTTTTGAGAGGGAGTCTCACTCTGTCACCCAGGCTGGAGTGCAGTTGCGCAATCTTGGCTCACTGCAACCTCTGCCTCCCTGGTTCAAGTGATTCTCCTGCCTCACCCTCCTGAGTAGCTGGGATTATAGGCACCTGCCACCATGCCCAGCTTATTTTTGTATTTTTAGTAGAGATGGAGTTTCATCATATTGGCCAGGTTGGTCTCCAGCTCTTGACCTCAAGTGATCCATCTATCTTGGCCTTCCGAAGTGTTGGGATTACAGGTGTGAGCCACCAGGCCCAGCCTGAAATTTTGATTTCTTTTCCCTAACTAATGAATGAAACTAATGGGTTATGTCTTAATCCATTTAGTGCTGCTATAATGGAATACAAGACACTGGGTAATTTACAATGAATAGAAATTGATTTGACTCATGATTATTGAGGATTGGAAGTCCAAGATTGAAGGTCTGACATCTAGTGAGGTCTTTCTTGCTGTGACATAACATGGTAGAAGGTATCACATGTATGAGAGGGAGTGTGAGAGAGGGTCAATCTCACTTTTATAATAAACCCACCCCTTGGAGAATGACATTAATCCATTCATGAGAGCAGGGCCCTCATGACCTAATCACCTCTTAAAGTTTCCGCTTCTCAACATTGCTGCACTGGAAATTAAATTTCCAACACATTTTGGGGACACATTCAAAACATAGCAAATTACTATTTCCCATGAGGTAATGCCATCCACTGTTGTACAGTAGTCTCCCCTATCCATAGGGAATATGTTCCAAGAGCCCACAGGGATACCTGAAACCACGAACAGTACCAAACTCTATATATTCTATGATTTTTCAATCTGATTATCCTCAGCCACTAAGTGACTAACAGGTGGGTAGCATATACAGTATAGATAGGCTGAGCAAAGGGATGATTCACGTCTTGGATGAGATGGAGTGGGTTGGTGTGGGGATTTCATCACAGTACTCAGAACAGTGCACAATTGAAAACATGAATTTTTTATTTCCGGAATTTTTTACCTCTAATTTTTGGACCACAGTTAACTGCAGGTAACTGACAGCATGAAAAGCAAAACTGTGGCTGAAGAGAGACTACTGTATAGCAAATCGATGGTGAGCCCAAGTCATTCCAAAACCAACTGCTATCTGAAGTATCATGCAACACTACCTCCGATAATTAGACAGTTTATATCCATCATTCTCACTGTATTATTCCTCCTGTAAAGCAGAAGTTTTGGGCAGCAGTTACCTGCCTATGGTCTCAGTCTATGGCCTCCCGTTGGCAGCAGTCATGCTCCTGTCATTCTTCTGCATGAGGGTTAATAAAATATCAGCAAAGCATAGCAGGGAAAGTGAAGATGACATGGATGGTCACAGGTATCCCTGACTCAAGTGCGTATGCATTAAGTGAACAATATCCTTCAATATGCAATATACTTATATGTATTAGTGCAGTTTCAGGGACAAAAACACCATATTTAGTTACATTATTTAGCTGTTTATATAAGCACATATGCCTATACAACTATACACAACTATATATGTATCCACACTATAAATGTAAAAGGTAACTTACATACATAATTAGATAAATAGTAAGGAAACTCCTTAAATCCTAAATTATCTAAATTTTCCCTATTACCCATTCTCAGGTAATTGAGACTTCAGCAGCAGCCTGAACTTCATGTTCATCTACGTGATTCCTCTTTTTACCACATTTGTTCTAAATCCTTGGCCTTATAATTTCATACTTGCTTTCTGTTCTTGTTCGGGGTCACAAAGTAATCTCAGAAGGAGATAGACAAACGTGGATTTCTCACCTTACAGAGACCAACTCAATGGTAGTCCTCCTGCTTGCGAATTTATTGCTGAATCCCCCAGAATAATTCTATCCATATAATTTCCAGCTTCTCTTATTCCACACACATACACTATTTATTTATGAGCTCACCTTTGGCTTCATTGAAAAGATGGAATGTCTTGGATTTATTCTTCTTAACCTGATATTTTATTTTCTGAAAAAATAATTGCAAGGGAAGGTGTGCTGATCTTTATAACCCATAATCAAGTAACTTTTCATCCCATCATTTCCTGACACCTGAGAGCTTTGCTCTGTATTGTTTATGTTGAGCCACTCCTAACTTAATACATCGTATTTTTTTTATCTTAATACACAACAACCAGAAAACAAACTCCAAAGAATCCTTCCTTTTCTCTGCTAGACTTGCCCCTGGTTATCAACTTTTGTCTTTTATTTCACTGAAAACATGTCAATATTCCAGCATTTTTCTTCCCATTTTTTATCAACTATGACTTCTGCAATTTTACACCTGACACCCCTCTTCTAAAAAATGCTGGTTTTAAATTTCCAGCACTCCATTTATAGCCACCTCTCCTGGCACTTTGACTGGACCTCTGGTCTCTTAGTTTGTTGACCAAGCTTTCCTTTGTGAACCTCTCTTGTGGTGTGGACTGTATGGATCACTATCTTCATGTTCCTCCAATCATTTTGATACCATGTTTATTTTAGGTCTCTTGCATTTCCATTTTCTTCCTAATTGTAGATATTTCTCAGCTCTCATTGCATTACTGAACCTTTGCTTTTCCATTTATTTTCCACTTATTTACTTATTCATTCACCCATTCCTTTTATACAGCTATCAGTTTATCCATACCACCACTAAATATGCCATATTGTATTGGGATATGGCTCTACAGGGTAAAGATCGCTATAGAAGAGCTGAGTGGCAAGTGTTGAAAGAATGCTAACATTGGGAAATAACCATTTGACAACAACATACAATTGTATATATAAACCATATAATCATAACAAAGATTAGTTCAGGCAAGAATCATCAATGGACATTAACTCTAGAAGGAAATTTTGGTGAGGTACAAGATATTCGCAGTGTCTTAAAATGTCTCCTAACATATTGGTTAACAGTTGCAAAGGAAATTATAGGGATCACAGAATACAGAAATTAAACATCACTTTGGGTGATAAAATCAACATCAGAAAATGAGACATTGTCTCCCTGCATGCATTATGCCCTGATAAAATATCACTTAAGCATTTGGACTTCAGCTTCCTCATCAATGAATTGAAGATGTGTCTTGTGAATTCAAGAACACAGCTTGGTGCCTAGATTATAGAAAACATTCAATAAATGTTAATTGCTCCATTTCAAGTCTTCTCTAATATGACTTTATACATTTCATACATTTATTCCCATGGTTCCTCAGTATGTTCTCTTCGCCCAAATCCCATGTGTGTTTCTTTTCCTTAACTAGATTGGCAGCTAGCATTTAGCATTGTGTCTCGCATAGAATAGATGCTGATGCATTTTTTTTATTGCCATTGGTTTTTGATTACTTATGTACCATGTTTTGTCTGGCCAAGTGAAGGAGAAAGGACTCTTCTAATTTATACTAAATCTGTTGCTATAGATACCACATTTTCCTCTAGGTTTTCATTTTCTTACTTCTTTCTATGATACCAGCAAATTATTTTCATCACATCTCTTTTTACCTTGATTTAGCTAACCACACAAATAACAAGCAAGAAATGTAATAATTTAGTAGAAAAACAATCTAAATGTAAAGCTTAAAAACAATTGCCCTTATAATAAAGTTTACCATCCAAAACTAATATTGGAAGACATATTCATAGATTATGTTTTGAAGCATAATGTAACAATAACGTTTTAAAGTAGAGGTGTTATCCAATTGTGGCTAAAGAAATGAATTGCTAAGACTATGCGATGCAATTTAATTAAGTAGTTTTAAATCTCATCTGTTACATTAATATTGCATTGGCAAATACGTTTATTGATTACACAGAGAAATAAGGTAACTATAGATTTTAAACTACAATTATTTTCCATTGTGTCTAAGAAATAATTAAGCTATTAAGTTTGAGTGCATGACTCATGTTAATTATGCTTCCTCAGAACTTCATTATTTACATTAAAATTCATCTGTCAATTTAGATTTTTGATTTGGAGAACAACAAAAATACGGTTTTCATTTGTTATTTAATATATTTAGCATACAGTTTATGCTAATTAGAGCATATTGTAATTTGTCTATATTATAGCATGAAATGAGGAAAATGAATATTGATTCAATACAAATAAAGTGAATGAGAGTCAATTTAATATTTTGAGTGACTTTTAGTAATCTTTTCATTAATTGTGTAGCTCAGATTAAATTTTTTAAGCTTTCTTTTTAGATAAGCTTAGTAAATGTATTAAGGTAATAAATGTTTCATAAATTAACTACTTGTCCTTCAGTTTGAGAAATTGAATGCTTGCAATAGAACCTTAATTCTTTGCATATAGAAAATCAAAGCAATATTTTCATTTGGTTTAAAAAGTTAGAAAAAGAAATTAGCTTTATGGCATCATAATCCATGGTACTTTTGTAGCTTGTTAAATGCATGGTAGTGTTGAATTCTTGAGATAAAAAGCAACGACTAACAAATAGCTCACCTTTATTTAGTCCTTTTTTCATAGTATTTAAAGCCACAGTGCCATAAGACAACACCTAGGGATATAACACCAATCTTCATCTAACTTATTTGTAAGTAATTTTCAATATCTATCAAATAATGAATAAAAAGAAGTGAGAATAAAGGAAATATTTTGTTCTAAAATCTATATGCATAATATTAATAACCTCTGTCAAATTTTACTAGATGAACAGCATCTTGTATACTCTAATTTTCATCTTAACTCTATGAACTCCATTTGACAAATTAAAAAATAGTCCTATATTAACTTAAGAGAAAAACTTTGGAAAAATTAAATATGGCAGAGTTTGTTTGAGCAAAGTATGATTTATGAATTGGGCAGCAATTAGAACCAGGAGAAGTTCAAAATGTTCTGCCCAGCATTGTGGGCAGGCAGTGTTTATAGACAGAAAAAGAAAGTTATACAGAAACAGCTTAATTAGTTACAGTGTAGAATTTGCCTTACAGGGACTTCTTCTAGTCAGTTGGCAGCCTATGAATGACTGAAGCTCAGCTGCGACTGGTTGAGACTCAGCTACTTATTACAAGAATATACTAAGTGGGGTTCAGTTTGCTTATATACTTAGTTAGGCTGGAGTTCACGATGTAAGAATTCAAAGTACTGAGGAAGTTTTAGGCTAAATTTAATTTTATTTAACAACCTCCACGTCCAAAGGTTAAATAACCTGGCCAAGGTTATGAGGGAAGTGCAGGCAGAACTAGAATTTAAAAATAGGCCAGTCTGGGTTTATAGTCTGTGCTTTTAGCCACGATGCATACTGTCTTCATAGGCATGATTATATTTAAGTGTAAAGACCAACCAAGTTTTAGTCTCTACTTTTTTCCTTTGATCATGGCTATATTCTACATTCATCTCACCAGAAACCTAAGAAATATATAACTTTTCAAATCATGTATTATATTTTAACATTTCATTTTATAGAAATAAATTATTTGGATGCCAATCTTTAAAATACCTGAAATCATTTTAACCTGATTTTCATTTTTCTGATGAAGGCTGGAAAATGTTTAAAGTGGGAACTGTAACATCTACCATCAAAGATTATTGTAAGGATTGAGGTGAGGTAAGATACCACAGAAGTTATGTGTAAAAAATTACAAAGTGTGCTTTACGAATGTGAGCAATATTTTTACTTTTCTCTGTGTGTTTTATGACTGTTCATAATAATGACATAGTTACAACTAGAAAAAGGAGATTCAACTTTCGACTAACTAGTACCACAAATAAATTCCTAAGAATGGTGCAATAAAAAGATCTGTTTTTCCCCTTGAGTATGGGGGAGATATGAGTTATTTAAGGAATTTCAACTGGTACTCTGATACACTAGCTGGTTTAGTTCCTCTGTGGAAACAATATTTTATGTTTTTTAACAATATTTAAAATTTTTAACAATATTGGGTAGAACCTAAGTTTTTTTGTATGTGTGTGCATGTCCCTTGTTTTGAAAGATATATATATATATATCTTTTTAAAAGTATCTATGATCCAGTTACCTCTCAAGTTTTTATTTATTATGGCAGGTGGGCAAGCACCCAGTTCATCTAATATACATTGTGTATATATATATATATATATATATATATATATATATATACACACACACACACACGTCAGAAATATATATATATATAAAATATATATATTTATTTATATACTGCCACTCTGTTCACACAGAATGGCCTCTTTAGACAAGAATAAAAGTAATACTTTAACATTTTTTCAACAAGTACTAATTCTACCACCTGCATATCCGGTATCTAAAGGACACAAATCTCCCTCTAATTACATGGAATATTAGCGCTTCAGACACGTGTACAGAATTCAATCATGAATTAATTGTAACTTAATACTTGCCAGATGTTCACTTGAGAGAGCTAATGTTTAAGAGGTGGCATAGAGATTCATTAAGTACTCATTCCTCTGAGTTCACTAACTTCCCTCGTTTCTCCATCCTGAGTTAGGCCACAAAGAAGCAATATTGATTTTCCTTACGTTCTCATAAAATACTTCGAAGTCAGGAAATAAGACCACATCTCATATATAGCCACTTCCAGAAGATCATTCCTCTTCTGTTGTAAAAACAGTTTTCCACCCTGACATGTAAACAGCTTGATAGTCATCACCCCCATCCTTACAACAAGGAAAAATTGAAAACGAACAACTCTTCTTGGATCCCTCAGATAATTGGGATTCCAGGAAAACCATTGCCCCAAAACAGGAAAGACAGTCAAAGAAGCACAGTTTACCAGAAGGCATAAGCTGGTGTAGACAGTGATTGGTAGGAATAATTAATAGAATTGACAAAAATGCTACAGGTGAACTAGCCTCAGAGTTAAAACCCCTGGAAGGCCCCACACTTTTATTATTTTTACCCCCAGGAACCCTACCAGGTTTTCGTGGTGAAGATTAGAGAAAAAGCTTCCTATATGTTAGGCACCGGGAGGGGAAACACAACCACTTTAAAATACACCTAGAGCATTCTGTTCTCTTTAACAAAGGTTGCTCTCAACTGTAACTACTTTACTAGAGCCTCATCTGACCTGGGAGAAGTGCAATAAGCCAACTCCCAGCCCACTGGCCTTCCTGTCTCACATAAGTGGAGAAATAAAAAGGCTATGAGACTCTTCTGATGGTCACAACCCAGGGGCTCTGTTCCCCTAAACCCCCAAATGGAGATTTAATTATAGGATTATAGAATGCTTTCCCTCCCCAGCACTTCACACACTGTCAGGGCTATAGGATTATATAATAGCAGTAGATTACATCTTACAGACTTTATATATATATATATATATATATTTTTGTTACACTTTAAGTTCTAGGGTACATGTGCACAACATGCAGGTTTGTTACATATGTATACATGTGCCATGTTGATGTGCTGCACCCATTAACTCGTCATTTACATTAGGTATATCTCCTAATGCTATCCCTCCCCCCTTCCCCCACTCCACAACAGTCCCCAGTGTGTGATATTCCCCTTCCTGTGTCCACGTGTTCTCATTGTTCAATTCCCACCTATGAGCGAGAACATGCGGTGTTTGGTTTTAGTCCTTGTGATAGGTTTGCTGAGAATGATGGTTTCCAGCTTCATCCATGTCCCTACAAAGGACATGAACTCATCATTTTTTATAGCTGCATAGTATTCCATGGTGTATATGTGCCACATTTTCTTAATCCAGTCTATCATTGATGGACATTTGGGTTGGTTCCAAGTCTTTGCTATTGTGAATAGTGCTGCAATAAACATACGTGTGCATGTGTCTTTAAAGCAGCATGATTTATAATCCTTTGGGTATATACCCAGTAATGGGATGGCTGTGTCAAATGGCATTTCTAGTTCTAGATCCCTGAGGAATCACCACACTGTCTTCCACAATGGTTGAACTAGTTTACAGTCCCACCAACAGTGTGAAAGTGTTCCTATTTCTCTACATCCTCCCCAGCACCTGTTGTTTCCTGACTTTTTAATGATTGCCATTCTAAGTGGTGTGAGATGGTATCTCATTGTGGTTTTGATTTGCATTTCTCTGATGGCCAGTGATGAGCATTTTTTCATGTGTCTGTTGGCTGCATAAATGTCTTCTTTCGAGAAGTGTCTGTTTATATCCTTCACCCACTTTTTGATGGGGTTGTTTTTTTCTTGTAAATTTGTTTGAGTTCATTGTAGATTCTGGATATTAGCCCTTTGTCAGATGAGTAGGTTGCGAAAATTTTCTCCCATTCTGTAGGTTGCCTGTTCACTCTCATGGTAGTTTCTTTTGCTGTGCAGAAACTCTTGATCTTTGACAAACCTGACAAAAACAAGAAATGGGGAAAGGATTCCCTATTTAATAAATGGTGCTGGGAAAACTGGCTAGCCATATGTAGAAAGCTGAAACTGGATCCCTTCCTTACACCTTATACAAAAATTAATTCAAGATGGATTAAAGACTTAAATGTTAGACCTAAAATCATAAAAACCCTAGAAGAAAACGTAGGCAATACCATTCAGGACATAGGCATGGGTAAGGACTTCGTGTCTACAACACCAAAAGCAATGGCAACACAAGCCAAAATTGACATCTTACAGTCTTGTAAGGCACAGGTTCTTTTTAAGAAGTGGTTTCTAGGGAAACCAAATTACAACAGGGTAAACAAAAGAATAAGAACACTAGAAGAAATTGAAACCTCTGACTCATGCAGCAACAGTAAACAAAACTCAGTTTAACCCCTAGCCAGGTAAACTAAAAGCCTATTTACTTCAGTTCCTATTACCCAATATATCATGTCCAACATTCAACAAAAAATTACAAGGCAAGGACAAGCAGAGTCTGAAGAAACAAAGCAAACATCAGAACCAGACTCAGATATAGCAGAGACTTGGCCATTACCAGAATAGAAATTGTAAATAAGTATGATTAATATACTAAGGACTTCAATGGAAAAAATGACACACAAGCAAAATTGTAACACTTTTGGTCTCTACCTGCAACACAGTCCTTAGCATTGTCTAGCAATCTTTCTGTGTTTCCCTACTTTGCTACCTTTTCTTGCATTCTTCAGAGATGCCATTTTACTATTCTCAAATATCAGGCACTGAATCTTTCGTTTATAGCATTAACACCAGAATTTAATAAAGAAAACAGAAGCTGTCGCACAATCACTTGACTTCCTATTGGGAAACTACTCAGAACATGGACTCCAGAGTCAGACCTATGTTCAAATCCTAGCCCTACTAAGCATATGGCCTTGGCCTTGGGGAGGTAACTTAACCTTTCTGAAAGAGTTTTAGCTTCTATATAATAATGATAATAAAATTATTTTCTTCATTGAATTATTTTGAGGATTAAATGAACGTGCATTTTAAATGTTCAAAATAGTGCTTAGTACATAGTAGATCCTCATTAAATAGTATAAATTAAAATTATTGTGATTGTCACTGTTGTTTATGCCATCCATTTCTACAAGCCCGACTTCTTAAATATTTATTCCCTTCTGTTTTAAAGGAAAAGGTATCCTTCTTGGTACAACATGAAAAGCTCATCCTTTCACCTATATTTTGAATTCTATTCCCTCCTGCCTTTCAGGTGCTCATTTCTAGTTTCGATTACTTTTAAGTCTCGTTATCCTGTATCTTTCCTACTTATTTCTTCGTACCTCTTTCTCATCATCATTTAAGTATGCTTAATTCTGTCCACCTTAAAGGCAAAGGAAATGAATTCCATTTTCACTAGCGGCTTATATCCAACAAACTCTCCTACAGACAACTATTATAAACTGTAGAAACATACAAAAATAACTGTGTGATGGCCCTAAAAATGACAAACATCAGAGAGAACTGGAAAAGATTCAATCCTTGAAAGAAGAAAAACAGACTGGGTGAGATTTACACTTATAGGGCTTTTCTCCTGAAGGCACTCCAGAGCCCCAGTGTCATGAGTGGCTAGGACTTAAGTAGAAATCTGAAGTCATGTGCTTGAGAAGTAGAAGGGTAGAAGGCAGTGCTACAAGGGTGGTTGGAAACTGAGAGTGGAAATTTTCAAAAGGACAGATCCACAAAATGGGAAGCTCCAATGGGTATATAAGCTCCCCTGAAATATGAATTCTTCCAGAGCTGCAAAAATCCCAAGTGAAAAAAATTCAAAAACAAACAGCTACAAGGTTAAAAGAGTTAAATAGAGATTTCACCTGTTGCCCATTTCAGGGAAAAAGAGTTGGAATCCTGACAAAGCAGAAGCACTTGATAAACAACTGTGTATTGAAACTCTAGGAAAGCTACTTTAGGAGTGAAGACTACATCCTGGACTAAAATAGTCTCCCTAGGACAGAAGAAAAACAAACAAACAAACAAAAAAACAAAATAGACCCACTCTTGCAAAGCTTACAGTTAAGCCTGCAGGTTTCCTGTCTGGCAATTACTGAGTAGATTCTATTGAATCAACTCTTCCGAAGATAACAACAACTTCTATTTAAAACTCCAAACCAAACAAATAGAAAACCTACCTGAAGGCACTGGGTTACTAAAAACAGGCAGAAAACTGCAGGGATGTAGGCCGTTGGAAGAAGGGATCACACTGGATAGATTTTCCATTTTTCACAGCTTTACTGAAAATAGGTTGGACTTACCACAGGGACAGCTAAGCATAGAGAAAAACATCTTTAGTCTTACTTGCTCAAAGAAAGAGAAAGTAAAGGTATGGACAGTCACAACAGCTGAAGTGAGACAGTGACAGCCCCAAGTTGTATCTGACCTCTGAACGGATCTCTGGCTGGTCACCGAATGACACACTGATAGGACAGACTGCAAGCGACCCAGCAGTAACAAAAAGAGCTACACATGGATTTCAGCTATCACCCACGTTAGAGAAAACAGAGCTTGTAAGTTTTAGGATGGCCAATTTCTACTAACAATTTCTGGTATGTTAAGCAAATCATATTGTGAGCAGTTTAAAACTAGTTCTGTCCCTGCATAAATAGGATGTAGATTATCCTATAGCAAAAACTGCTAAGTAGTTAAGAATAAACATAAATTACAGTTTAGATGTCTGCTTATTATGAGCCATTATTTATTATAATTAATAAAAAATTAAAACCCTGAAGGGAATAGAGAAGAATCCAGAATCTGTACAATATATAATTTTTTTATGCTTAGGATACAATCCAAAATTACCAGGCATATCAATAAATATAAAAACATGACCCACAATCAAGAGAAAAGGCAATCAGTGGAGACGAAACTCAAGATAACCTAACTGTTTTAATTACCAAATAAGGATTTTAAATTACTTACTATAACTGACCTCAAGGAAATAAAAAGTAATAAATCGATTGGAAATCTCAGAGATATAGAAATTATTAAAAAATTGCAACTCAATAATATAATAAATATCTCAGTAAAAAATAGCAAAAGCTTTAAATTGGAAGTTTATATAAGAAGTTCTATAATTGGCAAAAATCATATTAAAAGATGTTCATTATTACTAGTTATCTTCAATGTAAATTTAAACTACATTGAGATACCGCTTCACACCCACTGGAATAGCTAAAGTAAAGCCTGAGTATACCAACTATTGAAGAGGATTTGAAGCAAGTAGAACTTGCCTATATTGTAAAATGTTAATCATTTTGAAAGTTTAGCATTATCTTGTAACTTTAAACATATGCCTAACCTTTGACCTGGTAACTACCTAGGTATTTACCCAAGAGAAAAGATGGGCAGTATTTTTCTTCACAGTGTACAAATAGCGAAGTCAATCTAAATATCCAGCAACAAGAGAACGGATAAACAAATGTGATGAATGAAACTCCATCCAGTATGAAAAAGCACAGACTGTGGTATCTCAATAATATGGGTAATTCTCAGAAACATTTAGCTAAGTGAAAGAAACCAGATCTAAAGGACTACATAATATATAATTCCATTTATATGAAGTTCAAGCATAAACAAAATTAAACTATGGTGAAGTCAGAAGACTAGCTATCTTTAGTGTCACAGGTAATGAGTAGCTGGGTCAGCGTCACAGGCAGTAAAGGAATTTACCATGACAGTTGTATGTAAAGAAAGGCAGATATATTAGAGAAAGTATGAAAATATGTTGTAAGTGTGCAACAGCCTGATCAGCAAGAGAGGAGCCGACGGCAAGGAGACAAAGGCTTGCTGGGGATTTTATAGGATGGTGCTTGTGCTGGAGAGAGCTACGTGCAGTACTGATAATACCAAGGTCATAGCGAGCTAACTTGCATTTTTCTATCAGGGTCTGCTGATAAGCTGGGCTCAGGAAGATCGCAAGTCATTTGCGCGGGAGGGCTATGTGTCCTGGACCATGAAAAAAGGCAGACTTACATAAAGCAGATATGCTTCCTCCTTTTGCTTTCCCCTCCTTGCCAAGACTGACTCCTTATCCCTTTAGGACTCCACATTTAGGAGATAGGATTTGACTAGAAATGGGCATTAAGGAACTTAGGATGATGAAAATATTCGGTATCTCAATTGTGGTGGTGGTTATATGGTTGTGTACCTTTGTACAACTCAATGCTCAAAACTTATTCTTTAATTAAGCAAAAAAATTATACCTCAATTTTAAAAAATTTAAAAAAAATTTTCGTTCTTACATAAATACTGGCTAGCATGCTAGCTGCAGTCCATTCCCTGACGTTGCCACATCCAATGCACAACTTCTGGAAATCTTCTGTGCTCTTTCTCTGCTCTGTCAGAACATATTAATATTCAGGCTCTCATTTTCTCTCATATGGCTTATTGAATTATCTTTTAATTAAGATCTCTGAAATGTAAGTGAAGTTATCTTTTTAAAATGCAAAATTGATAACATCACATTATTACTTAACAATTGATCTTAAGCTAAATCTCAAACTCCTTTCTGGGTTTTATAAGTGTCTTTATGTACCGTCTGTGTCCCACCTCCATCTTACTTTTTACAATTTACCCACTAGAATATTTAGTCCCAGACATTAGAAGTGTTTTCTGTTCAATTTCAAATCTTTCTCTATCTTTAAATTCCTCATATATGCTTATCCTTTGACATGAAGCAATCCTATTTTCCTCAACCTGACTAATTCCTACTCAATCATCTAGTCTCAGCTTAAACCTTTTGTTCTAGGAAGCTGTTCCCAACAATGTATTCTGTTCAGGGCATAAATGTTCTCAAAGATACCTACGCCTTTCAAACTATATTTAGTTACTCGTTTATTTGTCTATTTTTCTTACTAACTCCAAATATGTGATTTTAAGGATTATGTCTGTCATGTTAGGATTGCATTTACAACACCTACAACGATTTCTGGTCCATGGAAGGACTTCAATAAATATATAATTATTACTCAGTGATTGAATAATTAAATAAATGAATGATGAATGAAATAAAAAAATCAGTGAGTGTAATATTCTTGGCCTTGTTTTAAAAGAGGAACTACATAAAGTAGGCATTTAGAGAACAGTTGAATATCATCTACAAAATTATAGCCAAAAGTTTCATTCATAAATGTCTCATTGCTGCTTAAGTGTGCCACCTTTTGTATTGGCTGTTTTTAGAAACCTCTGACTGATAAGCAACATAGTCTTAACAATTTCTAACGATTTCTGGTATATTGAACAAATAAGATTGTGGGTAAGTTTCTGTTCTTGCATAAATAGGATATAAGTTCTGCTATAACAAACTGCTAAGTAGTTAAATAGTTAAATGTAAAAATAAGAATAAAAGGTAACGGTTTATAAGTAGACTTTCCAGAGAAAACTCAAGGAAAGCAACATAGTTATTAGAAGAAAATTTCCAGCAGCAAATTTGGGATTTAATCCATGGCACCTCTCAAGCATCACAAGAATGCATACAAATCTAATGATAACTAGGTAAATTATTTTTCCTAATTTTATTGCTCTGTAACAATCTGTCTATATTTGTTACATCCTCATTCTTTCCCAGGTTAATACCTGGCAAACCAATAAGATATGAAAACATTTGAGTGAATAATAAAACTTTTAAATAATAAAATAATGAGTTGTTTTCATTTTTTGTTTATTTTATTTAGTACTAGGTGATAATGCTATTAGCTAGCATTTACCAAGTGGTTACTGCTTATCAGATAATGTTCAGTTACTGACCACTGACAGATTTTGTTCCACCTTATTGAAAAATAAGTGAGAAAAATGAATGATGGATATTTATAACATAATATCAAGAAAAATAGCAGATTATAAAAAACTTAGTGAGTATAATTCTGATAATTTAAAATTATAGGTATACTGTGTGTGTGTGTGTGTGTGTGTGTGTGTGTGTGTAAAAAGCTGAGCAAATTACTCACCAAAATGATGACAATGATTATATCTGCATGGTGAGATTTAGGGTGACTCTTATTTTAAAAATGTTTTTACTGTGTTTTAAGTGGGCATTTAATGATGAGCACACATTATTTCAATTATCAGTAACAATTTCTCCCTTCTCACATACATTTTCACTTTGGAAAAATTAGAAGAGAAATATTATACATTTAGTTATTTATTAATCTTAGATCCACTTCTATGTCCATAAACAGAAACCTGTTACTTCAAGCTTTATAAATTTAGGATATTTTTCTCTATGTTCTATGCCTGAGCCATATTTTACCAGAATCAGAGTGAGTGGGAATGCCTCACTGAAAGACCAATGAATAATGTTAAAGGGAATAAATTGTAGTTGTGTCTTGGCTCCTGTTTTTTCTACTTAGTATATAGCTAAACAAATCAGTTTAGTTTTTAAATATATGAGCCCCACTAGAGTTAAGAACATAATCACTAAATACATTTATTTACTCTTACAAGTTTAAATGTACTTGAGAACTTATTGAAAAAGAATAATTTCTCATGAACTATGAAAACCCCAGAGTATTAGAGACAAGAATTTCCCACTATTCAGACAATATAAAATTATTCCATCCCAATTCCACTTGAGATATATATATATAGATATATATATATATATATATATATTTTTTTTTTTTTTTTTTTGAGAGACATGGTGTTGCTCTGTCATCCAGGCTGGAATGCAAGGGGTAATCTTGGCTCACTTCAACCTTGACCTCCTGGGGTCAAGTGACCCTCCCACCTCAGCCTCCCAAATAGCTGGAACTATAGGTTTCACCTGATAATTTATGAAGTGACAACTTGAGACTACAGCTTGCAGCTAAGCTAACATACTTTAGTAGGCTCAATAAAATTTGTGAACCTGGATTCAAAATCAGACATTCTATTAAAACCATCTAGTGATTTTCTTATTGTTTATACTTACACTTAAATTTTATAGGTTTTAATTTCCTATGTCTCCAGTCTTTGGAGCAGGTTTAGAGAACATTTTGAGAAAATATTTGGAACTGATTCCTACAGTTCATCTTTCCACAAGAGTACATTGGCACCATACTTGCAATAATGCAATTATTTAATAGCATGTTATCTACAACAAGGGGGTTTCTGTTCAACCACTTGTGTAATTTCTGCCCTTTAGACACTGACAAAAGAGCTTCATTCTATATTAACTCAATTCTTATCAAATATTTGAAACAAAGTAGTCCTTGAGAAAGAATGTCCAGAAAACATGCTATCTATCTTATCAGTAAATAGCTGGGCTTGCTTTCTCAGGAAAAGACCCCTTCTATAAATAAGTCTCCTAGAAGTAATTACCTTCTTAGGATATTGAAGCTTAGTGAATATGGGCTCATGAGGAACTTGTCCCAATTTCCAGTGACAAGAGCAAGGGAAAAAATGTAAAACCCCTCATGGTAATTTTCTTAATCTTTGAGATCTGGTTCTACTCTTTAACCCTATGCTTTGATTAGCAACTGATACTGAGGACTAATAGTTATCATATCTCATCTTCTACCTATACTCAGTGTATCTTGTCTTGAAACTAAGGTTGGGAAGAGAATATCCTTCATTAAAACTACGAATGGGAGATAAGGGAAAATGATGATGTGGTACAACTCCTATTTTTTCTTATACCACTACAACAATTAGCACTTTAAAGAATGTCTTCGTGTATTAGTCTGTTCTTGCACTGCTATGAAGAAATACCTGAGATGGGGTAATTTATAAAGAAAAGAGGTTTAATTGGCTTACAATTCTGCACCCTATACAAGAAGCATGATGGCTTCTGGGGAGGCCTCAGGAAATCTTCAATTATGGCAAAAGGCAAAGGGGAAGCAGGCACACCTTATATGGCCAGAGCAGAAGGAAGAGAGAGAGGGTGGAGGTGCCACACACTTTAAACAACTGGATCTCTTGAGAACTCTATCACGAGAACAGCACCTAAGGAAGATATCCACCCCTATGATTCGATTGCCCCCCACCAGGCCCCACTTTCAACATTAGGGATTACAATTCGACTTGAGATTTGGGTGGGGGCACAAATCCAAACCATACCACTTGGAATAAACTCTCTTGACATTGACAATTCATTATTTCATATAATTTTTCCATAATAATGGGTCAAGAAGGCTGTGATAAGTGTTTTATTCTACGTTTATTCTTTGAATTAACACAGAAGGCCTTCTTTAGAAATGTCTAATGACAAGAAGGAAAGTTTTATTTGATGTTTATCAAGAATAAACTGAATAAAAACTTTTCTGATTTTTCCACCACATATAAATACTTAATGCCTCCTAAATTGTTATTCAAAGGGAATGATAGCAGGAAATTATAAATTTGATTTACAATTTGGGGTAAGAAAATGTTCTCCCTTGACAAACTTTCTCCAAATTGGTCTAAGGATTACAATTTGCATCCTTTACTAATCACAGTATACCATGAATTAAAATTAAACCACTGCATACTTAATATAACAGCCTTATTATAGTACCATTTATCTCTTACCTATTCTTTGTACAATTTTGTCAGAAATTTTATTTCTACATGTTTCAAATACCACACTTTTTATAATTAAGCAATCAACTTAAAGAATTTAAGAAATGATAAGATTATTATTTTATATTTATCTGCATATTTACCACTATAAATGCTCATCATTTCTTCCTATATAAAAGAATTTCCATCTGGAGTTATTTACTTTGTGCCTGAAGAACTTTAGCAATGTTTTTGTGTATGTCTGCTGCAACAAGTTCTATCAACTTTTGTTTACCTGAAAATGTCTTTCTTTCACCTTAAATCTTTAAAGACACATTTCCTGGATACAGATTCTTTCTTTCAGAATTTTTAGAGTATTATTCCATTATTCCATTGTCTTCTGATTTATGTTGTTTCTTAAGAGAGGTCAGTTATAAATCTTTTTGCAGTTCCACTATCTATAATTTTTTTGACCGCTCTGGTTGCTTTCATAATTTTTTTCTATTTATCAGTAGTTTGACTACGATTTTCCTATGTGCATTTTCTTCTTTATTTAAGCTTTTAGGGATTCACCAAGTGTCCTGCATCTGTAGGTTGCTCTTTTTAAATCAAATTTGGAAAAAATATTAGTCAATATCTCTTCAAAATTTTTTTCCTGCACCTTTTCTTTATTCTCCTTTGGGGACTCTAAATTACACTTATGTTATACTACTTGATATTGCCATAATGGACATGGAGGCTTTATTTTATTTTTCAGTCAGCTTTCTATTTGTACTTTAGTTCAGAAAATTTCTGATGACTTATTTTCATGTTTACAATGAAATAAGTTTTGTGCAATCTGCTGTTAATTATATGCAATGAATTTTTATTTCAGAGATCGTGTTTTTCAGTTTATGGTTTCCATTTGTTCCTTCTTTATAGTTTTATGGTTCTTTTGAAATTCTCCATTGCTTCCCTAATTTTCCCATCTTTTTCTATAATATCTTTAACATATTTATCATAATTATGTTCAAGTTCTTACTGGTAATTTCAACATTTGGGTCATAAGTGAGTTTGTCTCTAGTGAACTGTAATCACATATCTGATTTTTAAGTTTACATTGTGTATTGTAGGGACTTGGGAATCTGTTACCTTCTGAAGAGTGCTGTATTTTTTACAGGAAATCAGCTAAGTTACTGGCAGTTTACTTGATATTTTAAAAGATTATCTTTAGGCTTTCTTAGAATGGAGAATTTTGCTTTTTCTTTGAGTCTTACGGCAAAGTGTTTTGTCTTTGTATGCAACTTTTACTCCTAAGATGTAACCCTTACATTGTTTCAACAGAGATCTTGAGATATTTACCAATTTCCTCAAAATGGTGAAATTCTCACTGTAATCCTGTTTCTCCAGTAGTGGACAGCTGCTAATACTCAGTACAACTCTTCTAGAGTTTTAGATGTTTTCCCCAAATGGGCTTATTGATGTCTTGTTTTGTGCATGTACAGTTTAAGGGGTCATCCAACGATTTGAGAGGGATTAATATGCAGTATCTGTGGTACTCTTCTTTCTGAGATTTTATACTCTAATCCCATTGTCGGCCTCCTTAGACTAATAAGTCAGTGGCTTTCTTCTTGAGTTCTATCAAAGGTATGTCACATAAACTAGGTGTTTCCTCAAGGAAAAACCATATCAATGGGAATCTTACTCAGAGAGAGAGAAAATTCCTCCAGTTTGTGTTTGTTCTTATTACTCTTATTTTTTAAAAAATATTTGTATTCAATATTTTGTCCATAGTATATAATTGTTATCAGCAGGTGGGTTATTCATTTATAAGCTAAAAGCTCCCTTCACTTTTATTTGCTTGATTTGCAAATTATTAGTGAACTAGAAATCTTTGAAATATTTTACTAAAATTAAATTCATTTAAATGCGAAGTATCTCTTAATTATGTGCATTTTGGCACAACAAGTGAAAAAGCTTCAGAAATTAGGTATGTCATTATATTAAAGTATATCAGGCATTATGCAATGGGCACACTAATGTTTACACAAACAGATTATTGAAAGATGACAATCAAGAATCTCAAGTCATCTTGATCCAAGTATTTGCTGAAGTTGCCAACATGTTTTCTAATGTTTATTAGTATTACTCTTGCATTTTACTCCATATAATTTAAATTGTTTACATTAATTTGCTTGTTTAAGGCAATACTATGTGTCTTGGGAAAGACCTATATTCAACATAAATAATGATCTTTAAGAACACCTCACATTCACAAAATAATCCGTAGTTTACAAACAAAACAAAATTCACATATTTTTACACAATTTAATTTTCTTAACCACTGCCCGAGGCCATGGGAGCCCACCTTTTGCATCAGTGTGGCCTAGGTGTGAGACATGGAGTCAAAGGAGATCATTTCAGAGCTTTAAGATTTGGCTACCCCACTGGATTTTGGACTTGCATGGGGCCTGTAGCCCCTTCATTTTGACCAATTTTTCTCATTTGGAATAGTTGTATTTACCTAATGCTGGTACTCGCATTGTATCTAGGAAGTAACGAACTTGCTTTTGATTTTACAGGCTCAGAGGCAAAAGAGACTTGCCTTGTCTCACATGAGACTTTGGATTTGTACTTTTAGGTTAATGCTGGAATGAGTTAAGACTTTGGGTTACAGCTGGAAGGCATGATTGGTTTTGAAATATGAGGACATGAGATTTAGGAGGGTCCAGGGGCAGAATTATATGGTTTGGCTCTGTGTGCCAACCCAAATTTCACCTTGAATTGTAATAATCCCTGCGTGTAGTGGGGGAGACCCAGTGGGAGGTAATTGAATCATGGGGATGGGTTTTTCCCATGCTGTTCTCTTGATAGTGAACAAGTCTCATGAGATCTGATGGTTTGATAAAGGGGTGTTCCCCTGCACAAACTTTTTCTTGCCTGACACCAAGTAAGATGTCTCTTTGCTCTTCCTTCATTTTCCTACATGATTGTGAGGCCTCTCCAGCCATGTGGAAATGTGAGTCAATTAAGCCTCCTTCCTTTATAAATTACCCAGTCTCAGGTATCTATTAGCAGCATGAGAATGAATGAATACAACCACTCTCTGTGATAGCATGTCAGACTCTTTCCATCTTATAGATTAAAAATTAGAATCTTAAATAAGTTATGGCGACTTCCCAGATAAAACACAGATACAGATAGTAGGTGATGGGACCAAACCCTGGTCACAGATATTCTACTCCTGGTAAAATTTTCTTTCCACTAGTTCATAGTAATCTCAACATTTGGGTCCCACCTCATTCAGCTTTGGATCTAAATGTTTTTCTTGGTGCAAGTCAAATACCTTGTATCACCTTTGATATAACAGAGTAACACAGGATATTTGATGGTACCTTAGAGTTGGAACTTGGAATAACAGATGAGAAAATAGAATTTATAAAGCATTAAGAGACACATAGACTGACACAGCTTGGACTATAATTTGGGTGTCTTAAGTCTACTAAATATTACACTGCATCATTCTTGGCAGAGTGTGAAGAAATAAGATCTGGTTCATTGTTTTCTACTATTCATGTTTATATTTTACACCTTAATTAACTTAAAGCTTAATAAGATGATTCATTTCTACTTTTGTAGGACAAATTTATAGGAAAAGAAGCAAAAGCAAATGAATGCATTTTTTAAAGTAAATGGTAGACTCAAGTCTGTCTCTCTTAGCCTCAGATGTTTTATATAAGGCCTGAAGACAAATTTTAAAAATGTATTTGCCAGCAGCCTTTTATCTCTACAACCTAGAACTAGATAGACTGCTATCTATTCTCTGGGGCTATGGGTGGGGGTGGGGTGGGGGAACAGGAGATAAACATCATTCAGTCTTTTATCTGCAGAGCTCATTTGTTTACCCCACTTTGAAATTAAACTATTCTTTTTAAACATGCAGCTCTGAAAATAAGATACCAGACTCGTAACCTCTATGCAATATACCATATTTTATTATTATTATATATAATATTATTGATTATTATCCTTCCATGTGATTTTTTTAAGTCGAATTGGATCTAAAGAAATTGCTACCTGAGTGTCTATTTGGCTTCTCCCTCCTCTATACAATTGCACCATTACTTTGACTGTTAGATGTCCTATGCAGAAGTTGAAGCTGCTTCTGAAAAGCTCTTGCCTTGCTAATCAAGCTGAAGGCATATGATTGTAGAGAGAGTTCCTTAAAGAACTTATATGTGATTCTTGTTACTAGGAAACTATATTCCTAGATTAAAAATCTCTTTCATATAGACACAGCTCAATATAGACACAGATAGATACGTTATATATACATATGCATGTGCATATCCAAAACTTTGCACATATATAAAACCAAGTTAAAATAGGAAATAGCATTACAGAGATACAATTTCTACAACTATAGTTAAATCAAAAAGTTGTATAGTTGTATAGTTGCATCAAAAGTGTTTGATATGTCAAGCATATAATTAATCCTAGATATTTTATTATTGTCTTTAGAAATATACAAAATGGAAATTTAAAGGATAAAACCAGCTAAATTGAAATCTTCCCAGTTTTAAGCTTTTCTGTATTGGAAATATGTGTGGAGGGTAATGAAGGGAGGCATCTGGTTAAATTGTCAGAGCTGAATTTAGATATATTACAGGATTTATAAATATGCTTTCTCTTAAAAGAGTAAGAAAGACATATGTATATCAATGTCATCAGTTTCTTTGGACTTAAAGAGCATGAGAGACCATGCAGTTAAATTATCTTTTTATTCCTGCATTTTTGTTTTCTTTTTTACCTAAGCAGAATTACCGTGTAATATTCTTGTATTTTTGATAAAATTACAAAAAGCTGCCCTTTGCAAATTGATATAGTGGTAAAGAACATCCATCAAGTATTATTTTCCAAAAATTTGTACTGGAGGTCTCTTCTTTAAGATTAAGACAATATAGAGTAATACAAAAAGGAGGATCATTTTGACCCAGTGGCCAGCAGGACTGTGAAGCTTCTTGGGATACTAGAAAAGCTTCAGGAATGGGAACTGTCTTACACAGCAGAATGGCTACCAGCTTTACTGCATTTAAAGGAAGTATACTAGACTGGAAGTGATGTTTAATTCTGCCAGATTTAATATGTCAGATCGTACATTCTCTCTAAGTCCTGAAGGTGATTGAGAGACTTCATCATAGCATCTTTTTAAGTCATGAGGGGTCCAAATGGTATTCTATACATGTATGTGGTTCCTGTCCCCAGCACACTATACAACAAAAAGTATCATAGACAGATCTCAAGCGATTTAGAGGCTTATTTTGCCAAGGTTAAGGACATGTCCAGAAAAAAAGAAACAAATTCATGGGAACAACCTGTGGTCTGTGCCTTTTTTCAAAGATGATTTTGAGAGCTTCAATATTTAAAGGGGTAAAGTGGGTTGGTGAAGAAGGAGGGAGAGTATGGTCACGTTACTGAATCCACATGTTGCAAGAGAAAAGGAGCACGTAAGGGAATAGTCAATTATGTATTAGTAAATTGGCACTTTAGATAAGGTAAAGTGAGCATAGAGTAGCTACCTGTGTTGATATCTAGCCTTTTATCTGTAGCGATCTGCTTAGGAACAAAGTGAAAGACAGTTTCTTACATGACCCAGCTTTCAGCTTATTTTATTTTTATTTTTTTTGTCTCCTGGAATAGCAAATTGGGGTCCCGAGATTTTATTTTCCTTTCACAACACATACTCTTAAACAGAAATGACAAATATTCAGTAGCTGACCTAGAAAAGTTAGTTTTATAAAAGTCAGTATGTAGTTGCTATGGTCTGAATGTTTATGTTCCCCTAAAATTCGTATGTTGAAATCCTAACCTCCAAGATGATGGTATTAGGTGGTGAGACCTTTTGGGAGGTGATTAAGTCAGGAAGGCGGAACCCCCAGGAAAGAAGCTCCAGAGAGCTGCCTTGCTTATTTCGCCATGTGAAGATGCAGTGAGAAAGGCACCATCTATGACAAAATGGGACCTAAGTAGACACTGAATCTGTTGGTGCCTTGATCCTGGACTTGCCAGCCTCCAGAGCTGTAAGATACAAATTTCTGATGCTGAGAATCTACTCAGTGGATAGTACTCTGTAACAGCCCCTTGAATGGACTAAGACAGCATTTGATAGAGGATGGTGAACAAAATACAAACTGTTGTGGAATATGAAAATTTGGGTCCCTTACTAAAGTATTTCTGTGCCCTTGTAAGGATGACAAAGGGAAAAGTTTTAGTGAGGAAGTGAATTGGAATTATGAATTCAGGAAGTATGAGTAGTTGAAGCAGGTCAGATAGTACAAAGGAAAGAAATATGAGGAAAAGTTGCTGAAGGAGTGCGAAAAATCACAAAATCTTGAAGTTTCCAATGTAGATTATATTTAATCAATCACAACTCTCAGATTTTACAGATCTGCATATTGTAAACCAGAAATTGATTGGTCAAGCTCCTAAGATGTAATTTTGACAGAACTACAGCTACATCTTTATTCTCTTGATTCTCATTCCAGATTTTTTTCAGTATACTGTACTGAACTCATACTGTGTTCCCATAGACTCTTATACAATTTCATTATTATTTCTCTCATTACTGGGAAGCAAAATAACCCTATTTCATCAAGCTTCTAGGCATAAACAGATAGAAGCACCCGGATCCAGAGATAAAGGACTTTCTTCAAGAGAATGTCTGGACTTTAGATGGATTCTGGAAACAGAATCTCTGGCAATAAAATTTTTGGGTTGAACACATCTATAAAATTATATAATTTTGGCTGAAAATGAAAAATGAAGTAATTCAGCATTTGAAAAATATTAACTCATTTAATATAACTCACTTGTTCATTTTTTTTCCTTTCAGGGTAAAGAAGCAAATTAAAGGAATTGAGACACTGACAAAATAACAAGCAAATTTATATATCACCTTCTAAAACTAATACATCTTCTAGGTGTTTCTGAAAAGTTATCACACAGAAATTATCTGATTGGACTAAATCACCCACTGAAAAAATAAACCTGCATGGGAGATATATACATTTATAAAATCAGGCAGGAAATGTAGTTATGTTATATTTAGATTGTAGCTGGCTTCAACGCTGCTTCTGGATTCATCACGGGTGACTGGTGGACATTGAGAAGGTTATCCCTTTTAGGAAAACAATCTATCTTTGCCAAATATTAACCAGGAATAGATTTATATGGCTTAAATGACCACCTTGGCACTTTGAAATTTGAGAAATAGCACTTCTAGTAAGAAAAATTATTATATGGGGTTTTCTCTTTTTAAAACATTTTATTCTTTTGATGTAAGTTGATTATAACACAAAATTTAGAAGCAAGAAGAAAGATGGATAACTTCGACTAAATAAATAAAAATCATGCCACATAAAATCACTATAACACAATTAAAAAGGCAGATTTCCAAAATATGAGAGATAACGCTTGCACTATGCACTACAAATTAATGTATCATATCCCTAATATATGAAAGACTCTTTAAAAACAAGGCTCAAATGCTGGGTGCGGTGGCTTACGCCTGTAATCCCAGCACTTTGGGAGGCTGAGGCGGGCAGATCATGAGGTCAGGAGTTCGAGACCAGCCTGGCCCATATGGTGAAACCCTGTCTCTACTAAAAATACAAAAATTAGCCAGGCATGGTGGCGGGTGCCTGTAGTCCCAGCTACTCAGGAGGCTGAGGCAGAAGAATCGCTTGAACCCGGGAGGTGGAGGTTGCAGTGAGCCGAGATCACGCCACTGCACTCCAGCCTGGGCGACAGAGTCACACTCCATCCAAAAAAAACAAAAAAAAAATTTAGAAAACTGAGCAATTATCATGAATAAAGATTTCCCACAGAAATTATACAAATGGCCTTTGAACTCATAAAAAGATGCTTAATTTTACTCATTATAAGGGAAACATAAAATAAAATTACCTGCTTGATATTATTTATCATCTATCACATTGGCAAAAATTCAAGTGTGACAAGACTCTTTTGCTGAAGTTGTACAGCACCAGGCACTCTCAAATATTGCTGATGGAATACAAAAATACAACAGAATTGTGAAGAACTTCCCAATAACTAAAAAAAAAAAAAAAAAAAAACTGATATGAAGTTACTCTCTCACCCAGTAATCCCACCTCTAAAGATTTACTCTTAAAATACATCTCCAAGAAAATCAAACAAAGCAAAACTTCACCAAGACAATTATTGCAGCAATATTTCTAATAGTAAAATATATGAAAAAAAAATTCTCCTTTATAGGAAATTGGTTGAATAAACTAGGCTAAACACATATGAATGGACAACTACACAACTATGTAATAAAATGAGCATAATCTTCATGAATTAATATTGTGTAATCTCTAGGATGTATTGTGAAGTGAAAAAACAAAGTGGGAAAATATACTTAATACAAAACCTGTGTTTAAGCATGAATGGGTATAAAATATGTATTTATATATATGTATTTTTAAGATCTTAATTTTTAAAGAAAGAAAGGAAGTGTCAATCAGATACTAAAGAAAATGGTTACACAGAGAGAGTGATGGGCATTGAGTGGAAGAAAAAGAGTTGAGAGTGGGACTCTTCTAATATGTTTTTACTTTGAAACTATGTCAATAATTTACATATTTAAAAAAATAAAGCAAAAGGAATGCAAATGAAGCAAGTATCAACATGAAAAACAAATAGAAACAAAGGAATATATCACTGCAGCATTGATACCATAATTATACCAAAGAATTAATGCACTTATTCTAAAGTGGAATTTGTTCATTTTTGAACAAAGTGCTCTGAGGGGACATCCTTGATGGGATATACTCTAAGGAAAAGACAGAAAACAAGAGAAAATGCCGAAAAATTCTAAAAGTTACATAGTGGTTTTGATGTTGATAGTGGTAGGCATGTAGTGATTTCAAAACTATTTTTATGCAGTGTAGAATTGAACAAAGAAAGGAACATATTGATACTATTGGGAAGTAGGTTCTCATTATGGGAGAAGTGAGATGCAAATATGAAATAGGAATGGAGATAAAGAGCCTTGTGATGGCCAGGCGCAGTGGTTCACGCCTGTAATCCCAGCGCTTTGGGAGGCTGAAGTGGGTGGATCACAAGGTCAGGAGTTCAAGGCCAGCCTGGTTAATATGGTGAAACCCCGTCTCTACTAAAAATACAAAAAACAATTAGCCGGGCGTGGTGGAGCACACCTGTAATCCCAGCTACTCAGGAGCCTGAGGCAGGAGAATTGCTTGAACCTGGGAGGCTGAGGTTGGGGTGAGCAAAGATCACGCCACTGCACTCCAGCCTGGGCGACAGAGGGAGACTCTGCCTCAAAGAAAAAAAAAAAAGCCTTGTGATGTAGGAGAGTATTAGAAGTATCAGTACAGTCATCCTTCAGTATCCACAGGAGATTGCTTCCAGGACACTGCAGATACCAAAACCCATAGATGCTCAAGTCCCTTATATAAAATGGAATAGTATTTGCATATTACCTATGCAAATCCTCCCATATACTTTAAATAATTTCTCAATTATTTTGAATACCCAATAAAATGTAATTGTTATGTGAATAGTTGTTATACTATATTTTTATTTCATTTTTACATAATAAAAATTGTTATTTTGTGTTGCATGTTTTAGAAAAATATTTTCCTTCTGTGATTGGTTGCATCCACAGATGCAGAACCTGAGGTATGAAGGACTAACTGTATAGCCTCTTAATTTAAAAAAATGTCTCTCTCTCTTTCTCTCTCTATCTATCTAGGCATTTCTTAACAATGTCCACTGACAGAACCTAGAATTCCAGTAGCTATAAAGTGTTCAGATCTTTTAAAAATATATTTTATTCCCCACTAAAAATCACCAAGCCTTCATAAAGAAATGACTACAGGTGGGGCAGGAAAAAGTACAAGTTGGGAGCATGCCAGAAAGAAGATAAAAGGACTCCAAAACACAAGGAGATATGAAAGGAACACAGGAGCCAACTTAAAAGAACATACACTGGCCAAATTTGGCACAACTTGAGTATCAAAATGAACAAAAACCGTGAATGGTTTTATAACTCATTCAATAAAAAAAAGAATCCATGAGTTTATATATTTTTTAAAAGTTAAGAAAGTAGAAAAAGGGAAGTTATACTTTACAGAATGCCAATCTGTATAGGATTGATAGAAATATAGGATTGATAAAAGTATAATATCATCACCATAGTATTAATTCAGCAACAATCACCAATGGATGGTAGAACTATTGCACAAAAGATTTTTGTGGAACAGGATTCACACAGTCCCAAGTGCTTTTCCACAGACTACTTGGGAATTTCAAAGAAAACATACTTTAATAGTTCAACCATTATGGAAGATAGTGTGGCAATTCCTCAAGGATCTAGAACCAGAAATACCATTTGACTCAGCAATCCCATTACTGGGTATATACCCAAAGGAGTATAAGTCATTCTACTATAAAGACACATACACATGTATGTTTATTGTAGCTCTATTTACAATAGCAAAGACTTGGAACCAACTCAACTGCCCATCAATGATAGACTGGTAAAGAAAATGTGGCACATATACACCATGGAATACTATGCAGCCATAAAAAAGAATGAGTTCATGTCCTTTGCAGGGCCATGGATGAAGCTGGAAACCATCATCCTCAGCAAACTAACACAGGACGAGAAAACCAAACACTGCATGTTCTCACTCATAAGTGGAGCTGAACAATGAGAACACATGGACACAGGGAGGGGAACATCATACACTGGGGCCTGTTGAAGGGTTGGAGGAAAAGGGGAGGGAGAGCATTAGGACAAACACCTAATGCATACAGAGCTTAAAACCTAGATGACAGGTTGATAGGTGCAGCAAACCACCATGGCACATGTATACCTATGTAACAAACCTGCACATTCAGCACATGTATCCCAGAACTTAAGGTAAAATAAAATTTAAAAAAAGAGAATAATGAAATCTGAGAGATGCCACACTGACCAAGGAATCAAGTTTGGCATTGCCAAAAATTTGGCACGCTCTCTTATGAGCCTCACAATGTGATGTATTGGGAAGGAGGCAATATCACTTGCATAGTTTTCCTGCCAAAAATGTTAACATGAATCTAATCAAGAAAAAGTAACCAAAAATTAGAAAATTAAAAGATTTTTGCAAAACAATTGTGACAGGATGTTAGAAATGTCAATGTTATGAAAGATTACAAAAAAGAGGAGAAATAGTCTAGATTATACATAACTAAAGAGCCATAACAACTAAATGCAATGTGTGATCCTTAATTGGATCATGGAATAAAAAAATTAAAAAATAAATAAAACATTATTGGGACAATCAGGAAAATCTGAATATAAACTTTTCAGCTTCAGCCAAATGAAGCTTCTATAGATTGAAATTAATTTAAATGAACTATCTAAGAACTTGTGTTACTCAGGAAGGATGTTCTACTTGTGGCATTACCAATAACAGAACATATTTTATGTAAAACTCATGAAAACATAACTAGTGATTTTGCCGAATTGAAAGTAAAAAATATATATATTTAATAGGATGTATATGTGATAACGTAAACACTCACTTTGAAGAGTATAAAAGAATTCAAAGAAAAAAAAAAGAAAAAGTGCATCAATCTCTTTCCCAGAATAATTCTTCTTTGTATTTCAGTATGCATTGTTTCAATCTTTTTTCTAAACTTGTTTTATTTTTATACATAATTTGGCTTTTCTGTACACTATTTAGCACAATGCCATTTCCAAATATCTTAAAATATTATGCTATAACCCCGTTTTTACAGGCACAATAGTACCTTATGATATGAATCTAAATCTGTATGGCTTTAATTATTTTCTAGATTGGTTTAGCAAGAAAGTTCTAAGCTTAAGTTCACTTTTTCAGGAGATATGTCTTCTCCTAGGTTCTGGTGCATATATCTGTAAATGAAAGGGAGCCTGTAGTTAGACAAAATAATTTAAAATCCAGGAAATGTCTTTTTATAAAGTAAATACAGTTAGCAGACATATCACACTAACAATCTTACATTTGACTTGATTGCTTTTCTATGTAAAAATATTTAGAGCCCGGATCTCATTAGTTAAAGACATAGAACAACAAATGAAAATGTGGCTTGAAACGATACCTATGTAAGTGCTTGACTTTGTGGTTTCTGAGCTTCTTCTGCTAGAAAAAATAAGGAAAGTTCTCAATGTGGGTAATTGGAGACATAGCTTAGGGACTGCAAAAGAACAGGGGTAACTAACTAGCAAAGACAGTCTCTTAGACTCAACTTGGGACTGGGCTCCTGCACAAAAGATCCCCCAACTCAGACGTGGCTCTGACAGATCCCTCTCTCACCTCTGATACCTCTGTATCATAGATTGTTTTCTGGCTTCTGAAATGAGGCTCTGTCTCCTTACACCTTATGTACATAGTGCTCATGTACTCTCACACTTCATGCTGAACCATTTCATACTGCAGAGGAGTTTTTATTTCTCTAGTAACTAGGTAAGTATCATTTTTTGATATCATATATGCAAACTTATACATGAATCAATCTCACTCCAGATCTATAATTGCCAAAAAAGACCCAAAAGCAAAAAACAACCTTTTAAAAATACTCAATAAATGACTTAAAATAACTAAGAGCTTACCTTGTTATATACTGAACACATTGACTTTGAAAATATTTGGACGTTAAAACCCGTATTTTTCTGTGTATGGGTGTAAACAACATGCTCTTCTTGTATATTATAGGAAACTCAGAGCAGAGCTCTATATTTGTATTCAGGCAGCCAGCAAGACAGAATTCAAGCATTAATATATGTATATATTTTTACATTTTAACTTAATTAACTATAAAATAAGCCCAAAGTAACTATTTTCCCTGTATTTTTCTCAGGCTTATGCCCCACACCCCTCTAACGTAGGGATAAACAGTTCTGCCCAATAGTTGGCCTCATTAGTTATTGCTGCATCACTTTCAGCTGGTACAGTGATGGCTGGCTGCCTGCCAAAGGGCAATATTCCTTCTCCGCGGTCTCTCTCATTCTCTCATTAGCTGCATGTGAAATTGTCACTTTTTTTTTTTTTTTTTTTTTTGAGACGGAATCTCGCTCTGTCGCCCAGGCTGGAGTGCAGTGGCGCGATCTTGGCTCACTGCAAGCTCCGCCTCCCGGGTTCACGCCATTCTCCTGCCTCAGCCTCCTGAGTAGCTGGGACTACAGGCGCCCGCTACCACGCCCGGCTAATTTTTTGTATTTTTAGTAGAGACGGGGTTTCACCATGTTGGCCAGGATGGTCTCGATTTTTTGACCTCGTGATCCACCCGCCTCGGCCTCCCAAAGTGCTGGGATTACAGGCGTGAGCCACTGCGCCCGACCATTGTAACATATATTTCTTTAAGAAGACTTTTTCCATGAGAACCTAATTCATTCAATATTATATCTAGCTTGAAATTCTGCCTATCACGTGCTTTTAAGTGTTTCAAGAAACTTTATTTTTAGCTTGTCCCTTTTTGTGCCCTTTCAGCATTTATGGTTTGCCTTTCTCTGTAGCAAGGCGGTTAGGAAAAGCTAATGGCTAAAAAGAAAGAGCCATTCAGAGATAAGACCCTCGTGAATTATTGGGATGATTATTTCTCCTGCTTTTTCAAATATTTACATAGCAGCTTGTAAATGAGCATTGTTCAGTTGGTGTTATTTCCGTTGGCACCAAAGGTCAACATTTCCTTTAATAGATTCTTTTTAAACGTACGTTTACACTCACAGTGCTCTGATCTTGATTTCTGTCTATTCATCATCTCAAATGGTGCAACAACAATGTAGTTTTGATAATCTATAAAAAGTCCTACCAGACTCTAATCATAATTCAGTCCATGTAAGTGGCAGACTCTCCTGAGCCACACTCTACCAATCTTACTCCTTGAAAACAGTTTGCCAAATTGAGCTACACACTGAGGAAATATGAATTACATTTAGACTTTTTTAGGGTGGGATGATGAAAAGGATTTACCAAATTCCGTGAAAAATTGTATTGTCACTGCATGTTGAAATGTATTTGATTTGAGCCTATTTCTTACGTTTTAGGAAGAAAGAAGCCAGGTTCTCACACTCCATTTTTCCATGTCTTCCTTAGTCTAAAGGACAAACCCTGAAGTCACAGATTAATAACTTTGAGATAAGAATATTTGGGATATTCACTATCACTGCTCTTTGGTGAAAATAAGAGGAAATGGGTAGATGGTGCTCATTGGCACCATAACTCCAGTTAACCACAAATCACAGCAAGGGGCCAAATGGTTAAATCAAAAATAATTTGCAGAATTTTTCTTCTGCCTATAATCTATGTGAAGACAGACAAATTCCCTTGTCGTCTTTAATTGCCACTGGAAATATTTTTTCTAGTATATTCTCTAATGAGGAAGTAACCCATGGAGGTTCTCAGTATCATGCAAATATCTCATTCTATTTTTCATAATTTGAACTTATCACACCAAGAGAATCCAGAGTAGCTAAACACCCTCTATCCTATTGTCTACAGCTATACTCTGCAAGTAGTGAAGTTGTACTACTTAAAATATGCTGTGGAATTCTGAAAACCAGTAAGTTTCAAAGCCGGAATAATTTTTATTCTGGTGGTTGTTGAAATGGCCAACAGGGAAAGCTCTGGGGCCGATCAGCTGCAGCCAATAAAGACAAGAGCAGATTATTTGACGCAGTACAGAGTCAAAATGCTGATCTCACCAAGCCAACACAAAAGGTGTGAATAAAAGAAATCTTTGTTATAAAACTTAGCAATCATAGATCTCCTAGTGTTCAGAGTTTGGGTGAGCTCATTTCCATTATGCTTTCTCTTTCCAGTCATCTCTGATGAAATTACATATTCCTTCTATTCTTTTTGCGGTTATCCTTAGGGTTTTAGCAGGTATATTGAACTAAGTTTAATTATTATTTCTACCTGACTCACTCAACAATACAAGGAACATTGAATTATTTAACCTGAAAATTACCTTCTGTTTTAATATGGTACATTTCTCTGATATTTATTTTTTTCTATTTTTTGTCACCACAAATCACTATTATTTTTATTGAGTCAATGTTAATGTAGATTTACCTACATGTTTGCAAAATTTTTGCATACTTTTCTGTCTGGCATCTCAAATTTCATTCTCAAATATTTTTTCTTTTTTCTTGAAGTATATGTTTTAGAAGTTTCTTTAATGTGGTTCTATTGAAGGTAAACTCTAATTTTGTTAGGTGGGGGCAAAAGTAATTGTGGTTTTGCCACTAAAAGTAATATCCTTAACTATGTCCTTATGTTTACCTTTATTTTATTTTGTGTTTACAGACCTATGTTAACAGTTATTTTCTTTTAGCAGAGTGAAGAGGTTGTTCTACTACCATCTGGCTTCTATAGTTGAGAAGTTGTAAGTCTAAATGCTAATTGCAGGCTATCTGTCTTTTCTCTTTGATAACTTTTAAGATATTCTGTCTTTGAAGTGATACAATGTCACCATGACATGTACAGTGCATTTTTTTTTCCTACTTGGATTTTGCTGAGAATCCTGAATCTAAAAGTCCATGTCTTTAGTTATCGAAAATGTTCAGCTATTATTTCTTCTAGTGTTTTCTTTCAAGTATTCTATTTTGTCCTTCTAGAATTCTGCAGGTGAGATGCATTCAATGTTCTAATTTTTATCACTTAAAGCTTCATGTTTTCTATTCTTTTGATTCCCTAGACTTCCATTTAATAATTTAGTGTACTAATTATCTTCAGTGCATTTATACCTGATGTTTGTGTCATCCAATTTTAGTTATTGTTTGCCTATTATATTTGTGTTTTTGTTTACTTGATTTGTTTTTAATAGCTATCTCCTTTTTAAAAGTCTCTCACTCATTGCTAGCTTAAGTCCCATTCAATTTTAAACACGTTACTTATGGTCTCCATCTTTCTATAATTGGAAATATTTGTAGAGCTAATTCTGTAGATGATTTCTGCTGACTCTGACTCCAGTGACTGGTTTTTGTGTTGGATTATTCGGGATTATGAGCTTATATTCAATTATCCTTTTTTGAACTAAGAGTGAACTGAGGGGCCAGGCACAATGGCTCACGCCTGTCATCCTAGCACTTGGGGAGGCCGAGGTGGGTGGATCACCTGAGGTTAGGAGTTTGAGATCAGCCTGGCCAACATGGCGAAACTCGGTCTCTACTAAAAATACAAAAATTAGCTGGGCGTGCCGGGCGCGGTGTCTCACGGCTGTAATCCCAGCACTTTGGGAGGCCGAGGCGGGCGGATCAGGAGGTCGGGAGATAGAGACCATCCTGGCTAACTTGGTGAAACTCCGTCTCAAAATTAGCCGGGCGTGGTGGCGGGCGTCTGTAGTCCCAGCTACTAGGGAGGCTGAGGCAGGAGAATGGCGTAAACCCGGGAAGCGGAGCTTGCAGTGAGCCGAGATCGCGTCACTGCACTCCAGCCTGGGCGACAGAAGGAGACTCCGTCTCTTAAAAAAAAAAAAAAAAAAAAAAAAAAAATTAGCTGGGCGTGGTGGCAGGTGCCTGTAATCCCAGCTACTCGGAAAGCTGAGGCAGGAGAATCGTTTGAACCTGGGAGGCGGAGGTTGCAGTGAGCCGAGATGGAGCCACTGCACCACTTCAGCCTGGGCGAAAAGGCAAGACTCCATCTCAAAAAAAAAAAAAAAAAAAAAAAAAAAAAAAAAAAAAGAAGACTGAATTGAGGTACGTCCTTCTAAACATGATCTGTCTTTGATACTGCCAGATACCTAAAACCACTTGGTGTCCTGGGACTCACAAGTAGTATAAATTCAGGTATAAAACTATGTGAAGAAACCACTGGCTATGAATTCTCAGGGGGCAGAATTTTTCTTCTGCCTGTAATCTATGCGAAGACAGACAGATTCTCTTGTCATCTTTAATGCCACTGGGAATATTTTTTCTAGTACATCCTCTAATGATGAAGTAACCCATGGAGGTTCTCAGTATCATGCAAAATCTCATTCCATTTCATCGTATTGTATGGCCTGGGCCTGTTTTCTTTCTATTATGAGGGCAGTTACTGCTTCAGTTTTAGTTTTCCTAACTCTTTCAGATTCTTTTCCTTTTTCACATTCTATTAGGATATATATATTTTTATATTTCAAAAGTTCAACTAGTGATTTTAAAGGATGCTTGTATTATTTTATTAGGAATTTTTGTTTTTAACCAAAAAATTTTCAGGTTTTATAATTCATCCTTGTGGCCAGAAATTGGTTATTTTTTTCCCAATGTGACCCAAAAGACTAATGAAGGTAAACATTAAAAATGTGGATTATAATCTTAAATTCATCACTGGTACTCTGAATTTTCATCTTTATGAGCAATTAGCAATATGTCTGAACTTATTTTCCTATTTAATGAATGTAATTTTACTACCTTATTTAATCCAGATTCTGAGGAATTTTAATATGCCAAAAAAATTCAAGTCTGATCACTACTATGAATTATTTGAGGTATATTTTGGTATGAGGTATAAATAATAATATACATGAGTTGTTGACATAGTAAGATTTAAAATGTAGTGTTCAGAAAATAGGAATGATAAGCCCCAAATTAAGCATATTCGTTTTGTGTTAGTATATATTTCATACTTGTCATTATGTATTAGTCTGTTTTCATGCTGCTGATAAAGACATACCCAAAATTGGGAACAAAAAGAGGTTTAATTGGACTTACAGTTCCACATGTCTGGGGAGGACTCAGAATCATGTCGGGAGATGAAAGGCACTTCTTACGTGGCAGCAGCAAGAGAAAAATAAGAAAGAAGCGAAGGTGGAAACCTCTGATAAACCCATCAGATCTCGTGAGACTTATTCACTATCACGAGAATAGAATTGGGAAAGACTAGCCCACATGATTCAATGACCTCTCCCTTGGTCCCTCCCACAACATGTGGGAATTCTGAGAGATACAATTCCAGTTGATATTTGGGTGGGGACACAGCCAAACCATATCACATTACTTGCAAACCTTTTTTCTTTAACAAGAAAGTAAACCCCAACTTAAAGCCTTATGTAGTAGACAGCAATAACTACCTATAGATTTAAAAGCATTATTTCTGTGTTATTGCATACATTTAAAAGTTGTCTTTTACTTATGACAATTTTACCATTTTCTTTTTATAATAGTGCAAGCATTTATGTATTTGAGTTTAGAAAGTAAATCCATTTAAAGAGATTATTAAGAAAATAAATATGTGAGTTGTTGACATAGTAAGCAAGTAGTGTTCAGAAAATAGGAATGATAAGTCCCCAATTAAGTATATTCTCTAAGGTACTACTTCATCAGTAACCATTGGATTTGATCTGGTCTTTACAAACTCCTTAGCTTGCTTTTTATGTTATAAACAAATTATTTTATGAGGCTGGAGGTGGAAAATTGGAAGAGAGTATATGCTTACAGAATAGCGTTCAAAGTACAACCTAGGTCTTAATAGTATGATGATCAACCTAGTTAAGGTAAACAAATTTGATTATAATTAGTTAGTAATCTATCTTAATAAAACAATACAAAAAACTCAAACTACCTCTAAAAGCTTAAAAATCAAATTAGAATTCAGCAAGGGAGCAAATTAAAAATAAATTATCTAGAGAAGTGACTGCTAAACCATCATATCAGAACACCTGAGGAATGCATTGATTGACTAGTTCACAACTACTGATGGACAGTTTGACTATTCAATAGTCAATAGTTCACAACTATTGACGGATAGTCAAACAATTGACTTACTGATTCTAACTGCCTATGGCCCACTCTGAAAACTGAATTGGAATTTTTAGTGGTAGGTCCTCTTAAAATGGATTGGAAGCAACTTATTGTAGTCTAATACTTTAACAATATATTCCTGGCAATATTTCTTATCTAATAAATTTGACTATGTATAGATAGTATATATTATTTATTTCATAGCAAAAAGCATGTTATACTTTAAAGGAAAGAAAAGAGCAAAGAAATAGGCAATTCAGAATATAATTTTAGATATAATGCATATATATCTCATAAAATTTCTTTCTTTTCTTGGTTAATATTATTAAAATGTGCTATAAGTGTAGATCTATTTGATTTTGCTCTCCTTGTTATGTTACGGTCTATATATTGACTAAGTTCTCTAAGAAACCTACTTGAAACTATCTTCTCATGTTTTTCAAAGGCCAGTTGTCTCACATTTCCCTGTTATTATGGCTCATTATGCTTCCATCACCTACAACTAAGTTGTTCTCTCTGGGCCTCAGTTTCAACATCTATAAATAAGATGGAGGTAATATTTATATCCTTGTTATAAATAATGGATATTATAATATTAGGTCGGTGCAAAAGTAATTGTGGGTTTTGTCATTAAAATTAATGACCTAATATTATACTGCTGATTCATATAGTAAGAGACCTCTCACTTTTGGAAGATGCCTTTAGGTTGATATGAAACTTTTTTAGCACTAGTGGAAATATATTAGTTTCATTTTGCTCAGAAACAAGTGTTTTAAATTTCAAGACTATAAGAAAAGAAAGTTGTTTCCCTTGCTTGAAAATGACAAAATTGTTACCATCTACTAAGAATGTGATACCTTATATAAGTTTCTTTTAAGCAGCAACTTGAGGATATGTTAGTAAAACATAGCTGAATTTTTACCAGGTTAATATTTTGAAATAGCATTGCAAGACCATTACAATTTCCTTGTCAGATATTCCCTGAGCTGATTTTAATCTTTAATGACTGAATATTCCATACTAGTATTATTTCCAATTGGTTATTTGAATATACTTTATTGGTGATCAATGGCATCATCAATAAGAAAAATCCCTTCAAATATAAACAAAAGAAAATGTGAGAATTTTGAAATGAAAATATATTGAGATGGCATTGAAAAAAGATGGGATGACTAATTGAATGAAAAAGTATATATCATACAGTGACAAGAGAATATCATAAAATTACACATGATAAATAATTTCTCAAATGTAATGAACTCCAATGTTAGGTTAGATCTAATACTTATCAATAATTATAAACTGATTAGATTATGTCAAGGTTACTCTTCTTATATATCATTTGCTTTGAACTTCTTTAGAAGATACTATTGTTTGAGATATTTTAAAGAATACATTAAGAATTTTTCATAAATTTCTTTTAAGTCAATTAAAAGAAAATCCACACACACCACCACCACCAACAATAAATCTGAATACTATACTTTTTCAATTTTAAGAATTTGAAAACCCTATTGTAATTTTGTAAAGACTCTAAGCTGTGTTTTCCTGCTAGTAATTCTTTTACTATTTCTGATCCTAAATTACTTCCAAATATTCTTGAACAAATATTATGGTTAAGGAGGCACGACAAAAGCATATGTGATGGTAATGGGTTATATTTTCACACTGACAGATGAGAATATTTGCACATAACAGGGACAAAATATGTTCTAGGGAATCCTAGTGCATTAGACTCTTGGATTAAAAATTTAACATATCAGAAGCAAGTGTATTTTGTCATGACTGCAAAAGCAAAGAAGATGTGATATAAGAAAGTAGAATCAATGGGCAGAAAATCAGTGAGTTTTCCTGCTTTGTTAACGGAAAATAAAACTAAATTGCAGTTTTGAATAGGTCATCTTTGACAAGCACTAGGAAATCATGAACAGCATGGGGGAGAAAAGAGCTGCCAAGACTGTGCTGCTGGCCACCGCTTGAGATTTGGGGACAACTGATTACTGCTTTGAAACCTATCAGATCTAGGAATGAAAAGGACCTGGAACAATATCAGCTTTACCATGGAATCCCAGTGAAAAACTTGTCCAAGCAAGATAACATAGCTCTCTCACTCTTTCACCATTAAGTACATGTATGTGCATTTACATATATGCTATATGTATATATATATATGCCTAAAATATTTTTAATCACAACTTAAACACAAAAAAGGGAAGGCTCTCCAGAATCAACATAAATTTAAAAGTGAATAAGACAGGGCCAGGAGCAGTGGCTCATGCCCGTAATCCCAGAAATTTGAGAGGCTGAGGCGGGCAGATCACTTGAGGTCAGGAATTCAAGACCAGCCTGGCCAACATGGTGAAAACCCATCTCCACTAAAAATACAAAAATTAGTCAGGTGTGGTGGGGTGCACCTGTACTCCCAGCTACTTGGGAGGCTGAGGCAGGAGAATCCCTCGAACCAGGGAGGTGGAGGTTGCAGTGAGCTGTGATCATGCCACTGCACTCCAGTTTGGGTGAAACAGCGAGACTGCCTCTCAGAAAAAAAAAAGAAAAGTAAATAGGACAGAGGAATTGCTCAAAAATTGGGTTGGTTGACTATGAAAAGAAAATTGTGACTTTATTATCACTAGTGCTTTCTACATCTACTGAAAGAAGGAGAACATGGCATTACACAATATATAATCACATGGGATGGAAGCCTTGCACCTGGTCTAATGTTTTTGTCTAACTCATATCTCATGAGAAGAGAGAAAATAAAAAGACTGAGAGGAGAAATTAAATGTGATAATTCACATCTACTCAATTAGACCTCATGATGTCACAACTTTTGAATGTATTCCAGAGTTGCATGTACTTTCAAGATTCTTATGATTATAAAATAGATTGTAATAGTTATTCCACCACAAAGCAATCATGTGAACACTTCTGGCAATTTTTTTAAACCTCTGCCTTTATAAAAAATAATGAAGAAGTAGGTCTACATAACTAACATGAAAAGTAAACCTTCTTACTATTGATTTATTTTTTCTTACTTGTATTTTGTTCTTAGGTGCAAGAAGGCAAGTTTTAAAAAGGCAGTGATTACTTGTGCTGACATTAAACTAGGGAAGCAACGAAAACTGGAAATTCTGTGAAATTGGTTGAGTACAACAATAACTATTTTTAAAGCCCTACCTGAAGGCATACACTCTGAAAAAAGATCTCAGTAGTGTTTTCAGACAATACCCTTTAGGATCTAAGATCTTGCCTTCATATTTCAGATTTATTAAAAAGAAGTAAAAAAAACAAATAATGGCTTTTTGTTGAATTCTGCCAAAGTTGTTTCGACTGTCAAGAGACAAAATTACAACAAATTTAGTTATAGATCTAATTGACTTTTATTCATAATTCATGAATCATGCAGCCTCTATTCTACAAAGTATTATGACTATAAGGAGTATAATACCAAGAGTTTGAAGTGTGCTTCTCAGCCAGAGTGCTCAGGAACCAAATCAACTAAAATTAAATAGACTAAAGAAAAAGCCAGATTAGGATTCTACCTGCTTTAACCAAGTAGCTTGTTTGTTAATTTTTGCAGCTGAGTCACTACAGTACTTGACGTATTCATCCACGTGCAACAAGAAATATTAGCAACTGCAAGACTCCTTTCTATTCAGCTAGTATGTAGCAAATCTATTATCAAGCATCCCAAGGCTGGATTAAATTGAAACAGGCAGTGAGAACATGTGGGTCTAGAAGTCTAATGCTATATAAAGAGATCATTCATATAATTTGAAGCAGTTGCTTTAAAGCTGTTGCTAACATTAGCCACCAGGTGAACTGGAGGATCCCTTAGGTCATAAAAGATTTGGGTTTGATATGAATGATCCAACACTCCATCAAGTTTCTCACAGAAGCCATTGATTGTGAAATTTTAATTATAGCATCATCTTGCCAAGCGAAAGAGGTAGGCATAAGCCAGAAAGAATTAAGGGACTAAGAGTCTCATTATGATGTGGAGTCTTGTTCTCATAGAGCTGTCCACAGAGTGAAGTCATCAACTTCTTATCCTGGTTTTCAGTTTCAATGTCTCTGGTCATGGCACTGGGCATTTGTGAAGTCTCTGAGTGGCCCACACATCTGGCATGAGAATATTCTCTTGAAATTTACATTGAATTTTCAAGCTCTAGCTCATGGAGCTTCTGGAACAGAGAAGTGCTGGTTAGCAATTCCATGGCACAACATTAGTTTGGAGGAAACTAAAAGACTTCAGGATTCAGTCCAGTCTGTAGGTAGATTTCAAAAACCCAAAAACAATGAACAGGGTTACAGTTGAATAATGGAGTTACCGTTTTTCTTCTGAAGTACAATTGTTTTCTCTACAATTACCCCCATTTCTACCAAAGATAATCAAAGTAAGACGAATTTGTTTGCAAAGTTTAGCCTCATCAGACTTGGCCTGGTTATTTACATAAATGCGGTAAGAATAGCAATTGACCACATAGGCTCTTTTAAAGTACATTTTGCTGGAACTTTTGATAAGGAATATCAGATTAGACTTTTAAAATCCCCTTAAAGCAAAGATGTCAAAGCAAGGCCGACTTCAGACTTTACCTGCTGTAGCTATAGATACATATAGGACATACACAAACATGGCATTCCAGTCAATGTCTTGATAGCATAACCAGTATTTCCAATTCTATGCTATTATAAAAAGATAGATTTTGTTGTTGTTGTTGTTGTTTTGAGATGAGTCTTGCTCTGTCGCCCAGGCTGGAGTGCAGTGGCACGATCTCGGCTCACTGCAAGCTCAGCCTCCCGGGTTCACGCCATTCTCCTGCCTCAGCCTCCCGAGTAGCTGGGACTACAGGCGCCTGCCACCACGCCCGGCTAATTTGTTTTTTGTATTTTTAGTAGAGACAGAGTTGCACCGTGTTAGCCAGGATGGTCTCGATCTCCTGACCTTGTGATTCGCCTGCCTCGACCTCCCAAAGTGCTGGGATTACAGGCGTGAGCCACTGCGCCCGGCCAAAGATAGTAGATTCTTATCAAGCAAGGCAAGTAACTATGTTACCATAAAAACATAAGAATACTCATGAGTAGTTTCTGAATTTTAGAGGGGATCAGGTAGGGAGAAAGAAATAAATGCTTGCATTTTTGTTCACAAAAGTGTACTTTACCCAATTGCTGAAAGCTATAGATAGCTTACAGGAAACAAAACAAAACAAAACAAAAAAAAACAAAAAAAAAACCCTTTTACATTTGGAAAATAAAACAGTTAAAGAACAAAAAAAGTTCACATAAAAAGCCATAAAATAATTACCCTTTTCAGATCATCTGGTTCCATGCAATAAATTTTTGTTTTGCTTCATATAGGTTAGTTTCATGAAGCTATCTCTTCACTAGAGTTCTAGAAATTCTTACTCAGTCCAATGGAATGATCTTAAAGCTGTAAGAAATCTGTATTCCAAAATACTTGTCAAAGTTTTTACCATAAATCTCCTTGAAAAAGATATAAGTTTGAACTCTAGCTTATTGCAAATGTTTTTAGAGAAGACTCAGTGATAACTGTGGAGGACAAAGACAATGTTCACGGTTAAAATGAAATGAGATTTAATTATAACCAGCAATTTAGAAGGAAATTTTATTATTTTTGTGGCGTATGGCATTTTAACAAAGAAAATTATGACGTAACAGCTTTCTGGAAATCTCCATACAATTTTATTTTATTTTTTATTTTTTATTTTTTTTTTGAGATGGAGTCTCGCTCTGTCACCCAGGCTGGAGTGCAGTGGCGCAATCTCGGCTCACTGCAACCTCCACCTCCTGGGTTCAAGCAGTTCTCCTGCCTCAGCCTCCCGAGTAGCTGGGACTACAGGCATGCGCCACCACACCTGGCTAATTTTTTGTATTTTTAGTAGAGACGGGGTTTCACCATGTTGGCCAGGCTGGTCTTGATCTCCTGACCTTGTGATCCACCCGCCTCGGCCTCCCAAAGTGCTGGGATTATAGGCGTAAGCCACCGCGCCCGGCCTCCATACAATTTTAAAAACACATACCTATAACATACTCATAACTTAAAGAAGGTTTAGCATTACTTATTTGACAATGGTTCCCATATAATTTAACAATTAAGAAAGCGGAATTATTTTAATATTTCTCTCGTACAAGGTAAGAAACACATTATCCAAAACTTTCCAGGGGCCCGACCTAAAAATTCCAAAGTTAACTCAAGATCAAAAAGACTATTTGGAATTTGATTTTTGGAAGTTTGTAAAAAATATCAAACATTTAAAACCCTTAATCAAATAGGATCACAGTTCACTGTGAAATATTAATTTAACCAGACTAACAATTACAAGGTCAGGCATGGTGGCTCATATTTGTAATCTTGCACTTTGGGAAGCCAAGGGAGGAAGATCACTTGAGCCCAGGAGTTTGAGACCAGCCTGGGTCACATGGTGAGACCTTGTCTCTATGAAAATTTTTTTTTAAATTAGTCATGGGTGATGGTACATCCCTGTTGTCCCAGCTATTCGGGAGGCTGAAGCAGGAGGATTTTTTGAGCACAGGAGGTGAAGGCTACAGTGAACTGAATTCACATCACTGTACTCCAACCTGGGTGACAGAGAGAGACCTTGTCTCTAAAAAAGGAAATAATAAAACAAGACTTTAAAAGGCAAATATAAACAGTTACTCAGTTGTAAATAAAACTTTACCTCTTTAACAGAGAGGACCCTATTTTCTTAAGTGATCAAAGACCTACTGAAAAACAACATGAAGCACAGGGAATCATCTTGATAAAACATAGAATCCCTGTTTTCTAGGAGAATTGCCTAAAATTTCCTATGCTAATTACCTACTTCCTAGTAAGAGCAGATCAAGAATCCAAGAAAACCTTGTTGTTTTAACAGAGAGGATCAAATTGTAGTTTTGTATCAGTCTCATTTTGGAATTAATGCTCCACACTTACACACACAAATTAACAAGGTGTGGTGGCTACTGCCTGTAGTCCTAGCTAGTTGGAAACTGAGGTGTGAGGATTGCTTGAGCCCAAGAATTCGAGGCTGCAGTGAGCTGTGATTGTACCACTGCACTCCAGCTTGGGCAAAAGAGTAAAACCATGTCTCATTAACTAAGTAAATAAATAATCCACCATAATATAACTTAAAGATTTATAGTTACTGAAAAAGAATTTTAAAATACACAAAAAGTTTCCTTAGAAACTTCTATTTACACTCACCTAATTTACTTGATCTTAACAGTTGTGTTGGTATTGCTCATGGAAAACATAGTTGGCCATTATCTTAAGTTATTTTTTGACAAATCAGGTAAGTATCAAAAATATCACAGTGTCAATGAAACTAAAAAGATAGTTTTTTCCTTTTACTTCCATGACTGACATGAACCAAGCAATTTATTTTCATCATGCATTCTGCTCTTAAGTTGGATTTATAGTTTTATAAGCTTAAACATCTAGGAGATAGCAAGCTTGTTTGACTAATAACTCTAGGTTAAAAAAAAAGCATGTTTGCCTTTGAATTAATGCTGACAAATTTGAAGACATTTCTGTTTGTGTTTTATCAATAATCTTATAACTAGCTTTATTTACCAAAGACTACCAGAGATCACATGAACTAAAAGTCATTTGAGTTAGTTTCTATTTGAGAGAATACTTGATTTATTTAAGCACTTTCTTTTCTAAGCCAGTTGAATAGAGTCCTTTACAAATTTTGGCAGCATCAGCTGAGTTAGAAAAATATCATGTGTACCTAACATACTTACATATAAAGACATACATATACATACAGACAAAAACACGTCTTATGGCTTTCATTGAGATATTTGATTTGTCAGTTTCCAAATAGTTTCCTTCCCCTTTTCAGACTATAAGTCAATTACCTCTACCATTGTCCTAAGGAATTCTTAGCCAGGGAATCTTAAATTTATACTTCCAAAGGGATGACTCTTAATTGAAAAATTTATACCTAACAGGCATGCAGAAAGAATGCATGTATTTTTCAAGAAAGAGTTTAGGACATGTTACGTAGTATTAGGAGTCAATTTTATAGAGGCTGTAGAATAAATATTAAATCTGAATGTCTCCTAAACTCATCTGTGTGGACAGAATTTCTAATTTCTGCTAAAATTATATATGACACATTTTCCTTTAGTTTGGTCTTGAGGTTTCTGTCTGGAAAGTGGCTATAAACTCTAGCCCTGCCCTGACGGGCCTATCAGGATAGTCACCCTCTAGGAGAGCCCTCACAGGAAGGAGACTTAGGTTCAGATATGTCAGTTTGGTGAGACACAAAGGATCAAAATGAAAGTTAAGGCCAGGTGCAGTGGCTCACACCTGTAATCCCAGCACTTTGGGAAGTCGAGGCGAGGGGATCATGAGGTCAGGAGTTCAATGCCAGCCTGGCCAATATGGTGAAACCCCATCTCTACTAAAAATACAAAAATTAGCCGGTGTGCTGGGATGCACCTGTAGTCCCAGCTACTCGGGAGGCTGAGGCAGAAGACTTGCTTGAACCTAGAACCTGGGAGTCAGAGGTTGCAGTGAGCCAAGATTATGCCACTGCAAGCCAGCCTGGGTGACACAGTGAGACTCTGTCTCAAAAAAAAAAAAAAATTATAAGCGTCACTATGAGATTTTAGAAAGATGTACTCAATTAGATAGGTAGGTCTTCAATTTAGCTCGTTTCTTAACTGGATTAGTGATTTCTTGGTGGAGCCCATTAACAAATAGAAGTGACAAAGCGTTTTCTATGCCTGGACTCAGCATGGATAGTACCGAAAAAGAAGCAAACCTACTTGATAAACACTTTTTACGTTCTAGGTGGCATAACAACTAAGTGCAAAGGTTGGTAGATTCAAATTTTTGTCCTACCAATTAGTTGCTTAAGCTTTTCAGTTTTCTTTTGCAAAGCATCATTTAAAAGACGCAGTACAAATTTTTGAAATCTTAGTAGGAGTTTCTGCACATCAACAGGCATCCCTGGATGGGCCCAATTTTGAACCCCTCATTTTTAAATGCACTTTTTAAAGTACAGTGTTCTTCATCTGGTATGTTCCACATTGTAATCACATGTTGGTGATTACAATTCTAAATTATCTTTAGTAAGATTTTACCATTTTTGTAAGTATTTGCAGCTTCCAAGGCCTAATATGTATACATATTGTGAAAGGCAGGCATACTCAGAAGGTGGAGTACTCAATTCTCTAGAAATTAAAAATCCCATTTTTATGTTGAATCTTGGCTCTGTTGAATCTTGGCCCAGAAAAAAGCCCAAGAAGGAAATGCTACAGAGGTGGGTTGTATAATGCTTTCACCGTGCACCTTCTTGCATGAACATTTTCTTGATGCTGGCAGGTGCTATCCTGTTCAGTGTCCAGTTTATCTTTTCACAATAATCTCACTTGGTGGTGGGTTGCTCCAATAGCTTTTAAGGTCCTGAACTGTGTCCACTAGTCAAGTTGCGACTTTGGCTCTGAGTTCTCTTTAACCAACTTAGCCAGTGATTCCCCCTACCTAAACAAGAAAAAGAAGCAAAGAGGATAGAACCCAAATTCCTGCAAATTGTAAAAGCCAGAGTTCGCACCCCTCACAGTGATATCCTCTTACTACAACTGCTGTCAGTTACCTTGAAAACTGCAGCTCTTGCCAGTGACTTATTAGCCACCACAAACTCAAAGCTTTCACCTCTCTCACAGAACAAACTAACCCTTGGTACTCACCCTAAGGTCATGCTCTCTCTCATAGTAAAAACTAACCCTGGATTTGAAAGCCAAAAAGATCTGGGAATTCAGTGCAAAAAGAGCAGATTCTGTCCTGAGAGGGACTTACAGCCTTCAGGGCTCTATGAGAAAGACAGGGGCCCTCTTCTGCATTTCTCATGGGGTCTTGAGAGTCACCAGCAGTGTTCTTTGGGTCTCTGTCACCAGAAATGACAATATTACAAGGAATTTAGTTACATCTTGAGTTGGCTTTTATTCATGATTCATGAATCATGAAGCCTCCATTCTACAGAATAGGATATGAGCTCCCTCTGGGCCATAACAGAACCTTGGGTTTTGTAAGGTGGGAACAAGAAAACAGAACAATTGAAAAATGTCTGACTGATTAACATCAGGCGACTTCAGATTACTTTTTTTTAAAGGTTAAAGCAGAGGAGACTTCCTTATTATACTGACTCAGGTAAACTGGAATCTCCTGTTTTCAGCAAACAGGAAATTGGTCTGTTTGGGGATCTATCTGCTTCCTTAAAGCTTCAGTTTGATTATGTGGCATTTAGCATAAATATCTTCATTTTGATTTGGTCTGGTCTGTTGGGTCTAGTGCAAGAGTTCAGCCCCAAGGAATGACCTCGCATACGATTTGTGTAACATAACTTTAACACTTTTTGAATTATATAACTATACATATTAACTTAAATGAGTACTACTGAGTAAAAAGAGGCAATCATTATATTTTATCTTCAATCACCCTTGATAGAAAATGGGTTAAAGATCTTCTCACAGTTATTTTTATTCCTTATATCTACTGCTCATTTGAAGGAACAGAAAACATTCTAGCTAACTTTGAAGCATTTATACAGTAATTGGAGAAAGGAGATTTACACTTTTGTAAATGGGTTCTTTTTGCCCATTGCCCAGATAGAGCTGATTTATCAAGACAGAGAAATTTCAGTAGAGAAATAGTTTAATATACGGAGAGCCAGCTAAACTAATGACCAGAATTTTATTATTACTCAAATCAGCCTCCCTGGAACTTTGGAGGCTAGCGTTTTTTCAAGGATAGTTTGGCAGACAGGGGGCTAGGAAATGTGCTGGGGTGATCAGACCCAACACCAGGTCGTGGGGGTAGCGAGGTCTGGCGGAGTCAAAGGATTGAGAAAAAGACAGTTTGACAGAGAAAGCTGGGACCAGAGGGCCATCGCAATTGTAGAGGCTGCGAAGGCCCGGAGCGCTGGGAGCCCACGCTATTTATTGGTAATCCAACAAAGAAACAGGTGGTGAGAATGTGGAGGTCAAAAGGGCAGGCACATGATCTACAGCTGTACTAGTAATCCAACAAAGAAACAGGTGGTGAGAATGTGGAGGTCAAAAGGGCAGGCACATGATCTACAGCTGTAATGGTTTAACATTTATAAAGAACATGTTCTGCTACTTGAGATAATGGAGAGCAGGTTCTTTTAACTCAAGATACAATCGATCCTGGAGGAGCAAGGAGCCAGCAAGCCTAGACATATTCCAGAACTACGAGCCCTGGATTCTATCCAAGCCACGAGGTATTTTATGTCCTGGGCTTAGATTATGGGGCGTCAGGGTAGCCTTCCACCCTTTATCACAGAGCTTGGTGTTCCAAAGGCCACAAGGGGCTTTAGACCCTGGACCCTGGATGTGTTCCAAGGCTCTTTTACATTATGTCAGACATACAAGCCCTTCCTCAGCTTCTCCCAACACTCAGCTTTTCCCAACAGAAATAGGTACTGCTGACTGGTTGAGAATGTAGTCCTAGGGGTGTGGAAATTGGTCTTTGTGCACCGTGTCCACTTCTGAATGGGGACCTTCAGAGGAGTTGCTGGTCTAGGTGGGGCCATCTGGTCACCAGAAATACAAAAGTCTGAAAAGATATCTCAAAAGACCAATCTTAGGTTCCACAAAAGTGAGTTATTTGCAGGAATAATAAAGGAAGTTGCAAACCTTGTGACATCTGAAATAATGGCTGGTGATCATTTAACTACTCTTCTTAGCAGAATTCAGGCCCTTCTCCTTCTAGTCTGGTAGCCTTAGTTTTACAAAGGTAGATTAGTCTTTGGAAGATCATTTAAACTATTAATTTCTCTCATAGTTAGATTGGCTCATGTCCAGGAATGACCAAGGGCAGTTTGGAGGTCAAAGGCAAGATGGAGTTGGTTAGATCAGATCTCTCACTGTCATAGTTTTCTCACTGTTATAACTTTTGCAAAGACAATTTTAATTCCCCTTTTGGGGTTCACCACACATTATTTTTAAGGTATGAGCTATGGAGATGGGAAAAGGCCAATCACTGCTCTAACTTCTTCTTGCTGACAGGGGAATATTTGGGATAGGGGTTGGCTCCAGGGTAGGAGGAGTGAAACTGCTTCATAGCTGTCTGTGTGCATTCATGGGTGCCTGGTTGAGGATTAACAGTCAGACTATAAGACAATCAGTGTTAATATAATGAGTGAAAGTCCTAGTTCTACATGTCCTTGTAGAATTGATCTGAAGCCCCGAGGGATCGTGGTGAATAGCCCCAAGAACCAGTCTGACTTGGGATCATTAGTAGATTAAGATTTGAGCTAGAGGTTGTTTGAAAGACAAATTGAGATAAACAGGAAATAGTAAGTTTAAATGTTCCATCCCATATTTTTTATTCTGTTTTTAGTTCTGAGAATAGATCAGTTCAATTAAAGTTTTATCCCATTCCAGGAGGTAGCATTGCAGATGGGCTGGGCCTTTCTATGCAATGGAGGCAAATAGATTTTTAATAAGATGCATTTCTATGGAAATAGAAGAAAAACAATGGTTAATGTTGGGCATACATTTTCCAGATGCTAGACTCAAAGCATCTTTAGTTAAAAAGGAGGAAGACAGTGGCAATCTGACACTTTTTTTTTTCACCTGAATTACAAGGAATGAGCTTCATTTTGCAGGGCCTCAGGAAAAAGGTAACAGTAATTTCATTAGTCCAAGTCAGCAAAATGAAAGCATTAGTTTGGGAACTTCTAGCCCAGAAAGAATTGAAGATTCAGTCCAAATTCCAGAAAATAATAAATACTCAAAAACAACAGATAAGACTAGAATATAACAAGTGTACGATATTTTTTTCTTCAACCATAATTTTTCTCTCTCCAATCCATGCTTTTACTAAAGACAAACCATAATAGAAAAAAAAATTTGCATAGTAAGTTATAGTCTTATTATACTTGGCCTGATTATTTGCATGAAATGAAGCAAGAATAATTATTTGTCACATAGGCTCTTTTTTTTTAATTGGCTTTGCTGGAACTTTTTTCATAAGAAATTTTATATTAGACTCTTTAAAGCCTCAAGCCCAGCCATGGGTTTATTTGTGCCAACAATACTTATATGAATTGGATAAATTCCTCTCCTCTGGAGGTCCCAAGATAACTTGGGGTTCCTGGGCCTATCAGTAGGTGACATTCTTTACTTAGCACAGGTCAGGGACTCTGTACAGGATCTGCATAGACAAGGTATAAGACCAAGTTCCCAAGGGCTCTGTAAGTCAACTTTGATTCCTTAAAGCAATCTATTTATATCTGAAAACATGTCATTCCAGTCAAAGTCTTGGTAAAATAACTAATGCCTCCAATTCTGTCCTGTTACAAAAGAAAATAGATTCTTACTTTACTTTTGCAAATAAATATCTTGCCATAAGTTAAGAATACTCACAAATGATTTTCAAATTCTGTAGAAATCAGATAGAGATAAATAAATATGCTCCAAACTTTCCTCAAATACTTTACTCAATGATTAAAAGTTATAAATAGCTAAAAAGAAAAAAGATTTCTTAACTTTGAAAAACAAAACAATCAGTAATGTGTAAGCAAAAATGCATAAAAAGTTCAGTCACTGCAATTAACCATTATTTTGCCCAATATTGGGCCAGCAGTCCTTATGAATACATTGGTTTTCTAGAAAAGTCCTGGTGTTGTGTTTTTTTCTCTCTCTATTTCAGTGGCACAATCTCCAAAGTTATTAGATACCTACATTCAAGAGTTCCTGCCAGAGTCCTATAATTGATTACAAACCTCCTTTTGAAAAGGATCAAAATAAGACCTAATTGACTGTGGATGACCAAAGTCTTGAGATATCCACAGGTAAAGATGCAATGAAAAAAGAAATCTTGTAATCTCTGTGGCACATAATCATTTAAGATAGTAATCAAAATTATTACTGATAACATATCCTGAGATAGAATTATAGGAATCATATAATTTTGGAACACATACTGATAACATTTATATGAATATAACTCAAAGAAAGTTAAACATAATTTTTATATTTGACAATGCTTCCTGCATAATATTAATATGCTAAATAAACGGAATATGTCTCCTTTGATCCCCAAGAGACCTAATACTTAAAAAATTAGTGAGGTCAAAAAAAGAATTAAGAATTTGATTTTAGAAAGTTTGTCAAATATCAAAGGTTTAAACACTTACCACAAAACAGAATCCAGGTAACTGTAAGTCCAAAATGATAATTTAAAGTTTTTAAAAGGCAAAAAAGCAATACTTGTAGACACAGGGGAGACTCAGCTTTCCAAAAAACAAGAGCCAATAAAGACAGCATGAGGCCACTGAATCTGTCTCTTCTTTCTCCTGTAGTGTATTTGAAAAGCAAATAAAAAAACCTTTTACTATCTTTTAATATTACATGAGCATCTTGTTTAAAAGAGAAAGCTGAATTTTACCTTCACGTTAGGTACCATTAGTTAAACGCAATTCTTAATAATGTCTTATAAACAAGTCTATTCAATCTCAATCACTTTGAACATAAGGTAAGATTTTCAGAAGCCTTTTATAAGCCTTTACAATTTCCTGTTAAAGAGCAAATTAATGCTCTTAAAAACCCTGTTATTCAGAAAGATAGGTGTAGATTCTGGCCCTGCATCAGTGTGTTCTTATTTTAATGTTCGATTTGTGGAAAAACTAAATAATACACATTTAATTTTAGCCAACTTGCTCACACATATAATTTTTAAGCCAATTAATTAGAGCTCTTTCATATATTTTGGTAGTGAAATATCACACATACAACACATATAAATATAGACAGAAGCAGATCTGGTAGGGTGATAAGATTCTTCATTTGCCAGTTTTTAAGTTTCTCTTTCTCATTTTAGACTTTCAGTTTCTTTATTACCTGTTCCCCACCTTAAACAATAGTCATCTAGGCAATTCCAAATTTGCATGTTTAAAGAGATAATTCTTAAATGAAACAAAATAGATAATTCACTTTTTATTTTAAAATGACATGAGTAAAAGTTCCCTTCAGATGGCCAGGAAAAGCAGACATATGGATATATTGTTACCTATGGATATGTTGTTAAAGACCTGTTTCTTGATTGGATTATTGGCTTTAGGGTGGAACCTTTTAAGGAACAGAGCCAGGAAAGCATGCAATTACCAGGGCTTAATAAGCAGGCACAGCTGGAAGGCAAAACAGATCTCCAAAATCAAGGATCCCATTTATACATCTAATCGTGTGTCCTCAAAAGAGGCAAATTCCATGGAACGAGAGAGTGCAATGCTTCCATAGTGTATTTTATTGTAAGGACATTTCCCCAAGGCTGCGGGGCAAACAAACACCAATTAGCCCACTCTGTAATCAGCCCATTCCTCATACTGTACATTCTAGGTGTCTAACAGCATGTTTTTTTCATTTAAATGCACAAAAAAGGAGTATCACCCTGTAGTAATAATCACTCACTGTAAGCAATTGCTATTAGCAATTTTAAAACGTGTATCTCTTATGTAACTATTATACATGAAGATTACATTTTCTCATAATGTAAAATAACTTTTGGTCCCTCCAAATTTCAAAAACATTAGATATAAGAGGAAGGAGGGACAGACAGGGAAACTGAAAAAACAGAATTCAGTTGACCAAGAAGTTTTTACAGAGAGAGAATGGGGCCTTTATACCAGTATCTTTACACAAATGGCTCAAATATCAGCCTTTATTAATTTTATTTTTAACTAAAGAGCTCTCAGAAAAATCCTTTATTTTATTATCAGAGTTTAGCTAGGAGAAACAGCTGATATTTCTGGTTTTTAACTTTACCAAAGATAAGCTCCAAGGTGAAAACAATTTTAAGCTTTAGTTAAGGTTATGACTTAACCAGAGGTATACAAGATAGTTTCAAAGAGATGGCAAGTGGTTTTAACAAGATTTAGAATTGCCCCAAAGGTAGCTAAGAGAAAAGAAAATTTGGGACAGGAAATCAAAAGCTGTTCATGGGGGAAAATATAATGAATAAATGGCAAAACTCTCATAAGTACTAAATCTGAAAGGACTCTGATATGGTTTGGCTGTGTCTCCACCCAAATCTCATCTTGAATTCCCACATATTGTGGGAGGGACCATGTGGGAGGTAACTGGATCATGGGGCCAGGTCTTTCCCTCCTGGTGGTGAGTGGGTCTCAGAAGATCTGATGGTATTATAAGGGGGAGTTCCCCTGCACAAGCTTTTTGTTTGTCTTCTGCCATCCATGTAAGAGGTGACTTGATCTTTCTTGCCTTTCATGATGATTGTGAGACCTCCCCAGCCATGTGGAAATGTAAGTCCAATAAACCTCTTTCTTTTGTAAATTGCCCAGTCTTGGGTATGTCTTTATCAGAATGTGAAAACAGACTAATACAGACTCATTTCCTAAACTGCACATAGAATGCCGGCTGCCATTATAACAGGGCAAAGGTATAGCTACTGAGCTATACCATTGGCATTTACCATTACTCTTCCCAGGAGTGTAGGGCAGCCATTTTCTAGTGTACAAAGGATTTTTAAGTGCCCAAGAGAATTCTCAAGACTAGCCATGACATGAACCTCAAAATTCCTGCCCTCTGGATGGCAGAGACAAAGGAGAGTACCCCTTCATGATTACAAACTCAAGTTTTCAAGGACATAAAACAAGATAAAAGGAAAATCTCATTTGGTTTCGTTTTTTTGTTTCAGGGACCCACAGCAAAGTTTGTAACTGACTCGAGCAGTGGGCTTATAGGGTCCTAGGCCTGCATTTTATCCTGTGGTATCCCTCTTCATGACAGAACAACACAGAAAGACAAATTTATAGCACAAAATACACCAGATTCACTATGGCCTAAGACTAGTCTCACAAATCCGTTTTCCTGTTAATCAAAACCTTGTAGGGGAGACAAACAATGACTTTTAGCATTCATTCATCCAGTTTACACAGATAATGAGAGGCCAGAACCCTGAATGGTAAGAAATTCTTACCCTTTAGCTAGCATGCCAGATTTCTGGGTTTCCTTTCTGTGAATGCTTTGGTGACTGTGTTCACTGTACCATAGATGTGGGGGCCCAGGTGTATTACAAAAAAAAAAAATTCTTTCCTATTTCATGGAATCATGAGCAAAAGCCTCTCAATTTTGCAAGATGCAGCCCAACAGGCTGTATGTGGGAACTGATTAATATTTCTCATTTCGGCCAGAACAAAACACATATGACAAAACACAGTCACCAGTTACCCCACTCAGTGTCCAAGTATTTACCTGGTAAGGCTCAAATTTTGATCCATTGGCCCTTGTCATCTTCGATCCACTCAAAGTGGAGTGACATGGCCTCTGACCAGAAGTTTCAACAGGTGTTCTCTGGGTAAAATGGAAGAGTATATGGTCACCCTAAGTTAGACCTGTTGAACTTCCTTCAGGGCTTACCAAATGGGATCAACCAAATTAGGATGCAAACCAAGATTCCAGACCAGATTCTAAAATAGAAGAGCCTCTCAACAGGTTCCCTATTCTCCATTCAATTGGGGAGAAATCTCCCCAAACTGAGACTCTTTCTATAGTCCAGGGAGAGCTTAACAGTCCCCATGACAGAGATACAGAACCAGCCAGTCCCTATGACAGGGTTACAGTACCTCTAGAGAAGCCAACAGAACAGAATAAGAAAGGGTGTCTTGGCAGTACTGGGAATACTGGCCAAACCAAGTTACAAGATGCTTCCTGGACTATTTCTTCATTGCAGTTGAGTCTATGCACTATGGTTCAACAGTGCCCCACCTATACAGACCGTGCCAAAGACAGCCCTTAGTCCAAGAGAACTAGGGGGATGCTTGGGCTGGCCTCTGGATCTGTCACCAGTGAAGGACTGCCAAACTGCAGGCAGGTAGCCACAAGGACTATCCCAGACAAACCCTTAAATTTGTAATCATCCAGTGGGTTCTTCCTGGCCACTGCACAAACAATTCACTGAAGCCATGGCATTGCAATAAAGAGAGTTTAACTGATGCAAGTCTGGCCACGCCACATGGGAGATGAAGTTATTACTCAAATCGATCTCCCACAAAATTCAGATGTTAGGGTTTTTCAAGGATAGTTTGGAGGGCAGGGGCCTAAGGGAATGAGTGTTGCTGATTGGTTGGGGATGCAATCATGGATGTGTGGAAAATGGTGCTGATGTGCTGAGTTGAATTCTGAGTGGGGACCACAGGAGCAGTTGAGACAAGAGTCAAGGGTCTCGGTGGAGCCATCAGGTTGTCAGAAATGCAAAAGCCTGAAAGGATATCTTAAAAGGTCAATCTTGGGTCCTACAAGAGTGAAATGGGTAAGCTGCAAATATTGTGACCTCTAGAATAATGGCTGGTAATAATTTAATTATGTCCACATCTTAGAGAGAGAGTGAGAATTCAGTTCCTATCATCCTCCTTACCTGGTGGCCTCTCATTAGCTTTACCAAGGCAGTTTAGCTTTTATAAAGGGCTATTGTCATTTAAAATATAAAGAAAATTTCTCCCAGAGTTAGCTTGGCCAATGCCCAGGAATGACCAAGGGCAGTTTGGAGGATAAAGGCAGAATTAAGTTAGTTAGACCAGCTCTTTTACTTTCATAATTTTTTCACTGTTATAATTTTTGCAAAGGCAGTTTCAGCAATGAGACAAGCCAATATCATTAAGACATGTATGCAAGCAGTCCTAGCTCATGCAGTATACACACAAGATAGAGGAAAAGGAAAATGATTTTTATATTTTGGAAAGGTGAGATGTGAACTACATGAGGATGGCATAAAGTGTTAATTCAAGGACAAATGGGAAAAGGACTTGATAGGGACACGGAAGAAAGCAAACATAATTTAGACTAAGAAGATCAGCCTCGTTTGGTGGCTATTAGCATTCAACTAAAAGTTGAGAAAATGGATGTACAAAGAATTTAGGAAATTTGCCTAAGATCACATGCTTTGCCAGGAACCAAAGTTTCGCTCAGGGAAGAATATGAATAAACATGAATAGGAGGGGTAGAGCCTCTTCTCAAAATTCATTCCTGCAACCGATTCCTATTTCTCAGTAGACTTTCATTCTGGCATCCTTTGTTTCCACTTTTCAATATTTTTTTCTTTTTATTTTATTTTTCATTCTTGAATTTTCTCAAAATAAGATTTTCATCCTTAACTTGATTTCAGAGTTCTCTAGCTGCTGCCTGGGAAACAACAAAAATACCTTTTCCCCTACTGAGCTTTTGGTATCTGCCTCATTCAAAGATTTTTCTATGAAAATTAAGAACAAAGGGCAAGTGAAGATCTGCAGAGGAAGCTTGGCTGGCTAATTACCATTTCAAAGAAATCTGATGGGAGGTTTTTTTCCCAAGTTAATTGCTCAACTGTTTAACAGCCTGTAACCGAGGCAGTTTACACACATTTTAGAACCATAGAAATTGCTCACTGCCTTTAGAACCCTTCCTCTTTTTGTCTCACTGTTTCCCAAGCACCTCTCCTTTACTAGTCTTTCAAATATCTACTTGTATCTTTTAACCTCTCTTGATATAGTTCCCTTTTCTTACATTTTGTCCTACTCCTTTCCCCACTCAAAAAATATAATGTATATTGTTAGTGTAGTTAAAAATACTTATTGTACTTATTAAAAAAACATTAAGTGATCATTTTACAATTTTAAAACTGGTTTTCTTTACCTTTTTACCTCTCAGAAGGGATAATTTATCTACATGAATTTTCCTTGAAACTCTGCTTGTTCAATCCCATCTCTCTTATTTTCAGTATTTCAATTCCCTACAAAGAAAAAAAAATCTTACTTCCTTCTCTCCCTGCTTTATGAACTATATTTGGGATTTTTTCATACAAACAAATGCATGAGTGCTAAAAAAGTAGCTCCCTTTCCCACCACACACACACACACACACACACACTTTAAATGTTGATTCTGAACTTCTACTTGTATTTCAAAAGTTTAGAAAACACTATTTTATCTGCATCTTTTCCATCAAGTAAATAATTATTTGGACTTAAGTTTTTCCCCAATTATGAATCATTGATTCCATGTCATACTGTATACATACTCAAAAAGCAGTCACATAATTTGTCATTTAATCAGCAGTAATTGGTAAAGAAAGCACAAGATTGATTCATTGTAAAACTTCTCAGAGCTTTTAATATAGTACTATGCATTATGAATTATCTTTCATTTATTTCATTTCCTTCATAGCATCTTATAATAGAACTAGTGTTTCATAAACACACTTTGGAAAACATCATTGTATTTTCATATATTTGTTTATAGGTTATATAATATGAACAAATATAACTATTTTTCTTTGACTATATAATTTTTTTAAAGGTTCTATTAAGACTGTGTAAGAAAAATAAGATACTGAATTCAAACCAAGAAGTACAGTATTGATATTCTGGTGTGACCTAGAAGTACCTCGGAGAATTTATTCTAGGTTTCATGCTCCCTTGGTTCTTATGTTAAGAGATAAAATATAGATTTGAGTTATTAATATAAACAGAGCTGACACACTAACAAAAATAGAACTTAAAATGGTCCATACCTATTTTTCCAAGACACCTTGAAAGGAAATTTTACCTGATAAAAATATTAAGTTTTCAATTTAGAAATTAAAAATAGTGGCAGTGGTTTATTAATAATTTGTATATTTGACTTTCAAAGTTTGATAGTTATCTTAAAGACACCAATGTCTTTTTCCCAAAATGGAATTAAAATCTGACAACTATGTGTTCTCGGTTTAAACACAGATATACGAAGGCATACACAAGGATTACGGCAAGATTGCTTTACTGCCTTCTGCTAACTCTGCATCAACAGGAAACGAAAGTTTTTGAACTTGGTAAGGTAATTTGAAAAGCCAGAAAAATTATGTTGAAATAGGATTTTTCTAATCCATGAGTTGCTGATGATAAATTATGATTTACTTTTAGGCACTCTGTTTGGGTGGTCATTTAGTTTTACTAATTGTTTAAAGGAAATTGTGGTTTTCCAACTAGACTCTAGTTGTGTATTGAGGGGTAAACAGTTTGAATAAATAGGTTTGCCATCTTTCAAATCAGTTTAAGCTTCCCCTTGAGAGTGGGACTTTGCTCATAGTTTTCCAGCTCAGAATTGTCCATCTATGTTTAAAGTGTCTCTTGCCAAAACTGATTAATGTATCCTAACCTTCAGAAAAAAAAAAAAAAAAAGCATTGTAGATCTTGGGATTGCTGACTTAGTGTTTTGAAACTTCTACTCCAGTAAGATCTTTGTAACAAAAACAGAATCAAGCCTTCTTCAAAGGGCTTCAAAGGGCATTATGGTAAAATCTGCACAGACCTTCCAAGGTGGAAATTAGAAAATTAATAGGGGTGACCTTGGGTTCAAGGTACTGTATTTCTGATTTCTTTTTTGCTCCTCTTCCAGCTCCTACTGGGAAATTCCACACAGAGATATTAATCAAAATTCCACTAGAACTTGTTTCAATCTTTTCATGAAGACCCATGAGTGAAAAAATGAGTGTGTGACCTATAGTTTGAAAACTAAGTCAATGATAGAGTTGCTATCTTAGAGCCAAAACCAAGGGGGGAAAAGTTTAATGTTGTTTTATCACTTGATACCAATACAGATATTACATCACAGTTTTATATCTATGGAGTCCAGGATTGTATATGCTTTATTTTCTTTTCCACACCTCCTCAAGTCATTTCAACAGAGGCATACAGTATTAGTCCTATTGCAAGAGAGGCCACCTTGCACCAGGGAGTTCAGAGAGAAGCTGGTCCTGCGCCATTCCAGATTTAGCAAGAAGATCCCACTGAGCACAGACATTTGGTCTACACAATTGCCAGAGTCCCCAGCTTTGTTATAGAAACTTGTGAAAACACATTTCACTGTCTACCACCGCAATGGCCAAGTACGCTTGAGCATCTCTAGGTCCTGTATTTAACTGAAGTTCTTCCCAGCAAAGCACCTACTCCTTCGACATGCACAATTCTAGTGATATCCATACAATGTAATCTGGCTGCAGTGGAGACACAGTCTCTAATACAGCACGAGTTCATCCCCAAATATAAAAATGGTACTTCTACCAGAAATAAGGGATTCCTTTGACAACAGTAACTCGTAATAGCTGCTTAACTATGCCTTCTTGAAAATGTGCTTCAAGTTTGCTTTCAATGAGAAGAAATACATGATAATAAGTATCAAATGGTAATGAGACTACTTTGCAGAGAATGATATAAGGAATGTACTATAAAAGTCTGATTTAGAGATAATGAATCAGGAGACTACAAAATGAATCCAACAAATAGAATTACTTTGTTCAGCCAGCTTGTCTTGCTTTGAGTTAGTTTCTAACATTTAAAACAAAATTGGGCGTGGTTTACTCAAAGATCCAATTCCCGCTGTTTCTTAAAATCAGAAAACCTGGCAATAGTAGGTCTACATTCTTTAATGTCAAAAATGAGCTGAAGCTTGTATTTCTGCAATCTCTGTAGCTGGTCTGTTTTGCATGTCACTTGAGCATGTCACTTGGCATGTCACTTGGGTATTGTTTTCAAATCCTGCTCTAAGGGATACTTGAGATATAAAAACTGCCTCTGGATGTCACTTGGAGCCTTTATAGGATATATGGAAAATTCTAAGTGATGACATCAGTTTTTAGGTCATTATAATTTATCACGACACCTATATATAATGAGGCCAGAAATAGGTGCCATAAGAAAACTGACCTAACCCATACTCAGGAATGACTAAGCCCTTGTAAATCCACACTCCTCATCATTATACTTATTGCCATATACATTCATCTGCTCTGACTTTTGGAAAAGCCTCCAGATTTCAAGGAAGACTTCTGCGATTAGTGGTCAGTATAATGATCTGTCTCTATCTGTTCCATGAAAGGGCTGTATATGTAAAGTAACCCCCAAGTGCAGAAGGAGCTGGAAAGCAAAGAAGGAGGCAGACAAATACAGTGTGTTGGTTTGAGTGATTTACTAGGGAACTTACAGACAGACTCGTGGTCTTGGAGGGCTTCAAGACTGGTAGATCTCCGCACTGCAACCCCCCAGACCAGGGCTTAAATCTAGGGGAAAAAGCACATGTGCTCTGGAAGGAATGTGTAGGTGGCTATGGGCATCACAACTTATGATTTTTGGAACAACAACGTTGCTTTGGAGGGAACTTACAGTGAATAAATATTCCTACATAAAGAGTAGCACATTAACTAGACATTTTGGAGGCATTCCCCAACTTGTGGTTAGTCAGAAGTCACATGGCAGATTAGTATTTAAAATAGTCACTCTTGTCCTCGCACTATTATAGATTGTCTCTTCAAACAGGCAGGGATTTTTCATTATTGCTATTAAGGTCTTAAGTCATAAAAAACTTAAACCAATAACTATTTTCAGTGCCATATGAGCACTTAATATATGGTAATTAAATACAATTTTTATAACACTTTACAACATCTAAAATGTTCTTACATGTATTAATATGTCCAGAATTGGTTCCTTCCGGTGGGTTCTTGGTCTCGCTGACTTCAAGAATGAAGCTGCAGACCCTCGCGGTGACTGTTACAGTTCTTAAAGATGGTGTGCCCAGAGTTTGTTCCTTCAGATGGTCAGACGTGTCTGGAGTTTCTTCATTCCAGTGGGTTCGTGGTCTCACTTGACTTCAGGAGTGAAGCTGCAGACCTTCTCAGTGAGTGTTAGAGCTCTTAAAGGTGGTACATTGTTCCTCCCAGTGGGTTCGTGGTCTTGCTGACTTGAAGAGTGAAGCCACAACCCTTTGCAATGAGTGTTATAGCTCCTAAAGGTAGTGCGGACCCAAAGAGTGAGCAGCAGCAAGATTTATTGTGAAGAGCAAAAGAACAAAGCTTCCAGTGTGGAAGGGGACCCCAGCAGGTTGCTGCTGCTGGCTCGGGTGGCCAGCTTTTATTCCCTTATTTGGCCCTGCCCATGTCCTGCTGATTGGTCCATTTTACAGAGTGCTGATTGGTGTGTTTTTACAGAGTGTTGATTGGTGCATTTACAATCCTTTAGCTAGACACAAAAGTTCTCCAAGTCCCCACCTGACCCAGAAGCCCAGCTGGCTTCACCTCTCAATCCCCACTCTAAACAGGACAGCCCAACTGCTGTTGGGAATTGGGTGATGACTGCTGTAGCTACTTCCTGCTGGATAGGGGCAAAGAAGGGGACCTGTAGTTGTAGTGTCCTCCAGAGGAGAACACTGTAGACCAGTGAAGGGGTCAGCAAGTTGGTCCAGGGGTCCTCGGTAGAAGTTGTTAGTTGAGCTCATTTGGGGTTCCATTTGTAAGACCATCTGTAGCTTGATGGCCTCAATTCTAGAGGAACAAATTTGACAAGGAGGTTAAAAATACAGGGCCCGAAGGCAAGTAATAGCAAGATGGCTGTCATGGGACCTAGAAAGGGGAAAATCCATGTTGCCGAAGTCCAGAGGTTGGTATAAGAGTTTGAAAGGTATTGTCTGATTTCAGAAGCCTTTTCTTGTAAATGCTGGGCGGCATCTCGTACTATCCCTGACTGGTTAGTGTAAAAGCAACACTCTTACCCTAAGAACTTGCAGAGTCCTCCTTTCTCAGCAGTGAGGAGGTCTAGGCTTCGGCAGTTTTGGAGAGTTACTGCTGCCAAAGAGTCTATTTGGGATTGTAGGGTAAGGATAGATTTCATTATTTCTTGCAAACTGTCTGAGAAATCCTTTGAGAGTGTGTGGTAGTAGGATAATGCATGTTACACTGTTAACTTTTAGGAAACTTTAGTTGACAACCTTGTAAGTTTGGGATTTTAATTTTTCTTTGCTATTAATAAAACCTCGTTCAATCCATATTAACTTAGAATTGGTATAGATGGCTCCTTCTTGATTCTGTAAGTACTTTAAGGTTTGGCCTAGTGCAAACAACTCACAGGTTTGAGCAGATCAATTATTAGGCAATTTTCCTAACTCTACTTCTACAAGAGTTTCCTTATCATTTACTGAATACCCATTGTGTCTTTTTTCCTTAATCGCCTGGGAGGAACCATCTATTGTCCTGTCCTGAAGGAAGTTCCTCCTAGATCTGGTCGGATCTTTGTACGGTAATTAATTAAGATTTAGATCCCCTATTAGGAAACCTTTTGGGATAAGGATTTTTGATAGGAAGGCTATGGGCTGTCAGTGGCCTCAGTGTTTTCAGGCTACACCCTTGTTTACACTGACAACAAGGTGGTATTAGAGTGTTATATGGTTACACAGAAGACCTTCAATTATGAATTATAGGTTTTAAATTTACCCTGGCTTTTAAAGGAACAGGGTACACTTTTTTCTTTACTACTTCTATATCTCTTTCTCTTTGACTTCTTTGTCTCGGTCTTTCTGACTCCCTCTTTGTCTGTCTCTTCCTCTCTTTGACTTTCTATGTCTCTCTCTCTCTCTCTGACTCCCTCTTTGTCTCTCTCTCTTCCTCTCTCTGTCTCTTTGACTTTGTCTCTTTCTCTCTCTGGCACCCTCTTTGTCTCGCTCTTCCTCTCTCTGTCTCTCTCTCTGACTTTCTGTCTCTTTCTCTCTTTCCTTTCTGCTAGTCTTTCCCTGCCTCTGCCAGCCGCTTATGCTGCTGTTCTCCCCTCTCCTTCCCCTTTTGATGGCTTTGGCTGTGTAAGACTGCCACCTCCTTGGGTTTTTGCACTGCATGCAATAACTCCATGGTTTCCCTGTGGTATTTAATGGGGGTTCCTCCAGAGGTTAGGAACTCCCTTTCTTTTCATATTGCAGCATGGGCATGTAGGATTAGATAAGCATACTTGCTATGTGTATACACATTTATTCTTTTTCCCTTTCCCAGTTCTAAGGCTTGGGTAAATGCCACTAGTTCTCCTAACTGGGTGCTGGTCCCTGGGGGAAGAGGCTTACTTTCAAGTACGGTTACATCACTAACTATGGCATAACCTGCCCTTTGTATCCCATTCTCCACAAATGAACTTCCATCGGTATATAGATTAAGGTCAGGATTAGCTAAGGGGACTTCTAAGAGATCTTCTCGGGCGGCATAAGTCTGGACTATAATTTGTTGGCAGTTATGCCTGATTGGTTCCCTATCCTCTGAGAGAAAAATGGCAGGGTTGAGGCCCGCACACGTGTGTATTTGAAGCACTGGTCCCTCAAGGAGTAGCACCTGGTATCTAAGTAGGCAGTTGTCTGATAGCCATAAACTTCCTTTGGCATCTAGTATGCCATTTACATCATGAGTAGTCCAGACACTGAGATCCTTTCCTTGTATTATTTTGATAGTCTCTGACACTAAGACAGCCACCACCGCAACTACCTGTAAACAGTGAGGCCAGCCTTTTGCTACTACATCAATTTCCTTACTTAGGTATGTCACTGGTTGTGGGGTTGTCCTACAAGTCTGAGTAAGGACACCAAGAGCTATTCCTGCTCTCTGTGACATATAAAGAAAAGTTTTGTCCTGTGTGAAGGCTTAAGGCTGGAGCTTGAGTTTGTTCCTTCCAATGTCCAGACTTCAGGGTTGAGTCACTCCTCAAGCAGGGGACAACAAATGGGTAACTTGTTCTCCATATTCATGTAGATAATAGTTCCAGCTTTGGCTAATATATCCCTCCCTAATAAGGGTGTGGGACTTTCAGGCATAACAAGAAAGGCATGTGAAAAAAGCAAAGTCTCTCAATTACAACTGAGGAGGTGGGAGAAACACCTGGTTACAGGCTGTACCAGGATTCCTCGGATGGTAACAGATCTTGAGGACAGTCGTCCAGGACAGGAGATTAACACTGAGAAGACTGCCAGTGTCCAGGAGGAAGTCAATTTCCTGGCCCTCAATGGTTAAATGTACCTGGGGCTCAGTGAGGGTGATGACATGAGCTGGCACTTGCCCCGGGCACCCTCAGTCCTGTTGTTGGATCATCTGGTTGGGGGCTTCTGGCCCAGAGAAACTTTGACCTCTGGGGCAGTGCGCCTTCCAGTGATTGCTTCAGTATAGTGGACATGGGCAAGGGGGCAGCTTGTTTTTCATTGGACAATCTTTTTTAAAGTATCCTAATAAACCACACTGATAACAAGCCCTACCAGGTGATTGGCCTGCTCCATTTTCTGTCCTCTCTGAACCACCAACATTTGTTTGTCTGAGGGCCATGACTAAGGCTGTGGCCTTTCTCTGATCTCACTTTTCCTTTTGAGCCTGTTCCTCTTGGTCCATAGTATAGAACACCGAGGTTGCCAGGTTTAATAACGCCTCCAGATTTTGTTCAGGACCCACGGCTTGCTTTTGGAGCTTTCTCCTGATATCTGTGGCTGATTGGATAATAAACTTATCTTTTAGAATCAGTTGGCCCTCTAGTGAGTCGGGTGACAGGGGAGTATATTTTCTTAAGGCCTCCCGTAGCCACATGAGGAAGGCAGAAGGATTTTCTTCCTTTCCCTGAGTTATGGTGGACATCATTGAATAATTCATGGGCTTTTTCCTAATCCTCCTTCGTCCTTCTAGAACACAGGTCAACAGATGTTTACGACTCCAGTCCCCATCATCTGAGTCGAGGTCCCAGTGGGGATCCATACTGGAGATGGCTTGCTGACTGGTAGGGAATTTGTCCCTTTCTTCGGCTGTCATTCTGTCATTTACTTGACTAAGATACCAGGTATCTCCAGACTCTTGGGCTGCAGCTAAAGCCACATTCTTTTCATTAAAGGCCAGGGTTTGATCTAACAATAGCATGACATCTCTCCAAGTGAGAGCGAATGTTTGCCCTAGACCCTGTAGGATATCTATGTACCTATCAGGATCATCTGAAAACTTCCCCAGGTCTGCCTTGATCTGCTTTAAATCAGAGAGGGAGAAGGGGACATTTACCGAGGTTGGGCCAAATTCCCCTCCCCCTGCAGCTTGAAGGGGACATAACTGACAGCCCGGGGTTTTTGTGGTCCTTTGGAGATTTCTTTGCTTATTTCCTTCTGGGCAGGGGAGATTAGAGGAGGCTTATCATTAATAGGAAGGGGAGCTATAGGGAGGCTAGGATATAGGGTAAGTTGAGAGGTCCTCCTGTGGGATGTAAATTGCAAGGTTTGCATAGTTGTGTATTTTCCTTCAACGAAAAGAAAACTTGGACATAAGGTATTTCACTCCATTTGCCTTCTGTCTTACAGGAAAAAGTCAAGCTGCAGGATAGTATTGTAATTTATATTTCCTTCAGGTGGCCATTTCTCCCCAACAGAGAGAGAATATTGGGGCCAAGCCATAGTGCAGAAAAAAATGAGCTGCCTCTTTTTCAGGGTTTGTAGGTCAAATTGGTCCTAATGGCTTAGGATGCATTTTAAGGGTGAGCCTGTTAATGCCTGAGTGTTTCCTATCTGAAAGACAAAACTGCCCACGGTCTTGGTTTGTTTCTCACCCTGCCTAAGAACCCACAACAGTCCCTGGACCCTGCTGATTGGAATAGTTGCTCTCACCAATGCAGCAGCAGAAACAACCCCTGCCCAAGAACCCGCAACAGTCCCTGGACCCTGCTGATCGGAATAGTTGTGCTCACCGACACAGTAGCAGAAACACTAGTGGTCCTCCAAGACCACAAGGAGGACCAAGGAATGTCGGATTTAGTGGCCCTTACCAATGCATTCTCGAAAACCTGCACCCTTGCCTGTCCTCCTAGACCACAAAGACGACCAAGAAAAATCAGACTTAGTGGCCCTTACCAACGCAGTCTCGAAAATCTGTTAGAGTCCTAAGCATTCTCCAGCATTCTCCTGTTAGTATTGGGACTTTACTTGTGTCCTATAAAGATGTTATGCCCCAAAATGAAGTGGAGGGCCATGCCCTGAGGGAGGGATGAGATCTCCAGAGTTGGAAGAGTGATGCCTTTTGTCCTCATTTACATGAATAGGAAGGATATCATTTATGAAGCTCCCCATAACCTAGCTTCCAGAATAGCTTTTGTTAAGCCTACTAGTCTGAGGAAGGATCCCTAAATTCCAGATAAGATACTCCCCGGCCCCGAGAGGGCTTTGGGCAAAAATTATGCCTTTCTGATTTGTGAGCCAGGGTGCCTAAAGATGGTAGCAGAGTACTGGAGTTTATACTAGAAATCATTCTTATAGGAGAAACTAGAAAAGCACCAGAGACAGGGAGTGGTTTTTAGAAGTGGGACTAGCCTCAGAGAAGAGAGGCGAGAAGAGGTTTGTCGGACAAGCATTAGGACCCAGGAGGCAAGGGTCAGGATATATAGAATAGATGGGCGAGTCTTGCTTAGGCGACATGACTTTGAGAGTTCCGCTCATGGCCGCAGGGTCAACCAAGTTGTTGTCGGGACCCCGGAGCTGAATGGCTTTCCTTTCTGTTGACGGTTGGCTCAGCCCAGAAATACAGGAAAAGCGGAAGCTTGTTCCAGGCAAACCATGCTCCCAACTCCAAAGAGTCGGGGGTTACTAGAGAGCCCTTTCCCAGAAAGCCTGACACTTGTGTCTTTAGTCCAGCGGCCGTGCTAGTCGCTATTAACTGGCTGACAGGTGCCTGGTATTTAGCCCCCAAATTCTAAGGAAAAATAGGACAGAACAGCAAGCAAAAAGGGTCTGATGGTGCTCACCGCTTGGCGATAGTCAATAGTTCCTTCATGCTCACCAAAATGTGTCCTGAATTAGTTCCTTCTGGTGGGTTCTTGGTCTCGCTGACTTCAAGAATGAAGCCGCAGACCCTTGTGGTGACTGTTACAGTTCTTAAAGATGGTGTGTCCAGAGTTTGTTCCTTCAGATGTTCAGATGTGCCTGGAGTTTCTTCCTTCCAGTGGGTTTGTGGTCTCACTTGACTTCAGGAGTGAAGCCGCAGACCTTTGCAGTGAGTGTTAGAGCTCTTAAAGGTGGCACGTCCAGAGTTGTTTGTTCCTCCTGGTAGGTTAGTGGTCTCGCTGACTTCAGGAGTGAAGCCACAGACCTTCGCAATGAGTGTTACAGCTCATAAAGTTAGTGCGGACCCAAAGAGTGAGCAGCAGCAAGATTTATTGTGAAGAGCGAAAGAACAAAGCTTCCACAGCGCGGAAGTGGACCTGAGCAGGTTGCCACTGCTGGCTCGGGTGGCCAGCTTTTATTCCTTTATTTGGCACTGCCCATGTCCTGCTGATTCGTCCATTTTACAGAGTGCTGATTGGTCCATTTTACAAAGCGCTGATTGGTCCATTTTACAGAGTGCTGATTGGTGCGTTTACAATCCTTTAGCTAGACACAGAGCACTGACTGGTGCATTTACAATCCTTTAGCTAGACAGAAAAGTTCTCTAAGTCCGCATCTGACCCAGAAGCCCAGATGGTTTCACCTCTCATTAACTCTTTCATTTCTTACAAAATCACTGAAAAGTATGTAAAGTAGATCTTACTGTTCCTTTTAGTAGTCTCAAAAAATAAAAATGGGTTTTTTTTCCAAGAACAAATAAGTAATTTGAAAAGCCATGAGAAGAACTTTGGTTTATTTCCTACAAATAATAAAATTTTGGAATGTGTTATTGAAATACCTAAGTTATCAGCAATTGAGTAAATATTGTTAGACAGAGGTATAATCATTAACAGTCTAAGTTCTAAAATTAACAGATTTGACTTACTACTCTGGGTGTGTTTCTTAACAGCTCTGAGGCCTTGGGTAATCTAATTTTTTTCATTATTCTTTTATTTCTCTCATTTTAAAAATAATTATAGTTATCTTATAGTATTATTATGAAAACATATGAGATAATACCTGTTAAGTACTTACAATAGTGGCTGGCCCACAATAGGAAATCAATAAATAACACTTAAAATTATATTAATAGGGAGACACATAAAGTATCTGAATTTACCTACCTGGCTAAAAGAGTTATTTGGCCATTTTAATGTAATTTTCTCTGTCTAATGTAATTAATAGTTTGTGAGGGAAAAAATAGCCAGTGTAGAATTTAAATTGGCCACTTAAAAATTTGAATGTGCTTATGCAAAGGGCTCCTAAAAGATGTCAGAATGATACTTGAAAAAATTGCTTTGGATTCTATTTTTTTTTTGCTTAACACTTAAACATTTGTGCCTATTTATTGACAGAATATTTTTAATCCTTGAAGTGCTCTCAAGCACAGCAGTTCATTTCACAATTCACATTGAGTATGGAATCATTCTGTACTGATGCTGTCTCCTTTATAATTGTGAGATATTTTGTGAATCTGTTAAACAGTTGCCACCCTCCTTTTAGATTGTTGACTGGCTTTTGTTCACCCTCCTGTCCTTAAGAGTTCCTAGAATTCTCTTACTGGATAATGAGAAACAGGGGTACATGAGTCAAAACTCATTAAGATGAAAACCAATCAAGGCTCCTTTCTCTGTGTACCATGTAACATAGTGCTCTTATATTCAAATAAGTATAAATGTTAATTTGTTGCTTATTGTTAATTCAAAATGGAACGTGATAACAAAATTGCAATACTATTGATTTTTACTCTATACACTACACCCTTACAAACACAACTAAACCGTATATGCTACACACCACATCACTCACACACTTCTCAAGTTACAATTGTACAGGTGACTGTAAGTCACTTTTCATTGTACTCATTGAATATTCTATCTTTTTTTAACTATCTTTCATATTATAGGATTTCATACAAAATATTACTGTTTCATATTCAGTTATTCAAAACATCTCAGTCAAATTGATACTTTGAGTCTTGGCTTAATTAAAGCTCTTAGGATTTAGGTAAACCCATCTGGTTTGGAAGGTATTCTTTGTTTGTTTGCTTGCTTATACTTTATTTGTGAGGATTTCTTTGCAAAAAATTTTAAAAACACCTCAAAACTTCGTAAGTATTAAGAACTATTTATAAAGGTGAAGCCAAAATATTCTTTTTATTTAAAATGATCATCTTAGGAAGGAAATAAAATTTTATTTAAACCTGTAGGCTCTTTCAAATTCAGAGATGGTAATTATACAGCAAAAGGAAAGGTAAACTATAATATCCTCTTCATTAAGAGTGCTAATGTATTTTCATTACTCTTTTAACTTACTTAATACTTTATCCTTTATTGTGCCTCCCTTTTTATATGACAAAATTTTACTGAATATTCTGATGGCTATTTTTATAGATTTTATCTCTATCAAATTGTTTTTCAGCTACTAATAATGTTCAAATTAGTTTCATAAATACATACTTTGGTCTCATAAGTGTATACATGTGTTGTGATCTTGCCAATATTTTATACAAAATGAAAGTCCACAATCAATATATTTTTCATAAAAAGACTAGCATAGTAAGCAATTTCTTAAAATTTTTAATGTTAATCAAGTTACAAGATATTTATGCCTATTACAAAATAAAAATATGTATATTTTATTATTTTATAAAAAGATGAACCCAATGACCCACAATTAAATTATTACATATTGTGATCTTTGTTTATAGACATTTTTTACTGCAAAGCTAGTATAATGGAAAGTAGATAAATGAAGGGTATGGAAAAATATTAATAACCAGAAATAGAAATTAGACAGAAATTAAAGAAATAAGCAAAGATCCTTATTAATTGACTCCTCATATGAAAGTATGATATAAGTTGCTGGAGAAAAATAAAAGAACCTTTATAAATATTAAGTTTTCAAAAAATCTTTTTTCAGATACACTTTATTAACTATATTACTTACAGTAGTACCTCACTGTGAAAGTACAAATAAAAAACAATTGAAATACAAATAACTGAACTATCATATGCTGACACTGTCAGTTATATTTATATACAGTAATTTGTTTTCTAGAAGTTATATATAATTATTTCTAATCTTCATTTACTTCATTTAAAACCTATTTTTAAAAGAAAGAGTGCCCAGTTCTTTGTTCAAATGTTAAGAAATTTGCCTATGCCCACAATTGATAACGAGAACTTAGAAAGTTTTCATTATTGGGAAAAATGGACATCCATGCAGAGTTCAAGTATAAAAAATGTAAAGACAGCATTTTTTCTCCATGAGAACAGTTTATGACCCATTTCATAGATTCACACATTCTAACTATATTCATTCTTATCTCTATATATAAACTGGTATTTAAAACATTCATCTGTCTAATCACTTCTCGGCCTTTTGGTTAAGACCAAGTATAGAGAATTCGTTTATATATATCTATGTCCATAACAACATGTAAACACAAACACAATGTACATATACACATACACATAAATAGAAAAATACCTGAAAGGACATATAATAAATTAACTCTGAAGAGAGATGAGAAACCATTGGGGTAGGCAGTGTGCAGAGGACTTACAGCTTTTTGCTATATTTATTTTTATCGAGGGATTTCATGAGAATGAATATTCATGTTTGATTTTAAAAAGAAATTAAAAATGCTAAATATTTTGAATTTATAATATATAATATATAACATTATTCATGAGTTTAAGAGTAAGAGGATTTCATGATTAAAAATGTGTACAGACAAGACATTTTTAATTGAATACTTATTAGACACTTTAAAAAGTTGTAGGTTTTCCAAGTGCACTTTACAATAATCACAGATTTCTCTCACTGTGATAGGTATAATATCTTTGAGAAAGACCTCTATTTGTGTTAACAGAGTTCTGTTTCAGGTTTTCAATTCAGGAAAAAATGAAAGCAATGCTTCTCAAGCTTTATTCTTTTTTAAATGGGGACCTTTTAAAAATCCAGATACTAATTCAGTAGATTGGGGATAAAGCCTGCATTTTTGAAAGCTAGCAGTTGATGTTTCTTTCTGCTAAGGATGCCTAAAATTATCTACAAAATACCCAAAATATAAAAATTGAAATTTTAATTAACCAATTAATTAACTAAAAGTTAAAGCAAATTGATAGATTCATGTTTACAAGTTTCCAGGTTAATTAGATTTGCTGTTTTCATCTTAATGGTTGCCCTAGTGCTATAATGTCTAAATGGCCATGGAATCATGTTATATCAAAGATCATTTGGCTGTCATGGTAGGTTTCATTCAGGGTTCATTAGCTGCAAGTAAGTGAAGCAGGCAGTTGTTTGGAAGGGAACAAGGTAGTTCACAAAATGTAAGAAAGAAACAAATCATTGAATCATTGAGCTTAGAAATGACAGGTTGAAGGCAGCTGTTAATATGTGGGACGAAGAAACTGTCAATCTCTTCTGGATGTTATGATGGTAGGTCTTTTTGACATTGGTCATTCATCCTTTCAATTCCAAGTTGAGTGCACCTAATGACCCCAACTTGGATCTTCCAAAGCAAAACGAGGGTGCTGTTAATAGAAGAAAAATGAGTAGAAAATGGGTGGGAAAACGATAGAGGCCTACAGTGTCATGATATACAGAATAATCTATTTACCAGGTAACTGGAAAGGTAACTAGACCAAAGTACTACATATCATCTCATAAATGCCCTAAATTGTGTATGTGTGTGTGTGTGTGTGTGTGTGTGTGTGTGTGTGCATTCAATAATTTTTCCCACAGGACAATTACAATTTATGAAATAATTATGAAAGCATATTTGGATTTATGGAGTTGTATCAGATTGATTTTTAAATGCCCTTTTTTTGCATTTCAATATCCCTAAAATTCAGATGTATTTTACTATTTTACAGCTTATGACATTTTAGCATAGGACATTTTAGCACTGATTGGAAGCATTTCCTCTAGTGACACAAAAAGTGATGATGCACCTTACAATTGATGGCATTGTATATTTTATGAAATATGATAGTGATGTGATAAAGCATGATGGTTGTGCTTTATAAATATTGATGGTCATGATGTTAGAAATGGTGATGATTTTATACTAGCCTGAAGCAGTTAGCTTGTTGCAGCATACAAATGCAAATAATTAAATTAATCTTACCAGTGTAATTTGAAACATCACACTTGTGAAATTTTGTTATCCAAATTATTTCATGAAATTCAAGGAAGATATACAACTATCTGACTTATATGACAAAATGCGTTTTCTTCTTTTAAACAAAAATTGTAAAGGGGAATAGGCAATACACTCCCCAGTGAGAAATAAGCATCTGTGCAGCCCAGGTTTTTGAGATAGCCTAGGAATTCAAATGAATTGCTACTTTTTCCTCATAAAATCTGTGGATAAAAGTTTGCAGATATAAATTTTGGGACTAGGAAAAAATGCATTATTAAGAAAAACAAATAGTTTAGACTACTCAAATTCATGGCAGACTCAATTGATAAAGACATTTATCACTTGATCCAGAGACATCTTTAAGTTCCAATGGCTTACATAGAGTCGTGACATCAGCAGGAGGATACTTGTTTTTGGTTATTACCTCTCCATACAATATCTGCTGAGATGATCCACTGGCTCTCATTGGTATTTGCAATCAATCCAGTCTCGCCACACGGGAACATGTTTGCTCCTATTTCTCCACTGGGTTCCATGGGAATTTCTGAGATTGTAATAGTTCCATTTGCCTAGGCACCCCCAAGTAGCCATTTTTACTCTACTCTCCTGTGCCATGGTAACATGAGAACACTTGCCTCCTGTCAGATCCCTAGGCATGAAATGGGACATAGGCCTTTTCTACTATCATGTCTCTAAGTTTATCTGGAGTAGTTCTATTGATCACATCTTCAGCACAAGGGGCAGGCATAGGGTCCTTTCTCAGCAGCTCTTACCAGTTTCTAACATTCTTACTACTTTCTTTGTCGCAGCAAATTTTATCTTTTGTAGGGTAGAAAAACTACCTATAGTTCTACCACCCCAGTTCAAATAATAATGCCCCTTTTTGTTTTCTTATGGAATTTGTTTTGATCTCTCTCTCATATATATTGAATATAGTAGTGACAGTAAACAATTTTGCTTTCACCACTGAACTTTACATTTACTGTATGGAGTCCTCTAATTTTCTATTAGATAGCATAGTATCAAGTTAAGGTTTCTTTTTTTCTATTTCATTATATTTTTAAAAATATCTAAAATTCTTTATGCTGGTTTTCTCTTTAGATAAATTTAATTACTTAAAGTTTCCTTAATGTTGAGTTATTTTTGCATTCTTAGGACAAATCCTACTTGGTTACAATGCAACCTGTTAGTATTCTGTTGGAGTCAATTTATAATATTTTATCTAGGACCTTTATATTCATATTTATAAGTAATATTGGTCTACTATTTCTTTCATTAAGTTTACATTTTTTTGTTTTAGCTTAGTATTGTTATCAATATTCTTCATATAAGAAATATGGGTCACTACTAAATAACAAATAAATAGTTGTTTTATGGGGGCTGTTTTAATTAACCAAATAATTTGTCATATATACATATATATACATACACACACATACATGTATATGTATATAAATAAAATATACATGAGAAGTTATTAATCTTCTTTTTTGGGGGCCCTCTAGATACCAAATTCCTTTGCTTTGTGTACAACTTCAATCAACTGATTCTAATATATTTTTACCTTGCCCTTGAACTCTACATTATTGTAATAACAGGGATGCCACCAGTGTTGCCACTAAGACGTTTTACATATTATTGTTCAAGTAATCTTCCCAAATCTCATCATTGCCACATTTTGTTTCCTTTTCAAAATTTTCATTCTAATACTCATTTGTAAATATTGTGTTTTAATCAGGCCGGATGTTAGATAAATTTATTTTTTGATGTTTATAATAACAGTAAAATATGCTAAAACTAAGCATGGTTTAGACATACCCTAATTCTGAATGTACTTTAGAATCTATTAGAACAAAGAAGAATTTTCACTAAATAATTTGTCTTTGTATGATTACTGTAAAAATAGTGTGGGAGGAATTTTATGGTTCAGGATTCTAGATAAAACAATTTTATCTCAGTGTTCAAGAAAATAAATTGTCAGATATAAAGCAACAATAATATATTTTTCACTCTGTATGAACATATGTAGTATTTGCATTAAAGAGTTTTAAAAAGCAAATATTGTCAGTTGTAATTTTTAAAAAAGTATATGTTTGTCATTCATCCAAAATCTGGAGTGCTTTAGTTTATATGTAATCTTGAGAAAATTAAATGAATCTTGGCTAAATATAGAGCTCAAGTTCCTTTGATGCTGCTGAATCTCTTCTGTCTTTGCAGAATGCACCGTTTTCATTCATCTTAGGAAAAGATCACACATACACGCACACACACACATGCATGTGCATATAGTAATATATAATCACATAAATTATATTTAGGTATATGCATTCATATGTATAAATTAATATACATATACATGTAAATAAACATGACACATGATTATTAATAAATGCATTATATTAAGGTCAAGGAACAGAAATTGTGCAAATGCAAAAAGTGATGGAACCACAGTGGCACATAAAATTTCCAAAATATATATGGTACAATGTACTTGAAACATGAAACAGCACTCATTTCCAGCATCAGAAAAATCTACCAAAAACTCCCTGGTTGAATCTATTTTGGTCTGTAGACTGAATTCTTATTTATATACCAAAGTAGCTAAGTTTAGTAATTCTTTCTACTCTGTTAAGAGCTGTAAATCAACACTCTTAGAATAAAATTAAGTTTCTCACTGTAACATGTTTAATATTCATTTTTAAGTTATCATATTCAGATGTAACCTGATCTTTTAGGCAAAACCTAGATTCTCAATCTCAACCACTGCCTTATGCCTTTCATCTGTGTTAACTCCAAGAATTGGCACACAACTCCAGGCTATGGATGTGGGGCTCAAAAGTACTTCCGGAATTAAATTTTCACACAGATTGTTGGAATATGTGCTTGAAATAAAAATTAAGTGAAATTAGATGAAGAAAATATAGTTTTTAGAAACAAGAATCTGTATAGTGAAATTCACACCTTATATAATCATGCAATTTTTTTGTTGTATTGAAAAGGGGAATATAAAAGAAAGGGCATTCCAGGCAAGAAGACCTAAGGAAGGCCAAAAAGTTGAATTTAATGTGTTCATCTTGTGCCCAGAGACTGGCATTGTCCCTGATACAAAGTAGCTGCAAGATAAATATTTATTAAATGTGTCAAATTAGGATTGCACTGGTAAATAATCTTGCTTTTCTGCATAAAGAGCCTGTATCTCCAAGTCTAGTGTATGCAGAAACACTCAAGAGACTTAACTATTGAGTTTCCAAATTTTTTTTAGAAACTCTCATTTGTGTTTCCTGCCCCAATCTTAAAATCTATAAGTTCCCTAATTATTTTCTTTTACTTCGCCTGTTCCAAATTGATTGTTATTTTTGAATCCTTCTGAGTCTTGTTTAATTATAGCATATCATACATCTAATACTCTTGTTGAGGTATACCTGCAACCTCTTGAGTCTCACAATCCAAGCGTGCCTCTATTTCCATAGGCATCGATGAACAGACCATTTATTAGCTTGTAGTCAACAAACTGTGGTTCCACTCAGCTGACTTTTTTCTTCTCAGGCTTTTACCCATATGATATATCTATAATATTTCTGCCTTACAGTGGATATATTTCTCAAGAATCTTGTTAGTAACTTAAATTCATTCAAGATTTAATAGATAGATTTAATATTGTATACTCTCCTATCTCTTATACTTCCCACAATATAATTTTAGTTTAAAAAGTCTAACCAAAACATAATACTTATATAAATCTGGCATAATATGTACAGGATCTATATAAGCAAAACTAAAAAGCTTTAATAAAAGAAATAAAGAACCAAATAAATGGAGAAATATTCCATGTTCATGGATAGGAAGATTCAATATTATCAGTTTTTCCTAACTTGATCTATAGACTCAAAACAATCACAACAAAATCCCAGCAAATTATTTTTTAAAGTATAGAAAAACTGATTTAAAAGTTTATATGGAGAAACAAAAGACCCAGGAGGGCAGGAACAAAGTTGGAAGACTGATGCTACCTGACTTTAAGACTTACTATAAAGCTATAGTTATAAAGATAGTGTAGTATTGGCAACAGAATAGACAAATAGATCAATGGAACAGAAACAGACTAGGGAACCCAGAAATGGACCCACATAAATATAGTCAACTGATCTCTTACAAGGAAGCAAAGGCAATACAATAGGGAAACACTACTCTTTTCAACAAATGGTGCCCAAACAACTGGACATCATATGCAAAACATAAAATAAAATAAAATAAACTTAGAAACAGACCTTATACATTTCACAGAAAAAAGTCTCAAAATGGATTACAGACCTAAATGTAAAACACAAAACTATAAAACTCCTAAAAGATAACATAGGAGAAAATCGAGATGACCTTGGGTTTAGCAATGACTAAACCCAATGTTTCAGACAAAAACATGATCTACGAAGAAAAATTAATAAGCTAGACTTCATTGACATTAAAAATTTTGGATCTGCAAAAATAACTGAAGAGAATAAAAAGACAAGCCAAAGACTGAAGAGAATATTTGCAAAAGACATATTTGATAAAGGGCTGTTATTAAAAACGTACAAGGGACTCTTTTTTTTTTTTTTTTTTTGAGACAGAGTCTCACTCTGTCACCAGGCTGGAGTGCAGTGGTGCGATCTCGGCTCACTGCAACCTCGGACTTCCTGGTTCAAGCAATTCTCCTGCCTCAGTCTCCTGAGTAGCTGGGATTACAGGCATGTGCCACCACACCCAGCTTATTTTTGTATTTTGAGTAGAGACAGGGTTTCACCATGTTGGCCAGGATGGTGTCAATCTCCTGAACTCTTAAAACTCAATACTAGGAACACAAACAATACAATATACAAATAAGCTGAAGATCTTCACAGTCATCTCACTAAAAAAGACATACAGATAGCAAATAAGGCTATGAAAATATGCTCCACATTATATGTCATCAGGCAAATGCAAATTAAAACAGTGAGATACCGCTACACACCTTAATAATGGCTGAATTTAGCGCTAAGTACACTAAAGATATGGAGCAACAAGGACTCTCATTCATTACTGGTGGGAATTCAAAATGGTACAGCCACTTTGGAAGGCAGCTTGTCAGTTTCTTAAAAAAGTAAACATACTCTTATATGATCTAATAATGATGCTCCTTGTTATCGACTCAAAGCAGTTGAAAACTTATGCCCACACAAAAAGCTGCATATGGATGTTTATAGCAGCTTTATTTATAAATATCAAAACTTAGAAGTAACCAGGATGTCTTTCATTCCTTTTTTTTTTTTTTTTAACTTTAAGTTCTGGGATACATGTGCAGAACGTGCAAGTTTGTTACATAGGCATACATGTACCATGGCGGTTTGCTGCACCTATTAACACATCATCTAGGTTTTAAGCCCTGCATCCGTTAGGTATTTGTCCGAATGCTCTCCCTCCCCTTTCCCCCCAGCCCCCAACAGTCCCCATTGTGTGTTGTTCCCCTCTCTGTGTCCATGTGTTCTCATTGTTCAGCTCCCACTTATGAGTGAGAACATGTGGTGTTTGGTTTACTGTTCCTGTGTTAGTTTGATGAGAATGATGGCTTCCACAGGATGTCTTTCAATAGTGAGTGGATAAAAAAACTAGGGTACATCTGGATAATGGGATATTATTCAGCACTGAAAAGAAATCAGCTATCAAGCCATACAAAAAGACATGAAGGAACCTTAAATGCATATTACTAAGTGAAAGAAGCCAATGTGAAAAGGCATACTATATAATTATAAGTGTATGACATTCTAGAAAAGGCAAACTACAGAGACAGTAAAATCATCAGTGTTCACCGGATGATGAATAGGTGGAGCACAGAAGATTTTCGGGGCAGTGGAACTACTCTTTATGACACTGTAATTGTGGATATGTGTCATTATAAATTTGTTCAAACCTATGGAATGACCACTAAAAGTAAATGCTAATGTGAACTATGGACTCTCCGAGATAATGATGTGTCAGTGTAGATTCATCAGTTGCAACAAATGTACCACTCTGGAGGGGAATGTTAATAATGAGGAAGGCTATGCATGTATAATGAGGGGATATATGGGAAATCTCTGTGCCTTTCACTCAATTTTGCTGTGAACTTACTACTGCTCTAAAAGTAAAATCTAATTAAAAATGAATAAGAACTAATTTGATATTTGCTATTATTATTCAAATAAAATGTGAAAAATATAATCAAAAATTTTTTTCTAGCTAAAGTCTGTCCCTTTTCTTATTTTCTGCATACTGAGCACATACTGAACACTACCTCTTTGCCTTTATAAAAAGAGGGACGTTGGGATTTCTCCTCCTACATTTGAGCTTCACTGACCTTTTTTTAAAATTATTGGTTTGTATGAGTGACCAAAGCCTAGTTAGCTGTATGGCCTCATAATAATCCTAATAAAAGCAAACGGCTTTTTGCGGCACATGATTATGTGTTCTAATTAATTCAGTGATTATTTTTATGTTAGTCAGGATAACTTTGACCTTTGCCTTTCATTTTTTAGTACTATGACTTTAAACAAAATGTTTCCACAAAAGTTGAAGAGTATAGTAGATACATTTTAAATTCTTATGACATTATGGTGAGGAAATACAGCAAGAACCATCTTCATCTTAAATGAAGAAAAGTTAGGATTAACAAAGCAGGGCATTTTATCGAAAGCCATTACAGACCAAGGTGGGAGGGTTGCTTGAGCTCAGAAGTTCAAGACCAGCCTGGGCAACATAGCGAGACCTCGTCTCTACAAAAAATTTGGCCGGGCGTGGTAGCTTACACCTGTAATCCCAGCACTTTGGGAGGCTGAGGAGGGTGGATCACGAGGTCAGGACATCGAGACCATCCTGGCTAACATGGTGAAACCCCATCTCTACTAAAAATACAAAAAATTAGCCGGGCGTGGTGGTGGGTGCCTGTAGTCCCAGCTACTCGGGAGGCTGAGGCAGGAGAATGGCGTGAACCCAGGAGACAGAGCTTGCAGTGAGCCGAGATGGCACCACTGCACTCCAGCCTGGGTGACAGAGCGAGACTCCATCTCAAAAAATAAATAAATAAATAAATAAATAAATAATTAAAAAATTAGCCAGGGTGATGGAGTGTGCCTGTAGGCCTAGCTACTTGGGAGCTGAGGCAGGAGGATCATTTGAGCCCAGGAGGTCAAGGTTGCAGTGAGCTGTGATCTTGCCACTGCACTCCAGCCTGGGTGACAGAACAGGACCCTGTCTCAAAAAAATACAAAAACAAACAAATGAAAAAGCCATTTAATTGATGCCATATTAAAAAAAGAATATATAATTTACTCTGAACATTTGTGGCCAAACTTCTGTTTCTCGAATACAACAATATCACACCACATGAATAGAAAATTAATCATAAATTCAGATTATAGAGGATTTAAATCTCGAAATAACACAAGTGGAATTCTAAGTAGCATCTGTTCCCACCCACATCCTCTTCTGGTTTTCTTTCCCCAAAGTGTAAGGAAGTGGTGATTGAGGACATTCAGCAATGTTCTTATGTGCTCTACCTCCAAACTCAAGGTTTAAATTGACTTTGTGATGTGAACTACATTGCTTGTAAGGAACTGGCTATATTCTATAGTTCAAAACTCCCTAAATAAAAATAGTTCTTATGCAAAGTTTCAAAAAAATTGAATATAAAATGCAACAATAATTTCTTATGGTAACCTTGTAACAAAGTTTTACCAAGTATGCCTTTGTATGTTTTTATTATTTGTTTGCCTTTAAATTAGGGTCTATTCATTTTTGTTTTCTATTGCAGGGTTTTTAAAATTTGCATATTATACAGGATGATGATCTGGGCTCATTCATATTTAGCACCCCATGACCTACAAAACAGTAACAACAAAGCATTTAGCTGATGTTATTGCAAACAATTTTCACTTCTTTTTAATATTTATTGCCTTTCTGCACTAGTCATTGTGGTGCATAGCGCTCTCATAGATGTTAGAAAGCATCATAAGTGTGAACCATTGCCAGTGCTGCAACTAATAAAAATTAGTATCCATGTGCAGTCTGCTGTGCTTGTCTCTGCCTAATACAGTTCCCTACTTTCCCTGGCCAGCAAGAAAAACAGGTTTGGATATTAATGGATAAATTTCTTGGGGTTCCGTGGAGATAGAAAGTGAAAGGTGATGTTCTTTTTATTACTTCACTGGTAAGGACAAGCTTACCCAAAACTAGAAGGTCTATGTGTCAGTACCAAAGATAACATTCCTAGTTCTCGCTGCTTCCTTGGGGGTTTTACAATACACTCACGTTAAGAGTGGGATGTTGCCTTCTGTGGCCAGCAACTTATTCTTGTACATAGGAATATAGACTGGGGTCCAAATCCAGACTGTCACACATAGCACCATCTTCCTTCTTCATCTTTCTCCTCCTTATTTCTTATTTCTACCACTATTTCCATTATCTTCTCTCAGAACTTGTAAAAAGTAACAGAATCTGGAATTTTCCAGTAGGAGGTAATATGATAGACATTTCTCTAATTGGAGGATACTGAAGTTAAACTCGGCCCAAACGGCTTTCATGTTAAACAGCTTCTGCAGGGTCTCAGAGCTGAAAGTGTCCAGTTGTATCCACTTATTTATTTTGATTGTATTAGTTTCTATTCTACAGAATACTTTTTAAGTAACATTTAAGGTCATTTATCTTTTGGTTAAGTAGTCAGGAAGCAAGAGAGAGAGAAGAAGGAGAATCTAATGTTCTTTTCCTACTTTATCATATTCTTCTGATAGCATCAGAATCACCGTGTCAGTCATAATAAACACCTGATAGCCCAAGATTCAGATTATTTATTGTAACCCTCCCTGGGAAAAGTGTGTGTGTGTGTATACTGTGTATTCCCAAAAAGGAGGTTTTAACCAATAATTAAAACCCAACAGGGTATGATGGCAAAGATCCAAATGGAGACATTTAAGTAATCATGAAAGTGCTACTGTGAATTTCAATATCCACCTGAGAAAGCCCTTTTGTCTTCATGGTTACATTACACTAGAACAAAGAAGGTATCAACAATTAATGCACTGGGTTAAAAAAAATACCACTATGAAATAGGAGTAAAATATTGTTATCAAAAGACCTCAGATTTCAAAGCATTTGCCAGTTTGTCTTTTATATTAAATACTTACATTCTTCTTTTGTCATGATCCATATTTTTAATAATGATTCTTGTTTTTTTTTTTTAAAAAGCATTAATGTTTCAGGAAATTTATCTGTTTTAGACTTTAGATACTAACAATGGAGAGGTTTGTTGAGATATTTTTGGTATTATTGACCACAGTCAGATGGAAATGACCTACAAAGCACTGTTTTTTCCCCCATTTCTGCTCTTAGCTGTATCTAAAAGAAGAGCTGTGCAAACAAAATAAAAGTTAGTGCAGCTTATGTTTCAACCAGAGTTGATATTTATTGGGTAGTTACAGTGTGCTAGACACGACTGCAGGCATTTTATGCTTATTAATTTTATAATTCTCATAATAACCCTAGTAAGTTATTTTAATTCTCTAAATGATTTATATTGTTGGCAATTTATTTTTTTGTTTTTTTTATTTTTTGAGATGGAGTTTTGCTCTTTCGCCCAGGCTGGAGTACAGTGGTGTGATCTTGGCTCACTGCAACCTCCACTCTTTGGTTTCAAGCAATTCTCCTGCCTCAGCCTCCTGAGTAGCTGGGATTAGAGGTGCCCGCCACCACACCCGGCTAATTTTTGTATTTTTAGTAGAGACGGGGTTTCACCATGTTGGCCAGGCTGGTCTCGAACTCCTGACCTCATGATCCACCTGCCTTGGCCTACCAAAGTGCTGGGAATACAGGCGTGAGCCACTGTGCCCAGCCTATATTGGTGGCAATTTATATAAATCCTTATTCAATCCAAACTAGTTCACTTTTTCAGTAGCAAAACTCCACCAAGCATTGTCTTTAAATGCTATAATAATTAAATTATAAACAGCAATTAAAATAATTCTATTAATTAAGTTAATGAAATATAAATTCAAAACATCCATGCCAAAATGAGAATATCAAGTAAAATTTGGCATAGTGAATAAAGACATGGTAATATTATGATTACAAATCGTTTTCAGTAGTTCTTCCTTTAGAATTTCCCTGAAGGTCAATGACAAATACAATCTTTATTGCTCACTGGCAGGAGGCTATCTTAATCCATGAGCTGATTATTTTGGTCTTGATAAATAAAAAATGTAGTCCCTAAGTAAGAGTTCATTTAAACAGAGACTGAACATACTTAAGAAATTGACGATTAGTCTTTATTACTTTTAGTGTGTTTAGAATCTATCCTTACTTTATAAGTTCTACTGCTACACATTTTTTTCTTTGTTGTTGTTTTGTTTGATTTTTTGTTTTTTGTTTGAGACGGAGTTTCACTCTTGTTGCCCAGGCTAGAGTGCGATGGCACAATCTCGGCTCACTGCAACCTCCGCCTCCCAGGTTCAGGTGATTCTCCTGTGTCAGCCTCCTGAGTAGTTGGGACTACAGGGATGTGCCACCAGGCCCGGCTAATTTTTGTATTTTTTTTAATAGAGGCGGGGTTTCACCATGTTGGTCAGGCTGGTCTCGAACTCATGAGCTCAAATGATCCGCCTGCCTCGGCCTCCCAAGGTGCTGGGATTATAGGCGTGAGCCACTGCATACTGCTACTTTTTTTATTGTGAGTTATTTCACCAACCTGAACAATTACTGCTCCATCTCTTAATTCCACTCTTTTAATCCTACAATAGAGACTCTATTCGGGTCCTGAAACTGTCATTTTCTTGCTTAAAACTTCCCCTGAGCAATTTTCCATGTATGGAAGATAGTGGCAGCCACCTGAATCTGAATCTGTTCATATAAAAAACTAAAAAACTGCAGTATCAACCATGAACACACATAAAATTACTATTGGCCATGCTTTAGGCATTACTAGGGGACAGAGAATGCCAGGAGCTTCTAATTATTTGTAAGCAGAAAAATAAAAACCAAATTCTATCAAAGCTCTCATGACTGGTAAAAGTCTGCACATATCGAGAGTAAGGAAGAGGAAACATAAAAGCTTCTGTGAAAATGAAGACTGGAAGAGAATATTTAGATAAAAGACAGACAAAATCACTTTCAGAAAGAGAAATTATGATAGAGTACCAAAATGCCAAGCACAAGTCAAGGAATTGGTCATTCTGAGCATTAACTGCTGCACTGGGGGTCAAAAGTAAGCAGATCTGGAGGTATTAGCCTTTGGAATGCATTTCTTCTGGAGGGAGAATGTGAAAAATAGACAAGGGGCAGAAGTGAAAAGAAAGAAGTAAAAGAATAATTGAAAGTTAAGGCTCCCACAGAAACAAAAGACAACATGACAAACCATCTGTCCCCTCTTCCTGCCACCATCACTACCATCAGCAACATCATTAACTTTGTAAATCCATTTATTATACTGGTATAAGTGGGCAGTATTCCTGAGCTAGGAAACATTGTCAACAAAAGGCTAAGGATTGCAAAAAAATCAAACCAATTCAACACAAAAGTACTGCAAAAAGTACACAGAAAATTCAAATAAAATATATCCTGAGATGAGTATTCTCTCCAAAAAAGTCAATAAGGAAGCAGAACACTGTAGCAAACACTCCCAACTGAATTAAGTAGTTGTCAACAAATATTTATTTATATATTTTTAAAATGCATTGAATCAGAAATTTTTAAAAAATAGCGAAAAGAACAAAACACAGGAAACAATGCAAAGAGAGTCAATCAAATTCAGAAAAGACGTTAAAGACAAAATTAACCAGAAAATAGAAAATGAAGAAGAAATTAGAAGTGCCCAAGGGAGCACATATTAAGATAAAAATTTAATAAGGGAGATTGAAGAAAGGCAGGAAATTAACCAAGAGGGTACATTTGAGATTTTGAAGAAAGAGGAAAATGTTAGGGAGAAAGTAGATGAAATGGAAGACTGGGACAAAATAAAAATAAAATCCAGACCATGGTATTATATAATTAAAGTTCATAGAAAAGAAAAACAGAAAGAACAGAAGTAATATTTAAATGTGAAAGCCAAGAAAACTATCTGGAAAGAAAAGGTAACCTAAATCTGTATTCTGAGAGGGCCTAAATTGTACCTGGGAAAACAATCCAAAACAAATGACTGAGAAATATTCTAGAAAAACAATTACATTTTCAGGAAAATAATCACCAGTTTCTCTAAGCAAAAATAATCAAGTTACCCATAATGGGAAGAATATTAGTTTTATGTCAATCAGTCTTCTTACGAGCAACATACAACACAAAGCAACTGGGGAAGCCGCATTTACAAATACTTAACAAGTGATAAAGTTAACCAAGGTTTTTATATGCAGACAAGCTGTCAAAGTATCAAGACTGGAGAAAAACAGTTTTAGCTTTGCAAGAACCCAAGGCACATTGTATACATGGGTCATTCATGAAAAATCTACTAGAGGATGAGTTCAAGCAACCAAGGCATTCTGAGGAAACCATGGTGAATTGATTGCTTGTGATTATTTAATATATTCAATTGTAAATCAAAGACTAAAACAAGGATAGGGAGATGGGTGAGAGAATAGTTTATAAGTGTTACATGTTCTGAGAATGTGGAAAGAAGTCAATAAAAATGAGAGGAGAAGAGAGGAAGAAGGGGAAATTTGAAAAACGTAATTGTTGTATATGAGTGTCCGTGCATACCATTTAAAACTGACAGACTAGATGGTAAAGGGTTATTAAGAAAAAGGGAAATGCAGGGCACTAGAACAGGTAGAAATTACTAGAACAAAGTAGGATCTTTCTGAAAATCCCAATGAAGTAATAAAAACGATTTTATTACACATAATATATTATAAATAGTATGTGATACACATATCAATTATAGCATAAAATGTCAGAATTGAATCTAAATGCCACTCATAACATTAAAGACAAATGAGTGAGGATGTCTTCTCTCACCACTCCTATTCTACACTATACTAGAATTCCTAGCTAGTGCAACAAGACAAGAAAAGGAAACAAAAGGTATACAGCATGGATAGGAGAAAATAAAACTGCTTTTATTTGCAGACACAATGATTATCTATGTAGAAACTACTACTATTGAAGAATATATATATTTAAAACCTACCGGAGCTAATAAGTGACTATGGTGGATAGCAGGATACGAGGTCATATATAAAATCAACTGATTTCCTATGAAAATTTATTGAAAACCTGGAACTTAAAATTTAACAAATATCCATTTGCAATGGCACCAGAAAATCAAACACTTAGACGTAAATCTAACAAAGTATGTGCAAAATTTAGATAAGAAAATTGCTAAACATGGCTGAAAGAAATTCAAGATGACATAAATGAATAAAGAGGTATTGTGTGCTGAAAAATTGGAAGGCTCAATATAGTAAAGATGTCAATTCTTTCCAACTTAATCTATAGATTCAATGTAATCCCAATCAAAATTCTAACAAGCTATTTTTGTCAATATTGACAAACTTGACTCTAAAGTTTATATGGAAAGGCAAAAAGCGTGCAATTCTATTCAACATAATATTCTTTGTTCATTAGTTACCATGCTTTTGTTCTTAAAAGGTTATTTTTATTCTTAATTCCAGACTTTTAAATTGTTAAAAACATGTCATTAATATCTCTGCAAAAGTGGAATGGTTAATGAAAAATTACCTTGGAAACCAAACTCAAGCACACCACCATGGGATCAACTTTTGCCACTCTTAAGGAGATTAGCAGTAAGTTGTTTATGTGGATTGCTTCGGGATTCCATTTAAAATTTTTACCATACTATACCCTGAAGGATTACACATGCCTGGTAGCAAGCACACTGAGTGTGTACAATTTGATTCACTCCTTTGCTCATATGTTCAGTACACATTATGGGAATATATAAATTGAAAACCACAATTCTCCTCTTGCTGAACATAACAGACTTATCATTACTGATGACTCTTTTCACTCAGGGTTCTGTCCCTGCTGAAATCTTTGAGACAGCTAATCAATGGCTGAGTGCCATTTGAAAATCCAATACGATCCCCAAGGAAGATATAGCACTGTGTTTTCTTTTTATAGCAAACGAAACACGTTAAAAACCTGGCACCTACTTCATTTGACTTCTTATAGGAGGAAAGGCCCATTTAGAAAATATGGACTACAAATCTAGAAATAAATAAATAAATAAAAGAAGTAGGCCTCTTATATTACAAAATTTTCCAAAGTCATAGTAGATCTCTACGGAACAAAGTTAGAAAGTTAAATATCATGATGGGACTAAAGAATTAGGTGACAATTTGTTAAAACAAAAACAAAACCCAAGCAATTCATTGGTTTAGTCTGGTAACATAGTCTGCAAAATGAGAGGATTAAAGTTCTGTTCTTACCTAATCCTGCACATGTGTTGATTAGCCAAAACTCAGGGACTCTGCTATTACTGATCATTATACTTGCCTAACAGAAAGGCTCTTAGGTTTTCATTTACTGTACACCATAATCACCTGCAGAATTTGTTAAAATCACAGATGCTCAAATGTTACCCCAAACTTACCATATTGGGATCTCTGGGGGATTGGTCATTTATATTTTGAACTAGCTTCCCAGGTGATTTTGATGCTCACCTTGTCTTATCATATGGAAGACTCTCTAATAAGGAGCATGGAAGCAACTTACTATTGATTATTCATTGTCAGTGTCCAATACGTAAAGAACCTATTGGCTTTGCTGCAACTGTACATATCTGCCATCATTTTCTTGGCACTTTACTTTGGATTAATATATCTGTTCTATAGTGGCAAAGGAGGGAATGAGAGATAAAATAAAAATTTATTCTGAAAGGTTTTGGCAAAAGATTTGTAAAAAATATAGATGGGCATAAATGTTAAAATTACTTGAGGATATTGTTATCTATACACATGGTATCTGCAATATAATTGGTTCTATTGTCTTGGATCCTAAGTAGACCCTTAAATAGATTCAAGAATCTTATAACTTGAAAGTTAGCAACAGTCTCAGAAATTATCTCAATCACCTCAGTTTCCTGATATAGAATCAGAATAATTTTTTTTAACCTTCAAACAGGCTTCCATTTTACTTAATAAATACTTCAAATAAATACAAGTCAGCAATATAATGTAGGGCTGTTGGTGTATAATTAATAAGCATAATGCATACATGAAGTCTTTTTTACATTCTGCCAACCTTATGAAATACGTTATAAAATGTATTTGGTCTTGAGCCAACCAGTTTGAGAGAAAAGGAAAACTCTGAGGAACAATATGCAAAGAGGGATGTGATGTTGAAAAGAAGTGAGAAAGGTTGGGCATGGCGGCTCACACCTGTAATCCCAGCACTTTGGGAGGCCGAGGTGAATGAATAACGTGAGGTCAGGAGTTCAAGACCAGCCTGGCCAACATGGTGAAACCCCAGCTCTACTAAAAATACAAAAAAATTAGCCAGGCATGGTGGCGGGCACCTGTAATCCCAGCTACTTTGGAGGCTGAGGCAGGAAAATCTCTGGAACCCGGGAAGTGGAGGTTGCAGTGAGCCGAGATCACGCCACTGCACTCCAGCCTGGGTGACAACAGCAAGACTCTATCTCAAAAAAAAAAAAAAAAAGAAGTGAGAAAAAAAGGAACGCAAAGGGTTTATAAGGTTCATTATACAGGGGGAGGAAAGTGTATTTTCTTTCGATTGTAAATAACATGAAGGATGTGTTTTAAATTGCTTCAGGAAAGGTTGACCTTAACTGCTACTTGCAGTTTCCTTAAACTAAGTACACTATATCATGCTTCTGTCTCTTTGCAAATGCTATTTCTTCTTCTTGGCACACGTTTTTTTTTTTTTTTCTTTTGCAAGTCTTTCTTGACTTCACCTACCAAGCAAAGTTTTCCTTCTCTTGGCTTGTAATAGATTGCATCATCATTGTTCCTGCGTTTTGCTTCTATATCTCCTCCCAGGCAGAAATCATATTTTATTCACCTTTAATTCCCCATTCTATCCCAGTGTCTTGAAAATACTGATGTTTGTTGAAAGAGTGAAAAGTTAAATGAAGAAAAGACTCTTGATTAAAGAGTTATAGGTTAACAAAAATAAGTCATTGGGGGAAAAAAGTGAAACTTCTGACCAAAATTGGTCAGAAGTTGAATGCATAAAGCCTCAAACTTACAGAGGAGGCAATGGGCATGTGGTGGCCACCAGAAGATTCTGTTTTTATTAGACCTTTCACTTTACCTGTGAGCACAGAATCTGGGGCCAGACTCCTCCTAATGATACTATCTGTTGCAGTTCCTGCAAGACTGAATGACAAGAGGTATAAGGAGCAGTCTCTTACATCAGAGCAGCAGCTTCATAGCCTGCAACCAGAAAGCCTGAAATAATAAATACTGGCCTTACAACTAGGAGAGGTCAACTTCCTCACAGAATCTATCATAATATATAGAGATGAAAACATTCTGCATTTTATTTTACCCACAGTTTCACAAAATTTGCAGGGCATAAACTTCATCTGAAGAACTTGTAAACCCAGATTCCCAAGGCAATTGATTCCAAAGGTATTGGGAACCACTCGGGAATCTGCAATTTAACTAGTGTCCTGAGATTCTAATGTGTTTAGCCCTTCACAATCACTGTACTATGTTAGCTACAGTGAACACTTTTTTGCTAATTACCTGAAAAAAAGCCTGGACACTTGGGACACTTACCCAAATAAATAAAAATGATTTAAAATATGTTTAGCGTCTATGGAATTCATCAAGTAATTCAGAAACTATATTAATTCCTATTTTGTACAAGATAGAGGCACATGATGTAGTGGTTCAGAGACTGTGCTCTGGATTCTTACTATATGGTTGGATAACAGCATTTTTGGGAAAGATACTTAAATGTTTCACATCGCAATTCCCCCCACCTTTTTTTTAAAGAATGAGAATAATAAAAGTACTTACAGAGCAGCCACAAGGATAAAATGAGATAATGCATATCAAGTGCTTAGTATTGTGTCATACTCCCAGGGTGAGTTTAATAAAGGTTGGCAGTTGTGATGATGATCTAACTTATAATTTTGAAGAATAGATAATTGAAAAATACAAAGGGGATAGAAAAAAAAGAAAAACTATATATAGATATCTATGTTATGACAAGAGCAATGGTTTGAGCAAGGTATATGATGTCAATTTTATAAAACAAGTAGAGATAAAATTCTGTGGCACTCCAGAAATGAAAATACTGTATGCAGTTGTGGGGTATGAGCTCTGGGAAGGCACTGTGGTTGCAATTCCACTCAATTTGGGTCCTGAAGGACCAGTAAACTATGAGCGTATATACAAGGGAGAAAACCATAAACTAGGGTTTGAAAACATTGAAGCATACAGTGTGTATGGGTGTAAGAGTGGTTCCATTTTGCTTCATCAGGGGAGTAAGAAATAAAATTAAAATGTGACATGAGTCTGAATAAACTAACAAGTAAAGGCCTTTGCTTATTTGATTACTTTTTCTACACAGGTGTGTCTGACAAACAGCACAGCGACACTTTTATTTCCAGCTTGAGAAGCAGTCTCAGGGGTGGTAACTGTAATGTCAATATCACTGCCTTCTCAAAACACAGTGAGTCAATTGGAGTTGAGAAAAGAGGTCTCTATTAGTCACAGATAAATATTCAACCAAGCCTGTCACACGAACCTAACAAGAGGGGAGGTGCCAGCAGTAGCGAACAGATGCAGCCTTTTAATTATATGATCCTCAGCCTTTTCCAAAAGGGAACACTGGAAAAATTATAGTAGATAGAACTGAAGAGAACTGACACAGCCTTTGGTAACAAGCATCACAGTGTCAGTACGGGCACCTGGGACCCATCTTGGCTCTAGCATTAACCCCTTCTGTGTTTTGGGGCAGATTCTAAAGCCTTAAGGCAACTTTCCTTCCAGGGCTGTGACTCCCAACTACATTGAAAGGAAAGTTATTGCTATAAAAATGCCTCAAATCCTTGCATTAGGACAGTGATTAAGAGGTGCTTCTATTGGCAAAGATATATTCAATTGGTACTATGTTTTTAGACATAATGTAAAAATATGTTACTCTGTTAAGTCCAGCAGTGTTGTAGAAATTGAAACTGAGGTTTTGAAATTTGCAAAGAAGTAGTAATATACAAAATCCATGGAGTATCAAGTTACTAAGTACTTACAATAAAGATTTTCTAATTATATAATGTGCTTGCTTTTTTTTCCTTTCAGGAAAATTATATAATAAAAAAAATTGTGGAGCAGAGTTTAGATGTCATAAAAATATCCCAGGGACTGTTGGCTTTTTTTCTATATTAACAACTCATATACTTAAATTATGTACATATATATATATAGATATATATGTTTAAAATATTTATTTAAAATGTATACATACATATATACATGCTTTAAACATATATGTATGTGTTTAATTCAACAAGGCAAATGTTCACAGGATTTCTCTGAAGGTATTTTCATTACAATGTGTTAGTGTGTTACCAGAAGAATATCTAACCTCATTAAGAATCCAGAATTATGCATGCTATGCATTTTTCAAAAAAGGAATGTTTTCCAGAATGCCACATTGAATAAACAACCTCAAATGATTTCTACCCTATGAAAGGAATGAGCTGGCCTTATGTGAAGTATAGGCCACATTATTATTTCTGAAGGTGATATTAATGTACTGAATGCAAGGAACATGGTATGTTGAATGACCTTTAGATTTCATTACGACAATCTTAACTCTGACAAATTTGCTGACTACTTTAATGGATAGCTTAATTGATTTTTCTAATAACCCATCCTTTATACTTTCAAAATGTGTGCATCAATTATTGACAGCATTACCAGAATGGCAAAATGACAATACAGTTTCATCATATAGATGCCACTTTAAAAAGATACACCATCTACTTAATTCAAAAATTACCACTAGAAGCAGGCATTAGTTTGAGTCTGAATAATGGTATCATGAGCCCAGGAACAAATAGAGGGGGTAATTTCAGTAAACATCTAATTCAATCTTTAGTATAAAAGAGTGAAAGGGAAGCTGAGTATCTCAGAAAGGAGGAATCTCAAATGAGTTTATGAGTGTGGATTTGAATTATTTAATGAATTCTGTGATTTTGTTATTACTAATGTTTATATAGAGAACAGGCATTTAGTATGAAAGCAGTTGGGCAGCCAACATATTAGTGATACTTTAAAAATTACCATTTATGTTCTAGAACATTACTTATTGAAGACTCCTTTATTTAATAACATTTTGTATACAGAAATAATTTTTTTTTTCTTTTTCCTTTGAGACAGGGTCTCACTCTGTTACCCAGGCTGGAGTGCAGTGGCACAATCACAGCTTACTTAACCCTTGACCTCCCAGGCTGAAGTGATCCTTCCATCTCAGCTTTATGAGTAGCTGGGACCTCAGGCACACACCACCATACTCAGCTTATTTTTATTTCTCATTTTTTATAGAGACAAGCTCTCACCGTGTTGCCCAGGCTGGTCTGGAACTCCTGGGATCAAGCAATGATCTCACCTCTGCCTCCAAAAGTGCTAGGATTACAGCCATGAGCCACTGTGCCTGGCTGAAATTTTAATTGATAAAATGTACAGCTTGTAGAAGAAATGTATGCCTCTTTAAAATAAGCTTTGGAAAATTTCAACTTTTTTAAAAAGTAGTATCTACTTCTAGTCTGATAGCAAAACGTCATAAATGTGGCTTCTTGCAAATTTACACACTTTGGGGACTCCGGTTGAAAAAACTGATGTTATTCTTGCTCTTTATTTCCGCCAAGACTCAATCCTCAGAGCTTCAGGACAGAGCTTATGGTTTATTTGTAATAGTAATTATGTGCCACTATTTGGCATATTGTTTTATTCTGTGTCTGGACATGCTCTATTTATCAAAAACATATTTAGATTACAGGGTGTATTAGTAGTCAGGGTTTCCTAGAGGGATGGAACTTATAGGATACATATATATATATGTATGTATATATTTGGGAATTTATTAAGTATTAACTTACAGGATTGCAAGTTCCCACAATAGGCCATCTGCAAGCTTGAGGAACAAAGAGAGCCAGTCCGCATCTCAAAACTGAAGAACTTGGAGTCTGATGTTCAAAGGCAGGAAGTGTTCAGCATGGGAGAAAGACGTACGCTGGGAGGCTAGGCCAGTCTCTCCTTTTCACGTCTTCCCGCCTGCTTTATATTTGCTGGCAGCTGATTAGGTGGTGCCCACCCAGATTAAGGGTGGGTCTGTCTTCCCCAGTCCACTGACTCAAATGTTAATCTCCTTTGACAACACCTTCACAGACACACCCAGGATCAATACTTTGTGTCCTTCAATCCAATCAAGTTGACACTAAGTATTAACCATCACAAAGGGCGAAATAATTTATAAGGCATAGAACAGTTCAGTTTCACAAAGATTTTGTACATAGTTACTGTGTGTCAAAAATTGTTTACTTGAATTTTTGTTGACAGGTACTCTTCAAGAATTTTAAGCAGAGAAATTAATGTGGATGTTGTATGAGAGATGAATTGAGGCAATGGGCCCCCTTAAGAAGGTGATGCCAAGGTTCAGGAGGGAAATGTCCAATCTTTACTTTGGCTGTGAGAGGGATGATGACAAAGGAGTAGAATTAAAGAAATATGTACTAAATATTTAGAATTATACCTTTTACTTCCGATGATTGCTTACATGTATGTGATGGAGATAACCAAGGGAAAGGAAAGGGTTGAGAGTGATTCTCAGATTTTTAGCATAGATTGGGATGGTTGATGCCTTCGCCAGATAAGATAAAGAATACAGGAAAAGTTATTGATTAGAGACACAGGAATATGATGAGTTAAGCTTTGGGCATGTTACTTTAGAGTTTCTTCAAGAAATGCAGTTAGAGTCAGCTATCCAGCAGACATATGAATGTCTGAAGCACAAGGAAGTTTCAGGGCTGGATATAGAAATTCATTTGGAATTGATAGATGGTAGTAGAGTGAACGAAGTTACATTAGGAGAGAAAGAGGAGAAAGAAAATAATTTGAGGGCAAAAACTTAAAAGGAATATTAATAGTTAGAATAAAAAGGTATTATAAAGCAAACCTTCTCAGAGAGGTAGAAGAAGAACAACAACAAAAAAATGGTTTCCTGAAGCTAAGGAGTTTTATGGATAACCAACCTCAGTGTTCACCTAAAATACCAGCTTTATGAGAGCAAGGTGCTTGCCTTACTTGTTCATTGTTAATCCCCAGCACTGGAAGCCATGCTGGGACCTTAAGAGACACTCAATAAACCTTAAATACATGGGACAAACAGTGATGTAATACAGCACAGAGTTTTATTCAAATAAACACTAAAAAATAGCATTCATGAAATGAGGACATTGGCAAAAGCAATTTTAAAGAAATGGTGGAAGCAAAAATCAAACTATAAGAGAAGGTTAAACATTACAAACACTGAGATGACATTCTTAAAAAATTTTGTATATAAAGGAAAGGAAGAGGATGGCAGTTTTTCAGATAAAAATAAAAAGCTTTAGGAGACAGATTATCAGAAAGGAAGACGACTCTAAATCTCAGCACACAAAGGATTGGAATCAAGTCATTCTAAGGTGGAGCACAGCAAGGAGAATTCCATCACTAGACTGTAACTGTTTAATATCAGGGACAGTGTCTCATCCTGCTATCTTCTTCCTAGAGGTTCTGACCTGAAGCAGGTGCTCAAATTGAATGTGCTTGCTGAATCAACTACATCTAACTACTCCAAAGTAAAACCTGTTTTGTCCTTCCCCTCCCACTTCTCACCTCAGAGTTGGTCCTGGTCCCACACTCAAAGGAAAAATGATTGGAAATAAAGAGTGTGTTAATACCATCAGCAGATGGGGGCTTAATTATGCTCTAGTCCTGGGATCTCTGAGGAAATAGTGTGAAACCATTGCTCCTTATTATAGAGATTAATTCTCACTCATCTAGAGATCAGATTTGTTATACAGCACTTGAAAATTTTTTAATAAGATTTAAGGATTTGACGCAAATACTAAAACCTGATATTGACAAAATATGTATTTTAGAGCTAAAGTACTTCTTAGTCCAAATAAAAGTTTGTTCCTATAGATACAATAAAATTACTTTCATACACTTCCTTATATACTGGAATGTAATAATATTAATATAATTTTACATCTGGAATTCTTTTCTGTTTCCTTTCTCCTTACTTCTTGTGCTCCGTCATTTCTCTTAGAATGGATATACATGGAAGCTGGACGTTTTGGATTTAGGTGATTATATTCTGGTTTTGTTTTATGTTTCTCTCTTACCTCTACACAGCTAGTTTACAGTGTTTGAATACATTCTTCAGTATCTGTAGTGCTTCGACAAAAACCTAGTTGTAGGTAGACTGTTATATAAGTTACTGCTGCTTTGCAGACTGTGAGCATTTGGAGCTCTGTCACTGACAGTTGCAGATATTGGGAGCTATTTTATCTAGATTTACAGGATGTCTCAGCGGATCTTTAATCTGATGTAATTGTGCCAAAATAACCTGGTGCCATGCATGTACAATATGCCTGTGCTAAAAATTCCTACAAAAATTTTGGATGCGTAACCTCACAGGCTAAGTAACTGGGATCTGCTATTTTAAAAACAGAACTAATGTGATAGTGTTTGTTGTTTTCAAATAGCAAAGAGTATATTATCACTAAATATGCTCAATTGCTCAACATCTCTTGCATAATAATGTGTTATGCTAAGACTCCTGTAAAAAATATCAATGTAACATATAGCTTAAAGTGTTTTCCCCCATGGTCATGACAGTACAGCCCCTATTGCCTGTTTGAAAGTTCATTTGTGATGGGTAACTCCTTACACTCTCTCAAGACCTATTTTTGACCAAAAAAAAAAAGTGTATGGTATTTATGCTATAATCACCTTAAAACCTGCTATACAGACCAGATAATTAGCTATAAAAGTGTGAAAAGCATAAGACCTGGTTTGTGTCAATGTTTCTCAAACTTTCATGTGCCTAAAACTCACATGAGGCTTATTAAAATTTCAACTTTGTGGCTTCTGTCTCAGACATACTGAAAGGGAATCTGTGGGTGGGGAGGCTTAACCAGGAAATTTTAGTAATCACCTTTGGTGAGTTTTGTGTCAGTGGCCCTAGGCCACACTTCTATATACACTGTATACAGAAATTTTAGAAATTCTGTGATTCAATGCCAGATTTTTTTTTTAATTTTTAAATTTTGGTTAGTTTTCATATTTTTTCAGCTTCTATTCATGTAAGAAGGTGGCATGGGATTATAAATAGAACATGATGAGTCTGGAAACGTAGAGAGAGTAAAAGTGAGGAGAAGAGAAAGGGTTGTGCTTTTCCACTTCCTCTTTGGACAGGGCATGGTGATAAGCAGGATTCCTGCTCATCAAACAAACCACCCATTGGAGGCAACTGACCAGTGAATTGAGGGGAATTAGGTCATTCCCTGAGCAGATGAATTTGCTATCTGAATTATCTGGGGAACAGACCTGATTTTCTTCTTTGTCTTGTCCATGGAGACTTGGCCTAAATTTACCCTCACTGCATGTAAATGAAGTAGGATTAGTGGCCAGACACGTCGAAATGGTCTAGGGTGTTCTTAGCACAGTTGAATTACTCTTTCATTAGCCTCAACACCATATTAAATTGAATTTTGGTAACTCTTTAGTTATTATGAAGTCTATATATCCATTTGAGCCTCAAAAAAGTACAGGACATGATTTTAATGCAACATTACAGCTAAAAGAAAACAAAAAAAAACCCCAAATCCCCGAAAAATCTAACAATTAGTTTTTTGGAAGACTCAGGTTTACTGACATATTATAGAGAGTTTTATCTTTGATTGTGTTTTGGTTTCATTTTTTTCTTAAAAAAGATTTCTACATAATTATCAGTATTAATATGCATCCTAAATCTTAGGATATTTTTAGTTGCAAGTCACAGAAAATCACCTCAATCTGGCCTAAACAATAAAGGCAATTTATTAGCTCCTGGTCATATAGCTACTGTTGCTAGTAAAACCAACAATGCTGGTACAACTAGTATTGTAAACAAATGCTGCCATAACTAATATTGCTTAACGTGAGAATTGATCTTGGTGCTCAAGTAAGGACCCGGTATTTTTCTCATATTTCCTCACCCAACTTACTATTTTTGACTCCATTCTTCATTTCCTTCTAATCCAGCAGGAAAGATAAAACTTTTTGCACTTCTCCCTGCCAACAGCTGGATTAAAATCTCATTAGCCTGATTTAGCTCATATGCCCAGTTCTGGAGGGCAGAATTAATGCTGTGAGGATTGGTTTAAGTGAAACAAGGTTTACACTTGAAGATGAGGTACTAAAAAACACAGTGTTGAGTGAGAAGAAGCTTCATGGGGGTCAGAAAAATTTGACTTGTTAAAATTCTGATTTCAAGGTCCCAATATTATTTACTCTTGGTTTTAAAAATATTTGCAAATTGGTTTCATTCTTCCCATCTTTTTCAGGTACCCTAATCAGTCATAGATTCAGTCTCTTTACATAATCTCATATTTCTGCGAGTTTTTTTCCCTTCCTTTTCAGTCTTTTTTCTCTATTCTTGTCTGTCTTATTTCAGGGGGACAGACTTCAAGCTCTGAGATTCTTTTCCCCACTTGGTCTATTCTGCTGTTAATACTTGTGATTGAATTGTGAAGTTGCTGAGGTGTGTTTTTCAGCTCTATCAGGTCAGTCACATTTCTATCTATACTGGCTATTTTGGCTGTTCAGCTCCTGCATTGTTTTATCATGATTTTCAGCTTCCTTGCATTGGGTTACAACGTGCTCCTTTAGTTCAGTGAAGTTCGTTTTTAATCCACATTCTGAAGCCTACTTCTGTCATTTCAGCCATCTCAGCCTCAGCCCAGTTCCAAACCCTTGCTGGAGAGGTGTCGCAGTCATTTGGAGGAAAGTGGGCACTCTGGCTTTTTGAGTCTTCCGTATTTTTGTGCTGATTCCTTCTCATCTTTGTGGGCTTATCTACCTTCAGTCTTCGAGGTTGCTGCCATTTGGATGGGGTTTTTGTGTTTTTTTTCTTTTGCAAAAATGAACTCAAGATGGAGTAAAGAATTAAATATAAAACCTAAAACTATAAAAACCTCAGAAGAAAGCCTAGGCAATACCATTCAGGACATAGACATGAGCAAGGATTTCATGACAAAGATGCTAAAAGCAATTGCAACGAAACAAAAACTGACAAATGAGATTTAATTAAACTAAAGAGCTTCTGCACAGCAAAAGAAACTGTGAACAAATAACCTACAAAAAGGGAGAAAACTTGGAATCTATGCACCTGACAAAGGTCTAATATTCAGCATTTATAAGGAACTTAAAGTTACAAAATAAAACCATTAAAAAGTGGGCAAAGGACATGAAAGGACACTTCTCAAAAGAAGACAGACATGTGGCCAACAATTACATGAAAAAAAACTCAACATCATTGATCGTTAGATAAATGCAAATCAAAACCGCAATGAGATACCATCTCACACCAAAAGTCAAAAAATAACAGATGCTGGTGAGCCTGTGGAGAAAAAGGAACGATTTTACACTGTTGGTGGGAGTGTAAATTCGTTCAACCATTGTGGAAGAAAGTGTGGTGATTCCTCAAAGACTTAAAAAACAGAACTACCATTCAACCCAGCAATCCTATTCTGAGTATATACCCAAAGGAAGGTAAATCATTCTATTATGAAGACACACGCTTGTGTATGTTTATTACAGCACTATTCACAAGAGCAAAGACATGGAATCAACTTAAATGCCCATCAATTATAGACTGGATAAAGAAAATGTGGCACATACATACAATGGAATACTATGCAGTCATAAAAAGAACAAGATCATGTCCTTTGCAGGGACATGGGTGGCTCTAGAGGTCATTATCTCTAGCAAACTAATGCAGGAACAGAAAACTAAATACCACATGTTCTCACATATAAGTGGAAGCTGAATGAGAACACCTGAACACATAAAGGGGAACAATGCACACTGGGGCCTATTGGAGGGCAGAGGGTTGGAGAAGAGAGAGAATCAGGAAAAATAACTAATGGATGCTAGGCGTAATACCTGGGTGATAAAACAATCTGTACAAAAAACCCCCATGACACACATTTACATATTAACAAACCTACAAATCCTGCACATGTACCCCTGAACTTAACATAAAGTTAAAATATATACATATATATTAACTTTTAACTTATAGGTTCCATTGTATTCCTCATTCTGGCCAGCATTCCAGCAAAGCTTTACTTTTGATAATGAAGGGTACTTGGATAGACAGTGTACATGATTCAGCATAATCTGTTTTTCAATTTCAGTATGAAATCAGATAATCTAGAGTTCATGCTGTACAAGTAAATCTTAAATCAGTGATCTTTTGAGGACATGGGGGCTCCTTCTATGGCTTTATTCAAGCCCTGCCCTCAAAATCTTTACTGGGAGTAAGAAAGCCTCTTTGAAAGAGCATAGGCAGTAATTACTAGATACACAATAAAATTGTGTCAGTAGAAGAAAAATATGGAAGCAGAAGACAAATTAGGAGGAAATTTTTATGGTTTCCCCTTAGAAATTTGTATCAAAAGAGCTCTCTAAAATTTAGGAAGATTAGATTATTTCAAGAGAAACCTTTTTAGTTGTAAGAACAACATAACTTTATACAGAAAAAGTAAGCATTAAAGCACTATTATTCAATGAACAAATATTTCTTAAACAACTCTATGCAAAGGATTTATTTAAGCATCCTGTTCGATTACTACAGAGGATAGATTTTGTTTATAAGGTTTCAGTTTTGTTTTTTATATGTGTGGATTGAATAGCTTCTAATCTCCAACTTTTCTTAGAAGGATATTGATTCACCTTTTGAAAATCAGAGCTATTAAACTCTCAGTTTATGTGACTGGGGCGTTATTGACTTTATTGCCATTCTAAGGATAAGCACGTGACCACCCTCTCGGTCAAGAATAGAATTTTATATCTCCTTTCCAGAGAAATTGGTTCATAGATTTACCCAAGTTAGATCTATGGCAGTCTTTTCAGGCAACTTTGCTGAAACTATTAAGAAAGAGGCATTGTTATTACTTCTTACATGAACTATTAAGATACGGTCATCAAGCTTCTGGGGGTCACCATTGGGTAGAGTACCAGCTTGGAAATAAAACCAACATGGAAGAGAGCACAGCTGAGAGATGCAAAGGGAGATCTAGCCTTGATAATAATATCTAAGCAGCTGTTCTTCTCAGTGTCCAAACCTATGCTGTATACTTTTCAGTCAGGTGAGCCAGTACATTCTCTTTTTTGCTTAAACCAGTTTGCTTTGTGTTACTTAGACAATTAAAAGTATGAATTAACATAGTTGCCAATGCTACATTTATAAAGGTAAGCCCTTCCATTTAAACTATCAAATAATTAAATAATAAGTATAGAATATAAATAGAATGCAGCAAGTTATACTAGACACCATGTTAAATAGAAAGTTTTTATAAGTAGTTGAAATTTTTTTAAGGGATAGACCCAGTTTGTATGCAGTTTGCCAGTAGATACCATAGCCCTCTCTTACGACAAATAGTCTGAGAATTCAGCCCCCTAATAGAAAGACTAATACAGAAAGAGCGTCTCTGCAAATTTATGTTGTTTTTGAATGAAATGTGCATAGTTCTTAAAAGAAGTTACTCTTGGGTCAAGAAATTTTAGAAAGAGATGACCTCAGGCACACTTACAATTTAATTTTACCTTAAGGGATTAAGTATGGAATTTTGAAGTCATAGATTTTTGGTCTAGAGTGTTTGTTAGGAGACTTTGTTTGTGATATTTGGAAAGTGCAAACCACAGAATAACTTAGTGTTTTAATAACTCCTGAAATAAATGGCATGGTATAAAACCATAAAACAGTGACAAATTGTGCACTCTTAGTTTGGGTCCAAATATGAAAAATCATTCTTTTTTTCTTATTGAGGTAAAATTTATATATAGTAAATTTTTTAAAATTTAGAAATCCAAAGTGTACATTTTGATGAGTTATGATAAATGGATACATCATAGTACAACCACACTGGTAAACTACTGACAATTTCCATTACCAAGATATTATTCTGGTGTAAGACTCCAGTCAACCATCATTTCCACAGACAACACCTTTCTGAGTTTTTTTTTTTTTTCGATGACTGTAGATGATTTGTCTTGTTTAACATCATATAAATGAAATCATAGACTGTTTACTCTTGCATCTTGTTCCATTTGTTCCATGTAACACTTAAGGGACTTATCTGTGTTTTGAGTGTATTAGTAATTTTTGTAAAATCGACTTTTTGGGGTATAGTTTACATAAAATCATATTTAACAATTTCAGGTGCATAATTCAACAACTGTTAACAAATATATATATATATATATATATATATGTAGTTATGTAATCACCACCCAAAGTACGATCCATTACGCATGACATTTCCCACATCTCCTCACCCTCCCCCCAACCACCTGTCCCTGTCCCTATTAAACCATCATCTGCTTTCTGTCACTATAGCTTTGTGTATTTTATGCTTTTATATAAATGGAGTCATAGATTATGTGGTATTTATGTCTAGTTTCTTATATTTGGAATAATGCTTTTAAAATTTGTTCACTTTGAAATTTAGTAGTTTGCTCCTTTTCATTGCTGAGAATTATTCATTGTATTTCATTACATGGATACAATATGATTTGTTTATCCATGGGCTAATTGATGATTATTTTAGTCTTTTCCTAATTTAGGACTATTGAGAACAAAGTTGCTATGAACACTAAAGGACAAGCCTTTTATGGGCATTTATGTTCATTTAGTTACTTACACAATTAGCTAGGACTTGTATTGCTAAGTTCTATGATAAATGTATATTTGTCTTTACAAGGAAATGCTAATACATGTTCCAATGTCACCTGTATTATTTTGCATTGCTGCTAGCAATGTCTGAGTTTCAGGTGCTCTACATTGTCACTAGTACTTGGAATTTTCAGTTGTTTGTGTGTATGTGTATAGTTTTTTGTTTGTTTTTGTTCATTTGTTTTGTTTTGGACATTCTAATAACAGCGATATGCTATTCCATGTTTTTAATTTGCATTTCCCTAGTTACATGATGTTGAACATTTTTTCATGTTTTTATTTGCTTTTCATAAAACCTGTTTGGTAAAGTAACTTAAAATATCTTACCTAATTATATATTTTTAAGTTACTTTTTGTCTTTTTTATACATTGTACATATAAGTCATTTATGAGATACATGTTTGCAAATATCTTTTTCATATCTGTAGATTGCTGTTTCATTTTCTTAACAGTATATTTTGAAGAGCAAAATATCTTAATTTTGATTAAGCCCAACTTTTTATGTTTTATGGTTCATACTTTAGTATCCCATCTAGGAAATATTTGTCTAATCTAATTTTCTTCTTTTTTTTTCTAGAAGTATTATTCATTAGCTCTTACATTTAAGTTTGTTAATTATTTTTATTCAAAATTTATAATGGTGTCGGGTAAGATGTGAGGGATTTTTTGCGTATGGTTATTCAATTGTTCTAACACAATTTGTTGAAGACAATTGCATTAGTCTCCTATTGCTGCTGAACGAATGATCAGAAACTTAGTGACTTAAGATAATGGAAATGTATTATAGTTCTGGAGGTCAGAATGCCAAAATTAATGTCACTGAGCTAAAGGCAAGATTTCAGGAAGGCTGGTTTCTTCTGAAGTTTCTAGGGGAGAATCCTTCCCTTGCCTTTTCCAGCTTCTAGAGGTTTTCTGCATTCCTTGGTTTTTGGCCTTTTCCTCCATCTTCAATGTCAGAAGAATAACATTGTCAGTAATCCTTCACTGACTCTGATTTCATCATTACATTGCCTTCTTGTTCTGAACCTCCTGCTTCCCTCTTCTAAAGACCTATGTAATTATATTGTCTACCTACATAATTATACAGGAGGCCAACACTGAAAATCAAGATCTTTAATAGCATCAGCAAAGTTCCTTTGCCATATAAGGTAACATCTTTACAGGTTTAGAGGATTAGGACATGCACATCTTTGGTGGGATGGGGAAGGATTATCCACTCAATCACAGCAATAATTTTATTATTGAGTTACTTTTTCTGAAAATCAATTGACCATAGATGTATGAGTTTGTTTCTGGATGCTCTATTCTGATCCATTGACCTATGTGTCTAGCCTTAAGCCAATATCACACTGTCTTCATTATTATAGCCTTATAGTAATTCTTAAATCCATGTAGTGTGAGTCTTCTGACTCTGTTTTACTTTTTGCAACATCTTTTGCCTGATTTAGATCCCCTGCATTTACATAAACATTTAAAATTAGTATTTCAACATCTATACCAAAACTTATATAACAGTTTGAGGTGCTGACAGCTTAGCAATAGTAGATTTTCTAATTAACAAAGATGGTGTGTGTATGTATATATATATCATATATACATCATATATATCATATATATGATAGGATATCATATATCATATATATCATATATACATATAAATACACACAAACTATCTAATATATCTATATCTATCTATTCATTTTGATCTTCTGTAAGTTCTTCATCAATTTCTTGTAGACTCCAGTGCTTGTTCTTGCATATTTTTTTTTAAGTTTATCCCTATGTATTTCATATATTTTATTATATTAAGGTGGCACACAAATACATGGAAATTAAACAACTTACTTATGAATAACTCCTGAAAGGTAAACACTGAAATTAAGGAATTAATAAAAAATTATTTGAAGGTAATGAACATAGGGACACAACTTACCAAAATCTCTGTGGTGTAGTCAAAGTGGTGTTAAGAGGAAACTTTATAGCCCTAATGCCTTCATCAAGAAGTTAAAAAGATATCAAACTAACAATCTAACTTTGCACCTAAAGGAACTAGGAAAAAAAGGACAAACCAACTCCAAAGCTAGCAGAAGAAAATAAATAAATAAAATTTGAGAAGCACTTAATAAAATTGAGATGTAAAAATCCATACAAAAATCAATAAAACCAGAAGTTTTTTCTTTAACAAAATAAGATTGATAGATCCCAGGCTAGATTAACAAGAAAGAGAAGATCCAAATAAGCACAATCTAAATGACAAAGGTGATAATACAACTGATCTTGCAGAAATACAAAAGATTCTCAGAGACTGCTGTGAAAATTCTATGAATACAAATTTGAAAATGTAGAAGAAATGGATAAATCCCTGGAAGCACACAATCTCCCAAGATTGAATCAGGGTAATAATGACCTTATAAAATGAGTTGAAAAATGTTCTTTTCTATTTTCTGAAACGGGCTAGTGTAAAATTAGTGTTTATTAAATATTAAGCATAACTTTTATATGTACTAGGAAACCAAAAGTATAAGCATAACTTTTATAGGTACTAGCAAACAAAAAAATGTGTATGACTTGCTTTACTGTGATATTTGCTTTATTGCAGTGGTCTGAAACCCAGCCTTCAGGATCTCCATGGTATGCTGTAGTTGAAATTTACTATGAGTAGATCTCAAGCGTTCTCACAACAAGAAGAAAGGTAAATATGTAAGGGAATAATATGTTAATTAGTTTAATGGTGGTAATTATTTTACCATGCATACAACTATCAAAACATCTAATCGTATTTCCTAAATACATACAATTTTTATTCATCAATCATACCTCAATGAAGCTGGAAAAAAAACAGACAAAATTCCTCTTTTCACAGATTATGCATTTTAGTATGAGAGCCAGATAATCAATAAGATTAATTAAGTAAAATAGTTAATATGTTAGATAATGGCATGTAACAAAGATAAAATATTAAAAAGGGGGAATATTCGTGTCCCCCAGATGAGGATACCCGTGACATTTTAAAAGGGAGATTAGGCCGGGCGTGGTGGCTCATGCCTGTAATCCCAGCACTTTGGGAGGCGGAGGCGGGCGGATCACCAGGTCAGGAGATCGAAACCATCCTGGCTAACACGGTGAAACCCCGTCTCTACTAAAAATACAAAAAAAATTAGCTGGGCATGGTGGTGGGCACCTGTAGTCCCAGCTACTTGGGAGGCTGAGGCAGGAGAATGGCGTGAACCCGGGAGGCTGAGCTTGCAGTGAGCCGAGATTGCACCACTGCACTCCAGCCTGGGCGACAGAGCGAGACTCCGTCTCAAAAAAAGTTAAAAAAAAGAGATTAGGCAAAGCTTAGCTGAGGTGATTTTGTGGTGAGGACCCAAGGAAAGTGAAATTGCTATGGGGATATTTGGTTAAAGAGAATTACAGGAACAAATAACATCGGGCTAAAGTTCTAAAGTAAAAATGTCAGGTGTATTCAAAGAATAGTAAGGAGGTGAGTGTAAGTAGAGCAGTGAGATTGATCAGTAAATCTCCCCAGAAAGTTACTGAAGGACCAGGGCCCTGCTACTTCAGGGTAAGAAGTCAGGTTGCTAAAAATAAAAATGAAGAACTAAATAAGCAAATAACAACTAATGATAGTCATCACACAAGAAATGTGCTTTAAAAAAATAAAGCAAAGGCAAAGCTGGAACTCTTTTAATAGAAGAGAGAACTACAGGATCTGAACAATCAAATCCGTCAAAGCAGATCATTTTACATCAGTACCACTGTAAGCAGTAATAAAGAGATGCACATCTAAATGTTGAAATACAATGTGGCATTGACAGAAATACAACTGCAATGAGAGATTTTAAAATTGTATTGATCAAAGGCTAAATAGGTGGATAAATGGGAACATTTCGAGCAATATATTTAATAGAGATTAATTAGTAGATATGATCTCATTCCATTATGATTCTAAGAGACAGGAAACCTAACTCAAAATAACTGCTCCTTCAAGATAGATCTGGCTTCAGAGTATGCTGACCTAAGCACTTAGAGAGGATGTCTACAGAATCCATTCTCACCAACTCTTGGCTCTGCTGTCTGCGTCATGATGAGGTATCCACATGATGATAAAACACCTGATTCTTATGCTACAGAAGACAGCATGTTTTGCCCTCAGGACTCTCCTCTGATTGGGTCACAAGGGTATATAGCAGAGTATGTGATGAGCTGTATAGTCAGACCTGAGTCAAGTATTCCCTGTGAAAGGGAAAATGATCCACACTGAGATTCTGCACTAGCCTGAGATTGTAGGAGAAATTGGTTCCCCCAGAAGACAATTGGATTCTCTTACCAATAAAAATAGAAATGAACCCTGAATGTTAAAATGCAGCAAACTCTACTCACTGGCTCCATGACTTGTCTCTGGCCAACTTCAACCACTCTCCACCTTACTCTGGTAACCTGGTCTCCTTTCTATTGCTGAACAGGTCATACTTATTCTTACCTTGCTGATTGCACTTACTGTTACTTCTGCCCAGGATGTACCCTTACAATTCCAACTGGCTACCTCCTTCCCAATCTTTGGTTCTTGGTTTGGACCTTCTCTCACCTGTTCTCCATGCTTTACTGTTCTTATTTTGCAATACACAGCTGTATATATTTACTTAATAGGATGCAAAGCAATCTGAAAATTTATTTATGTGTTCATTATCTGTACCTCTGTTACTTATGTTTTGAAAATCACAGAACTGCGCGTCCTTGTTCACTGAAATAGCCCCAGCACTTATAGCAGTTCTTTGTTCATTAGCTTGATAAATCCTTCTTCAATTAACACTTTATATTCTGAAAGAATAAAATTTAAGTATCTTTGGAATATTTCTAATAATAATGAGTTTTAATCTAAAAAGAAAACTTTGAAATATCCTGTAATCTGATTTTCACAATAGAAAAATCCTTTTATATTCCTTGGTCAAATAGAAAACTGCATTTGCTTCCTAGAACTGTAGTATTAAAATACTACAAACTGGGCAGCTTAAGCAGCAGAAATGAATTGTCTCTCAGTTCTGGAGTCTAAGGGACTGAGATCAAAGTGTCAGCAGTGTTGGTTCCTTCTGAGAACTATGAGGGAGAATTGGATCCAGGTTTCTCTCCTACATTATGGTGGTTCACTAGCAATTTTCGGCATTTCTTGGTTGTAGACACACCACCCTGATCTCTGCCTTCATGCTCATGTGGCTTTCTTTCTATGTGCATGTCTGTCTCTTCATATGACATTTTTTTATAAGAATACCCATCGTATTGAATTAGGGGCCTACCCTACTCCAACAGAACCTCACCCAAACTAATTACATCTGCAATGACTTTATTCCCCAATAAGGTTATATTCTAAGATCATGAAAATTAGGATATCAGTGTATACATTTGAGGGGAACACATTCAACTCATGACATAAACCAACATTACAATTTCAGCTAATTCAGAAGGAAACCTTACTTTATCAGAAAAATGTGAAAATTGGCTAAAGTAGTACCTGTCAATTCTTAACCTTTAATTACATGATCATGATGTGTCCGGAATTGGTGGGTTCTTGGTCTCACTGACTTCAAGAATGAAGCCACGGACCCTGGCGGTGAGTGTTACGGCTCTTAAGGTGGCGCGTCTGGAGTTCGTTCCTTCTGATGTTTGGATGTGTTCGGAGTTTCTTCCTTCTGGTGGGTTTGTGGTCTCGCTGGCTCAGGAGTGAAGCTGCAGACCTTGGCTGTGAGTGTTACAGCTCTTAAGGCGGCGCGTCTGGAGTTGTTCGTTCCTCCCAGTGGGCTCCTCCTCTCGCTGGCTTCAGGAGTGAAGCTGCAGACCTTCGCTGTGAGTGTTAGAGCTCATAAAAGCAGTGTGGACCCAAAGAGTGAGCAGTAGCAAGACTCATTGCAAAGAGCAGAAGAACAAAGCTTCCACACTGGGGAAGGGGACCCGAGTGGGTTGCCACTGCTGGCTAGGGCAGCCTGCTTTTATTCTCTTATCTGGCCCCACCCACGTCCTGCTGATTGGTAGAGCCCAGTGGTCTGTTTTGACAAGGCGCTGATTCGTGCGTTTACAATCCCTGAGCTACACACAAAGGTTCTCCACGTCCCCACCAGATTAGTTAGATACAGAGTATGGACACAAAGGTTCTCCAAGGCCCCACCAGAGTAGCTAGATACAGACTGTCGATTGGTGCATTCACAAACCCTGAGCTAGACACAGGGTGCTGATTGGTGTATTTACAATCCCTGAGCTAGACATAAAGGTTCTCCACGTCCCTACCAGACTCAGGAGCCCAGCTGGCTTCACCCAGTGGATCCCGCACCGGGGCTGCAGGTGTAGCTGCCTGCCAGTCCCGGTGCCGTGCGCCCGCACTCCTCAGCCCTTGGGTGGTGGATGGGACTGGGCGCCGTGGAGCAGGGGGTGGCACTCGTCGGGGAGGCTCCGGCAGCACAGGAGCCCATGGAGGGGGTGGGAGGCTCAGGAATGGCAGGCTGCAGGTCCGGAGCCATGCCCCGCGGGAAGGCAGCTAAGGCCCGGTGAGAAATCGAGCACAGCGCCGGTGGGCTGGCACTGCTGGCGGACCCAGTACACCCTCCGCAGCCGCTGGCCCGGGTGCTAAGCCCCTCATTGCCCAGGGCCGGCAGGGCCGGCCGTCTGCTCTGAGTGCGGGGCCCCCCAAGCCCACGCCCACCCGGAACTCCAGCTGGCCTGCAAGCGCCGCGCGCAGCCCCCGGTTCCCGCTCGCGCCTCTCCCTCCACACCTCCCTGCAAGCTGAGGGAGCCAGCCGGCTCTGGCCTTGGCCAGCCCAGAAAGGGGCGTCCACAGTGCAGCGGTGGGCTGAAGGGCTCCTCAAGTGCCGCCAAAGTGGGAGCCCAGGCCGAGGAGGCGCAGAGAGAGAGCGAGGGCTGTGAGGACTGCCAGCACGCTGTCACCTCTCAATGAAATGGATAATTAAAATAAATGAGGTAAGTATTCAATTTGATAAGTTAACCAAAGGTAACGAAAACTATTAGAGAAAAGAGTAGAAAAATTACAGAAATATGAAATGTGAAATTATGAAATATGAAAAAATAAAAGAGTAAAATAAATATATAAATTGAAACTTTTAGTTAAAAAATATGTAACAATCTGAAAAGTCTAATCAAGGTGAAATATAGATGATACAAATAAAATAAGCAAGAGATGTAACAAGATATGTAAGTAGGAGATTGCAAAAGTATAATTGTATATTTTATGTAATTATTCATAAAAATTTTTAATGGGATAAAAGGAAAAAAATTTGTAATTGTATATGTAATACATCAAATATATGTTTATACTATATTACATATACATATTTATATAGAATATATTTTTATTGTGTGTATATATATATCTGCGTGTATGCATATATATATATTTATATATATATACATAGAGGGAGAGAGAGAAAACCTAAGCAGATAATAAAACAGTAGAATTTTAGAAATCAGATATCAATTCAAAATTAGTGCTTAAGGCTTGACATTTTTATACATATTTAAACTTTACAGTAGCAACTAATTCCAATGCTATTTAATTTGTTCATATACAAATAAGTGTGAAAAGTTGTTTATTTCATAACTTGATTGTCTATATTAAATTGAATATCACATAAAAAAATTTCAAAAATAACCTATTATTAACAAGTGACATGATCACCTATTTAGAAACCTAAGCAATTTAGATTAATAGGAGAGTTCTGTAACTTCCTCTGAACACATCAATATAAAAAAATTATTAACTTTTGTCATAATAACAATGACCTACTGGAATATATAAAATACATACAATAGTAACAAATTCTAAAGATAAATTGTGGGAAACATATTAAAATATATATATATTTTAACTTTTAAGTTCAGAGGTACAAGTGCAGGTTTGTTGCATAGGTAAATGTGTGTCATGGGGGTTTGTTTTACAGATGATTTCATCACCCAGGTATTAAGCCTAATGTCCATTTGTTATTTTTCCTGATCGTCTTCCTCCTACCCTCTGCCCTCCAGTAGGCCCTAGTGTGCATTTTTCCCCCTATGTGTCCATATTTTCTCATCATTTAGCTCCCACTTATACATGAGAACATGCAGTATTTGTTTTTCTGTTCCTGCATTAGTTTGCTAAGGATAATGGCCTCCAGCTCCATCCATGTGCCTGCAAAGGACATAATCTCATTATTTTTAATGGCTGCATACCTAGTGTATTTGTACCACATTTTCTTTATCCAGTCTATCATTAATGGGCATTTAGGTTGATTCTATGTCTTTGCTATTGAAAATAGCACTGCAATGAACATACACATGCCGTGTCTTTATAATAGAATGATTTCTATTCCTTTGGGTATATACCCAGAATGGGATTGCTGGGTCGAATGGTATTTCTGTCTTTAGGTCCTTGAGGAATCGCCACACTGTCTTCCACAATGGTTGAACGAATTTACACTTCCACCAACAGTGTGTAAGCATTCCTTTTTCTCTACAACCTCACCAGCATCTGTTAATTTTTGACTTTTTAGTAATAGCCATTCTGACTGGTATGAGATGCGGTTTTGATTTGCATTTATCTAAAATCAAAATCACAATGAGATAGCATCTCACACCAGTCAGAATGGCTATTAAAAAGTCAAAAAATAACATATGTTGGCAAGGCTGTGGAGAAAAGGGAATGGTTATATACTACCAGTGTGAATGTAAATTAGTTCAGCCATTGTGGAAAGCAGTGTGACAATTTCTCAAATAACTTAAAACAGAAGTACCATTCAACCCAGCAATTCCATTATTGGGTATATACCCAAAGAAATAGAAATCGTTCTACCACGGAGACACATGCACACATATGTTCACCCCAGCACTATTCACAGCAGCAGAGTTATGGAATCAACCTAAATGCCCATCAATGGTAGACTGGATAAAGAAAATGTAGTCCATATACACCATAGAACATTATGCAGCCATAAAAATGAAGGAGACTGTGTCTTTTGCAGCGACATGGTTTGAGCTGGAAGCCATGAGAAGCAAACTAATGAAAGAACAGAAGCTGAAATACTTCATGTTCTCACTTATAAGTGGGAGTTAAACATTAAGTAGACATGAACACAAAGAAAGGAACAGCAGCCACAGGGACCTACTTGAGGGTGGAGGATGGGAGGAGAGAGGGGATCAAATAACTATTTGTTACTATGTTTATTACCTAGGTGAAAAAACAATCTGTACACCCAACCCGTGTGATGAACAGTTTACCAGTGTAACAAACCTGCACATGTACCCCTGAATGTAAGCTAGAAGTTTAAAAAACTAACCAATAATATAAATAAAAAAGTAATAATTAAAAAAAAGAAATATACAAATGATGTTTTCCAGAATTCAAAGACAGAAGAGTTAAAAGTGACAGGTACACAGAGTGCCTGGCACAATGAATGAAATAACACACACAAAGATTTGATATTAAACATTCAAGAAATCTGGGAAATATAAGATCCTAAAAAGCTTTTGAATGAGAAGGTGAAGTTGTATATGAAATATCAGATATTAGAATGACATCAGACTTCTCAACAGTAAAATGCCAGAGGATGATGGATAAACATCTTCAAAGTTTTTGTTAAAAATTTTATTCCAGAATTTCCAGTGAATTCAAACATATTAATTAAGTATGGGGAAATAATAAGCATGTTTTTGAACATGCAACATGCACAAAATTTACTTTCTACACACTTTTTCTGATTGTAAGAGATGTTTTATCTTTTTGAAGCATTTAGAAAGAGGAAGCAATCAATACCGAGAAACAGAAAGTCACACACGGGAAAGTGATGAAGGGCAGCACGGAATGATGGGGAAGGCAGGTCATAAGAAAATAGCCCCAAAATAGACTTACAGAGCAGCCAGTGCATATTGGAGCAGGGCAGGAGACTTCGGAGGTGTATCTCCAAGAGTATGAAATTGAAAGAAAATCTGATGTTTCTGAAAATACTGAGATGATTTTTAACCAAGTTAACTGAGTTAAAAATAAGTTTAAATATGTGAAAAAGTACAAAAGAGAAATAGGAAAGCTCAATCATGAAGTGTTCACACAGTCATAATATGGCCCCTGAATATTGTCCTAGCCAATAATTTTGAACTTTCTGCACTAAGAAAATGTGGAAATAACAGGGGAAGAGGACGTGTTTATTAGGGAGGAGAGAAAGAATGGGAATGGAGCTGGTGGTAAAAACTTTTTTTTCTTTTGTAAGCCTTGTAAAACTATATTTTTTTATGTGCAAAGCAAAAATTAAACTAAAACATTGAAGAGAAATAGACTGTTGTGAATAGCTGAGAAATGTTTCTCAAAAGTAATGTAATGAAGGAGAACTCACCCAGCTGTGTTAAAGCACATTAAGAAGCTATAATAATGAGTATGGTATCAGTTAAGAATCAGAAAACATATAGCAAAGGCAATATATGTGCTCAAAACCACACACACACACACACACACACACACAGAGAGAGAGAGAGAGAGAGAGAGAGAGAGAGAGAGAGAGAGACCAATATCAAATAGTAAAAAAATGATATGGGGGAAGTTGGGTATTTAGAAAAAAACTTCAATCAAGGAAATAAACTTTACTGGGCCAGAGCAAACCTGCAATTGAGGATACGTCACAAGGGAGGTAAAGTAGGCACATTTTAAAGGTAAATTTTGCATTTAGAAACCAAAGACACATCCCAAATTACATCAGGTATTATTGAAGCAAATCAGGAAATGAAAACTTTATCTGAAGCCAACAAGATGTTACTGGTGTTAACAAGTCATAAGAGGAATGAAATAAGCCATGTCATATTATAAAGGGCCCACAACCTCACCTGTGAAGAAAGAGTTAAGGATTCCAAACAGATCTGAACACATACAGTATAGCAAAATAAAACCAGCATGTAGTAGAACAAATGTAAAATAAATAAATAGATTGCAATGTAAAATAAAATTTTGGCAAGTATTTAACTGACCTCTCACAGTGGAAAGAACTTCTAAACCACTAAGCAATGGAAGAAATCAACGACTAATAAATTAGCTCTTTCAATAAAATTCACATCTATTCCTCTTTAATGCACATTATAGATAAAAGAAAAACCCAAATGAAAATTTGCAATCAATATGTCAATGGTTCATATGCATGTAATATTTAAAGAGGTCATCGAGATCAATGACAACAAATACATTTATAAATAATAACAGAATAAAGACAATACTGATAACCAAAAAATTCACAGAAAATAAAATGTGAATGACCAGTAGATGCTGAGGAAAGCGTTCAACTTAAATACTAATAAAAATATACCTTTCATCATTTCAATAAAAGTTCCTACTCAGCACTGAGAAATTTGGAAGACATTCATTCTTACATACTTCTGGAAAGATGTTTATAAAAATCTCAGAACTGTTTTGGAACATTATAAAGAATATGTATAATGTTTATGCCCTTCTGATCAGTCTAATTCTTAAGAACATATCCCTGTGATACTTAAAAATGTAGACACCATTTTGTGTAAAACATGCTTCTGGTGGTATTACCTTGAATAGTCCAAATTAATAAAAATCTAAATGGTAAACAGTAAAGCAACATTTTAAAACATTGTATAAAAGAATATTAAAATTTGAATAATTATAAAGTAATCTGTTTACAAAGATTTTAATGCCATAATTTAATAAGTATAAAAGTAAGATATAAAAATATATTTTCATCAAAAATAGGGATAATAAAAAGTGTTCACAAGGATGTGGAGAAATTGGAAGCCTTATCCATTGCTGATGAATATGAAATGGTACAGCTGATTTAGAAGTGTTTGGCAGCGCTTCAGAGATTTACCATATGACACAGCAATTCCACTTTTTAAAAAATAATTGAAAACATACATTCACACAAAAATTTGTACATGAATGTTATTAATAATAGAATTAGTCCTAATAACCACAAGTAGAAACAACCCAAATGTCCATCAGCTGATAAGCAAATGTAGTATATCCATACAAGGGACTATTATTCAGCCATTGAAGGAAACTGCCTATACATGTTACCTCATGGATGAACCTTGAGAACACTTCACTAAGTGAAAGATGCCAGACACAAAAGGCTGATTATTGCATGATTCCTTTTATATGAATGAATAGGCAAATCTAGAGATAGAAAGATTAGTGGTTGCTAGGGGCTGGCAGAGGGGGACAATGGAGAGTGACTACTAATGGTACAGTCTCCTTTTGGGTGATGCAATGTTGTGGAGTTAGGCAATGGTGATGGTTACACAAATTTGTGAATATACTGAAAACTCCTGAATTTTATACTTTAAAAGAGTAGATTTTATCATATTTAAAGAGTAGAAAATATATACTAAAACAACAATTTCAATGATATAAAATCCATATAAAGTAGAAAAAATATTATAATAACAACCAAATTGTTGATGACAGATATTTCTAGATCTTAGAATTTTGTATTGTCTCAGTCTTTTTCACACAGTTTTATAGTTTCCAAATTTTCTATGAAGAACACAGGTCTCTAAGTCAGAAAAGTTCAAATCAGAAATATGCTAATTAGTAAGTTTGTGATCTTGGGCATATTCATAAGTTCTTTGAACTTTAATTCTGTATCAATAAAATTAGGAAAATTATGGTATAAACCTCATAGAAGAGGTAGAGTGTTATAAATCTTACTTGAGATATTGAGATATGCATATATACAGAGATACATATCTGAAGTATATATATCTGAGTTGCTTAATACATTTTATGTTTCATAATCAGAAAATAGTTGTTTTCTTTTAAAAAGCATTTTATCTTAATTTTGTGACCTCATATGAGTTTGTGCCTTGACTTCATTTTCTATATGTGAAAAATGTGAGTCTATGATTAGATGTTTACTAAGAACCTCTATGCTCTAAGGTTCTATGATTCTAAGGTAGTCATGATAGAAATTACCTCTTTATAAGTAGATATCTTAACATCTGGACTTAATACAAAATAATGAAAGAAAGAATTAACCACTAATAAACAGCTGCAGAGGCATGGATGTTAGAACACAATGGCCACGCCCAGCATTTATTGTGGAGTTTTGGGTGCTAGAACCTGCCCCTAGAACATGAAATTTAAAAGCTGGAGAAGAAACTAGTTAAAATAGGCTAAAAAGATAATCAACTAATATTTCTCAAGCATATCTGAAGTCCCCTTGGAAAAGCAGGTTCTTGGAAGTAAACACTGCTCTGCAGCTTCCAGAAAGGATAGAGAGAGATCCGGCCCCACATTTCTTTTCATTGAACATGTTAAGAGATTTATTTTAAGTTCCTCTTCCTGGCTTCCATGAGGAAGAATTTTTTGCTCAGCATACTGTTCACCTCTCTTGGTCATTGGAAAAGTGAGATAAGTTAACTGACTGGCAAATTTGAGGCAATCAACCAGGCATGCTTGGCTTACCCCTGCCTTTCTTCTCTTGAGAGCAAGCTATCTGCTGCAGAGACACTCACTTCATTAAGGTTACAAGAGCGTTACCTCTTTGGGAGGCAGCCTAGGCTGATGATCCAGAGTTGCCAGCAACCTGTAGGGTAGAGGTGGTGAGTATAGTAGTCTACCAGACAAATCTAATACCATGCAGTAATCTGTTCACTGTCAGTATCTAAAGCAGTACATTTTTCCCTTTGTTATCATTCTTTCGCTTTAGTTTTCTTTTCTTTCCTTTTTTTTTTTTAATCAGTCCTGGGTAGGAAAGAACGGGGCTATTTATAGAGGACAACTTCTTAGAAATCCAAGTAAGAAAACCTCTGGAATGTCCTGGGGAAGAAGAGATATGTAGAGAATACTGGAGGGAAGCAGGTGATAAGGAAAGAGGGGAAGCACAGCCTAATCCACCTCTGCACACCACTTGACTCACCATCACAAAGTCACTTTATTATCAATCAAGAAAGGTAGAAAACACTTGGAACAGTCAGCATAGCGTTTAATAATGAAGCCACGTTAAATTGGCTGTACAAACATCCAAACAAATGAGGCCTCACTGTGGATTTGAAGACTCTTAATACACGTACGAGCTATATCTTAAAGCTTGGTTAGCAAGAACACTGACCTTTGTTTTCTTATACTTACTTAGTAAGGGAAGGAAAAATTATGGAGTTTTTCACCAATAAGAAATGTTAAAAGAAGTATGTATATCTTTACCTCAAACTTAAAACCTGAATGAGACTGGAAAGTCACAGTCTTAGATTGCTTATTTCCTTTCTTGTTTTATTTTTATATTGATGTCTTCATACAGCTAGAAACAGAGAAAAGTTTCACTGTTCAATAAAAGCAGATAATAAAATATATTTTATGATAAGGCATAATTTTTAAGCCTGTCCTTTGTCTTTAATTCTCAAAAGTCTACTGATGTGTAGAAATTTCATTGGTAGATATATTTGTTAATTTTTTTAAATGACAATTAAAACTGTGTAACAAGGATAGAGGCTTGCTTACGAGATAATGAGTTTCTTGTCCTTTCAAAAAGCCAAACAGAAGCTGAATTAATAATCGTTTGGAAGAAAGGATGATAATTTCCAACCCAATGTTTAACAGGCACCCTGATCTCTTTCTGTCTTTCTGATTTTTAAAACTTGAATTTGTAACATTTCAGCATTTCTTCTTTAATCATTGTCTAGCAATACTAAATAACCATCAATTTGCTTCATCTGTCAAGCCAACACTTTTCAGAATTTTTCTCTTTTCCTAATTTCCACTTCTGGAAAACCCTTTCTTTGTATATATGACAGTCCAGTCTTTCCTTTACACATTAAGAACTTTTACTTTATTTATGACTATTTGATATATTTTATCTGAGTACTCCAGTCTTTTCTTTGTAAGATGGTTTTACCATTTGAAAATAATTTATTTTGAGGTGTACTAATAGTCATGAGCTCATAGCATCATACTATAAAAACACTGAACAGAGGATCAGGCAAGATGACTGAATAGGAACAGTTCTGGTCTGCAGCTCCCAGGGAGACCAATGCAGAAGGTGGGTGGTTTCTGCATTTCCAACTGAGCTACCCAGTTCATTTCACTGGGACTGGTTAGACAGTGGGTGCAGCCCACAGAGGGCAAGCAGAAGCAGGGTGGGGTGTTGCCTCACCCAGGAAGTGCAAGGGGCTGGGGCCCTCCCTCCTCTAGCCAAGGAAAGCTGTGAGGGACTCTGCTGTTGGCCCAGATACGAGGCTTATCCCACGGTGTTTGCAACCTGCAGATCAGGAGATTCCTTTGTGTGCCTACGCCACCAGGGTCCTGGGTTTCAAGCACAAAAATGGGTGGCTATTTTGGCAGACATTGAGCTAGACACAGGATGTTTTTTTTTTCCTTCATACCCCAGCGGTGCCTGGAACCCCAGCCAGAAAGAACCATTCACTGCCCTGGAAAGGGGGCTGAAGCCAGGGAGCCAAGTGATCTCATTCAGCGGGTCCCACTCCCAGGGAGCCCAGCAAACTAAGAACCACTGGCTTTAAATTCTCACTGCCAGCACAGCAGTCTGAAGTCGACCTGGGATGCTCTAGCTTGGTGCGGGGAGGGGCATCTGCCATTACTGAGGCTTAAGTAGGCAGTTTTTCCTTCACAGTATTAAGGAAGCTGCCAAGAGGTTCGAACTGTGTGGAAGTCATCTCAGCACAGCAAAGCAGCTGGGGCACAACTGCCTCTCTAGATTCTTCTGCACTGCGCAGGGTATCTCTGAAAGAAAGGCAGCAGTCCCAGTCAGGGGCTTATAGATAAAACGCCTATCTCCCTGGGACAGAGCACCTGGGGGAAGGGGTGGCTATGGGCGCAGCTTCAGCAGACTTAAACTTTCCTGCCTGCCAGCTCTGTAGGGAGCAATGGATCTCCCAGCATAGCACTAGAGCTCGGCTAAGGGACACACTGCCTCCTCAAGTGGGTCCCTGGCCCCTGTGCCTCATGACTGAGAGACACATCCCAGCAGGGGTTGACAGACACCTCATGCAGGAGAGCTCCGGCTGGCATCTGGTGGGTGCCCCTCTGGGATGAAGCTTCCAGAGGAAGGAATAGGCAGCAATCTTTGCTGTTCTGCAGCCTCTGCTGGTGATACCCAGGCAAACAGCATCTGGAGTGGACCTCCAGCAAACTCCAGGAGACGTGCAGAAGAGGGGCCTGACTGTTAGAAGGAAAACTAACAAACAGAAAGCAATAACATCAACATCAGCAAAAAGGATGCCCACTCAAAAACCCCATCCAAAAGTCGTAAGCATCAAAGACCAAAGGTAGATGAGTTCATGAAGATGAGGAAAAACTAGCACAAAAATGCTGAAAATTCCAAAAACCAGAATGCCTCTTCTCCTCCAAATGATTTTAACTCCTCTCCCGCAAGGGTGCAAAACTGGACGGAGAATGAGTTTGATGAATTGACAGAAGTAGAGGCTTCAGAAGGTAGGTAATAATAAACTCCTCTGAGCTAAAGGAGCATGTTCTAACCCCATTCAAGGAAGCTAAGAACCTTGATAAAAGGTTAAAGGAACTGCTAACTAGAATAACCAGTTTAGAAAAGCACATAAATGACCTGATGGAGGTGAAAAACACAGCATGAGAACTTCTTGAAGCATACACAAGAATCAATAGCCAAATCTATCAAGCAGAAGAAAGAATATGAGAGATTGAAAATTAATTTAATGAAATAAAGCGTGAAGACAAGATTAGAGAAAAAAGAATGAAAAGGAATGAACAAAGCCTCCAAGAAATATGGTACTGTGTGAAAAGACCAAACCTACAATTGAATGGTGTACTTGAAAGTGACAGGGAGAATGGAACCAAGTTGGAAAACACCCTTCAGGATATTATGCAGGAGAACTTCCCAAACTAGCAAGACAGCCCAACATCCAAATTCAGGAAATACAGAAAACACCACTAAGATTCTCCTCAAGAAGAGCAACCCCAAGACACATAATCATCAGGTTCTCCAAGGTTGAAACAAAGGAAAAAATATTAAGGGCAGCCACAGAGAAAGGTCAGGATACCCACAAAAGGAAGCCCATCAGACTAACAGCAGATCTCTCTGCAGAAACCCTACAAGCCAGAAAAGAGTGGGGGCCAATATTCAACATTCTTAAAGAAAATAATTTTCAAACCAGAATTTCATATCCAGCCAAACTAAGCTTCATAAGTGAAGGAGAAATAAAATCCTTTACATACAAGCAAATGCTGAAGGATTTTGTCACCACCAGGCTTGCCTTATAAGAGCTCCTGAAGGAAGCACTAAATATGGAAAGGAAAAACCAGTACTAGCCACTGCAAAAACATACCAAATTGTAGAGACCATCAATGCTATGAAGAAACTGCATCAACTGATGTACAAAATAACCAGCAAGCATCATAATGGCAGGATGAAATTCACACATAACAATATGAACCTTAAATGTAAATGGACTAAATTCCCCAATTAAAAGACAAAGACTGGCAAATTGGATAAAGAATCAAAACCCATCAGTGTGCTGTATTCATGAGACCCATCTCACGTGCAAATACACACATAGGCTTAAAATAAAGGGATGGAGAAATATTTACCAAGCAAATAGAAAGCAAATAAAGCAGGAGTTGCAATCCTAGTCTCTGCTAAAACAGACTTTAAACCAACAAAGATCAAAAAACACAAAGAAGGGCATTACATAGTGGTAAAGGGATCAATGCAACAAGAAGAGCTAACTATCCTAAATATATATGCACCCAATACAGGAGCACCCAGATTCATAAAGCAAGTTCTTAGAGACCTACAAAGAGATTTTAGACTCTCACACAGTATTAGTAGGAAACTTTAAGACTCTCCTGTGCGGAGACCAGCTCGGTCAGGGAGACCCTAACCCAGCAGCGCTAGAGGAATTAAAGACACACACACACACAGAAATATAGAGGTGTGAAGTGGGAAATCAGGGGTTTCACAGCCTTCAGAGCTGAGAGCCCCAAACAGAGATTTACCGACATATTTATTAACAGCAAACCAGTCATTAGCATTGTTTCTGTAGATATTAAATTAACTAAAAGTATTCCTTATGGGAAACGAAGGGATGGGCCGAATTAAAAGAATAGGTTGGGCTAGTTAACTGCAGCAGGAGCGTGTCCTTAAGGCACAGATCGCTCATGCTATTGTTTATGGCTTAATAATGCCTTTAAGCGGTTTCCCGCCCTGGGCGGGCCAGATGTTCCTTGCCCTCATTCCCCTAAACCCACAACCTTCCAGCATGGGCATTAGGGCCATTATAAACATGTTACAGTGCTGCAGAAATTTTGTTTATGGCCAGTTTTGGGGCCAGTTTATGGCCAGATTTTGGGGGGCCTGCTCCTAACACCCCTGTCAATATTAGACAGATCAATGAGACCAAAAATTAACAAGGATGTTCAGGACTTGCACTCAGCTCTGGACCAAGCAGACCTAATTGACATCTATGGAACTCTCAACCCCAAATCAACAGCATGTACATTATTCTCAGCACCACATAGCACTTATTCTAAAATTGACCACATAATTGGAAGCAAAACACTCCTCAGCAAATGCAAAAGAATGGAAATCATAACAAACAGTCTCTTAGACCACAGTGCAATCAAATTAGAACTCAGGATTAAGAAACGCACTGAAAACCGCAGAACTACATTGAAACTGAACAACCTGCTCCTGAATGACTACTGGGTAAATACCAAAATTAAGGCAGAAATCAGAAAGTTCTTTGAAACCAATGAGAACAAAGACACAACATACCAGAATCTCTAGGACACAGCTAAAGCAGTGTTTAGAGGGAAATTTATAGCATGAAATTCCCAAATCAGAAAGTGGGAAAGATATAAGATCAACACCCTAACACCACAATTAAAAGAACTAGAGAAGCAAGAGCAAACAAAGTCAAAAGTTAGCAGAAGACAAGAAATAACTAAGATCAGAGCGGAACCGAAGGAGATAGAGACACCAAAAACAGTGCAAAAAAATCAATGAATCCAGGTTTTTTTGAAAAGATTAACAAAATAGATAGACCACTAGCCAAATTAATAAAGAAGAAGAGAGAGAAGACTCAAATAGACACAATAAAAAATGGTAAAGAGGATATCATCACTGATCCCACAGAAACACAAACTACCATCAGAGAATACTATACACACCTCTACACAAATAAACTAGAGGATCTAGAAGAAATGGATAAATTCCTGGACACATGCACCCTCCCAAGACTAAACCAGGAAGAGTTTGAATTCCTGAATAGACCAATAACAAGTTCTGAAATTGAGGCAGTTATTAATAGCCTACCAAGCAAATAAAGCTCAGGACCAGACACATTCACAGCTGAATTCTACCAGAGGTACAAAGAGGAGCTGGTACCACTCCTTCTGAAACTATTCCAAACAGTAGAAAAAGAGGGACTCCTCTCTAACTCATTTTTTGAGGCCAGCATCATCCTAATACCAAAACCTGTTAGAGACACAACAAAAAAAGAAAACTTCAGGCCAATATCCCTGATGAACATCCACACAAAAATCCTCAATAAAATACTGGCAAACCAAATCCAGCAGCATATCAAAAAGCTTATTCACCATGATCAAGTCGGCTTCATCCCTGGGATGCAAGGCTGGTTCAACATATGCAAATCAATAAATGTAATCCATCACATAAATAGAACCAATGATAAAACCACATGATTATCTCAATAGATGCAGAAAAGGCTTTTGAATAAAATTCAACAGCCCTTCATGCTAAAAACACTCAGTATTGATGGAACATATCTCAAAATAATAAGAGCTATTTATGACAAACCCATAGCCAATATCATACTAAATGGGCAAAAACTGGCAGCATTCACTTGGAAAACCAGTGTAAAACAAGGGTGCCCTCTCTCACCCCTCCTATTCAACATAGTATTGGAAGTTCTGGCCAGAGCAATCAGGCAAGAGGAAGAAATAAAGGGTATTCAAATAGGAAGAGAGGCAGTCAAATTGTCTCTGTTAGTAGATGACATAATTGTACATTTAGAAAACCTCTTTGTCTCAGCCCCAAATCTCCTTAAGCTGATAAGCAACTTCAGCAAAATCTCAGGATAAAAATCAATGTGCAAAAATCACAAGCATTCCTATACACCAGTAATAGAGAGTGAAATCATGAGTGAACTCCCATTCACAATTGCTACAAAGAGAATAAAATACCTAGGAATACGACTTACAAGGGACATGAAGGACCTCTTCAAGGAGAACTACAAACCAGTGCTCAAGAAAATAAGAGAGGACACAAACAAATGGAAAAATATTCTATGCTCATGGATAGGAAAAATCAATATTGTGAAAATTGCCATACTGCCCAAAGTAATTTATAGATTCAATGCTATTCCCCTCAAGCTACCATTGACTTTCTTCACAGAATTAGAAAAAACTACTTTAAATTTCATATGGAACCAAAAAGAGCCCATATAGCCAAGACAATTCTGAGCAAAAAGAACAAAGCTGGAGGCATCACGCTACCTGACTTTAAACTATGCTACAAGTCTACAGTAACCAAAACAGCATGGTACTGGTACTAAAAGAGATATATAGACCAATGGAACAGAACAGAGGCCTCAGAAATAACACCACACATCTACAACCATCTGATCTTCGACAAATCTGACAAAAACAAGCAATGGGGAAAGGATTCCTTATATAATAAAGTTGTGCTGGGAAAACTGGCTAGCCATATGCAGAAAACTGAAATTGGACCCCTTCCTTACACCTTACGTAAATATTAACTAAAGATGGATTAAAGACTTAAATGTAAGACCTGAAACCAGAAAAACCCTAGAAGAAAACCTAGGCAATACCATTCAGGACATAGGCATGGGCAAAGACTTCATCGCTTAAACACCAAAAGCAATTGCAACGAAAGCCAAAATTGACAAACGGGATCTAGTTAAACTAAAGACCTTCTGCACAGCAAAAGAAACTATTGTCAGAGTGAACAAGCAACCTACAGAATGGGCAAAAATTTTTTCAATCTATCCATCTGACAACGGGCTAATATCCAGTATCTACAAGGATCTTAAACCAGTTTACAAGAAAAAAAACCAACTCCGTTAAAAAGTGGACAAAGGATATGAACAGATACTTCTCAAAAGAAGACATTTATGCGGCCAACAAACATGAAAAAAAGCTCATCATCACCAGTCATTAGAGATGTGCCAATCAAAACCACAATGAGATACCATCTCACCCCAGTTAGAATGGCAATCATCAAAAAGTCTGGAAACAGATGCTGGCAAGGATGCGGAGAAATAGGAATGCTTTTACACTGTTGGTAGGAGTGTAAATTAGTTCAACCATTGTGGAAGACAGTGTGGCAATTCCTTTGGGTATATACCCATTACTGGGTATATAGAAACTGTCATTCTCAGCAAACTAATACAGTTACAGAAAACCAAACACTACATGTTCTCACTCATAAGTGGGAGTTGAACAATGAGAACACATGGACACAGGGAGGGGAACATCACACACGGGGCCTGTCAGGGCATGGGGGGAAAGGGGAGGGATAGCCTTAGGACAAATACCTAATGCATGCAGGGCTTAAAACATAGATGATGGGTTGATGGGTGCACCAAACCACCTGTCACATGTATACCTGGGTAACAAACCTGCATGTTGTGCACATGTATCCCAGAACCTAAAGTATGATAATAATAAAGTGAACAAATTATGTAAGTCAATAGTGCTTTGGTCTACACCCGTGCTGGAAAATGTAGAGAAAAAAATGCTGTCACTCCTAGTTCCTTGAGCACTAATCCATCACTCTCTCTTGAAACAGAAAAGGCCCTTGACATCCTATTCAACATAGCACAGCCAGGAAGCAATGCCAACAGAGTTGATTTGGCTTGTTATCAAGAGTTGAAATCTAATTGCAATCTAGAGTGTTCACCACTATGCCAAACATCTAGTCATATAATAGTTTTTTAAATTAACCATTGTTGACATTGCCTCACCATATAGCCTCTTGAATGTTTCAACAAATTTACAGGATTTGAACAAAATAATGGATGTGGCTCTGGCTCTGGCAAGCAGCACTTGGCAAGTAGATGATAACAAATGATATGCACCTGTCTGTGCCCAATAACTATGAATTGCATAAACTTCACCCCTCTAAATCCAAGAAAGCTACAGCTTTACAATTTCATATTTGCCTGTTGTATTTACATGAAAAATATTTAATCACTATATGAATGCAACTCAAAATTAACAGCTGCTATGGGACAGACAAGTAACAGAAATAGGTAATATAACTAAAGCATAATCAATCAAACTTTTCAATTGTGTAATTTTATTAATGCAATTTATATTATTTAAATAGCAAAATTATTTTTAGGTGTCTTAGATAACATATGATTCATGTGCTAATTACCCCAAAGTACAAAACAGAATTAGATGATTGGTCACTCATATGCATAACAAGATACAAGAAACAAAAACAACTACAATGCTATGTGCAACATATTGTAATAAGAGTTCAAGAAGATACAAATTATTGAAAACTGTAAATATATCTCAGAAGAAGGAGCAATAAGAAAAAATAAATACTAAAGAAGATGAGGAGCTGACATAACAATTCCTCAAAAAGAGCCCGTAGCTGGATGATACACACTTTTCTTTACTTGAGGCATGCCTTGTCTCTCTGTTTTTCACACCAGTAGGTGCAAAGGAATACCAGGAAGTCCAATATATTCCGCCTGATTGACAGGCAAGGGGGAAATATTTGACAGTAAACAGAATTTGAAGAGAAGACTTGTGCCTAGAAGGCAATCGAAGGCCAGTAATTGAATCTACTCAGAAAGTGTGATAAATTATAAAGAAGGCCACTAGCAAAATAATTACTTGTGAAATTGAAATAATAGGCTGGGAGAATGGAGGGTGGGTGGAGAGAAGAGAGAGATGACAAAGGGGGGTGGGAGATAATAAGGGCATGTGATGAAGACATTAGAAAAATATGCACACATGTATGTACATTGTAGAAAAATAATAATTTTTTTGAGAGAGAGAGTCTCACTCTGTCTCCCAGGCTGGAGTGCAGTGGCATAATCTCAGCTCACTGCAACCTCAACCTCCCAGGCTCAAGTGATTCTACCATCTCAGCCTCCAGAGTAGCTGGAACTACAGGCATGCACCACCATGCCCACCTAACTTTTGTATTTGTTTGTACAGGCAGGATTTTGCCATGTTGCCCAGGCTGGTCTTGAACTCCTGGGCTCAAGCAATCTGTCTGCCTTGGCCTCTCAAAGTTCTCTGACTCCCAAAGTCCCATACAGAGAGATAATGTCCAAAATAACTGATCAAACTGAGCAATCCTGAAAACGTCTTAGCCAGTACCATTTTGAGTTAGCATTAGTATTTTCACTGTATTATATCTGGACCAGTGGTTAGAAGCTGGAAGGATGACTTTTAAATAATAGCTAAATATTTTAGAAAAATATCTAAAAAATTTAAATCTATCAGGAATAAACATTTAAGATAAAGAAAAAATTCAAACAAAATTTTATGTATAACCGATCAATTATAATAATTTTTTCTTAGATGTAATATGCTTTTCAAACTTGTATTGCATATTTCTGGTCTACTTGGTAAACAAGGCTAGGTTGAAAAAATAAAATATGCATACAGATTTCCTTAATAAGGTATAACAGCTTAAAAGGCCATAATTGTGCACATAATGTTTATCTTTAAAAGAAGCATTTAATTGTGTAAAATTATTTTTCCATAAAATTACTTTTTACTTATTTCAGAGGCAGCCTTTTCATTTACAAGCCCAATAAGAAGGGGAGAGCTTATGAACAAAGGCCCAAGCTTAGGAATGAGAAAAAGTAGGACACAATATGAGCATAGCAGAAAAATTTAGTGTTTACACTGAGATGCTCATTAATTCATTCTTTGAACATAATTGTATTTCTATTTAATACATTTTGCTAGAACGAACTTTCATACAGCTATCTGTAAGGAAGACTTAATTTTAATTTTTTGAAATTATTTGTGAAAGCAAAAGAAAATTGTCCTAAAATTATGAGTACAAATTTTGCTTTATGAGATTGAGCCTTGTCGGTGAAGGTGAACTGCTGATTACTCTACTTTCTGACAGGTAAAGCTGTTTGCAAGAATTTTTCAGTTTCAGGAGAATTTTAAACAACAGAAAATGACATATGTGGACACCAATAGTTTCTCACGAATATCCTCTAAACATATCCTTATATGGTTTACTGGTGCAGCTGCACACAGTGATCACTGCCTGACATTTTATTATTAATAGAATAATTCTATCAGCCATAAGAAGGAAAATCTTATTTTTTCACAGAATGTGATAAAACATTTAAAAGTTTTGTATTATTTATTCTTCCTTTGAAGTCTTAGATGCAGTAACTGAAATGATTCCATGTAGCAGTAGAATTAGCAAACTTTATGTGAGACTTAATCTAAAAATAAGATTTTAACATGTTGCTATAAAGCCAAATTTTATGTTGCTTTTACTTTTTCTGTTTGTATCAACTTAGTTTACACTTGGTTGGAACTACCTGATATTCCTAACATTTGTTCAAATAAAAAACCAGATTGCTGAAACTCAAGAACCTACTGAAAGGCACTTTACATATACCATGTAAGAAATCAGCATATCACTATCATATATATTTTCCCCTGTCATCTTATCATTCTTTAGTTGGTAATTTTTCCTTGCTCACAAATATAAGTTGAGAGGTTTTGATTTGGTTATGGTAGAGTAGCTTTTACTGGTATAACCTATTCTCTCTTGGACAAGAAAAATAAATTCTGAATAAAGTTTTTAAAAATAAATATTTTAAGGCATGCAAGATTAAATAAATACAGGCATAAAATTAAGAGGCATTACTTAAAAGTGAGTTCCACATTTCTACTACAATCCACTTCAATCCATATAGTACTGGGTGACTAGAACTCTAGCAGAAAACTGATGAGCATCTCAGTGCCTTGAGGTCTCAGGACAGAGTTTGAGACCATTGCAGCTGCTGGAAATTCAGGGTGAAAATTCTGGAAATTAAGAGGACACAGAAGGGATAGCCCCCAAATCTGTGTATAATCATTCTCAAATTATTAACCATTTCCTAAACTGTGCATGCATGGAGAAGACTGTAATGGTAATAGTGTAAAACATCAAATAGAAGACTGAATGAGCTAGGCAAATATCTCAGTTTCTTCACACCAAAGGAAGATGAAAGTTTGAATTTGTGTTCTTCCCAGTGAAACACCAGAAGACAACACTTTCAGAATACAGATGATATAGCAGGACTAAAGCATTTATCTTGGACAAAGAACAAACCCAAAACAAATCTCTCCTAATAAAATATAAAGTCAAGCCCCCATAGTCCATAGTTAACAACCAATGCTTTAACTGTCTGAAAAACAAAAATCACTCTTCAGAGCAAGTTAACAGAATCCAGAGTTTCTACAAAGTGCCATCTACCTTGTCCAGTATACAATAAAAGTTACTAGGTATAGGAAGAAGTCGGGGGAGAAACTAATATTTAAGAGGAAACCAGTCAATAAAAATGGATTCTAAGATAGCTCATATGTTGAAATTTCCAGATAAGGACTTCATAGCAGCTATTTAAAAACATATTTAAGATGCAAATGAAAATATTATCAAAATGATTGGTTATATGGAGAATCTGATCATAGAAATAAGAAATTAAAAGAAGCAAACCAGAAATTTAAGAATTTAGAGGTACAGTGTATAAAATAAATTTACTAAAATTGATAAACAGACTTTTGGAGATAATGATCATTGTGTGTGGTGTTTACAAATTATCCAATCTTAAAAACAGAGATAAAAACAACAAAAAAAACAAAAAACAAAAGAGCTTCACTGATCTGTAATGGAAAATCAAGTGGTCTATCATGTGTAATTGGATTTCCAAAGGGACCAGAGAAAGAAACTGGGGTAGAAAAAGTATTTGAGGTTATAGGGCTGAAAACTTCTAAAGTATGGAAAAGAACAGAAACTTCAAAAAGCACAGCAAATACAAGGCACAATAGCACATATAAGACCATATCTAGATACAAATATTAAAAATGCTGATAACCAAAAATAAAGAGATAATATATCTAGTCAAACTGTTGAAAACCAAAAATAAGAATATCATAAAATTAGTCAGAAAAATGTATATTACAAAAATAGATATAAATATCTGGAAATTTTATATACATAAATATATAGCTAGAGATAAGAGAAAGAGAGAGAGGACAGTGTGTTATGAGATGTTATCAGTTCTATTTCCCCCATAGTCTTATGTTGAAGGCCCAACCCCTAGTACCTCGAAAGTGACTGTATTTGGAGTTAGTGTCTTTAAACAGGTTATTAAGCAAAATGAAACTATTAGGTTGGGTGCTTATTCAGTCTGACTGGTGTCCTTATAAGAAGAGGAAATATGGACACATGGACACCAGACATGTGCATGCACAGAGGAAAGACATTTTAAGACATAGCAAGAAGGCAGCCATCTATAAGCTAGGAAAAGGGGCTTCAGAAGAAACCAAACCTGATGATACCTTGATTATAAACTTCTAGCCTCCAGAACTATAAGAAAATAAATTTTTGTTTTTAAATCACCTAGTCTGTGGTACTTTGTTATGACAGCTCTAGAAAACTTGAAGATAGATAGATAGGTAGATAGATAGACAGATAGAGTGAACATATGAGGGGCTTCAAAAAGTTTATGGAAAATGCATATCATGCAAACACTATGCATACATTTCACATATTTCTCAATCAAAATAAACTCATACAAACTTGTTATAACGTATCTGAATAGGGTCTAGTTTGACGCACTAAAAAGGATAAGACATCTCCTTGAAAATAGCCCCTGTCAGAGCAACATATTTTGCTAAAATTGACACCAAAAAAACATCAAATTTATGAAGATGGTGACATCACTGATGCATTATGAAAAATGTATGGTGATAATGCCACAAAGAAATCATCAGTTTACAAATGAATAACTCATTTTAGAAAGGGACAAGATGATGTTGAAGATGAAACTCACAGCAGCCGACCATCCACATCAATTTTTGATGAAAAAATTAATGTTGTTTATGCCCTAATTGAAGAGAGCAATGATTAACAGCAGAAACAATACCTATTACCACAGACATCTCAGTTGATTCCACTTAACACAATTCTGACTGAAAAATTAAAGTTCAGTAAATTTTCCACTTGATGAGTACCAAAACTGTTGTGTCCAGATCAGCTGCAGACAACAGCAGATCTTTGAATGGAAATTTTAAACAAGTGGGATCAAGATTCTGAAACATTTCTCAGAAGAATTGTAACAGGAGATGAAATATGGCTTTACTAGCGTAATCCTGAAGACAAAGCACAATCAAACAACAGCTAACAAGCAGTGGAAGTGATTTGGTAAAAGCAAAAGCATACCGGTCAAAAACAAGGGTCATGAAAACAGTTTTTTGGGATGCTCAAGGCACTTTGCAGGTTGAATTTATACAAAGTATGAATTTGAACAAATCAGAAATAAATTAAATAAAATAAAGATACCTGGAAATTTTCTAAATATTTGGAAATTAAAGAAAATATTTTGAAAAAACCCACAGTTGAAAAATAGCTCACAAGGCAAATTGTAATGAAAATGAAAATACCACATACCAAAATTTGAATCACACAAATTATCTGTGTTGCTTTCAGATAATTTTATAGCATTAAATTAAATCGTCATTTTAGAAAAGAAAAAAGTCTCAAAGCAGTTATTTAAACTTTAAAGAAATTTTTAAAAACTCAAGCGAAATGCAAAGTAAGCAGAAGGAAGCAGATAACTATACAAATAGAAATCAATCAAATGTAAAATGATGTTGAAGACCAAAAAAGTAGAGAAAATCAATGAATGTAAAATCTGGTTTATTGAAATGATCAGTAACTTGATAAATATCTGGCTAGATTCATCATAAGAGAGAAAAACAAATTACCAATAATAGGAATAAAATTGTGGGTATCACAGCAGCCATTAAATAATAATAAGGCAATGTTATGAACAATTTCATGGCAATAAGTTTGGCTACTTACATGAAATATACAAATCCTTTTGACAGGTATAAACTTCCAAAACTAAATAAAAAAGAAATAGAAAACCTATAGACTTTTATCTTTAAAAGAAACTGATTTATAATTAACAAATTTCCAATAAAATAATCTTCAACCCAAATGGCAAATTTTATTAATCATTTAAGAAATAATATAGAGGAACCACTATCTTTTGGCAGCTTATGTAGGGTCCTCCCTTGATGTTGATGTCTACCAATTGACCAGAATGGTTGTTGCTGAAGGATGAAATCACTGTGACAATTCCTTAAAATATGACAACAAAAAAAGTTTGCTGAGTCTACTGACATTTCCTCTCATGAAAGATTTCTGTTTCTGCTGTTTGATACCATTTTACCCACAGTAGAATTTGTTTCAAAATCAATCCTTTCAAACTCTATCATGGCTTTATCAGCTAAGTTTATGTAATATTCCATATTCTTTATTGTCATTGCAACAAGTTCACAGCATCTTCACCAGGAGTAGAGTCCATCTCAAGAAAAGATTTTCTTTGCTCATCCATAAGAAGCAACTCTTCATCCATTCAAGTTTTATTATGAGGTTGAAGCAATTCAGTCGCATCCTCAGGCTTTGCTTCTAATTCTAGCTCTCTTTCTATTTCTAGTACATCTGCAGTTATTTCTTCTACTGAAGTCTTTAACTGCTCAAAGTCATCCAAGAGGGCCGGAACCATCTTCTTCCAAACTCCTGTTAATATTGATATTTTTACCTCCTCCCATGAATTATGAATATTCTTAATGGCATCTAGATGGTGAACCCTTTCCAGAAAGTTTTCAATTTATTTTGCCTATATTTATCAGAGGAATCATTATCTTATGGAAGCTATGGTCTTATGAAATGTATTTATTAAATAATAAAACTTCAAAGTCAAAATTACTCTCTTATATATGAGCTGCAGAAATGACGTTGTGTAAGCAGGCATAAAAACAGCATTAATCTCCTGTACATCTCCATCAGAGCTCTTGAGTGACTAGGTGCATTGCCAATAAGCAGTAATATTTTTGAAAGGAATTATTTTCTAGGTAGTAGATCTCAACAGTTGACTTAATCAGTAAACCATGCTGTTAACAGATGTGCTGTCAACCATTTTCTCTTCTATTTTCAGAGCATAGGCAGAGTAGATTTAGCATAACTTTTAAAGGCCCTATGATTTTTGGAATGGTAAATGAGCACTGGCTTCAACTTAAAGTCACTAGCTGTATTAGCCCCAACAAGTGGATCAGCCTGTCATCTTGTTTGAAGCTTTTAAGCTAGGCATTGACTTACTCTAGCTATTAAAACCCTAGATGGCATCTTCTTCTAATATAAGGCTGTTCTGTCTACATTGAAAATATGTTGTTCAGTGTAGCCACCTTCATCGATGAACTTAGCTAGATTTTTTGGATAATTTGCTATAGCTTCTACATAAGCACTTGCTGCACTTTTATGTTATATAGACACCTTCCTCCTTTAACCTTTATGAATAACTTTTGCTCACTTCAATCTTTTCTTCTACAACTTCCTTATTTCTCTCAGCCTTCACAGAATTGAGGAGGGTAGGGTTGCTTTGGATTAGGCTTTGGCTTAAGGGAATATTATAGCTGGTTTGATCTTCTATCCAGACCATGCAAACTTTCTCCATACCAGCAACAATCCTGTTTTGCTCTCATATTATTCCTGTGTTCACTGGGGTAGCATTTTTAATTCCTTTCAGGAACTCCTTTGCATTCACAACTTGCCTAATTGTTTAGTGCAAGAGGCCTCACTTTTGGCCTATCTCCACTTTTGACAGGCCTTCTCACCAAGCTTTATCATTTCGAGCTTTTGATTTAAAGTGTGAGAGACGTCTTCCTTTCACTTGAACACTTAGAGGCCTTTGTAGGGTTATTAGTTGGCCTAATTTCAATATTGTTTTGTCTCAGAAAATTGAGAGGCTTGAGGAGAGGGAAAGAGATGAGGGAACAGCTAGTGGGTGAGGCAGTCAGAGCACATGCAACATTATCAACTAAGTTCGTTGTCTCATATGGATGCAGCTTGTGGTGCCCCAGAATGACTACAATAATAACATCAAAGATCACTGATAACAGATCATCATAGCAGATAAAATAAAATAATAAAACAATGCAAAGTATTGTGAGAATTACCAAAATGTGGCATGGAGACACAAAGTGAGCACATGCTATTGGAAAAATGGTGCCAATAGACTTGATTGACATTACTTCAATTTACAAAAATTACAATATTCTGTGATGCACAATAAAATGAATTGAAATAAAATAAGGTATGCCTATATACATGATTATTAACTATAGTTATTTTGGGGTACATTAGGTCTCCAGTACTTATTTTGTACCCTTTGGCCAGTATCTATCCTATTCTGCTATCTCCCAACCCTTGGTAACAACCATTCTACTCCCTGTTGCTATGAGTTCAACTTTTTTTTTAGATTCCACATATAAGTGAGATCATGCAATATTTGTCTCTCTGTGTCAGGGTTACTTATCTAGCATTAAATCTTCAAGGTTCATCCATATTTTTCCAAATGGCAGGATTTCTTTCTTCTTTAAGGCTTAATAATATTCCATTGTGTCTATATATCACATTTTCTTCATCCATTCTTCTGTCAGTGAACATTTAGGTTGTTTTCGTATCTTGGCTACTGTAAATAACACTGCAATGAACACGGAAGTGCAAATATTATTTGGAAACAGTGATTTTATTTCCTTTAGGTACATACCCAGAAGTGAGATTCCTCAATCATATGGTGGTTCTATTTTTAATTTTGGGAGAACTTCCATACTGTTTTCCACAAAGGATGTACCAATTTGCATTCCCACCAACAGTGTTCAAGGGTTCCAATTTCTCCACATCCTTGGCAACACTTATTATCTTTCCACTTTCTGATGATAACCATCCTAACATGTGAAGTGATATTTTACTGTGGTTTTGGTTTGGATTTCCCTGGTGATTAGTCTCATTGAGCATCTTTTTATTTACGCATTGGCCACTTGTATGTCTATTTTGGAAAACTGTTTATGTTGGTCCTTTACTCATTTTTTAATTGGGTTACTCATTTTGCTATTGAGTTGAGTTCTTTATGTATTTTGGGTATTAACCCTTATCAGATATATAATTAAAATATTTACTCTCATTACATAGGCTGCCTTTTTTATTGTTATTTCTCTTTTCTGTGCAAAAATGTTTTAGTTTGATGAAGCCCCACTTGTTTATTTTTACTTTTCTTGTCTCTGCTTTTGTTATGAAACCCCAAAAATCATAGCCAAGACCAATGTCAAAGAGTTTATCTTGTATATTCTTCTTCTGGCAGTTTTACAGTTCCGGTCTTAAGATTAAGTCTTTAATACATTTTTAGTTTACTTTTATATCTGACTTAAGAGTCCAATTTAATTTTTTTTTTTGAGATGGAGTCTTGCTCTGTTGCCCAGGCTGGAGTGCAGTGGCATGATCTTGGCTCACTGCAACCTCTGCCTCCTGGGTTCAAGTGATTCTCCTGCCTCAGCCTCCCTAGTAGCTGGGATTACAGGTGCCCACCACCACACCTAGCTGATTTTTGTATTTTTAGTAGAGACAGGGTTTCACTGTATTGGCCAGGCTGGTCTTGAACTCCTGACCTTGTGATCCACCTGCCTTGGCCTCCCAAAGTGCTGGGATTACAACCATGAGCCACTGTGCCCGGCCTAATTTTTATTTTTATTTTTGCATGTGGATATCCAGTTTTCCCAACACCATTTATTGAAGAGTCTATTATTGTCCTGTTGTGTATTTTTGGCATCTTTGTTGATAATTAGTTAACCATATATGCGTGGATTTATTTCTGAACTCTCTATTTTGTTTCATTGGTCTATGTGTCTGCTTTTATGGCAGTACCATGCTATTTTGATTAGTATAGGTTTGTAATATTTTTTGAAATCAGGAAGTGTGATACCTCCAGCTTTGTTCTTTTTGCTCGAGGTTGCTTTAGCTATTCAGTGATTTTGTGGTTTCATATGAACTCTAGAATTATTTTTTTCTGAAAAACAGTCATTGAAATTTTGATAGGGACTGAATTGAATCTGTAGATCATTTATTAATTCTTCCAATCTGTGAATGTGAGAATCTGTCTATTTATTTGTGTCTTTAATTTCTTTCCTCAGTTTTTCATAGTTCTCAGTGTACAGATATTTCACCTTCTGGATTTATTTCTGTTTTGTTTGTTTTTTGATGCTATCGTAAATGAGATTATCAGTTTTTTTGAATAGCTCATTGTTAGTGTATAGAAATGCAACTGACTTTTGTATGTTGATTCCGTATCCTTTAACTTTACAGGAATTTATTAGTTCTAATAGTTTTTTGGTGTTTTATTAACATCTCTACACTCAGAATCTAGAATATTACCTAGCATATACTAGGTACTCACTAACAGTCATTGAATGAATTGAAGAACAAAATCCATTGTTTAAAACTGTAGTATTTAATTTTGCCATGTGTCTCTCCCATTTTATGTTTTCATCCTCCTTTTCTATGTGGCTTATTTTTGTTTTCTTATTAACTTCTGAAGTTATTTCAGTTAGTCATGTGCTTTTTAATTACATAAATGCTTTCTTTAGACCTTTTCCATGATATTTGTGAACCAACATTATACTATGATATATGAAGACTAAGATAAAACCCTTGTTTCAATACCTCCCAATGTGTGACTTTAGGCAAGTTTCCTAACCTCTCTGTTTCTCAGTTTGCTTACCTGCAAAGCAGGAATTATAACATTACCCATCGATTGGCTGTGAGAATTAAATTAGTATATATGTGCACTCCTTGGCACACTATAAGCAACATTCAGTTGATAGAAATTATAATTATTACTATGATTATCATAAAATCATAAAAATAAGTAATAAACTAATAACTTCTTCCTCATTCTTATGGAAGACCTGAGTGTCATTTTTTGCCTAATACTGTTTTCCCTTCTTTTGTTAATTTAATCCACAAATATAAACCTGTTTTCCTTCTTATTTAATTTAATAAATGTATTGTTTTACAAATAGTTAACTGAGCACAGTATTAGGCAATATGCTAAAGCAAAGTAGACATGATCCTGAGCATACACAGTTTAGTGGGAAAAGATTAGTGAAGAAGTCAGTACAAAAAAACAAATAAGTATATAAATGAAACTTACAAAAAATGTTCTAATTATAACAAACATTGTGCTATGATAGAAAATATCAGAAGCGACTTCAAAGTTGCCACATAAGGCTCTGCAAGGTAACATGATGGAAATTGAGAGCTAAGGGATGGGAAAGGCCAGGAATATTGGCAGTAGCAAAGCGGGTGGACTGTAAGTTTCCAGGCAGAGGTGCTCACAATACTGCCCATCTTTAATCTTCCAAAATTCACCAGCATACATATGATTATCTTTTTATTAACTTTGCTTCAAAGAGCTTCAACTCTCAATTTTTAGACTAAATTTATTTTAGATAAAAGGGTTTCATGCTATTATTTCTTCTGGATTCTCTTTGAAATTTCTATTTTGGTAGGTCACATTATCCTGAATCTAAGTTAAGGTTCTCATTTTGTCCGTTTATTTTTAATTTTTTTTCTTTTTATCCCTTTGAATTTGAGGAAATTCCTTTAGCTCGATTTCCTTAGCAATTTGATTTTCTGCAGCATTCACAGTCTCAATTTTAAAAAATATAACAATTATGTTTTAAATTCACTTAAAATTCCCCATAAGGTCAAATAACCCCATATTTATTACTACTCATTTGTAACTCAAATAGTCTCTTTTGAACCTTACTGAGAACACAAATATTATGTTTCTAATATGTTTTCTTATTCTTTTTTTAAAGTAGCTGTTTTAATGAATATACATTTCTGTGTCTTTAAATAAGTCACTCTTTTTCGAACTACAGAATCTTTTAAAAGATCTGATAGTTTTTTTCTTTCAGTGGGAACTTTTGGATTATTCAGTATTGGCTGGTCATTAGACAGAATCAAATAGCTCAGTGGCTGTCTCTGGCCCTAGGTAAAGGATATCTTGTCAATTTCTATTTATAATTATCTCTCTTTACACAAAGAAAAATGAGACCAAGTATGGACTTGAATATGAGAAATTTCCTAAAAATACTTTAACAATGATATTGGCTAGGAAGAGAAAAACTAATACCATACAAAATCTGTTTAGTTTTATATATTGGATAGTTTTGATGTAAAACATATAATGAATCTGATTATTTTGCATTGGTCAATAAGTCTTGGTTCTAAAAATTGTCTTTATTTTTACTATTTTATTAAACACCTTGTTTCCTTTTCTGCATGGATTTTAGGGGGAAATAACCCAACAAAGGGAAATTCTGATATATTCTGAATAGTCCTATCCATAGAAACAGAAAGTAGATTAGTAGTTGCCAGAGCATGGGGAAGGAGGTAATGGGGCATGGTGGTATAATAGGTGTGGGGTTTCCTTTTGGGGTGATAAGAATGTTTTGGAACTAGATAGTGCTGATGATTTCACAGCATTGCAAATGTACTAAATGCCATGAAATTGTGTACTTTAACATAGTTAATTTTTATGCTATGTAAACCACAATTTTAGAAAAAGGATCTCCCTACCAAAAAGAGCAATTCATTTTTATTAAGTAACAGACTTGATGCTAGTGTATAATAAAATGTTTTTTAAATTTTTTCCTGATAGACAAAAACACAAGGAAAGTACAAGAGGCCAAATCCTGAAACAAAAACATGCAGTTATGGCCAGCACAGTGTTCTCAGTTGGAGGAGGCACCTTTTTGTCTGGTATTATCTACCTCCAAAACACATAATATAAAATGGAGTAACAGAAATACAGTTCTCATAAGTAAGATACCTGCTTGAATAAGAGCAGAATAGGAAATGCAGCAGTCTCTTCTCCATAGCATGTATTTAGTGCTAAATAGAAATAACTAAGAGTCCTTGACTGTCTGATGGTGGAATCAACTTCTTTCCTATCTGAAATAGAAGATAATAGTTTTGCTTTCAAGGAAGAGCTCTACTGTGTTTCAAGACCACAAGGAGGATGGGTTCTTCCTATGTTTCCACTGCTTCAGTACTCCATTTCCTGTTGGAGTTAAGTTGGTGGCCTTAGGATTGAGCATTCGTAGGTTATTGCCAAGTTATTAAGTTTCTTTATATCAATAGAGTCCCCTCAAAAATCTAGCAGACTTTTATAATACTTATTTACTGGACTAATAACTATCACCGAGATCTTGACTACACTGAATTTGATGTTCTCCCCACATCTAACCTTTTGTTTAATGCACTCTACCTTGAATCCAATAAATAATAGCCATTAATCAGATTTCACTCTTAATCAAATTTGTTCATTGTTTGGTGGAGAATGCCTAATGAAAGGACCCTATAATAGGCTTAGGTCTCACTCTCAACAATTATATTTTCTGCAGAATCATTTATATCCTAATTCTCTGAAGGCACTAGCTACATATCGAGGATAGAGAAATTGTTTTAGAAACCTTGGAAAGCATGATACAATGGGGCTTTGTCTACTTAGAAGGCCTATTGCAGACAAAACTCCTTTCTCAACACTGCATTTTCCATCCTTTCTCCTCTCAGATCAAACTTCTTTAGGTTAAATTTCTCTCTGTTGTGTAGTCCCTTGCTAAAACCTACATGATAAAATCAACTCAAACAAACATTTTGAAATGTTTATATGATTTTTTCCTAATTCTGCCTCTTGCAGTCTAGGAGACCTATTATGCTAGGAAGAAAGCAAAAGTGGTTGGGGGTGGGGATAGTAATGACTATTGATCAAACAGCCAGCAAAGTCTGCCAGATTCAGGGCTTAATAAATGTTTATTGAATTACTTTGCTTGGATTTATAGTTGCTACTGACAATTCCTAATATGAAGAATGTTTTTTTATTTTGGAAATCTTTCATTAGCTGTTTTTTTCTCCCTGTTGATAAATGCTCCTGCATTAATCTACTTAGACTGCTATACAATATTCCACAGACTGGGTGGCTTAGACAACAGAAATTTGTTTTTTCATCATTAAGGTTGCTAGAGTCAAAGATCAAGGTATCAGCAGGGCTGGTTTCTGGCTGTGTCCTTACTGGCTTGCAGATGGCTGTCTTCTTGCTATGTCCTCTCATGGCATTTTCTTAGTGTGCACAAGTATACACACACACATAAACACATAAACACACACACACACACACACAGATGTGGTGTGTTTTTTCCTTCCTCTTCTAACAACACCCAGCCTATTTGATTAGGGTCCCACCCTTATGACTTTATGTAACACTACCTACCTCCTTAAAAGTCCTATCTCCAAATACAGTCACATTCACAGGTTAAGACTTCAACATATAAATTTGAGAGACACAGTTTAGCCCATAACATTCTGTCTTCTGGCCCCCTGAAATTTATGTTTTTCTCAGATACAAACTACATTCACTGTGTCCCAAGAGCCCCCAAAGTCTTCACCCACTCCAGTGTCAATTTCAAGTCCAAAGTCTTGTCTAAATATCATTTAAATCAGGAATATGTGAGACTCGAGGAATGAATCACCCTCAGGCGAATTTCCTTTCCAGTTCTGAACCTTTAAAACCAGACAAGATATGTGCTTCCAAAATATAATGTTGGGACAGACATAGTTTAGACATTCCTGCTCTAAAAAGGAGAAATTGAAAGGAAGAAAAGGGTAATGGATCCAAAAGAAGTTCAAAACCTAGAAAGAAAAATTTTATTAACTATTACAGCTTGAGAATAATCCTCTTTGATTGGACGCTGTGCCCCCAGGGCCCACTGGGACAGCAATATCACTTGTATGGCCCTGGGTGACAATTCTTTCCCTTGGCTCTGCATCCTGGCCTGCCTTTCAGCTCCGTGGGGTGGCCCTGCCCCAGAGGCACCGGGTGGTAGCATCTTAGCCCAGTGAAATGAAAGAGGAAACAACCTCTTCCTTGTGCCTATGGTGGGAGTGGCAGGCCTGACATCTCTGAAGTGCCTTCAAGGTCATTCTTCTCTTCTCCTGGAGGATAATATTGGATAGCTCTATTGTTTTATCCTGTAGAATTTCAGAATTCTGAAACCTTTCTTTCATTCCATCACATTTCTCTGTCCCTTTTATTCTGGCAGTGTTTCTGTTGGTATAATCTCATTTCTATTTCTGGCTTCAGCTAAGATGGCTGATCAAATGCACAAGTAATCTTTCTATGGAGTGATTTCCAGGGCTGCCCTTGATGTTCTCTCCAGGAAATGCTTTTTGTTATGTTTTGCAATATGGGTAAGCTGAGAATGTTCAAATCCTTGAGTTCTGGTTTCTTTTTACTTAACGATTCTTTCAATTTATATCTCTCCTCTTACATTTTACTATAAGCAGTAAGAGAAACCAGGCCACAACTTCAACACTTTGCTTAGAAATCTCCTCTGATAAATATCCAGTGTTATCACTCACAAGTGCACTAGAACATTACTTAGCCAAGTTCTTTATCACTTTATAAGACAGATCACCTTTCCTCCAGTTTCCAATAACAAGTTCCTCATTTCCATGTGAGACAGCACCAAAAGCATCTTTAATATTCACATTTCTACAAACCTTCTGTTTGCCATGGTATATGTGTCCTCTAACATGATATAACTTTCTCTACAGCTCTCCTCTTTTCTTCCTTAGCCCTCATTAGAATCCCCTTTAAAATTTAGAATTCTAACAACAGTCCCTTCGAGAAAATCTAGGATTTTTCTAGCATGCATCTGAAAACTCTTTCAGGCTCTGGCCATCACCTAGTTAGTTCCAAAGCCACTTCCACATTATTAGGTATTTGTTAAAGCAATACTTCATTTCTTCTACCAAAATTTGTATTCATCCACTTAGGCTGCCATAACACAATACCATATTTTGGGTGGCTTAAACAATACAAATATATTTTTTCACAGGTCTTGGGGACAAGTCCAAGATCAAGGTGCCAGCAGTGTTGGTTTCTGGTACTGCCTTTCTTCCTGGCTTGTAGACTGCCACCTTCTGTCTGTCTCCTTATATGGTCTTTCCTCTGTGCATGCATGGTGGGTAGGGACAGAGACAGAGAGAGAGAAGAAAAGAGAAAAAGAGAAATCTGGTATCTCACCTGTTCTTATAAGGAAAGTAGTCCTATCAGATTAGGGTCCTGTGATGGTTAATACTGAGTGTCAACTTGTTTGGATTGAAGGATACAAAGTATTGATCCCAGGTGTGTCTGCGAGGGTGTTGCCAAAGGAGATTAACATTTGAGTCAGTGGGCTGGGAAAGGCAGACCCACCCTTAATCTGGATGGGCACCATCATATCAGCTTCCAGCATGGCTAGAATATAAAGCAGGCAGAAAAAAATGTCAAAAGGCTAGACTGGCTTAGCCTCCCAGCCTGCATCTTTCTCCCATGCTGGATGCTTCCTGCCCTCTAAGATGGGACTCCAAGTTCTTCAGCTTTGGGACTTTGACTTACTTCTTTGCTCCTCAGCTTGCACATGGCCTATTGTGGGACCTTGTAATGAGTTAATACTACTTAATAAACTCTCCTGTATATATATCTATTAGATCTGTCCCTCTAGAGAGCCCTGACTAATACAGGTTCCATCCTTATGATTTCATTTAACTTTCCTCCATAAAGTCATTATCTCCAAATAAAGGCACATTGGGGATTAGAGTTTCAACATATGAATTTTGGAGGTATACAATCCTATCCATAAGAACACTTTTTAAGCAACATTCTAATAATAACCATATTTCTTTTGGAGTATCAGTTGCTCTCACTATGAAAAACATATTACCACTTATAGGTCAGAGCCATTGCTCACTAGTGTTGACCAGATGGAAAATCCTTTGGCAGGGAAGTTTACTAAATAAAGTAAAATTAGTATAGAATGTATTTTGTTAGAGAGCTGGAAATGTATGATCATGTGATTATTGCACTTGAAAATGTATGTTGTTAGAAGTAAAGTATACCAAATTGGTAGTCTGAGTAAAAGAAGTCTTGGTAACATATACAAAGACCAAGAGATAGTGGAAAAAACTATAAAGACTCTGCAATATTGTAACCATGAAAATGAAGCATTCTGGGGGCTAGTACTACGTCTGATCAAGTGAGATAAAAGTCTCAACTAAGAATGGACCAGGCTAATTTCATTCCTGGTTGCCTTGGAGAGTGGGCCTCTTTGTACAGGTGCATTTGTTTCAAGTGCCTAATGCATTCCAGGAACTGAAGATACAGCAAAAAATAAGACAAACAAGTGGAGCAGATGCTGGTGATGCCACATCCCTTATATCCTCTGTCAGTGACAGTGGAGGCCAATTTCTCTGCAGGCTGACAGCTTTCCACTCAAGTACTTTTGCTTCCCAGTCTAAACTTTAGGCTTTCTTCAGGACTCATGAAGCTGTTTGTCTCACACAATGGGAAGTCCAGCAGTGTTGCAAATTCAGCATTCTCAGGACAAATGCCCTCACTCAGGAAATTCTGAGGTACAGTGAGTTCTGCTATAATGTTTGTTTTGAAGAGATGCATTAGTTTCAACATAATAGAGATATTAAGAAAAAAATTAAATATGACCCAAATTTTGTGTTTGATTATGCATGATTTCTTCCATAAAAAACATTAACTTAGGGGTTGGGAAACTCTGGCTCACTGCCTTATAAAGAAGGTTTTATTGGAGCACAGACACATCCATTTTTTTTTTCTTTGGCTCTTTTCTGTGACAGAGTCCATATGTCGCACAATACTGAAAATATTTACTATCTGATCGTTTAAGGAAAAGATTGATCATCTCTGATTTAGATAAATAGAGAAAACAGCATATAGTTGGCCTAAGCCACATAAAAACACCAAAATGCTTATCTGCACACACCTCAACATCTACCAGTGACCTCAGGGCACTTCACGTGTTATGAGTCACACTCAGCCAACTCTGGTGTTAACAGCTGTCCATCAGTTTTGCCTAACTCTTCTTTCACCACTTTGCAATAACTCATCAACTACAACCCTTCCAAAATGCCCTTCCATATGCAAATGTCAAGCCTTCTTCAATATAAAGCACTGTATTTATTATAGATGTTATGCATTTCTTAACCATTTATCACATGTGAAATTATGCTACCGTTTTTAAGGATTTTATCTTTTTTATGTGTGACTGATACCAGTTTTTAGTGTTGTACTCCAACTCCATTTCTCCCACAAGCCTTGTGGTTTCTACTGGATGATATTGTATAGCAGTAATTGTTTTTAGAAACACATATGCACTATTATAGCAGAACTGACAGTACTTTCTACATTCTGTTTCTCAAAAGTTCATCAGGGTAATTGAGCCCCAACTGACCAATCTGGAACTTCCTCATTAACAGATATACTAATTGGCTTTGCCCTCTTCCCTGTCTCACTTATCCCACTCTCTCATTTGTGCTTGCTATCATGTCTCACATAACTACTTACTTCCCAGTCCTTGTTTCCCTAGGCTCTAATTTTGGGGGGACACTAAAAAAAGTTTCTGCCCACATGGAGCATAAACCCCAATTTAGAAGAAAAACCATAATCAATTAAATGAGTGAACAAATGCATAACAAACAAGCAAGACAAATACAGATTATGATAAGTGTTATGTAGGAAACAAACAAGGAGGTGAGAAGAAGAAAAATTGGGGGAGACTATAAAGGATTTAGGGAAGGTGTTTCTGAGGAGCGACATTTGCATTGAAACATACAGGGTGAAAGCAAGCCCACTGGGGAAAATGCTAATGCTCTTATAATGAGAAAAACTAGGGGGAAATCACTGGATGCAAAAGGACAAGAGTGGTAAATAATAATATATCAGTACTGCAGGATGTGTTGGGCATTGTACCAGTCATAATTTCTCTCACTGTTATGGCAGCAATCAGTATAAATACACTGTCTAAATAAAGCCATGTTATACTCAATATATACAAAGGACCACAGTGTGGAAGACTGAAGTTCATTCTTAGCATTTGTGAGTTGGCATAGGTGGGTAGAAACTGTAGCAACTTACAGCCTCAATTGATCTCTCTGCCTTTTACTGCTATGAAAGTGGAATTTTCAGAAAATGATAAGGAGCAACAAGTAGAATAAGAGATGAACAAGCATGGCATAAAAATACAATATATGATACAGATAAAGCATCTTAAATAACCTTGGGAATCTTCAAGTCCCTGGTAGTGGGCTTTCAAAGAATAGTAGTGGTGATGACTTTGACATTGACATTGGCAGTTATGGCAGAGAGTGGTGATAATCATGGCACTGATTGATGGTCAATCATCAGTGCAGAAACAATGAAATATAACTTCAACCGTTATAATTCTTGACGATGTAGAAGATACACACAATTTTAGGATTCTTTTAAGACTGGCTCTTAAAACTTATGGTATCTCAAAAAGAAAGAAACAGAAGGAAGAAAGGACAAGTCAAGGAAAATGACATTGCTGCATGTCCACATATTATCACTCTTAGTCATCTTTTGTATGTTACTTTACTTATTCTCACAATAACCATGTGCAGTAATTACTATTTCCCCAATTTATAAACAGGCAAAATGAATCTTGAAAAGTTTCTCTAATTTGCCCAAGTTTGCATTGTTCATTCAAAGCATTATGCTTTATGCTAATAAAGAAAAAAAATAAGTTACTATTACAGGCTGAACAGGTATGGACAATTTTAGGGAGAAGAAAAAAAGTGGAATAAATGAATGTCAGACTTGAGTTTAAGACTTCATTTAGAAAAGGTTGGAAAGGAGACAAGACAGGAAAGGTGCAGTGAGATGTGAGGTCTCCTCGTTCTATTATGCTTTCTTAAGCAATAGAGTCATTGTGGATCATCACCTCTAGGAAGATACACAGTATTGGCTTACTGTCAGTAATTAAACATTTTTGCTGTCTTTGAAGAATTTTATGAACACAGTAGGGAAGCCAAACTAATTTAATTGTTTTGCTAATTGCTAATTAGCCTCAGTATAAGGGCAGGTGCTTGCATTTGTGTAATTAGGAAGAGAGCCAGAATATCATTTGTAAGAAATCCTGCACTAAAAATTTGAAAAGTGACAACGATGTCAGTTGACAAAGTGTCTATACAATAAGGCAGGTGGTTTGCAATTTTTTTAAATTTAAAAAGAGGATTAAGATGCAATGTGTTTTCCTTTTCACTCTTCAGAAAGTATACTGATACATATTCTTTTTTCTTTTCTTTTTTTTTTTGCACATTTAGGAATGAAGTTGCAAATGGTTCAATGAAGATTACTTAATACAATGGAGTATAGAACTAAATAAAGGGAAACCCATTTTTGGCAATGGGTTTGCCCCATTCTCCACCTTTATTTCTTCCTTTTAATTTTAATTTATCTTTCCTCAAATTTGAGTCTCCATTCTCTTTTAGATCCTTGTTCTTATTTATATTATACTATGCTCTTTTACTATACTTTTAGTTTACTCTTAAAATCGACAAATGCTCTATGACAATACGAATTCTGTGTGTCATAAATGCCATTTGAATTTCTTTCATATTCTGCTAGAAAGACAAAAATCCTGTTAATGACAGAATGTACTGTTGCTCAAGCAGATTAATCAAGATTTCAAGAACATTAGGGAAATTGCTATAAATGTATACCGTGTTATAATATTATTTTTCCCCATAGCTTTGTTTCATTAGTATGCAGGAAGTGACGATGTTAATCTTTATGTGAGCCATGCACTTCTAGAAGACTGTTAAGACAGTTAAGAAATCCTCCTACCATTTTCTTTTCTGAAATCTCCTCACTACTTTGTTTCAAGAAATGGCTAACCTAACCACAAAGGACATTCTTTCTCTCTCATATTCCAAAACAAAAAACAAAATACAAACAAACAAAAAAAAACACTCTCCTTAACCCCCACCTTTCTTCAATGACTCAGATTTGAGCAATCTCTGTTCTTCAGTACTCCCATCAGACTTGATAATTATTTTCTTGTTTACCTGACTCTTTGTTCTTTATTAATGAACATTTTCTCTATCGCAATAGCCTGAATCAAATTATCTCCTTAACTGTCCCACATCTTTTTTCCTTAATGAAGGTTGAAAGAATTGGAAGAAATATTTGAATTTATACTTGACAAAGGCTTTCATCACACCCATTTTTCTTTGCCCTTTAGGTAACCAGGTGGCTGGAGAGCATAGCACATAACCACAAACTGGTCCCTTATGCAAACTTGGCACAAATAAGGCTACCTAAGGCACAGACGACTGCATTGCAGTTCATCACCACCAAGTGGTATGAATTGAATATAACAGGATGATCTTCTACTCCAAATATCTTAATCCAACCTTGCTGTTATAAACTCATAAACCTATCAAAAACAATGATGTGAAGCTTTTAGTTCAGTTCATGAACACACCGAACGCTCTATAAGTGTCAGTAATTTTTACTGTTGCTAACCAAGTGCTCATAGTTTCTTTCATTAAATTGAACATTCATTTCTCTGGCTTACAGGCATTCCACATCTAAGATGTTCACTAGTAAATGTGAGTACTCCTGGAATGGGTGACATTTTTATCCATTACTGGAAATGCTCCCGATTAGCACAAATTACATTAAAAGAAGGATGTAAAGCATTCTCTTTAATAAGGGATTGTCAAGAGAGGAGAAGGCGTCACAAACAAACAAATTATATATTCCTAAGTTGGCCTTATATTGGTCACTCAAGGTCATTGTTTCATCCTAGAGTTTCATGTTATTGTTGACAAGATCACAAATTTATACTTTATAGTCTGATGTGCCCAGAAAAATACCTTGCTCATTTCCGCTAATTTATTTAACCTTCCTTAAGAGCATTTCATCACCACATTACATATACATCCATCCAGTCCAGAAAAAAATTCTACATAAATGTAGTTCAGTCTGGTAAATGCAATTCAATTTGATATTTTAGTCTATTTTGTTTCAGGTCAAAACATATCTTGAAGATTTTTCCTTTTTTCTCCCTACTGCTTTCCTAGGTAGATTTTAGATAAAATGAAAACTAGGGGTTATATGATGTTGTATCTGAAGAAAATGGAGAACGAGGGCTGGGCCTTTAATTCACTTTGTGCCTTTGGATGTTCCGTGGCAAATGCTGTGGTATGGTTAGTCTGGGCTGCTCTCTGGACTGGTGATTGCTGAGGTGAGGTTGGCCCTATTCAGCCACTGAAGTCTTCTAAGGACCACTCGTCCTTGGTCAGAAAGTCCTCACACTTGGTGGCTGCTTTGTCCTCATCCAGGCCTCTGCAGTCTCACCAACTTTCTTAGTTTCTCTGTGGCTCTTCAACGAAGGCACACAGGACCACCTGAATTCCTCATGCTTCACACAGGGCTTGGAACCCAGAAACAGCTCAAAAGATTTTTCTAGGCATTTCCTTGTGGCAGTGCTGTGCAATACTGCCACATCATAATAGATGCGACTGTGTTGGACTATGTTTAGTTCACAGCTTTCCCAGGAAAATAGGCCACTCACTAGTGTCAATGATTTCTTTTTTTATTATTATTATACTTTAAGTTTTAGGGTACATGTGCACAACGTGCAGGTTTGTTACATATGTATACATGTGCCATGTTGGTGTGCTGCACCCATTAACTCGTCATTTACCATTAGGTATATCTCCTAATGCTATCCCTCCCCCCTCCCCCCAACCCACAACAGGCCCCAGTGTGTGATGTTCCCCTTCCTGTGTCCATGTGTTCTCATTGTTCAATTCCAACCTATGAGTGAGAACATGCGGTGTTTGGTTTTTTGTCCTTGCGATAGTTTGCTGAGAATGATGGTTTCCAGCTTCACCCATGTCCCTACAAAGGACATGAACTCATCATTTTTTATGGCTGAATAGTATTCCATGGTGTATATGTGCCACATTTTCTTAATCCAGTCTATCATTGTTGGACATTTGGGTTGGTTCCGAGTCTTTGCTATTGTGAATAGTGCCGCAATAAACATACGTGTGCATGTGTCTTTATAGCAGCATGATTTAGAATCCTTTGGGTATATACCCAGTAATGGGATGGCTGGGTCAAATGGTATTTCTAGTTCTACATCCCTGAGGAATTGCCACACTGTCTTCCACAATGCTTGAACTAGTTTATAGTCCCACCAACAGTGTAAAGGTGTTCCTATTTCTCCATATCCTCTCCAGCACCTGTTGTTTCCTGACTTTTTAATGATTGCCATTCTAAGTGGTGTGAGATGGTATCTCATTGTGGTTTTGATTTGCATTTCTCTGATGGCCAGTGATGATGAGCATGTTTTCATGTGTCTTTTGGCTGCATAGATGTCTCCTTTTGAGAAGTGTCTGTTCATATCCTTGGCCCACTTGTTGATGGGGTTGTTTTTTTCTTGTAAATTTGTTTGAGTTCATTGTAGATTCTGGATATTAGCCCTTTGTCAGATGAGTAGATCGCAAAAATTTTCTCCCATTCTGTAGGTTGCCTGCTCACTCTGATGGTAATTTCTTTTGCTGTGCAGAAACTCTTTAGTTTAATTAGATCCCATTTGTCAATTTTGGCTTCTGTTGCCATTGCTTTTGGTGTTTTAGACATGAAGTACTTGACCATACCTATGTCCTGAATGGTATTGCCTAGATTTTCTTCTAGGGTTTTTATGGTTTTAAGTCTAACATTTAAGTCTTTAACCCATCTTGAATTAATTTTTGTATAAGGTGTAAGGAAGGGATCCAGTTTCAGCTTTCTACATATGGCTAGCCAGTTTTCCCAGCACCATTTATTAAATAGGGAATCCTTTCCCCATTTCTTGTTTTTGTCAGGTTTGTCAAAGATCAGATAGTTGTAGATATGCGGCATTATTTCTGAGGGCTCTGTTCTGTTCCATTGATCTATATCTCTGTTTTGGTACCAGTACCATGCTGTTTTGGTTACTGTAGCCTTGTAGTATAGTTTGAAGTCAGGTAGTGTGATGCCTCCAGCTTTGTTCTTTTGGCTTAGGATTGACTTGGCAATGTGGGCTGTTTTTTGGTTCCATATGAACTTTAAAGTAGTTTTTTTCCAATTCTGTGAAGAAAGTCATTGGTAGCTTGATGGGGATGGCACTGAATCTATAAATTACCTTGGGCAGTATGGCCATTTTCACAATATTGTTTCTTCCTACCCATGAGCATGGAATGTTCTTCCATTTGTTTGTATCCTCTTTTATTTCATTGAGCAGTGGTTTGTAGTTCTCCTTGAAGAGGTCCTTCACATCCCTTGTAAGTTGGATTCCTAGGTATTTTATTCTCTTTGAAGCAGTTGTGAATGGGAGTTCACTCATGATTTGGCTCTCTGTTTGTCTGTTACTGGTGTATAAGAATGCTTGTGATTTTTGCACATTGATTTTGTATCCTGAGACTTTGCTGAAGTTGCTTATCAGCTTAAGGAGATTTTGGGCTGAGAAGATGGTGTTTTCTAGATATACAATCATGTCATCTGCAAACAGGGACAATTTGACTTCCTCTTTTCCTAATTGAATACCCTTTATTTCCTTCTCCTGCCTGATTGCTCTGGCCAGAACTTCCAACACTATGTTGAATAGGAGTGGTGAGAGAGGGCATCCCTGTCTTGTGCCAGTTTTCAAAGGGAATGCTTCCAGTTTTTGCCCATTCAGTATGATATTGGCTGTGGGTTTGTCATAAATAGCTCTTATTATTTTGAGATATGTCCCATCGATACCTAATTTATTGAGAGTTTTTAGAATGAAGGGTTGTTGAATTTTGTCAAAGGCCTTTTCTGCATCTATGGAGATAATCATGTGGTTTTTGTCATTGGTTCTGTTTGTATGCTGGATTACGTTTATTGATTTGCATATGTTGAACCAGCCTTGCATCTCAGGGATGAAACCCACTTGATCATGGTGGATAAGCTTTTTGATGTGTTGCTGGATTCGGTTTGCCAGTATTTTATTGAGGATTTTGGCATCGATGTTCATCAGGGATATTGGTCTAAAATTTTCTTTTTTTGTTGTGTCTCTGCCAGGCTTTGGTATCAGGATGATGCTGGCCTCATAAAATGAGTTAGGGAGGATTCCCTCTTTTTCTATTGATTGGAATAGTTTCAGAAGGAATGGTACCAGCTCCTCCTTTTACCTCTGGTAGAATTCGGCTGCGAATCCATCTGGTCCTGGACTTTTTTTGGTTTGTAAGCTATTAATTATTGCCTCAATTTCAGAGCCTGTTATTGGTCTATTCAGAGATTCATCTTCTTCCTGGTTTAGTGTCAATGATTTGTAGTCCTGCTCTCATTTGATGGTGTTTCTCCTATTCTGTTTTTCACACCTTTCATTTCCCACCTTTACAGACAGAAAGCAAGACACACGGGTGCCTCATCTTTCTACATTGTTCACATGTCTGTCTTTTTTGCCACCACACATTGGGGCCACAATAGGTGAAATTTCTTTATTATTTGCCATTCCATTCAAGGCAGAAAGGACTAATGTTCACCTGCATGCTTTCTACTGGAACAGTGGATTGTAAGGACTTCAAGAGATGCTGCTGGCCAGAACAAATGGGCATCCCCAGGATAACTGGCATGAGTAGAAAACCAGAGAGGCTGCCCCCAAATGTGCTGTATGAGACCTGTGGTATTTTATATTACTCTCTGCAGTAAAGGAGACACCAAAAATAATTGAAGTTTCCCAGCAGGACAACTAAATGAGGGTTCTTCACTGACCTGCACTGACTTTAACTAGGTTAAAGAAAATAAATAAATAAGATATTCTTGCAAACTTTAATTTGTGGACCACTTGCTTCTGCTACATAATGCTGTTCTTCTCTCAGAATAAGTTCAGAATTTCTGATGATTTGCTTAATATTCACAAGGGCTAATGTTATGAATTTAGAAATTGATAGCTTTCTATCTATAACAGATTTCTTCCCTCTCAAAGCACAATTTGAGTAAATGTAAACCTTGTATGCTTTGCATAAACTGTAATGGCTATTTATTCCTCTGAAGGAAATTGAACTTTTGTAATTTGTTTTACTCAAAATATCTTTGAGTTTCCCCATCATCCTTTGCTATGACAAGTATATCATATTTTTAATAGTTGTGGCTTTTAAGAATTTTAGAGACAAGACATAGTCAACTCTCACATTAATGCTTTATACTGTGAAAATTTCTAAATCAGTAAACATTTTAGAAGAAAAAAATCAATACTGCCCAAACTCCAGTGAGCAGGAAATGCCCTTGTGTTTTAGATAAGTACTGAAGACCTGTGAGGAGACCTATAATTGGATGGATTTTGTTGTTTGGCTTTGTGATACAGCATGATTCACCATGCTATATTCCCAACATCCCCCTTTGCAGGAACCTCTGTCTCCAGAAATAGATCGTAATCTTCAAATGTATATGTTCACTGTGTGATGCCTGAGGGACATCTGGGGTCATCAGCTTAAGGCTATGAGGAAACAACTACAAGTACAACATATTAAAGGTGATTTGTAGACTGATGATTTTTTTTTTTGTTTACTACGCCCATTCTCTAGAAAAGTATGGCATTTTACCTAACCCCGAAAAAAAAATAAATGGAACCTCTGAGGTACTGGAGTTCTAATTTCTCAGCAGCGGACAAGATGAAGGTCCACCATTGAATCTCTACTAAGTTTAATTCAGTTCAATAAATACATAAATAAGACATTTATTGCAAATCTAACTTAAAATGGTAGTATAACAATACTGTAACTTGGTAGGTAATGGGGTATGAATATATTCCCAGTAGGTGTAACCCTAAAAAATCATATTCCAGACCATAAATAGTGACTCATGCCTGTAATCTTTGCACTTTTGAAGGCCAACACAGGAGGTTATGTTAGGCCAGGAGTTCAAGACCAACCTGGGCAACATAGTGAAACCCTCTCTCTAGTAATAATAGTAACAATAACAGTAAATTAGCCAGGAGTGGTGGTGCAGTACCTGTAGTCCTTGCTACTTGGGAGACTGAGATGGGAAGATCACCTGAGCCCAAGAGTTCAAAGCTGCAGTGAGCTCCATGGTACTCCAGCCTGGGTGACAGAACAAGACCCTATCTAAAAACAGTCATATGTCATCAGATATTAATATAATATTTTCATATTTTATTTACTTTAGAATCAATTGTTTTTAAAGTTAGACATCCCTAACTTCCCAAGCCAATGTTGCTGCATATGTCCATTTCAGTTATAATTAGGATCAGCTGGGTTCCACACGTATTTCTCCTTATCACCTGCTATGGACTGAATTGTGGCCTCTCCCTCTGCAAATTCATATGTTGAAGCCCTAAACTTCAATGTGACTGTATTTGGAGATAGGGCTTTTAGGAGGTAACTTAAGTTAAATGAAGTCATCAGGGCAAGGTCCTAATTCAATAGGATTGTTGGCCTTATAAGAGGAGGAAAAGAAAGAGCACGCTCTCTCTCTCTCTCCAAGCATATAAACCAAGGAAAGGCTATATGAGTGTGCAATGAGAAGGTGACCATCTGCCAGTTAGGAACAGGGCCCTATCAGAACCCAACCATATTACTTCAGGGATCTTGGACTTCCAGCCTAAAGAACTAAGAGAAAATAAGTAAATAATAAATACTAACATTTTCTGTGGTTTAAGCCACCCAGTCTATGGTATTTTGTTATGGCAGCCCAAGCTGACTACCTCCATCCCCACTGCTTTTCAAGGTCATTCCTGAAAGTGGTAGTACTGCAGCTACCATTCATTTTAAGCTGGCACCATATGCCATGTTGACTCGTTAGTAAACCAGGCTTGAGCTCCTTCATAGTCTCTCAGCTTGCCATTTGAGATGCTTTTCCCTGCTCCATGGGACCATGTGAGTGGGCTGGAGGTTGGATTCTTGTGCACCTTGGTGAGTGATATGTAGGTTGGACCATCTGCTCATGCAGCTTACTTGCTCTAATCCTCCTCAAGCTCAAATCTGATGTACCATTTCCATTTTCTGATGGACTGCTAATGGGCCTGTTCACCTTTGTGGTTTGATGGGTCCAACAAAGGTCATCTCATGTAAGCAAAGTTCTAGACACACAGTCATTTGGTACAGAGTCAGTGGTCAAGCATTCCTCTCTTATAAGGACCCAGCAACATGCCAGGAGCTGTTTTTTGAAAAAGTGCAACATTATCCACTGTGAATGGCATGGCTTTGCTTCAGCATCTCAGAAGTCTGCATTGCTAGTAACTTGGGCTTGTCATAAATTCCACACTGAATCTTTTCCCATCGCTTATATTTCCAATATTATAGGATCTTCCAGATATTATGGCCCAAGAGACAATCTGGGCCTTCTGTGCTGCCGTTTCCTACTCAAGACCCCACTCAACACTGGCAGCCTTCCATATCACACAGTATGGAGGTTTGAGCAATATTCCTAGGATTGAAATGTGTTGACTCCAGAACTTGAAGAGGCCTAGCAGATTCTGTGCCTCCTTCTCTGTGATAGAGGATGTAAGATGCAGCAATTGGTCTTTTACTTTGGAGGGAATAACCTGACATGCCCTCTACCATGGATCTTCTAACATTTTTAACTAAATGGAAAGTCTCTGAATTTCTCAACTTTCCTAGGGCTTAATCTCTACTCATTTAATACATGTGTCTTACCAAGTCCTCCCATGTTCTAACCTCTTCATGCTCATTCTCTCTTGATCACCATGATGTCCTAAGTGAAATGATGATGTCAATGATTAGCAAAGAAATGCCACATTCGACAGAATGTCCAAAAGGTACAGATCTCTTCAAACTATATTATGAAAGACAACCAGAGAGTTTATATAACCCTCGGGCAAAACTGTAAAATGAATATTTTTGTCCATTCCATGTGAATTCAAATTATTTCTTTTCCTATTTTCTGAGTACAGGCTTGACACCTATAAAAGAAGTGAGGGAAGAAAAGAGGAGTGCATCAGGAGAGCTTCAGACTGAATTGGAATTGAAAATCTAGGCTAAAATAATGAGGAGTCTTCAGAAAAGGTTTTCCTGGAGGAGTTCCATGTCAGTCAAAAATGGCTGGCTGTGGTAGTTCTGCCATTGTCAGTCATTGCTGTAAGCAGCCTAAGGGAAGCATGACCACGGTGTGGCTGTAATGGTGGATTAAAAGTGCACTGAAAACTCAGCCAATTATGGTCTCTGCAGCAAATTCTCTTGAAGAGAGATTCAAGCAGTGCAAAGCCATTGGTACTAAGAACAGAAGAAAATACTGTTTGTTATCATTGCTCTCCTTATAAAGATCGTTATTATTAGACTAGTTTCACTCTCACTTCTTTAGATCATCCCTCCAGGTGAAAAACAAACAAGTAAACTATTTCTAACAGATGCTCATCCTCACTTCCCTAAATAAATGTTGAAAAAATACATAAAGAATATGAATCAAAAGGGATATCAAATTATTATTCTGCCCAGGGTATTTGCAATCCAACCCTGTGAATATTTGTCTTCTATCACTTTCTCTTGAGTCTCTCATCATCACATCCTTGCTTTTGTGCTGATGTATGTTGGTTAGTGGGTATGTGATATTTTAGGTAGCTGCATGCAGGAGTTTGATCATTTTCTTTATTCAATTATGAGAACATCGTTCATCTGTTAGGTATCAGATTTGAGCTTACATCTGATTTCCAAAGGTGTAAAAATCTACCTTTTTAGCATGCAAGCTGACAAAATAACTATCTAACTGGAGATATGCCATCCTAAAAAGATTCCTTGTTTTGGCAGAAATATAAAAGTTTTGTGATTCAAAGCAAAAAAAAAATGTCACCAACTGCCTGGGTATGCTTTGGCACCTTAATGTATATGTTTTCCCACATAAAATATATTTGTAATAGTATTCAATCTTGTTCTTGGAATTTTAATGAGAAAATATTATCTAATAAAAACAAGACATTTTGTTCTGTTAATTTTTCATTTTGAATGTGCTATATGCTAAAAGCCTATTAGATACAGAATGCAAATTCTTCTTAAATTTGTGGCTGTTCACTTTGATAGAGCAGTCTGTATGGTTATTGTTTTGATCATATCACTTTATTTACAAACTACCTCTCACATCTATTGTTTTTAAACTAATCTAAGCATCTGTCTACAGGGTTTTTCACTGTTTACTGTTTCTTCCATATATAGTTTTATCAATCTGTGAAAATCCTAGTTTGTCTTTTGCTGTTTTTTTTTCTGAGATAGATTTTCTCTTTCATTCATAATATTGTAAAAATGATCAAACAGATACTTTGTTTAACATAGATAGTAAAGTATATCAAGTTTTCTTCATTGTTGTACAAATCGAATTAGCAATATTAACATGTATTTATATTGTGATTTATTATCACAACAATAAATCACAATATGCATACATGTTAGTATTGTTTGTTTGGCAGTGAATGACACTCTCTTAAGAAACTACTTAGACTCCTGAAGAAATCTAAAAGTACTGTTGAATTTCAATTCAAGTAACATGACTGGAAGCTAATTCCCGTATTATGTGTTGGAGAGAAAGATTTGTCCTGTTTAAGATTGAGAGCAAATATATCTCCTGAGGAAATTGTCTATAGATAAAATCTCTACTTCTGTTCCCATTTACTCTTCATCTCAATCCATCCAAGTTTTTTCTCTACCATTCAAGTTAATTACCTTGTCAAAGCCACAAATGTTTTCCAAATCCAGTGGGCATTTATCAGTTTTTATTTCATTCATTAGACTTAGATTGCCATAGTTGAACACTCCTCTTTTCTGACTTACTTTTCTGTCTTGGCTTCCATGATGTTAGATGTAATTGTTATTTTTTTCTTTTTTACCTCCCTAGCCATTGTAACTTGATCTTCATTTCTGGTTCATCAGAACATATTGCAATTTTCAATGAGGCCTAATTTTGTCTTTCCTACCTTGTCATATTGGACAGCTATTGCTGCATAATAAACAACTATAAAATCTCAGTGGCATGCAATAATAAGCATTATTTCTTACATGTCTGTGGGTTGGCTGAAGTGGCTCTGCTAATCTTGGCTGGGCTTTCTCATATGTCCATAGAAGGGGGGTAGATTGGACTAGGTAGACATTGCTGGGTAGTTTTGCTTGAAGCTGAAAAAAGTTGGCTGATCTGCCAGTCAGCCAGGTGGCTCTGTTTCATATGTCTCTTATCCTTCTTGCACTAGTGGGCTGGGCACAGCATGTCCTTATCATGGAGATGGCAGACATGCCATGGAACCAGCCAAACAAAATTTGCAATGTTTGCAAAGATCATTCAGAATTGGCACACTGCCTTTTCCATTCATACTCCATTGATCAAAGAAAGTTACGTTGAGTCTAAAGTCAAAAGGCATGGAGATACACTCCTCTTTTAGGTAAGAAAATGCATTATTACATGGCAAAGGATGCAGATATTAGAGTGAAAAATTGGAGCTAATAGCTCAATCCACCACATTGACCTAACTCACCATATTGCTCATCTTTAGTTCTTCAGATAGATTATTTTTTCCCATATCAGGATTATTGCATGTCATATACACTCTTTTTGCAGTACTCTTCCTTATTTGCCTGACTGGCTCTTATGGAACATTCGTTTCCTCACAAATATATTTTCCAACCATTATAAAAAAAATCAGCTGTCATCTCTCATGCAACACATCACAGCATCCTATTGTTTCCTTACAGCAGTCAATGTATAGTATTCTATATATTATTTTATTTGTTTGTTAAATGTTCCACCATTCAGATTTCAAACTTCAAAAAAGTAGAGAGTATATGTGCTATGTTCACCATTGAATTCTCAACACCTAGCATAAGGTCTTGCATATAGTGTTCAATCAATAAATATTTGTTGAATAAATAAAATGATAAAAAGATTAGGCTATGTGTTTTTCTTCTAAAAATTATAAAAAATAGGTAGAGTCAAAAGCATTATCTTTAGCTCTTTGTGTTCTACAAATTTATTTGTTGTGGATGAAAGGGGGACACCAGGACAATAGCTTTAAAATAGTGAAGTATTGTTACTCATCTTTTAAAAAATTCAGTTTCGTTTTCAATTCAGAAAGCCTATTACTCTTAGAAAAATGTTGCTTTCTAACCTACAGTGGTATAACATCATAAAAACAAAGAGATCGGCTAGGACATTATTGCTGTGGTACAGATGAGATGGTGACTTGGAGTAGACTGGAAAACCAGAAACAGGAGAAGGTTTTGGAGGAACATAATGAGTTCCATCTTGGATACAGAAAGTTTAAAAGATGTATGAATGAACATTTGAATGGAGATACTAGCAGGCTAGAGAAAGAAATTTGTTAAATGGAGTAACAGTGGCCAAGGGAGTGGGTAACATTATCTCTAGGAAATAAGCCAAGAGTGAGAATCAAAGAGGTCCTAGAACTTTGCCCCAAAGAGCTCTGACAATTAAAGCTTGGCTAAAGGAGTTGAAATCAGACATAAAAATGAGAAGGGGGCAGTTACAGAGAGGCAAGAATACTATGCCATCACACACCACAATGGAAGAAAATGTTTCTGAAAGAGAAAATAGTTAACGATTTTGACCACTGTTGAGAGGGTAAGATGTGGAAGCAATAGTATCCACTGAATATGTACATACAGAAGACCTACTTTACATGATCAAGAGCAGTTCAGAGGTGTTCTTTTGGTGGAAGCTAGAATGGAGCAGACTAGAGATAAATACAGGCAAGTAATAAAGTCAGGAGATGTAGATGACTCTTAAGAAGTTTTTGCAGGAAGTGGGAGAAGGATAAATATAAAATTATTATGACATATGAGTCTTCTATTTCTCCTGGAATATCAATTATTTTTCCTTCATTACATGAGGTAATCAAATATCTAGATATAAAATAGCTAACCATTAGGTTTGAATCTTAACCCCACAAATTACTAATTATTTTAATTATTTTATTTAACTTTTAAAGCCTCAGTTCCTCATATCTAAAAATAGGGATAACAGTATCTAATTTACTGGATCCTTAAGTGTCAAAGAAATGGTTAATGAGAATGTGATTGGCACAGAGAAGATGCTTAGTAAATATTTGATCTTGAAAGGGTAAATTTTAGAACTAAGAAACAAAGCACACTTCACACTGAGGTCCTATTAAGATATTAAAAAAAAAACGAATTCCTTTTCTTGTTTTTAACTGTGGTGCTTTGCTTTCACAGCTCGTTTTGCTCTTCTGCCATATTATCTTCATTTTCTTCTCTTTTTTTCCTTGCTTCATTACTATTCATGCTATCAAGATTTGGAAATACCTTATGCTCTTTTTTTCTGCCTTTGACTTTTCAAATTGCCTGAACCTTTCTCTCTCATCCACCCAGCACTTAATTCTTGACAAATAACATTCTTACTCTGAATATCCTTACTCTGAGCTGCAATTACAGATGTGGATGACTTCTCGAACTACACCTCCTTCCCTGACACCCCAAACTCAATGGGCATGGTACCCTACTTCTTGGGTACCCTACTTCTTGGGGGACTATTAATATTAAAAATGAAACAAAAAGTTGTAGTAGCTTAGCTCTTACAGAGCAGATCGTTCTTCTGCATGAAGCACTTTCACATATAACACCATTTTTTCCTTATAATCAGCCTATGAGATATATATTCATATTATCCTCATTTTATAGATGAGAAAACTAAAGCACAGAAAGGTTGAGAAACTTGCCCAAATATACAATTACTAAATGATGGAACCACTATGTCTGCAGTCTATAGACCTTTGGTCTAATTCTAAAATCTAAAAGTTCTAAGACCCAAACATTTTTGTAACCTCTTTTCTGGCAGTAGAAACTTGCCCTTAAAGTGATTTAGTCCAGGAAATTAAGATAGTAGTTATATCAAAGGAACAATTTGTTTGGACATGGAGACCCATACATGTTTGCAGGCAGCAGGAAAGGTGTTCACGGAAAAAAAATATGTTATTTTGACAAACATATTTTAGCATATTTTTATATTGCACACTATGCTAGCCTCTGAGTTTATTGCAATGAACTCAACACAGATTCTGACAGAACAAGACCTTAGAGGAAGCAGGAGATGGGAGGTAAACAGTGTGAAGCAAAGAGGGAGCCAGGTGGATTGGAATGTTTATGATCTGATTCCTATGTAGGGGAATTTTGGGGGATCACATAGAGGGATTAGCCTTGCTAGGAAGGAAGAAGTAAATGGGAAAAATGTTGAAGGCTTTTCAAATTTCTAAGTTATTATGGATATATAATAGTTTATAAGTTTAAGAGGTACATGTGAAGACATACAATGTGTAATGATTTAATCAGTGTCATTGGGGTATCCATCACCTTAAGCACTTGTCATTTCTTTGTGTTAGGAACATTTTAACTTCACTCCTCTAGTTAATTCGAAATACATAATAAATTATTGTTTGCTAAATTTGCCCCTATTGTGCTACCGAACACTAGATTGTGTTCCTTCTATCTAATTGTGCTTTTGAGTTTTGAGGTATAGTGACACGAAGACAATGTAGGTTACACCAGGATACCTTAACTTTTCATTGAAGTAGGAGTAAGGTGTGAATGTGTGCCTCATGCCTTTGATTTCTCTGCAGTTATGTCTCCATGTTCCTACATGGTGTCCACTCTAGCTAGTGTCTCCCAAATGCAACAAGCACCTATCTCCTAGCCTTTCTCATTTCTCTGAAGTGCCTTCCCACTCCTCTAAATATATTAAGGTCTCCTTTTCCTACAAGCCATCTTGAGTCAGTGTAGACTTCTCATAGAAGAATTTCTATGAATTCCTGTTGCCATCTGTAGCAGTGTAGGTATAACATACTCATTAAGAACACAAATTCTGGGGCCAGATACCTGGGTTTATATCAGTTCTACATCTTAATATGGGATGTTTGGAAAAGTTACTTAAGCTTTCTAAACTTCAATTCTAAATTGCAGATGACAGTAATATCTACCTCATAGGTACATTTGTCACATGGTAAGTATTCATTAAATGTTAGCATTTATTATTTATTACCTACTCCACACATGCACTCAGCATATGTTACCCATATAGTTATTTTTCTTATATATCTCTCTCTATATATATATTTAGATATGTATACATATATACATACGTATACATACATGCACACATATGGGTTATCTTCTCACTTGAAAGCAAGGGTTGAATCTGAACTGCTCAACTCCGTCTATCCAAAGACAGCTGGCTGGTCACTTAAAAAATGCATAAATGATAACGTAACATTTTTCCATTGTGCAGTTTCTGTTTTGAGTCCCAGGTCAAGTCATCCCTCTTAATGTATCTTACACAGTATCTCAAGAACTGTGTTCCACATTATTGCTTTGATGGATTATTAGTAGCCTCAGAGAAAAAGTAATGTTGTGATAAGAAAAAAATTGAGCTTAGTGTTCAAATACCTCTGTTTTGGAGTTTGTCAAACTCAGTACCATGGAAACTTAGAGCTAAACAGCTATTTGTTTGGGGGTTTGTCCTGTATGTTGCAGGATACTGAGTAGTATCCCAGGCCTCTACAAACCAGATGCCAATATTGTCCTTTTCCCAGTTGTGAAAACCAAAAATGTCTCCTCTGTACATTAGCAAATGCCCCCCTGGAGGGCAGAATTGCCCCTAGTTGACAACTGCTGATGTAACTACAGTTCTATTTATACTTGAGCTTTGTCGTTTTTTAGCTACATGCAATTTTGGATAGGTCAGCTTACTACTGTAAGCCTTGAATACCTTATTTGTAAAATGTATACAATATTAGCTACCACATAGAAATGTTACAAAGACTAAATGAGATATTGTATTGCAGTATCTGGTACACAGTATATCCATAATACAATTTGTTAATCTAAATTTCAGAAGTCTCCATTGATTATCCACTCACAACAAGAGAAAATGTTAAAAATGCATCCAAAGGATGAAAAAGATCATGCCCATTTCTAACTCTCAACTTCTCTCCCATCCTAACATCAGTTTCCACTTGATTTGACCCATGTTTGCTGCAGAGCTAAAATTGGCACTGTTTTAAGTAACCTTCATGCACCACCTGTCTCTTCTGGCAACCCAAACTTAAAGAGCAGCAAGTCAGAAGTGGAGGGGAAAACAAGACACAACCACCAAAACACACTAGCAACCAGCAGTAGGATGGGATTTTGTAGCGAAAGAGAAGTGAATTCTTTGTCTCTAAAGTATGCAACACGCTGCCTGTGTGACTTCACAGCATTCAAGTATTGAGACCAAACTTAAAGAATATTATTCTTGATATCTGAAAAATAGTACGCCTTAATCAGGTAAATTAATCATTATTATTAAAGTAGAATATTAAATATTCCCATTATAGCTTAGGAGATTCATGAAATAGCTGTCCACATAGAGTGAAATTATTCTTAAGAAGTTTTTGATTCAGAACAAATTCTGTTTATGGTATTGAAACTATAAATAAAATATTGTAATACTAAAATAATAGTGAATGCTTTAAAACGTGAAACCACATTATATATGTCAAAGGGTACAGACGGGGTCCTTTCCTAGAGGATGTTATATCTCTTAGGCTTAATAAAAATTTGATTGACTGACATGCTGCAGAATTGAGCTGTTCTGTTTCACTTGGATTTTTTTTCTTGGCCTTGACTTTGCAAAAAAAAAATCTCCAAATTGTTGTAAATATGTTCTTGTACATTTTTCTGTCTTAAGAAGCAAAGCAACCTGAGACTTTCCTTGCTAACACAGATTCCTAAAATGCTTCAGGGATCTACATTCTCATGAAGAATGAATAATGAGGTAGAACTCACTGAAATGAATATTTACTGGCCCAAAGGAAATATTTAGAGAATTGTTTTTAATATTAGGCTTCTGGGACTCATTTTTTTCTTATATTTGTCTCTGCTTGATAGAAGCCAAGCATAAAAGTAGCTAGATGACTTAGATTTTACTATAGTAAATTGATTGTATCAGAAAACATAATTTAGGATCACTAAGGGTCTTAATGAGGTCATGAATCTCTGAGCTGACATTAAAATATTTGTTCACTTACTATAATTAGCCATAAATTACCAGAAACTCTTTTAAAAATGTACAACATACTGTTTTTAATTCTCCTTCCCTCCCACCCTCCCTTGATTCCATTTCCCTCCCTCTCTCCCTCCCTCCCTCCCTTCCTTCCTTCCTTCCTCCCTTTCTTCCTTCTTTCCTTCCTTCCCAGTGTCAAAAGCATTATTTGATTATATAAGCTGTTCCAGATGGCAAATTTGATCAACATGGATACACAGTATGTTACCACAGGCCTACCCACCTCTAGGAAGTGTTTTATCTCATCGATAAAAAATAATGACTTTGACACTAAATGTGTTATAGCCATATTGTTACAGACAATGTTATACTTACTAGACATCTAGCCATCATTATCATTCACCTTAGAATTAGAACTCAGTCATAAACTGCCATACAAATAGTTTGAATCTATTTTCTTTTGCATTGCTTCCCCTACACCTGTCGTTTTTGAGTACAGAGGAATATAGAAGAAAGAAAAATTTTTATTTTCTTTTTGCTCATAGATTGTCACCATGATTCTACCTTATATATATGCATATATGTACACCAACACACAAAAATAAGCATACATAATCTGCCACCTTACCCACATGCTGATTTGTTAGATAAGGATTTGTGAAATCAGGTTTTTAACTTTTTTTGCTATTTTTTAAAATGAGTTTTTATTGCTCTGATGGAAAACTTTACTTAATTGAAAAGGCACAGTTTTTGCCCGTGTGTGACTAGAAAAGAGCTTTCATCCTATGTGATCTAATTATTTGTGATAAATTTTCTCTTTTTATTTCAACTATTCGTTACTTGTACTTACTTTTTACTTACTAATAACCTTATTGCTTCACTGATATTGCTCTTAAACTTGAATTTCATTGACCTTTTGTGTGAGAAACAAAAGATAAATTATTTTGCTTGGTTTTTCTATTCTAACTCTATTTTATGAAATTAAAAAGAAAACTTGTTCAGAATGTATATCATAGACTTAAATGATACATTAAATAGCAATGGAATGCACTTATCCTCTCTTATGATTACTCCACAGTTAAAATACATTCAGTTTGTACCCATATTAAATTATAACTATTGTAAATATTGCAAGACCTACATACACTTTAATTATATTATATACACAAACACACACAAAGATATGATGAAAATTCTAACTTAAGGAATTGTACATTCTACATATCCTGTAAATAGCTTTATATATTTACATTTGTAATTTGTAGTTTTTGCTATATTTCATATATTTTAAATACTTTTCACATGATTTTAATCTCAAAACATTTTCTTCCTGCTTGATGAAGGAAACTAAACACAGTTTGGTTAAAGAACATATCTGAAGTCACATAATTAGTCAGCGTTCAACCTGAAACTAGAATCTGAGGCTTCTGATTTCTAATCTAGCAACCTTCCCACTCCATCTATTGCTGAGTGGGGTGTTGTAATTCTCCTGAGGGCAAAACTCATGAAATTGGCTTGTTTAAACCCAGTTAGGTACATTAGAAATATTTGATAGTATAAGACTGACATAGAACACTATTAACTTAAATTTCATTTTGTACATATTTTTCTAAGCAACCGAGGCAAGCAAATTTCCTTTTACTACTGTACACTATTGTGGGGGATTTAAAATCTGTTTTGCCTCTTTATTCGCTTCACCCCCGCTTCTCACCACATCTTTCCCTTCACTATTGCTTGACCTTTTTCTAGGAAGATTTCCCAGTTTAGGGTGTGTGTGTGTGTGTGTGTGTGTGTGTGTGTCACTCACAGCTGTCTGCAGGCACATGTTCCGTTTTTGTTTATCATTATGTACTCCATCCCAGATTCTGTTTTTGAGTGGAGTGCTTCATAAATTGTTGTTAATGTTCACATTAAAGCTCTTTACAAATAAAATGCCGCATACAAGAATGACTGCCACAAAACAGGTAGACGGGGTGGCTAATTATACATCTTTGCATTTATGATCTCCCTCAAGGAAAAATAAAAGATGTGTGAGTTTAGAACACACAGACAAGGTGAATACAAAATGCTTACTGTTTTGAGACAGATGTCAGTGAATGAACTCACCTCAGGAATAGCTGTAAAATATTCAAAATGCTATTGTGCTGGGAAAGCAGATCTAACGTGCCCATGTACAACAGCCTGCAAAAAGGTGCTTCATATACAAATGGGCTATTGTTTCTTTATAGTAGATATAAACTTGAGTAATTTGAAATGGGAGCCAGAAATACAGACTTGATCTTGACAATTGAAAGGGTAAACAAAGCTAAAATTTGAAGGTAAAAATATTTTTCTTCTATTTCACTTAGTGAGACCAAATAGAATTTTCGTAAGTTATTGAACAAATGCTGAAGTCTATGGAAAATATCACTTAGCCTCTCCAACTTATTATATAATATTCAAAAACAAAGCTGCACTAATTGTGTTATTGAGCTGCTCCTGAACAACTGTGGTGACTCTTCCTTGTTTTATTTCAGTTATAGAAGCTACATATCATTGGGATTCAGAGAAGAGTGGTGGACATCCAAATCTCTTTGAATCATATTATTTCAGGTTAGTGATTTTAGCTGTGATATTAACATGCTAGGGATTTTAGTTTTAATAAGCCACCACAAATTACATTTGGTTTTGCTAGCATGGCTAATATTTTATTAAAACTGATGTCCTGTTAAATGGCTGGAGAACTTGTTGGCTATATGAAAGAAATATATTACATTTATTTCTTGGGTCTTAATGTAGTCAGTATGATGGATTTACACTGGTGAGCTGCTAAATCTTGCCTAATCTCTCTGTAAAACACAAATAGTCACCCTATAAACAATGCTGTTGGCACACCCAACTAGGAATATCTGATGTTAACAAAAGGTTTCCAAGATAGCTCTCCAGCAGTTTGTGGGGTTTTTTGCTGTTATCTGGTTTACTTTCTAGTGACTTGAATTGAAGGAGGAAAATGAAAAACTGGCCACCAAAGATGTCACAACTTAGTCTTTGGAAATAAAACCAATATGACATCTAATTTCAAGGAATATAAAGTAGTACTTCTATTTAAAGCCTGACAAGTATGAGCAAGGTAATACTCTTTTAGCTACAGTCTTGGGATGGACTGTGGAAAGCAAAGGAGAAATAAGGAGATTATTCCATATTACAATAAAACATTTCATTTGTTATTTTCAAGTTGCTTGCTTCCTATTAGAGTAACCACAGTATCAAGGTTTGCTGTAATCATGGGAGTCTAGTAGATCAGCCTGATCCTCCCCAAGTGATGCCCGAAGTGATGAGTTATCTAAATTCTGATGAGTCAATTTAACAAAAATTTAGGGAACATCTAATTGGTGACAAGCTCTGGGTAGGAGCTCACAGCCAGAGCTTCTGTTGGCTCAGTGACACCATAAGAAGGGAAACTCATGCCGCACAGGAAGGACTTGCTTTAAATGTAGTAGGTAAACTTTTGTGTATTGGCATGGCCTTCATCCAGCCTGAATTACAGAAACTAATGAGCTAGTTCTTTGGATCTGCCAAGATCTTCATTCTACATAAACCATACTGATTACAAAACTTGGGAGGCATCCTTATAAGAAACTAGGGAATCCCTATTTCTCATTGGGAGCTACATCTTCTTGGTGATTTGCATCATTGTTTCATATATTATTTACACTATTTGTTTGTAGTCTGATGGTAAACCAGAGTGGAAGCTATTTATGTCAAATATGATTACTCATTTTAATGGATATTCTGAATGGAATAGATTTTGTATGAGACTGGCTCACATCTTGCTAGGTGATCCTGAAGATGCAAGAACATGTATATTCTAAGTAATATATTCACAACTGTGTGACTATACCACATGCATAGGTGGTGAAGAACTTAATATATGATATTTGCTGTTCAGTTTAAATTTAAATATTTTATTTTGGTCAATTAAATGAAAGAATCAAACATCTTTTTCCATTAAATTAACTGACCTCAATTGGCCATACAATTAATTACATGTGAATGTCAAATATAGGCGTCCTATGTATACACAGGCTGAGCAACCATAATCTGAAAATTTAATTCTAAAATGACCCAAAATCTGAAATTTGCCCTCACAAGTGGAAAATTTCACATCTGACCTCATGTGATGGGTCATAATCAAAACTAAGTCACAACTTTGTTTTGCGCAAAAATTATTATAAATATTATATCAAATTTCCTTCAGGTTATTTGTACAAGTTGCATATGAAAACTAAATAAATGTTGTGTTTAGACTTGGGCCTTATCCCTAAGACATCTCATTAGATATGTGAAAACATTTCAAAACTTGATAAAATCCAAAATCTGAAACACTTCTTATCTAAGCATTTTGGATAAGGGATAGACTGATTCCCTTATCAGAAACCTATATAGATGACTCAAAGCTTTCCCTTTGTATTCTATATAATTTTTTTCCCTTAAAGTCATGTAGAATCAAGATACTATAGAAAATTAAGCTCTTCTGGTTCATAAATTTTCTATTTCGATTGCATATTGTATTTAACAAATAGAAGTTTTTATATGCACACTATTTTTTAAAATCTCATTATTGAATATCAATTTTAACCTACAAATTATTTTTTTAAAAAAGAAAGTTAATGTACTACATGCGTAGCTGGTGAGGGAGAAAATGTCCCAATGCTTCACCTATTCTCATTGAATTTGGCATAAAAGAGTTAAATTATTTGCCCAAGATAACAAAGAGGCCACTAACCAACTCTAGAGTATTACCAAAAATTCTCCCAAAGTATTCTTCTGTACATATTGTCTTTGTTAAGTAGTAAGAATACCTTCACCACCATATTTGAAAAACTTTTGTTATCCAAAGGTTGAAAAACAAATTTGACAAAGACAGGGAATGCCACATCTGAAGCATTGTCATGACCAAGAATAATTACATCCCTTTCTTCAAGATAAATTACAATTTACCTAGATAGATATATTTGTTACAATAAATATTTGTATCTCTTTAGGTAAAATACTTCCCATGTATTTGAGGTAAGGGAATACTAAAAGGTAAAACCTAGTCATATCCATTATATAGATTTCCCAAGAAAACTTAAAATTCTAAGAAGAAATTCAGAAATTTAGAAAGTCTATTATATGTTTAAATACTTAAAGCAATATTTATAGTTGATTTCCTATCAAATTTGAAATTCTCTTTTCTATAGTTCTGGGGATATTTGGGGGCAATTATTTTATGTAAGCAGATGTTTTGTTTGTTAAATGTCTACCTTCAATTTACCTTAGGGCACTCACTGCTAATTTATCTGGAATCTTTGTGCACAAAGAGAATTTATCTTGATGAAAGGGATGCAGTTAGCCTTGGTCATGACAATGTTTCAGATGTGGCATTCCCTTTGGGCAGATACACTCTCGTGGGCACACTGCTCAGTGATCTGAACACTGGCTGAATTTGAGTCTTTCCTTAGAAGCCCAGCTGGCAGTTTTGTGCAGTGTCCAGTGTGCACAATGTCCCTGAGTTCACTCTCTGTTCTGTGCTTCTTGTGCACATTCTCACTTTCTAATAAAAGCTCTCCTTCAGTTTATTAATCTTGTCCTTTTGTAAGAGATACCTGCTAACCAATAGATTTCTTTGCCTTTAGATTTCATTTTTTGCAGCCAAGATTCCAGCTTTAAACATTCTAGAATTTATAAAAAACAACAGTAGCAAACAGTCAAAACTAAACTCCATAAAAGATAACTTTGCAAAATGTGAAAATTTAAAGAGAAGAAAAATGTAGAAATCATCAGCAAGACCAAACAACTGAGACTTTTAAGTGTTTTAGTTTAAATTCAGTCCCATGAGGGCACTATGAAATATTTATACTTTAATGTCCCTGAAGTAGTTTAATCTGATCTGCCAAGTCAGAGCTACAGCATGATGCTATGTCCCAGGGTCAGGCAATGTGCTGAACTCAGCAGGATAGGGCCCAGCTTCCAATGCTAACATATGTCCTACAGACTGTGGTGAAAAGGTTGTAAATTATGAAAATCCCTCAACTCTCAGCAACGGAACTCTTCTAGAAATGTTCAAGAATTTTCTGCTTAGATTTCTGGATATATTATTTCCTAATTGATATTTTGAGTAGAAGAAGCAATATTTACAGAATTGCTACACACACACACACACACACACACAAAACCAAGGTATTAATCTCTTAAAAATTTTGAGACATCATTAATAATTAAAGCTATACAATTGCTTCAAAAATTACATATTATTAATACATAGCGATGAAAACAGTTCATTAAGATCGGTGGGAAGGTGGAGCAAATCAATCTTAATTGATTTATCTGTTACTCAGAATAACACCATGATAAATAATTATCACCTAAACCCAATGAGTTGTACCATTTCCTTTAAGGTGATATTTGTGACATATTATCAGTGTGCACAACTTAAAAGCTTACATATGTTTTTCCCATCCGTGTAATCTAATCAAAGGTGCAAAGCCTGGATCTATGCCAGTATAAACCTTCCTTGTTACACAGTTGCAGCCGCATGGTCCATCTGGAGTTTCTGGTCTGCTTGATGTCACATGACAGATCCTACTGGCATGGAAGATGAAAGGATGTTCAGGCCACGTGTCTGGGGATGACAGTTTTCTTTGTGATGAACCCCAGAGTCACAGCTTGTTAAATAAGCCTGTAACAGTGATAAAAGACAAAGCCATCAGTTTGTAGCAGAATATGGCCTATCTTCCCATGACAAACTATGCTATCTCTTCTCACACACACTGACATCTCATAAACCATTCCCACAAGTGGTGGTCAGAAATAGTGTCTGAAGGCAGCCCTACAAGAGTGTAATAGATTGCTGCTTATCTTTGAGCAAATGAATGGAAAAAATACCTGGAGTGCACAGCGCAGTTCTCTTAGCCTCACAGAAGAAAGTGACTTTCTACTTAGAACATTTTGCATGATGGACCTATTTCACATAACTTTAAAATCCTGAGCAGTGACATAAAGATGACTATGAGATACCTGCTTCCAAAGGCATGCAAATTTTGAACTCTTCCTATTGTTCAATAAGTCCATAGGTTCAATTTACAAGGCTGCTTCTGTTTATTCAGAAACAATATGTCTATGAACCAAATAATTATGAAAACAGTAATAAGAGCTACCACTTAGTCAGTGTTTACAATGTGCTAGGCATAGTGCTGATTACATAATATATACCGTCAAAATTCTCACAACACAGGTATTACCTAGACATAACCAGATGTATCATTTCCTTTCAAGCAATGGCATTATTATACCCATTCTGCAGATGAGGAAACAGAGGACCAAAGAAATAATTTTCCCAGGCCACTCAATAGGTGAATCCGAGGTTGGAATGTGAGAATCCTGATTGATCTTTTCCACTCTATCAGAATAGTAACAAATACAGTGGGAAATATTATGAAAATGGATGGATGAAAAATGTAAGGACTATAATCTTGGACACTTTATTTTGGGGTTATGCCTAAATTCATCAATGATTTAAACCAGGGCAGAAGTTGAAATAGTTAGGTCCAGTTATATTAGTATGTCAGAGCATGATATTCTTCCAGATGTTTTGCTGATGTGGGGCAATTCACAAAAGAGAAACCAGTAGTTTAACATTTGACCATTCCTTTCCTTTTGTTTCTTTTTTCTTCTTCCCAATCTCCTAGTTTCTCTCTACCCATCTTACTGTTTAGATCCCATTTCTTTTCATCTGATTCTCTTATACTTTAGACTGTCCATAGTTCCTTTGAATTTTGGTGTCTTCTCTTCCTGATGAGTCATTTTATATACATATGCACACACATTCTGGCATTAGGTTCTATTTAATCATATGATGTTTTCATATAGTTCAATAATTGCCTTGTGAATGTAAATTTTGGCTTTTCACTCTGCCTAACAAATTTCTTGAGAATGTAAATGGGTCAAATACTTCTCCGTATTTATATCAGACTTTGTAAAGTCCTGGACAACTAGAAGCTCAGTGAATGCTTATCCAATTGAAGTGCTTTTCTCTGCTAATACTTTCAAAGACCAAAAAGGATATGAAACCCCTAATGCTAAGAAATAATAATACCTGCCAAATCCAAATTCTGAATAAGCTTTTCAGTAGCAATAGAAGCTTGCTTTGAAAAAAAAAAAAAGACTTTCTCTAGTACACTAAAATTGAAAAAAAAAATGCTTTCTATCCTGTGGTTCTTACTGTACTGAGGGGACTGGCTAGACAATATCGCTATTTTGGTTTTAATGGCCACCTTAATTTTAAGTGCTAATGATGGGATTTTAATAGAATTTACAGACACATTAGAATGGAATATTCGTACTTACAGATAGTTTTAATTATGAAATTATAAAATGAGCAAGTTTGAGACTAAAATTGAACTTAAATATCACTAAACTGATTCTCAACTCTGGGTTCGCATTTGAATCCACTAAGATGTGCACGCACGTATGTACACACACACACACACACACACACGTGCCATCTCCATAAATTACTAAGGTGGAATTTAAGGTGCTAAGACATTTAAAAAACATTCTCAAGTGATTCCGATGTGCATTCAGGGCAAGTAAGTGACCTAGTTTAACCATTGTTTGTTCTAGTATTTCTTCCATAACATCTCTTCCCAGAAATAAGTAACCTATTTCCTTAATACTTTCAATGACAGAGCAGTGTCAGAGCACTGAATGACTCTCATGAACTGAAAGACTGGAGGTCACTTGCAAAATACATTATTTACAATCAGGAAGAATAGCTCCCTTCTGATTATAACATACAAGGCTATTAAATTTCACAATCAGTGTCCTTTACAATTCGAAATTATAAAACATATAATACAAAACATGGCTTTTAAACCAATGTTTTTTCCCACTGAAGTCTTTGTGTTCTTGTTGATAAAAGTAGGGGAATCAGGTTGAAAATGGTTGGAGAGAGGCAGGAGAAAGATTCTTAAGGAGAAAGTAACAGAAAAAGGAGAACAGGAAATTATCCTGGAAAAAGAATAATTACCTTTTAGTATTTAGGCAATTTGGCCAAAAACTGTGCTTAATTTTTGGCTGTCAGCTTTAAATCACAGAAGAACAACAGTAGAGATCAGATTGTACATGTATAGATGCATGTGTTGTTTATCATTCAAGGAGATTGGCAGGCCTGATAGAATAATATCGAAACCCACTATCAGATGAAATCGCCTCATGTTTATGGAACATTTATTATATGAAAGACACTGTTAGAATAAGTGCTTGGCAAAAGCAGGACTGGCCAGTATGTGGAGGATCTGGCAAAATTAGGCAGGCTTGTTAAAGTGGGCCAGTCAGTTTTGAAAGAGGCCAGAAGTTACCAATAGATGGAGATAGAGATAGAAAACTATCAGTGAGGAAAATAGAGCAATGAACAATGATTCTTAGTGGGATGTGAGCCTGGCCTTCTGAAATAGGAGAATAATACGGTTATTAGAAAATAATTGCACAAGTAGGAAGATAAACTTCTATATAAGTTGATAATATTAAACTAGTGATTTTGGCCTCTAGCTTCTCCCACACTAAAAACCATATTATTATCACCAAATTGAAGTTTAAAGATAGGGTGAGAACAAAGATATTTCAAGTGGCGGTATATGAATTTCAACTGTAGTTATTTGAAGTTTACAAGGAAATGGGGCCAAGAAGATCATTGTAGACTCTACACTAGATATAATTGAAACTATATTTAGGTATTTTCTTCCCTCTAACAGACAAACACATAAGAATATGGTAAGAAATAATAAACATAAAGTTCAAATATAATAATAGAAGAGGTGTCACAAGATAATAGAAGAGTAACTGCATGATCATGAGTTGTTCATATAATAACAGCATTAAGACTACCAACATACAGATCCCTTCCATCTGAAGAGCCTGGGAAATCTGGAGGAGAAGAACCTTGCAAATGGTTATAAGGCAATGCTCCAGGGGAGAACCATTCTGTCATTAATGCTTAGGGGCAGGATCTTAAGACAGTTTCAATTAATAATTTATTTGATAGAAATGGAATTTTTGGCAAGGATAGGTTGGCTTAGGTGTTTAAACACATGCTGAGTAGTTTGGGTTTTATTTTATAAACAATGGGGACCCATGGAAGGTTTTTACAGAGGACAGTTATTTGTGATCAATACAGTGCTTTTAAAAAATTGATAGTTCATATTGAATAGATTGGAGAGAAGAGAAATTGCAGAGCTGAAGACTCATTGTGAAATCATCATAATAAAGTACACATAAGGTAATAAGGGTCTGAATGGGAGTCATGGCAGTAGGAACAGAAAGAAAGGGTCTGATGGAATAGTTTTTCTAATGAAAGAACTGAGAAGATGTAGCAACTACTTCTTAATAACTTTGTACTTTAATCATTCAACTGTAATCAGAAGTCTCAAATGAATCAATCTGGTGAAACATTAGCTCAGTTGAAATGTGTGACAATTTACTACTTAAAAGGTCACAAAAGTCAAACCTGAAAAGCTTCTTATTTGGATACAATTATTCAAATACCATTTGGAAACAGCACTTCACTCATATGCTGCCTACCAAAATTTAGCCAGTCCCCTCAATTAAGCCTTTTCATCTGTGGAACTTATCCAAGCCAACAATGTTCCTTGGCCTCTGATGTCCTTTCCAAATCATATCTGACAGGGAGAGAACCCTCTGTCTGCACTGAAGTCAGAAAATGACATTAAACTCTACAGCAATGCAGATTCATTATCATTTAAAAGGATTTTAAAAACACAGAGGTTATGAATTTGACCATATAAAAGCTCCATTTAGCTTTTTGGTATTTAAGGTGATGCAGTAGACAGAGATCAGCTATGAAGGTGGCAAAAACAATAACAACAACAACAAAAAAACTTCGAAAGTTCTTAAAACATTCTAAAAAGCGAAGAAAGAAACAATGTTACAACTGGATTTTTATATAGTTAAATAGTTTAAGCATATTGTGTTTGATAGGTAATAGTTAAATAATCCAAATGTTACCACCTGAAATGCATGAACTTTGGAGGAGTCTACCTCCTACATATCTCTTGAAGATCTATTGTCACATGATGTTGCAGTCTTTATTTTTGTCCTTTTTCTTTTGTATTCTTTGAAAAGCCCCAAGTAGAGAAGGTGATACATTTAACTCTCTTATTCTTTGTCAGTGATATATTCTGTAATTTGTGCTATATAGAACATTCTGGGATGATACAGTTATCTCCAGCACATCCTGGAATGATAATACTTCACAGAATCATGACATTTTAAATATGGAAAAGATTTTGGAAATTATATAGCCAACCTCCTACTCAGGATAGAAATACCTTCTTTGACAAGGATATCCCTGACAGAAATTATCACCCAGACTGCGAATGCTTTGCAAGTATTCCATTCTAAAGCTTCCAGTAAAAAAACAAAACAAAAAAAAACAAAAAAAACTTCCTATATCTTTATCCAAGGCATTTGTAAAATTGTTGAACAAAGCAAAGACAAATGCTGCCTCTGTAGCCCCAGTGTATTCATTCATTCTCATGCTGCTATAAAGAACTGCCTGAGACTGGGTAATTTATAAAGGAAAGTGGTTTAATTAACTCACAGTTCTGCAGGGCTGGGGAGGCCTCAGGAAACTTGCAATCATGGTGGAAAAGGAAGCAAAAACATCCTTCTTCACATGGCAGCAGGAAGGAGAATAATGACAACAGAGCAAAGGGGGAAGCCCCTTATAAAACCATCAAATGTTGTGAGAACTTACTATCACAAGAATAACATGGGGAAGACGGCCCCCATGATTCAGTTACCTCCCACTGGGTCCTTCCTGCGACATGTGGGGATTATGGGAACTAAAACTCAAGATAAGATTTGGGTGGGGACACAGCCAAACCATATCACTCAGAGACCTATTAGAAATATCACTATTCCTTGTTTATTTATTTATTTATTTATTTATTTATTTAATTTTACTTTAATTTCAGGGATATGAGTGCAGAACGTGTACGTTTTATATATATGTATGTTATGGTGGTTTGCTGCACCTATCAATCAGTCATCTAGGTTTTAAGCCCCACATGCATTAGCTATTTTTCCTAATGCTCTCCCTCCCCTTGCCTCCCTACTCCCTGACTGGCCCGATGTGTGTTGTTCTTCTCTCTGTGTTCATGTGTTCTCATTGTTCAACTCTCACTTATGAATTAGAGCATGTTATGTTTGGTTTTCTGTTCCTGTGTTAGTTTGCTGAGAATGATGGCTTCTAGCTTTATCCACATCCCTGCAAAGGACATTATCTCATTCCTTTTTATGGCTGAATAATATTCCATGGTGTATATGTACCACATTTTCTTTATCCAGTCTATAATTGATGGGCATTTGGGTTGGTTCCATGTCTTTGCTATTGTAAATAGTGCTGTAATAAACATGTGTGTGCTTGTGTCTTTTTAGTAGAATAATTACATTCCTTTGGTTATATATGCAGTAATGGGATTGCTGGGTCAAATGGTATTTCTGGTTCTAGATCCTTGAGGAATTGCTACACTGTCTTCTACAATGGTTGAACTAATTTACATTCCCACCAACAGTGTAAAAGTGTTTCTATTTCTCCACATCCTCACCTAAATCTATTGTTTCTTGACTTTTTAATAATCATTATTCTGACGGGCATAAGATGGTATCTCATTGTGGTTTTGATTTGCATTTGTCTAATGATCAGTGATATTGAACTTTTTTTCATATGTTTGTTGGCCGTGTAAATGTCATCTTTTGAGAAGTGTCTGTTCTTATCCTTTGCCCACTTTTTGATGGGTTTTTTTTTTCTTGTAAATTTGTTTAAGTTCCTTGTAGGTTCGGGATATTAGATCTTTGTCAGATGGATAGATTGGACAATTTTCTCTGATTCTATAGGTTGTCTGTTCACTCTGATGCTAGTTTCTTTTGCTGTGCAGAAGCTCTTTAGTTTAATTAGATCCTATTTGTCAATTTTGGCTTTTATTGCAATTGCTCTTGGCATTTTAGTCATGAAGCCTTTGCCCATGCCTATGTCCTGAATGGTATTGCCTAGGCTTCCCTCTAAGGTTTTTATGGGTTTGGGTCTTATGTTTAAATCTTTAATCCATCTTGAGTTAATTTTTGTATAAGGTGTAAGGAAGGGGTCCAGTTTCAGTTTTCTGTGAATGGCTAGCCAGTTTTCCGTGTATGGCTAGCCAGTTTTCCCAGCACCATTTATTAAACAGGGACTCCTTTCCCAATTGCTTGATTTTGTCAGGTTTGTCAAAGATCAGATAGTTGTAGATGTGTGGTGTTATTTCTGAGGTCTCAAGTCTGTTCCAATGGTCTATGTGTCTGTTTGGTCCAGTACCATGCTGTTTTGGTTACTGTAGCCTTGTAGTATAGTTTGAAGTCAGGTAGCGTGATGCCTCTAGCTTTGTTCTTTTTGCTTAGGATTGTCTTGGCTATAGAGGCTCTTTTTTGGTTCCATATGAAATTTAAAGTAGATTTTTCTAATTCTGTGAAGAATGTCAATGGTAGTTGGATGGAAATAGCATTTAATCTATAAATTACTTTGGGCAGTATGGTCATTTTCACTATATTGATTCTTCCTATCTATGAGGAAGGAATTTATTTTTCCATCTGTTTATGTCCTCTCTTATTTTCTTGATCAGTAGTTTGTAGCTCTCCTTGAAGAGGTCCTTCACATCCCTTGTTAGCTGTATTCCTAGGTATTTTATTCTCTTTGTAGCAATTGTGAATGGGAGTTTATTCATGATTTGGCTCTCTGTTTGTCTATTGTTGGTGTATAGGAAGCTTGTGATTTTTGCACATTGATTTTGTATCCTGAGACTTTGCTGAAGTTGCTTATCAGCTTAAGGAGTTCTTGGGCTAAGACAATGGAGTTTTCTAAATACAGAATTATGTTGTCTACAAACGGAGACAATTTGACTTCCTGTTTTCCTGTTTGAATACCCTTTATTTCTTTCTTTTGCCTGATTACCCTGGCCAGAACTTCCAATATTATGTAGAATAAGAGTGGTGAGAGTATTCCTTGTTTTTTTTTATTTGATCTCATGTCATCATTTTGTCCGCAATGACACAAGAGATTATAAGACTTATTAGATACTTTAGAAGCAAATGCATTTCCAAAGAGAAAAGTCTAGGCACTGCATCTAGGGCAGTCTCATATACCAGAGAGAATCCACTTAATAGGGCATGACGTGTTCTTTGTGACTCCATGATGCCTGCTAGTCATCAGCACTTTAGTTTCAAAGTACTTACAAATTATCTATTCAATAATTTATTCTGGATTTCTTTCGGGGCTCAATGTTAAAATCACAAGAATATATATTTATAGTGTAATTTATTGATTCATCCAGTTTGACAAACATTCATTAAGCACCTACTACATGCCAGGTGTGAACATATGTTTAGTGCTGTGGTGGCACATATGTTCTCTACATTCCAGCCTAATGGGGGAAATATGAAAAAAAACCAGACAATTTCAATGCATTCTGGCAATGGATAAGAAAGGAGAAATAGATTTGGGGAAGCATATCAGAAAGTCATTCGGTGAGGTTAAGTTTTCCAGAAGATTTTAGATCTTAGCTGAGAAGTAATCTGTGAGGAGAAGTTAGGTAAAAGCAGGGATAGTCAACATGGAAGAATCTGCATGTTTGGAGGTCCCAATGACAGAATTTCAGTTCAGCAAATAAGGTTAGCAAAGGATGTAGAGGAGAGTATTAGGCTAAGTTGGAGAAAAGGTGGTGTGGAGGCTGCAGTAAGAAATAAGAGTAGGAGGAAAGTATTGGGAGGAGCCTTAACGTCCAAGGAATACAGTGTGTGTGTGTGTGTGTGTGTGTGTGTGCGCGTGTGTGTGTGCACGCACGTGCATGTGTGTGTGTGTGTTTAAAAGAGAAATAGCAACCAAAGATAGAAGAAAAAACAGAAAAATGTGCTGGCAAGAATGCCGAAGAAACACATTTTCCAAGAAAGAGAGATGAGTTTATTAAGCTATATGTACTTTGTGAAATCAAGCAGGGTAAGGTTGGGATGTTTTTATTGGATCTAGCAACAGACTGGTTCCTGGCACCCTCGTGTGAACAGTACCAGTGGAGTTGGAAATGCCAAATACAAGTTGCTATGAATTGAGAAGTGACTGCAAGGGGAGAAAGTAGGTGCAGTAATTACAGAGAACCTAAAGGATAAATTTAAAGAGGAAGGATGAAGTCAAGGCTGTAGCTAGAAACACATCTCAAGGGAAAACTTTTAAGTATGAAAATATTAAAAATTGAAAATATTTAAATCTAGACTAGGCACAGAAAAAGAAAAAATAACTTATTAACCTGAAGAGTTGGAAGAGAATAAGATCAAGATAAAATGGAGAAATTCACTATAGACAACAGATGAGACACCACTTTTATTTTAAAAGGAAAAAGGGAAAAATATGAATGCAGATTCAGGGAAGTCAGTAAGTTCGGTGATAGCTATAGAAAATGAGAATGCTTATCTCATCTCTTCTACTTTCTCTATAAGATCATGAACTGAGATGGAGACAGATGTTAAATCAAATGTTTAAAGAATGAAGCTGCTGCAATGAGGAGACCTGGAGGAGAGAATACCTTGCTTTCCTATTTGCTTGAAATGTTGACAAACAATAAATTATTGAGAAACTGTAAAAGTATTATCTAGTGGCACTGGGCATGAGTTAAAACATTTATATGCCCACAGAAAAAGAAATTGTTCTACAACCCAGAGTAACAACTTACTTGAATTTTTTACTTCTTTCTTTCGATTCATTCATCTTGTAAGTATTTTTAAATAAGTGGTCATTATTGTCAAGCAAACTGGGAGGGTACAAAAAGAAAGATCACATAAGAATTGAACTATAAGGAAGATTTTTTCCCATAAGAAGAATAGATATGAATATGATTAATTATGATTTGTGAAAAATATTATAAAGGCCTTAAGAGTCTCAGCATAAACTTAGTTACAGTATTTAATAATAACTATGGGAATTATACTTGCTATTCTCAATTTATCATATACTTATGGATATAAGAAACTAGCAGCAATTCTTCTGAGGTGATAGGCCAGTTAAGAAGAGTTAAAAAGGGAGTTTCAGAAGAATGCATATCCGAATCTCTGTCTGGGAGCCATGTACAATTCTTAAAAGCTTCCAAGAGATTAGGATGTATTACCTCCTGCCCAGGCACAAATGCACATTTTTTGAGAATTTGAAGTTTTCTCAGCTAAATAAAAAAAGGTTATACTGAGATATTCTTTGTTCCTGGGTCTAGCTCTCTGATAGTGAAGGCCTCATTTTTGGATTTAGTGAGTTAATAAGATTTGGAGTTTCCTGAATATTATTTCTTCCACGAGTTCCCAAACTAAAATGTATGCTTAATTACAAATATCTTAGTGATTATTTTATAACAAAACTATTTTTTTCCATTTATTATTGTTACAAATATTTCTGGTATTCAGGTTAGGTTCTGGGTAGAATGGGGAAAGTAATTTGAATTTTATATTAAAAATGCACGATGAGCTTATATTTATGTAAACTAAAGAAATAGTTAAGGACAGAAGACAACTAAACATAACTGGGTGGTTGTTTTGCATATTAAACAAAATTCTTAGTTCCAAGTTGCAAACTGCCTTGAATTTAATAAGCACAAAGATGTATCTACCACATATAAGATCATGTAGCCTTGTTAATCCACTGTAACCATAGTGGATAGAGTTAATCCAGCCTAACAAAAGTGAAGGATAGAATGCTGCTGAAATGTTTGATTTGAATAAGAAGAGAACTCTCCAATAAAGATACTGTTGTAGCAGAAGCTGGAGGAGGGTATAGTAGGAGAAGAGGTTTAGCCTTGGAGTTGCAAACAGTAAGTACTTAGCAGAAGGTTCCTGTGTTCTAGAAAGATGCTGTGTTGCCAACATAAGTATTTAGGATTAAATGGCCAAAGATTTCTATACTTGCCAAAGATTTCTATACTTGCTGTGGTTGCATATAAGCATAAAGAAAATGTCCAGAGAGATTTTCAGTGTCACCTTCTAGGTAACAAAACAAAGCAAATCCATAATTTCCAGTACAATTATCAACTAACGAAAGTGACCCTGCTTCTACCTATGGCCTTTTCCATTTTCTCTTTTTCTTTCTTATCTTTATTTATTTATTTACTTATTTTGCTTTCTTTTATCCTTTCAGTAGTCCAATACTATCAGTCATGGCTACCAGATCTACCAAGTCTATTTAGTTTGTACCATGTAATTTATGACAAAAGACAAGACCAAAAATATTGGGCACATAAATACACATAAATATATATACATGTAAAATAAAATAATATGACAAATAAATTTAGAAGATGAATTATGAAGTAAAAAATCACTTAGAAAATATAATACAATATATTTCATTCACAACACCAACAAAAACATAATCGATCTTGGAGTGAACATATTAATACTATAGATTTACAGTAAAATAAAATACTAAGGTACCTAAAAGAAAACTGGAATACATGGTAGTTACCAAATAAGTGTTATTGAATTGGAAATTTCATAAGTATAAAAATGTTAATACCCCATAAATTAGAAGTTGAATAAAGTATTGAATTCCAATCAAAGTATTAGTTGTGGTATTTTAAATTTTTTTAAAAAGCAATTTTTCCCTTTATACTCAAAATGTTCTTGGATATTTATGGTAAATAATTTTTAGAATTATTTATCAAATAACAAAACAAATGGGCATGGTGGCTCACACCTGTAATCCCAGCACTTTGGGAGGCCAAGGCGGGTGGATCACTTGAGGTCAGGAATTTGAGACCAGTCTGGCCAACATGGTGAAACCCCATTTCTACTAAAAATACTAAAATTAGCCAGGTGTGGTGGTGCACACCTGTAATCCCAGCTACTCAGGAGGCTGAGACAGGAGAATAACTTGAACCTGGGAGGCGGAGATTGCAGTGAGCTGAGATCACACCACTGCACTCCAGCCTGGGCCACAGAGAGACTCTGTCTCAAAAAAAAAAAAAAAAAAATCAAGTGATCAATTGGCTTGGTAAAAATTGTGCAAAGGTCATAAATATAGAATGCAAATAAAAATAAAATGGCCAAAGGACATATGTACTTTCTATAATATAAAATGTAAATTTAAAATATATATTTTTCTCTTCACGTTAGCATTTTTTAAAGTTAGAATATCTTGTGTCAGTGAGACTGAGAGAAAATAGTAGTCTTCTATACTACTGTTACAAACATAGTTATAAATAATAAAATCCTAATTAAAAAGGAAGAATAAGTACTGGTGTTCTGTTCCACAGTAGGGTAACTATAGTCAGCAGTAAGATAGCACATATCTCAAAATAGATGGAAGAGAGAATTTTGAATGGTCCCACCACAAAAAAAGACAAATGGTTGAGATTATGGATATGCTAATTGTCCTGATTTGGTCAGTACATAATATATACATGTTTTGAAACATCACAGTGTACCCCATAACTATGCACAATTATGTCAATTAAAAATTAAAAATGAAAATAATTTTAATAATGAATAAATAACAAAATCTTTCATCTGTAATGCTGTGCCTACTCACTCTCTTTTTTGCTACAACCATCCAACTTGCAGAAATGTATCTGAAAGAAATAATTGAATGACAACCCAAAGATATATTTATAAACATATTCTTTGGAGTACACCACTTCACACAGGATAGGCTATAAATAAACATTTTAATTGACTAATAAATGTTCACAAAAGACTGAAAAATTATGAATAACATTACAATAAAACCTTAGAAAGGAATACACTGTAGCTTCATTTATTGATATGGAGACAGGGTCATAATTTATTGATAAATGAAATAAGACAAAGAAGAACAAAGGAAAGCAGCCACTTTGTATTTCATGTTTATGACCACTAGTGCAATTGATAGTACTGAGGAGGCAAGGTAGTGTGGCAGAGTCAGACATACCTGAGTCCAATCCCAGTTCTGCCACTCACATGCTGTGTGATGAAGAGAAAGTTACTTAACTCTCTAAAATTGTCTATTTCTCACCCTTGAAATGGGATACAAATGCCTGTTACTTCCGATTCTTGTGAGAACAACTGTGATAATGTAAGTAAAGCACATAGCTTTTTCTACACATGAAATTTAATCACTGACAAAGGGAGTTACAAGAAAAAAGAGATATAAATTCATAACATATTTATGTAATATGAAAATTAAATGTTTCTGTATGTATATGTCTATAGACTGCTTCAACAGAATATGTTTTTTATTTTATACTCTGTTCAAATATCTTTTAAAATTGCAAAATGTTTATTATTTCCTGGACTGCTGGAAAAGTAGCTACGTTTCAGTACATATAATTTTTGCTATGTATATGGAAACATTTTAATGAGTGATAATCTGGGAAAAAACAAAATTCTCAAATATTTAATTTTATCTGCAGTCTCCCCAATCAATGTACACATGGCCACACACACACAAACACATACAAAACAGTGTTGTGTTTATTTATTCTTATGCTCCACATTGTTTACTATTTTATAAGCAGGTTCTCCAAATTTTCAAGCATACCCTCACAATAGCATTCATTACATGTCAAATTCATGAGCTGCTTTGGAGATACAAAAATATAGAATACGACTCAAGACTGATTGCCTCAGGACAGGTGTATTATTGCCGGCTCTTCCATTGCATTTCTCTGTGTTCTTGGCAGAGATGCTTACTTAATATAGCAGCCTGGGACTGTTTGGATATTTCACCATAAACCTCAGTTTAGCGTCTTAAAAAGTACACTGATACCAAAGTCACACGTAGCAGTGACATAAATTGATTACACTGTTCTCAAGAGTGTCAAACACAGGGTAATGTGGGGAGGAAGGCTACTTGAAGGAGAACTCTATTTAAACTCAAAGACAACCACAAGTAGGTTGAATACTCCTGTTCTCACTTCCCGAAGAAGGCATCAACATTTCTCTAAACTCCACTATTTTAAAGTCTTTCTGCAGCTTGTTGTATTTTAATCGAGAAACAATGCAATCCAGGTATGAGTACCACATCTCATTTACATTTGCTTCAAATAAAGAATTTATGTACAATCTTTGAAGATACAAATAGAAATAAAAAGCAAAAGTGATTTTGAGTTGACACAAAATGTTCTTAAATTTCTTACTAGCCAACATATACTACTTCTTAGAAAATTTGGTAGGCTTAAAATTTCTAAAACTGGACCTTCAGACCATGTTATTCAGGATAAATAAGCCCTTCCAAATTGCTCTAATCCTTTCAAGACTGAAATGTAGGCAAAGTGCTGCTCTATTTCCAGTGCAGAGGTGGAGTTGCTCTGGGTTTAGGTTCTCTGAGGAAGTCAGCCACATGGCCAGTAATTCTTGCCATGGCTTTTGTGTTGCACCAGCTACATTGAAAGTTCTCCTGGCTTGTGGAACTCCAGAATATAAAACTAATGATCTGTGGAAATGAGCAAGGTTGGTGAGAAAAACCACAGCAGGATATACCAGGATATTTAGGGCACTTTTCTAACACTTGTATTGTGTGGAGTGGTAAGAAATAAAAGTCATTTTGCATTTTAGTGGAACTTCTCTTGAAGAGAGTGCATGCTGTCCCAGCCTTAGGCACCAGAATTAGAAGTCTTTAGTGATCTCTGGGAGACCAAATGTCTCTCGTAGAAAGACAAAATAAATTATCCGGATGGCATTATATTAGCATTTCAGGTTTGGAAAATGATCTGCCATTCTTTATATGAGTTGTTTCTCACTGTAATTTTGGGGTTCATGAACTTGGTATAGATTGATGCATGGCATACAAAATGCTGCTGTGAAAAGGGCCATAGCAAAGCTAGGATCTTCTGGATTCTAAATTTAGGTTATATAATAACTGAAGAATAATAGGAAGACGTGTATTTAAAGTATAAACATTCACATTTAAAAATGGAAGTAACTTGTTCCCTGAATTGCAAATGATATGGATCCTCTTTTAAGATATTGATGATCTGGAGCTAACCCCTACCCCCCAAAATCATTTATGTTGAGATTTGAAACATCTTGCACATATTTTGAGCAGTAAGTATGTCTTGGTGATCATTAAAGTGAATCTTCATGTCTTGAATTTAGAGATGGAGACCAAGAAATCTGATGGGTGGTAGAAAACAACTGGATGAGATTTGACTAGTTTGTTCCCACAGTGAATAATTCACAAATGGTTAAAATGTTGTATTCCAAAATTCTTTAATGAAAGGTAAAATGTAAGTATTTTATATTATTAGTAGTAGTTGTATTATGTCAGTTCTAGATATGAGTAGTTAATTTACAGATCAACTATTCTAGCCTCCCAGTATAACATTTGGATAAACTAAGTGAAATAACTTGCATAACCACATACCCACCAAGTGTCCAGATTGGGAATAGAATCTAGAGATACTCTTCCACTATAGAAAGTGGTCAGGAAGACAGATTTAGATTAAAGAGCCAAGTGAAATTTTCCTAAATATACAAATACACACACACACACACACAGTAGGCAGAATAAATAAATACACACACACACACACACACACACACACAGTAGGCAGAATAATGGCCCCCAAACATATTTGCATCATAATTCCTAGAACTTGGAGCCTGTGATTATGTTAACTTCTGTGGCAAAAGAGATTTTGCAGATGTGATTAAAGTTAAGGACCTTGAGATGGGAGATCATCACAGATTATTCAGGTGGGTACAGTCTCATCATATGAATCCTTAAAAGTGGAGAAACTTTCTTGGGTAGTTAGTCAGAGATATGATGACAGAAAATGGAAGAGAGCTGCTAGATTTGAAGATGAAGAAAGAGAGCTATGAGCTAAAACTGTGGGCAACATCAAGAAGCTGGAAAAGACAAGAAAAGGTTCTCCCCTAGAGTCTGTAGAAACACACACAACCCAGTGAGACACAAGTCAAACATCTGACCTACAGAACTGCAAGATAATAACTTTATGTTGTTTCAGGCATCATGTTTGTAGTAATTTGTTATAGCCACTATAGAAAGCTAATACTATATATATATATATATATATATATATATATAGATATAGATATATAGTATATTATATACATTATTATATATATGTATAAACATTTAATGATTTATAATACATATAGGAAGAGGTGTACAAATTATAACTCAACTGGTCAGTGAATTATCCCAAATTGCTCACACATGTATAAGCACCAGCCAGATCAAAAAAGATATTATGAGCACACCAGAAGCCTCCTTAATGCCCCATTCCAGTCACTATGCTTTTACCCAGGGTAACCATTATTATCACTTCTGACAGCACAGGTTAATTGTTCCTATTTTGAACTTGAAATGCATGGAGCCATATAGTAGGCACTCTTTTGTATCTGTCTTCTAATCAACGTTATGTTTCTTAGATTCATATGTATTGTACTTGTAGTTGGTTCATTCTCATTTTTTGATAAAATTCCATTCATCAATATACCACAGTTTACTTATCTCTTCAACATTCAGGAAATATGGCAATTATCAGTTTGGAATTCTTAGAAATAGCACTGCTTTAAGCATTTTTTCATGTCTTTAGGGAATATATATCCATATTTCTGTTACATCTCTACTTCAGAATGGAATTTCTGAGTCATAGGATATGAGTACATTCCATTTTAGTGTATGCTATCAGTTTTTCAAAGTTTTTGAACCCATTTGCACTCCTCCCATCAATATATGGGAATTCTAATGCAGTATATCCTTTCCAACACTTGTTGCTTATACCCTTTTATATTGTATTTATTCTTTTAGTGGTGGTATTGCATTGTGATTTTAATTTGTATTCTTTTATTATGAAGATGTAGTTTACTGTTTTTAACATAACTAGGTATCTAATTTTACCAAATTATTTTTCTGCTTCTATTGAGATGATTATATAATTTTTCACTTATGTATTTATTAATGTGGTGTATGACACTGATAGATTTACAAGTGTAAAAATACCCTTGGTTTTCTGAAGTAAACAGCTTAGTCTTGGAATATTGCTTTTTTAATCACTGAATTCTATTGTGTAGTATTTTACATAGGATTTTGAATTAGATTGATGAAAGATATTGGCCAGTAAATTTCTTTTCTTTTCCCGTTCTTGTAGGGATTTGGCATCACAGTAATGTAATCTCCATACAAATAGGTAGAAAGTGTACCATCTTTATTATCTGGTAGATTTTGTGTAATATTGGTGTTTGGAAGAATTCACAGGTTAATCTATCATAGTTTGAAATGTTCATTGTGGGAAGATTTCTTAAATTGAATTTATTTCTTCATGAGATTTCAAATCACTCAGATTTTTAATTTATTATTAAGTCCATTTGGTAAGTTGAGTTTTCAGAGGAAGTTTTCATTTCATTCAAATTTTCAAATTTATTGGTTAAAATTTTTCATATTCAATTGTTATAGTTTTAATATTTAAATGATTTATACTTATGTCATCTCTAATATTCCTAACATAGGTAATTTGTGTTTGCTTTTTAAAAAATTAGTCTTCCTAAGAGTTTTTTCAGTTTTATTAAAATTAAATAAGAACAAATTTCTGATAATTTTCTCCATGTTTTTTAGTTCTTGGCTACTGTGGCTAGTGCTGCCATAAACATAAAACTGCAGATATATCTTCTATATACTAATTTCCTTTCTTTAGGCCATATACCCAGCCATGAAATTGCTAGATCATATGGTAGTTCTATTTTTAGCTTTTTCAGGAACCTACATATTGTTCTCCATTGTGGTTGTACTAATTTGCATTCCCACCAACAGTGTATGAAGGTTCTCCTTTCTCCACATCCTTGCCAGCATTTGTTACTGCCTGTCTTTTGGATAAAAGCTGTCTTAGCTGGGGTGAGATAATATCTCATTGTCATTTTGATTTGCATTTCTCTGATGATTAGTGATGTTGGTTGGACATTTGTACCTTTCTTTCAAGAAATATCTATTCAGACCTTTTCCCATTTTAATAATTGGATAATTTGTTTTCTTTCTATTGAGTTGAGTTCCTTCTATATTCTGGTTATTAATCCCTTGTCATATAGATAGTCTACAAATATTTTCTCCTATTCTGTGGGTTGTTTCTTCACTTTGTTGATTGTTTCCTTTACCGTGCAGAAGCTTTTTAGCTTCATGTGATCTCATTTATCCACTTTTGCTTTGGTTGCCTGCCCTTTTGAGGTCTTACTCAATAAATCTCTACACAGACCTATATCCTAGAGTGTTTCTCCAATTTTTATAGTAGTTTCATAGTTTAAGGTCTTATATTTAAGTTTTCAATAAATTTTGATTTTATTTTTGTACATTGCAAGAGATAGGGGTCTAATATCATTCTTCTGCATATGGATATTCAGTTTTCCAGCACCATTTGTTGAAGAGACTGTCTATTCTCCAATCTATGTTCTCAGCACCTCTGTCAAAAATGAATTCACGTAGATTTATGCATTTATTCTGGGGCTGTCTATTCTGTTCCATTGGTCTATGTGTCTAGTTTTATGCCAGTAAACAAAATACTAGAAAAGTGAATCTAAGAGCACAATGAAAGATTTATTTTGTATAAAATATGAAGATTTATTTTGTATAAAACTTGTATAAAAGATTTATTGTGCTCTTAGATTCAGTTTTCTAGTAGTTGAAGATTTTTACATTTATGTTGATCTGAAATACTGGCTTATAGTTTTCTTTTTTCATTGTATCTTTTTCTGGTTTTGGTATCAGGGTAATATTGGCCTTATATCATGAGTTCAGAAGTATTCCCTCTCTATTATTTGGAATAGTTTGAGTAGGATTGGTATTAGTTCTTTATTATATGTTTGATAGAACTCAACAGTATAGTCATCAGGTCCTGGGATGTTTTTGATTGCAGTCTTTTTATTACTTCTATAATATCAGGGTACTTGTTATTGGTCTCTTTAGGTTGTGGATTTCTTCCTGGTTCAACCATGAAGTTGATGTATGGTTGATGTATGGTTCAACCATGAAGTTAAGGTAGGTTGTATGTGTCTAGGACTTCTCAGTTTTCCAATTTACTGGCATATGGTTGCTTGTATGGGCTCTAAAAATCCTTTGAATTTCTGTGGAATCAGTTATACTGTTCTTTTTTTATCTGATTTATTCATTTGGGTCCTCTTTTTCCTTAGTCTCGCTAAAGTTTTGTCAATTTTGTTTATCTTTTCAAACAAGGAACTTTTCATTTCATTAAATTTTTCTGTTTTTTTAGTTTAGATTTTATTTATTTCTCCTGTGATGTTTATTATTTATTTTCTTCTACTAATTTGGGTTTTTTTTTGCTCTTGCTGTTCTAATTCTTTAAGACACATCATTAGGTTGTTTATTTGAAGCTTTTCAGCTTTTTTTTTTTTTGAGACAGAGTCTCGCTGTCGCCCAGGCTGGAGTGCAGTGGTGCGATTTCGGCTCACTGCAAGCTCCGCCCCCCGGGGTTCACACCATTCTCCCGCCTCAGCCTCCCGCGTAGCTGGGACTACAGCTTGCCCAGCTAATTTTTTTGTATTTTTAGTAGAGACGGGGTTTCACAGTGTTAGCCAGGATGGTCTCGATCTCCTGACCTCGTGATCCACCCGCCTGGGCCTCCCAAAGTGCTGGCATTACAGGCGTGAGCCACGGCGCCCGGCCTCAGCTTTTTTGATGTAGGTGTTTATTGCTATCAACTATCCTTTTAGTACTGTTTTTGCTGTGTCCCCATAGGTTTCGGTATGTTGTGTTTCCATTTTCATTTGTTTCCAGGATTTTTAAATGTTATTCTTAATTTCCCTATTAACCCAGTGATTATTCTGGAGTATATTGTTTATTTTCATGTGTTTGTATATGTTCAAAAGTATATCTTCTTGATTTTCAGTTTTTTTCTATTGTCTTTAGTAAAAATACTTAATATTATTTCAATTTTTCTCAATGTTTTGAGACTTGTTTTGTAGTCTAACACGTGGTGTATCCTTGAGAATGCTCCATTTGCTGGGAAAAAATGTGTATTCTGCAGCTGTTGAATGAAATGTTCTGCAAATGTCTATTAGATCCATTTGGCCTATAGTAAAGATTAAATCTGATGTTTCTTTTTTATTTTTTAGTAATTTCAACTTTTATGTTAGATTCAGAGGGTATATATGTTCATGTTTGTTACATGGGTATATTGTGTGATGCTCAGTTTTGAGGTATGAATGACCCCCTCAGGTTGTGAGCATAGTACCCAATAGGCAGTCTTTCAACCCTTGCCCCACTCTATCTCTTCCCCTTCTAGTAGTCCCCAGGATCTATTGTTCCCATCTTTATGTCCATGTGTACCCAATTATTAGCTCTTTCTTATAAGTGAAAGCAGGCAATAATTAGTTTTCTGTTCATTCATTAATTTGCTTAGAATATTGGCCTTCAACTGCATCCATGTTGCTGCAAAGGACAGGATTTTGCTCTTTTTATGGCTGTATAGTATTCCATGATGTATATATACCACATTTTATTTATCCCATCCACAGTTGATGGACATCTAGGTTGATTCCATGTCTTTGCTCCTATGAGACACACAAATGCATGTGTCTTTTTGGTAGGATTATTTATTTTCCTTTGGCTACACACCCAGAAATGGGATTGCAGGGTCAAATGGTAGTTCTGTTTCAAGTCATATGAGAAATCCCCAAAGTCCTTTCCACTATGGCTAAACTAATTTAAATTCTTGCCAACAGAATAAGCGTCCCCTTCCTTTCTGTAGCCTCACCAGAATCTGTTATTTTTTATAAGTCTGATATTTTTTATTGATTTTTTATCTAGATGATCTGTCCAATGCTGGAAGTGGGATGTTGAAGTCCCAGCTATTATTGTATTGGGGTCTCTCTTTTTGGCTGTAATAACATTTGCTTTATATGTCTGAGCGCTCTAGCATTGGGTGTGTATATATATTTACAATTATTATATCATCTTGCTGAATTGTATCTTTGTCATTTGTCTCTTTTTACAGTTTTTGTCTTGAAATTGATTTTATCTAATATGTATATAGCTATTCCTGCTCTTTTTTGGTTTCCATTTGCATGGAATACCTTTTCCTATTCCTTTATTTTAAGGCTATGTGTGTCTTTATAGGTGAGGTGAGTTTCTTATAGGCAGGATATAGTTGGGTCTTGTTTTTTACCCATTCAGCAAGTCTATGTCTTTTGATTGGAGAATTTAGTTTATTTTTATTCAATACTATTATTGATAGGTAAGGACTTACTACTTTCATTTTGTTATTTGTTTTCTGATTGTTCCATTGGTCCTGCCCTTCCCCTTCCCCTTCCCCTTCTCCTTCCCCTTCTTCCCCTTCCCGTCCCCTTCCCCTTCCCTTTCCCCCTCCCCTTCCCCTTTTCCTTCCTTCCTTCCTTCCTGTCTTCCTTTGTGTAAAACTTATTTATTCTAGTAATATGTTTTAGTGTTTTGCTTTGTATTTGTGTGTGTATGTTATAGGTTTTTGTTCTGTAGTTACCGTAAGTCTTGTAAATACCATCTGATAATCTATTATTTTAACTAATGACAGTTTAATTCTGATTACAAGAAAAGAAAAAAAATGAACAAGCAAAGAGAAAACTAAAAAAACTCCACAGTTTAACTTCATCACCACCATTAACTTTTTGTTGTCTCTATTTTCTTTATGTTGTCTATCTCTTAAGACATTTTTGTAGTTATAATTTTTATAAATTTGTCCTTAGTCTTCCTGCTCAAAATATGAGTGGTAATACACAATTACAGTTTTAAAATATTCTGTATTTGTCCATGTACTTACTATTACCAGTGAATTTTATACCTTCAAATGATTTCTCGCTGTTCATTAATGTCCTTTTCTATCAGTTTGAAGAACTGTCTTTTGAATTTATTGTTAAGACAGGTCTGCTGTTTACGAAGTCCCTCAGCTTTTGCTTGTCTAAGAGAGTATTTTTCCTTCATGTTTGAAGGTTAATTTTGCTGACTATAATATTCTAAGTTGAAAGTCTTTTTTCCCATCAGCACTTTGAATATGTGATTTCACTCTCTCCTGGCCTATGAGGTTTCTGCTGAGAAGTCTGCTTTCAGACATATCAAAGCACCTTTATATGTTATTTGCTTCTTTTCTCTCCATCTAGGGTCCTTTCTTTATCCTTGACTTTGAGAATTTGATTATATAAGCCTTGAGGTAGTCTTATTTGGGTTGAATCTTCTTGGCATCTATGGCCTTCTTATACCTGGATATTCCTATCTTTCTCTAGGTTTGGAAAGTTCCTTGTTACTATTTCTTTGAACAAACTATCTACCCTGATTTCTTCTCTATATCCTCTTCAAGGCCAGTCACTTTTATATCTGCCTTTTTGAGGCTATTTTCTAGATCTTGTAGGCATGCCTCATTCCTTTTTACTTTTTTTCTCCTCAGACTGTGTATTTTTATATAGCCTGTCTTTAAACTCACTAATTCTTTCTTCTGCTTGATCAGTTCTGCTGTTGAGACGCTCATGATTTTTTCAATTATTTATTTGAATTTTTCAGCTCCAGAATTTTTGCTTTTTAAAACATTAATCTCGTTGTTAAATTATCATGGACAGAATTCTGAATTTCTTCTCTCTGTTAACTTGAAGTTCATTGAGTTTCCTCAAGATAGCTATTTTGAATTCCCTGTCAGAACTGAAATGTCACATATCTCCATCACTTTGGGATTGGTTACTGGTGCCTTATTTAGTTTGTGTGGTGAAGTTATGTTCTCCTGGATGTTGTTGTTGCTTGTGGACATTTTTGATTGCTGGGCACTGAAGACTTAGGTATTTATTTCAATCTTTGAAGTCTGGACTTATTTGTATGCATCCTTTTTGAGGAGGTTTTCCATGTATTCATGTGTTGTGATCTAAGCCTGTGGTCACTGCAGTGGTCTCAGCACTACGGAACACCCTAATCCCAGAAATGCTGCAACTCTTGACAACTCCTAGAGGCACTACCTTGGGGGGCTTGAGCAAGATAGGGGAGAATCCCTTGGGTTACCAGACAAAATCTCTCACTCTCTTCCCTCTCTTTCCCCTAGTCAGGTTGGAGGAGGGGTCATACAAGCACTCTTGTGGCGACCAGTACCACACTGTACCAGTACCATCACTACCAACACCAGTACCATCCAGGCACTACACTGGGTTGCACCTGAAGCCAGTGTGGTACTGGGTCTTGTCCAAGGCCTGTGGCAACTACTGTCTGACTATTGCTAACATTTATTCAAGGATAGAAGGCTTTTTATTCAGCTGGTGGTGAATCCTGCTGAGACTGGATTCTTTCCTTCAGGGCCGTGGATTCCCTTCTGGCCAAAAGTGAGTCTAGAAATGCCATGTAGAAGCTAATTCCTCTAACTGGGTGCTTCAGGAATCCGATTTCTGCTTAATTTTACTGTGGGTGAGCTGGTATCCAAGTTGGAAGACAGAGTCTTCTGTACTTTCCCCTCTTCTTTCCCCAAACTAAGGGAATCTCTCCTCAAGCTTCACTGCCTGGAGTTGGGGAAGATGTGATGCAGGCACTACTTGGCCTTCATAGTTGGTGTCACACTGGGTCACCTGCACCCCAAATGCACTGTGTGATTCAGACAAACCTCCAGGTCTCACTGAAGGACTGTAGTCCAAGTAGCCTGACTGCCACTCACATTTATTCTGGCCCCAGACCTCTTTATATTCAGCCAGTGGGAGAGCCAGCTAGGACTCAAATTCCTCCTGCTGGGTGATTGTTTTAACATGCTGTTGACTTCAGTTTTCCTGATATCCCTGATAAACATAAAAAACAATTTTTTGCATCTATGTTTATCAGGGATGCTGGGCTGTAATTCACTTTTCTTGTACTGTCCTCATCTGGCTTTGGTATCAGGGTAATTCTGGCCTCATAAAATGAGTTTGAAAGTGTTCACTTCTCTTCAATTTTTTGTAAGAAGTTGAGAAAGATTAGGTTATTTCTTTAAATGTTTGGTGGACTTTGCTAGTGAAGCAATCTGGTCCTGGGTTTTCTTTACTAGGATATTTTCATTACTGATTTAATCTTCTTCTTATTGATTTGTTCAGATTTTCTATTTGTGATGCAGTCTTGAAAGTTTGTAGGTTTCTAAGAATTAACCATTTTTTCTAGTTTCTGATTTTATTAATTTGAGTGTTCTCTTTGTTTCTTGGTTAGTATAGCTAATGGCTTTTCAATTTGGTTTATTTTTCAAAAACAACTCTCAGTTTCTTTGATCTTTTCTAATCTTTTTTTTGTTCTATAGTTCATTAATTTTTCTTCTAATCTTTGTAGTTTATTTCCTTTTGCAAAACTTGGGATTAGTTTGTTTTTGTTCTAGTTTACTGAGGTGTAACATTAGATAGTTTGAGATCTTTCCTTTTTCTTAATGTAGGCATTTAGCACTATAACCTTTCCTCTGGAAACTGCTTTTGCTGCATTACATAAGTTTTGTGGGTGTTTTTGTTTGTTTTTTGTTTTGTTTTGTTTTGAGATGGAGTCTTGCTCTGTTGCCCAGGCTAGAGTGCAGTGGCACGATCTCAGCTCACTGCAATCTCTGCCTCGGAGGTTCATGTTATTCTCATGCCTCAGCCTCCCAGTTAGCTGGGATTACAGGTGTGCACCATGACGCCTGGCTAATTTTTGTATTTAACCTGAGGGTGGAGGGTGGGAGGAGGGAGAGGAGCAGATAAAATTACCATTGTGTACTAGGCTTAGTACTGGGTTGACAAAATAACCTGTACAACAAACTCCTGTGACACAAATTTACCTATAAAACAAAGTGCATATGTGCCCATGAACCTAAAATATTTTTTTAAGAAGATCAGATTTATTAGCTAAGCTATTTTGAGTTGACAAGATTTTAATTTTTCTCCTGGCATTTTCTATATATCATCCAACTGTTTCCTGACCTGCAAGGTTTCTGCTGAGAAATTCACTGATAGTCTAATTAAAGTTCTGTTGTATGTAACATATCTCTTTTCTCTTGATGTTTTCAAAATTCTCTCTTTGCCTTTGATTTTTGGCAATTTGATTATAATGTTCCCTGGTTAAATCCTCTTTGAGTTGAATTGTTTGGGAAATTTCTACTTTGTCCTAATGTCAGTGAAAAAATACTCAATGGTTTTTAAATCTCAGATATTGGCCGGGCGTGGTAGATCACGCCTGTAATCCCAGCACTTTGGGAGGCCAAGGCGGGTGGATCACAAGGTCAGCAGATCAAGACCATCCTGGCTAACATGGTGAAACCCTGTCTCTACTAAAAATGCAACAAAAAATTAGCTGGATGTGGTGGCGCATGCCTGCAGTCCCAGCTACTCGAGAGGCTGAGGCAGGAGAATGGTGTGAAACTGGGAGGCGGAGCTTGCAGTGAGCCGAGATCACGCCACTGCGCTCCAGCCTGGGTGACAGAGCAAGACTATGTCTCAAAAAAAAAAAAAAAACCAGACATTGTGTTTTTGTTTCTACAATACTCATTTTATTATTCTAGTATATTGAACTCCTTCATATACCAATTTTTACATTTTTTTCTAATACTATTGTCTATTTTTCCTTTTGGTTACTGATCATATGGTCCTATTTCTCTGCATGTCTAATTTTTTTATGTAATGATAAACACTGTACACAAACACCATAAAGGTTCAGATTATAGATGCTGCTTTTCACTAGAGAGGTGCTAGGCAAAGGAAATTGCGGAGTGATCAATTTTATCCAATTAGAAATGGAGCTAGGTCAAAACTGCACTGAAGTTGAGACTCAATTTATTTCTACTTTGCCCCTATTTCTATAGTATGCCACACCAAGCTCATTATAATTGAGGGCCTGGAAAGCATCTGTCTCTGACCTCTGAGAAAATGTAGGAATTTCTTCTCTGCTTTGAGAGATTTTCAGTTTAGTCTTGTCTTGTGCAGCTTTTCAATGCCTGAGAAAGAGTCGACTGTGTGTCTGACTGCCAGAATTCCTGCTTGCTTCTTAGTTCTCCAAAAACTCTCTGCCATGGGGCCAGGCTTAATTCTATCTCTAGTTTTATTCAGAATAGGCAAATATCACCAGAAAGAAAAGCAAATGGTAGCTTCTCAGTATCCATTCACCACTCTCTCCAGAGCTCTCAAAAATTGTGTTTTTATGGACCTTTTCTCTCACAGAGATACTTCGACATTTTTGCTCTAATTTTCTAAAATTTACAGGTTGGCTCTTTTAAGCACTCACACTGCCCATCTATAAGTTAAGATATATTCTTACAAGAAAAATTGGTCATGGGTTTGAGGCTGCTTAAGTCTCCAGCCCTGGATGACTGGTAAAAGCTCTATTTGTTTATTTGTTCCTTCCCATTGCTTCTCTTTATGAAGAAAACCAAGTCCTCGGGCTCCATATCATTCTAAAAATCATCACATTTCCCAGGGAAAAGGCATCTACAAATCTTGATCTCACCTCTGAATATTTTTTCTGAGCTTTTCTCTAAAACTGTAGTTTGTCTAATCCTTCTTGTATCCACAGCTCTGTGAAACCTTTAAAAATATGATTTTTATAATTTATCTGGTCTTCTAGGTGTTCACATTAAAAGTGTTAGCCTCCTGCAAATTACTCCATTCTACTTAGAAGTGGAATTCTCCATACATTGCTTTTCATTTTCATTTTTAATGCCAGCAAGGAGGGAAAATATTCTTCAGGTTTTTGTTTTTGAGACAGAGTCTCACTGTGTCGCCCAGGCTGGAGTGCAGTGGGTGCTCTCAGCTCACTGCAACCTCCACCTCCCAGGTTCAAGTATTTCTCCTGCCTCAACCTCCACACCTGGCTAATTTTTATATTTTTAGTGGAGACAAGGTTTCACCATGTTGCCCAGGCTGGTCTCAGACTCCTAACCTCAAGTGATCTGCCTGCCTCAGCCTTCCAAAGTTCTGGATTACAGGTGTGAGCCACCACACCCAGCCAATTTTCAGTTATTTAACATTTCACTAATCCCTTTGTATGAAATACACAGTCTGATTTACTGATATTGTTTGTGATCACTGTAATAAAATAAATTATAATTTTTCATCTCCTCTGACTGCCCAGTTCTTACAAGTTTTTAAAAGTGCAATTCAAGCCCAACTCCTCTGGGACACCTTGCCTCATTGGCAAGAGATACCTACTTCCAACAAATTCCTTGACATTACTGTCCTCTGTGCCATCTTCCTCAACAATAAATATTGGCAAAGGGTTCATGGGTTCCAAAATAAAAGAACATTTTTATTTGTCTGAAATAGTTTTTAAATATGGGTAGAGGCCCAGGGAAGAATGGGTTTTGATACTTTCCAGTTTCATCTAACCCTTTTAATTGAAAAGTGATTTTAAAAGACTTTAATAGTTATAGATTGCATGGGAGACAAGCTAATAATATTCTAAAGAAGTAGATCTTTTTGATTGATTTGGAAAATATATTTTATGGGTCTCCCCCATGCTTTCCTTCTCTGCAAGCTAAGGATACAATGAAAAAAGAAAAATAAAATATACACAGAAGTTGGTTGCCCTGATAGCAACATCAAATTTATCTCACTGAATCTGACTGTTAAGTTGTTCAGCTGAATATTCTCCTTCTGGCTATGCTTAAAATCCCTCAAGTTTCAGGGTTGTGTGAAAAAGCCCACTATGCTACTAATCAATTTATCCTTTCAGTTTGGGTAACAGTAGCTCTCTGGGTCCCAAAGGCAATCAGCTAGTTCCCTGAAGCACACAATTTAGGTATACAGTTTATAAAATGTTAATGTAAATAAAATGATGACTCTTATTTTGAAAAATAGCCTGTAACAGAATTAATGATATTCTAGCAGTGGTATTTGAAAATCTAGCCACAATACCTTAATATTAAATTCTGTATATTCAGTAGTGTATATTTGTCAATACACCACCGCATAATTTATTCATACCACTCACTCAGTGTCCTCCAGCATTGATCTCAAAGCTGTTTTTTTACCTCCGTAATGAAAACTCTAGAACTTAAAATCCTGATCAAATGTAATCACTACCCCGATCAGAAATATGGCCTATGAGGGTTGAGGTAGAAGAAACTTTGTTTTTTTGGCTTGCATTATAAAATCTTTCCCAGAGCTAATCTGAAAAAAAAGGATAAAAACAACTCAGTGAGTCGGGAGCCCTGTTGCCATCTTCTGCTCATCAGCATAGATGGAATTTATCTTTCTGAACCATGTGCTCCAAATGTTAAAAGAAAAGGAATGCCTTTGATAAGATGAGCAAGTGCTGTGTTTAACCAAGATGCAACATTTGGAAATGCACTAATGATGGAAAGTTTTTTTTTTTGGAGACGGAGTCTTCCTCTGTCGCCCAGGCTGGAGTGCAGTGGCACGATCTTGGCTCACTGCAAGCTCCATCTCCCAGGTTTGCACCATTCTTCTGCCTCAGCCTCCCGAGTAGCTGGAACTACAGGTCCCTGCCACCATGCCCGGCTAATTTTTTTGTATTTTTAGTAGAGACGAGGTTTCACCGTATTAGCCAGGATGGTCTCCATCTCCTGACCTCATGATCCGCCTGCCTCGGCCTCCCAAAGGGCTGGGATTACAGACTTGAGCCACCACGCCCGGGTAGAAAGTTTTTAAAAATTCTCTTTAAAATGAGGTTAATTTAATATCAGTAACGGCCTTGGGACAACAGAAGTGAAGAAAGCTTCCCTAGAATGTTTCATTATCCATTGTTAAGTGCTTAGAAAGACAAGAGTTAGCTCTGGGATTCATGGGAATATTACAACTTTCTAACACAGTATGAGGCATGATTGTGATATTTTCATAAACAAAAATAAAAACAAACTATTCCAAGGAAACCTCTGAAGTATGTCTGGTTAAACTCTTCTTGGAGAACATCTTATGAGTAAAACTCAGCACCTTCTCAGGCTTCCGACTCTACCATGGGGTTGGCTAGAAATAAGGGAATGTCATACTTTGCTTTTGAAAGGCAGAAAAATACTAGTTTTCCATTTTATTTGACTTAAAAATCTCCATCATATGTATTTAAGAACTAAGGTTGCCAGTAATGTCAGTCCTTTTATTAATTTACACGTGTATTTATAATATACAAAATTTTATAAGAATATCTAAAGGATCAAGCACAAAAACAGGCAAGACTCCATAGGCTGATACAAATTTATTGAAGTTAACCCAAGAAAAATAAACTATAGATATAATAAATATTCACAAATATTTTTAATCAAATTGACACACCAAATGACAATCACAGTAATATATATGTTGAAACAGGAGAGTTTCCTGATTCCCCTCCCAGGATGTGAGACACGGGTGTTGCTCGCCTGCTTGGTTGCCCCACAGCTCAAACCCCTAGGGGGAGCATGCAGACAGGCAGGTGCAGAGGCCCGGGTGAGCGCTTTCGCGATCCCGCCCCACGACGGCATCTAGGGGTGGGTGTCTGCGACTCCCAAAGCCCAGGTGAGCATGTGTTACAAAGCTCTTTCAGATTTGCCGTCTGCAGAAGGCTTGTGTGTTAATCAGCTCAATGGACCCTCTTCCTTATCTCAAGGGCAGAGGGCCAGTGTGACGGTCTTCTGTATCCTGAGCTCTTGCCGAGCATCTTGCAAGAATCACATCACTCCCAGGTTCAAAGGGTGAGTGCAAGGTTTTATTGAGTGGTGGAGGTGGCTCTAGCAAGGTGGATGGGGAGCCAGAAGTGGGGATGGAGTGGGAAAGTAGTCTTCCCCTGGAGTTGGGCTGCCCAGTGGCTGTTCTCTGACCACCCCTGGCCAAACTCCCCTCGGAGTTCAGATGTCCCTCCTCTTCTCCCTTTCTCTGCCACCTCCTTCTACCATCACTGGTCTGCTGTTCTGCTGGTCTGCTGGTCTCGACAGACATTCAGCTGCCTGTGTGTGTGCCTGCTAAGGTCTCTGGTTTATATGGGGGCACAATTGGGGGGCATGGCAGGCCAAAAAAATTTTGAGGCTGGAAAACAGAAATGCCTGTCCTCATTTAGCGCTGCAGGTCTTCAGGCTTAAGGGTGGGGCCTTTGCCAGGTAACCGCCCTCTTTTACCCAGTATTTCCGTCTCCTGTCCATATCATTTGAATTTAAGTAATGGTTGACTTCATCAAATCCCAAAGAGTGCTGAAGATTACTAAACTGAAATTCAAGTCCTGCTTTTTTGAAAAATCAGAGAATCAAATTAAGTTAGAGAACGTTTAAATCTTTCTTACCATAAATGTTGTGTCAATCCTTATAAACACATATAATGGTGAAGAGAAAGTATTTCTGCATACAGTTTTCTATAACAAAATGCCATTGAGCATGCATTTCTACTATTCATCTTCCGAAAAAATATTAAAATAAGAAAAAATAATTTTGTAGACACTTCCAATATACTTGCCAATGATGAATAGCTTTAACACTGATATCCCTATGTATTGATACATTAACAGAGAATTAGAGGAGTTGTTTTCATAATCCTTAATAAGCATGGTAAAACCATTGAACTATAGGAAGATAGAGAGGATTCTTATAAATATATACCATGTAAAAATACACCATGGAGTATCTACAACAGTTTAGAACAAATGGAGCAACTTTAATTCTTTTCTTTTGGCCTTATGATTGGCATTGTTTACAATTATGTGGTTTGCTGTTGGTGACAGCATAACAAGAAAGGCAACTAAAGATTATGGTAAAAGGAGTTATTACTGTTTTAAAACTTATCTAAGTACAATTGACCTTATTTTCTTCTAAAATTGTAATATATATTATATATACAATATATAATATATAATATGTATATTATATATACAATATATAATATATAATATGTATATTATATATACAATATATAATATATAATATGTATATTATATATACAATATATAATATATAATATGTATATTATATATACAATATATAATATATAATATGTATATTATATATACAATATATAATATATAATATGTATATTATATATACAATATATAATATATAATATGTATATTATATATACAATATATAATATATAATATGTATATTATATATACAATATATAATATATAATATGTATATTATATATACAATATATAATATATAATATGTATATTATATATACAATATATAATATATAATATGTATATTATATATACAATATATAATATATAATATGTATATTATATATACAATATATAATATATAATATGTATATTATATATACAATATATAATATATAATATGTATATTATATATACAATATATAATATATAATATGTATATTATATATACAATATATAATATATAATATGTATATTTATTCAGGTATTCACTACTACAGTCAGAATATATATCAGTTCCATCTCCCCAAAAAACACTCTTGGACTTCTTATTTGTAATCAAGCCCCCTCTGTATGCTTAATTCCAGGCAACCATTGATTTATTCCGTATCCCTATAGTTTTACTCTTTAAAAGTATTTCAAATTGATGGAACATTCTGAGACGGTCTTCATTCAGCATAATATTTTTGACATACATCCCTGTTATTGTGTCAATAGTATCAGTAGTATTTTTTCCTTTAGGTTACTGAGACTATTTAATTACATGGATGTACTGTGATTTGTTTATCCATTCTCCAAGGAATGACATTTGGATTGCTTACAGGTTTTGGCAGTCATAAATAAAGACACTATAAAGATTCGTGTGCATGCATTTGTGTGAACATATGTTTACATTTCTATATGAGGAATATCTAGAATGGGGATTGCTGGATTGTACGGTAAAGATATGTTTCTCTTCACAAGAACCTGCCAAACTATTTTACGGAATGACAGTACAATTTTGCATTCCCACTGGCAATGCATGAGAGTTCTAGTTGCTCTACATCCTTGCCAACTTTTGGAATTGTTAGGTTTTCTTTTTGTTGTTGTTGTTGTCATTAACGGTTTTAGTCATTCTTATAGCCTTGTAGTGATATCTCATTGTGGCTTTGATTTGCATTTCTCAAATGGCTAACAATGTTACGTTTTTTCATATGCTTATTATCTATCTGCATATCTTCTCTGGTAAAGTGTCTGTCCAGATATTTTGCCTGTTTTTTAATTGAGTTAGTTTTATTATTGCTGAATTTTGAGGCTTCTTATGAATTATAGTACTTTCTCCTATGTGACTTCTCAGTTAATTAATAATTTCCTTCACATGAAAAAAGTTTTTCTAATATTGATGAAATCCTAATTTATCAATATTTTTCTTTAACCAATCATGCTTTTGGTGTCATATCTAATAACTTCCTCCCTAACACGTGGTTATGAAAATTTTCTTTTTATCAGGAAGTTTTATAGTTTTTACAATTTGTATTTAGTTATTTGGTCTATTTTGAGTTAATTTTTCTGTAAGGTGTGAGGTTGAGGTTCATTTTTTTCTTTATAAATGGATGTCTAATTGTTTCAATACCATTTGTTTATTGAAACAAATGGTAAGATTGTTTTTGCTCTATTGAATTGCCTGTGGGCCTTTGTCAAAATTAATTTATCATGCTTTTTTGGAGGAAGGATTCTTTTCTGGAAACACTATTAATTTTTTTTTGTTTGTCCATATTACATCCTAAATACTAAAGCTTTATGAAAAGTCTTAAATTAGTGTGAGTTCTCCAAATTCCTTTTTTTAAAACTTTTTACTATTCTAGCTATTTTTACATTTTCTATAAATTTTAGAATATTCTTTTCTCTGAATACAAAAATCCTTTTGAGATTTGTATGATAACATAGATCAATTTGGGGAGAATTGACATCTTAAATAGATTGAGTCGTCCAATCTGTGTGTATTATATATATCATCTTTATTTCATTAGCATTTTGTCATTTTCAGTATACAGATTCTGTTTTAAAAGATGCGTATTTGTAAACCTTTTGGAGCCATTGTAATGGACATTAAAAAAAATAGTTTCTAATTGTTCATTACTAGTAAATGGAAATATGACTGAGTTTTTTTATGGTGACCTCATATTCTACGACTTGCTAAGCTCACTTATAGGAGACCTTTTTTTTCTGTAAATTCCTTTAGATATTATCCATAGGCAATTGTTATCTGCAAATAGAAACAATGTTATTCTTTCTTTCCAATGATTTTCTTTTATGTATTTTTTACTGCCCTTATTACAGTTTCTGGAATATATACTACAATGTGGGATAGGAGTGGTTAGAAAAGTGGCAAGGACTTAATCCTGGCCATGTTCCCAATCTTATGAGAAAAAAAACATCTTTTCTTATTAAGCCTGATGATACCTGTTGGGGTTTTTGTGTAGATTATTGTTATCAATTAAAAGATGTTCACTGGTATTCTTAGTTGACTGAGAGTTTTGCTCCTTAATAGAGGTTGAATTTGATTAAAAATGTTTGCATCAATTAACATCATCTGCTTTCTACTTTGTTCTTTAATTAATATTTGAATATTAAACCAGCCTTGCATTCCTAGGATAAGCCCACTTTATGTGGTGTATTATTTATCTTCTTTACCACTTCTGTGAAACTTTTCACTTCACAAGATTGATGCTTTCCAGCCCTCTGGCAAGAAAGCCAGTGTTTTATTTTCCCCACTCTGTTGCATACTTAGAATGACTGTGGCTGCCTTAGAGGCCAACAAATAAGAGGATGGGGAGGGAGGGAGGGAGGGAGGGAGAGAGAGAGAGGGAGAGAAAGAGAGAGAGAGATAATATGAATTGAGATTTTATGATTCTTTTCACACCCTGGGACCAAAGTTCCTCTGGACAGAGAGAAGGGCTCACTTCCCTTACAGTTGTAGTTACCTGTTTGAATGTTGATGCCATTGCCTCCTCTACTGCCTGGGACTGGAAGAGGAGAGAATGGATGAAATGAAAGTACAGATATTTCCTTAACTCTCTCTTACCTGTTAGGGATTTCTTTCCCACTCCTCAAATAAGAAACAGAGACTTTCCTATGGCATCTTTTCTGAATGCATGTAGTGAGCATGGGTCTTAAGCTTCCTTTGAGTCCAGCCTTGGAACTAGTGGAAAATATAAAATAAAATGAGAAGTCTCCATTTTGTTGCCACATCCAAATTCTGGCACCTTTCCCCAATTCCACCTTCTCCCATTTATTTTCCAGAGTCCTCAGAGAGCTTCTTCATGCATTCTATCCAGAAGTTTTAGGTGCATTCAGTGGGCATATGCTTACTTCATCTTATTCAATACTGGAACTAATACAGATTTTTTTAGGTAAACATAGTAAATGAAATAAATATCCTTCATGCCTTGGATAGGATATACTTACTGCTAATGTTTTAACTTAAAATGCATTTTTATTTGACATAGCTAAGATGGTAATTCTTCTGCATAATTGAACTGTACAGATTATTAATTTGCAAACTTCAGTCCTCAGAAATTACAGTAGAAAAAATGCATACCATAGATTTTTAAATAAAAAACCAAACAGATCTATAGACTACATATATAATAAAAAGCTAACTACTTTATAGTTTAATGATTTGAAAATAATAGCATTTCCCTGAATTCTCATTAATAACACATTTGTTATTGGGATCAGCTTTTTGAATCTATCATTAGATACAGCTTATTATGTGGCCTTGCATTATCCACACTTGTAATCATCCACACCTGCTTAGCACAACTTATTCTTAGCAAGGTTGGAGCTTTTGCATTTTTTTCATCTAAGTGCTTTAGGTGGGATAGCAGGGTGATGGTGGGAAAAAAAGCAATGTGCTTGATGCATGAGCAAATACACTGACTTGAGTTTTCCTATTGAAAGGAGTTATCTGTCATCTCGCACCTTTTAGCTAAAAATATTTGATGTTTGTTTTGACTATTACCTCTGTTGCTGAACCCTGAGTTAAAAAAAAAAGTTACATATCTATAACTGAGGATTTCTAGGTTCCTGGATACTAAAGACTAACTGAAGAATTATTTGGCATGCCTTTGCCTAAAATGCCTATGGCCAGAATTTCTTGGAGGGCAGTCAGCACAAAGAGTATGAGACAGACAAGCCAGAGCAACTGGGTTCTAGGTCCAGTTTTTCCCTAAAGCATTGCCTTATATAGGGGTTTGGGTTTTTCACACTAAAACACCCATTGTCTCACTTAGTCTACCCAACCCTGCTGTAGTATTTTCCGAGTTTTAGGGATAAGAAACAAAGGCCAAAGCAGTTCAGATCTACTCTGTTAATCTTAGATTCTTCTCACTTGAATGCTACTAGCCAACTGTGTTACTAGGAAACCCAGTTTCTTGATCTGTAAACTCAATTTTTCCAAGGCCTTTTCAAGTATGATTGAGTCACATTTATACATTTTAGAAACCTATAAACCATAATATGTTACTTTACAAATGACACCTTAGTAAAATGCATTATTTTTGGCAGTTCACCAATCTACATATCTCAGAGTTTGTCAGTGAAATACAAAGCATTCCTTTTGACTGCACTCCACTACATAAGTACTGGCTGTGGATCATAGAAGCATATGTGACATATGATTAATAACATGATTCATATGATTAATTATTGTCTTTACAGAATTATTTAATTGGAAAATTGTTATCTATTTTAAAAGCTATTACATTTATTGGATAACAACCACCCGTCCAAATCCCTCTCAATCTAACTTGTCTCACTAACATACACACTCAATAGAATGGCAAAAATATGAATAGACAATTCATTGAAGAGGAAATGTATTTAGAGAAGATAGAGGGTAGAAGATGGATGGATAGATAGATAGATAATAAGTAAATACATACTTAGCCTCAGTTAATAGCCAAGTAAATACAAATTTAAATGAGACACCACTTTACAAACATATGGTAAAGATATATGGAAATGGGAAACTTTATATACTGGATTATGTTAATATTCTTAAAACCCTTTATAGAGTCTCTGGCATATGGTAAGAATTTAAAATTCCTTGTTAAAAGTCAATCAAATAATTAAATAATTAAACTTCTAGTGAAAGTGTGAATTGTTTCAAACCTTATAGAAACTTATCTGGAAATACCTATAAATATTAAAAGTTAACTTTTGAATGAACATTGCTACTTTTGGCCAATACTTACAGCAATAAAAGCACCAGTACATAAGAATATAGGTAGAAGACATTTATTTCAACAAAAATACTGAAAGTAAAGTGAATATTCAGTAGCAGGGGAACACTGAATAATTTTATCAGCCAGCGTCAAAGAGAACAGAGAAGTCATGATCATTTGAAGAGGGTTTATCCATAAAGGAAGTATTTTAAAAATATAATTAGTATGTAGGGAAACCACAAGTGCTACTTCAATGACCAAAGTTTAGTAGCATTGGAGTTGCTACCCTACCTAATTCCAAAGAGAGGAACCTGTGCAAAGTTCAGAAGAAAGTAGAGGAGAGGGCCCGGGTGCGGTGGCTCACACCTGTAATCCCAGGACTTTGAGAGGCCGAAGTGGGTGGATCACCTGAGGTCAGGAATTCAAGACCAGTCTGGCCAACAGGGCAAAAACCCATTTCTAGCAAAACTACAACAATTAACCAGGGGTTGTGGTGTGCTACTCGGGAGACTGAGGCAGGATAATTGCTTGAACCCGGGAGGTGGAGGTTTCAGTGAACCACTGGACTCCACCTGGGTGACTGAGCTCTGGTAAAAAAAAGAAAGAAAAGAAAAGAAGAGAGGAGAGGAGAGGGGAGGGGAGGGGAGAGGAGAGGAGGGGAAAGACTTCCTTGAGAGGATAAAGTGGCATTCTGCTGAAAAACAGTCAAGATGAGTATGACTTGCAAGAAAGTAGCCAGGGAATAAATATGCTGCCCTCACCTTTTTCTCCTCCTGTTAATCTCCTATTTGTCAACCCAACCAGAGGGCAAGGGAAACCATGGGAGTTTGCCTCCTAGAGAGCAGCACAGAGGTCAGTGGCAAGCAGATCTGGGTAGTCAAAGCGGAAGGTATCCAGAATGATATTCAGATTCCATGGACACTGTGGAATAATACACAGCTGCTAAAATGATGAATTGATATGGTTGACTATGCATGATACATATTCAGGAAAAAACTGGAGTGTAGAGTTTTAAATATTATTTAATTTTTAAAAAATAATTATATGTATGTACATGTGTCTGTATATATTTATGTATAAACCTATGTTTTGTATTATTCTATGACATGGTCAGTCAATTATGGCCGGGAAAGGAGGTTCAGGGAAAAAAAACAGTTTCTTATATTCATAAGTCCTGTAGACAGGAGGCACTGCACACCACACAGAGGTGCATGGAAAAGACACCAGGGTAGTTGGGTACAAGAAGACAGGAACAACAGGAAGGTTCAGGCCACTGCCTTTACTGAGGTTTCCATGGTAAAGGCAAAGCGGGCAGGGTGAACAGTTCAGGATTGACAAATTTGCATAATTTTGGTGGGCTTTGACTAGAGGGGTGATCTCGAGTTGCTTAGTACCTGGCTCTGAATAATTCAAGTAGAGTAATATTCTATCCTTGGGTGGTTGGACCACATAGAGGCAATATGGCCCTAATTGGTCAGTTTGTTTATCAAAGTCATGCTCCTGGCTGGGCCCTTGTGGTCTTTAAGAATTAGATAGCCCTTGTGGGGCAGTCTGTCTTCAGTCAGATACGTTTATTTTAAGAGGTCAAAACATCATACTGTAGAGAAAATGAATATTTACAATACAAATATATATACACATACAATCATGTATATATTGTATATTAAGTATGTATATATAGTGTTTGTGCAAAAAATGATATTAGGAAGAGTGTTTTTCACATTGACTTGAATACACTGGATATTTGGGGTGAATGCGAAAGGTGTGGAAGAAAGGCAGATATAGGGTTAGAGAAGGAAGGAGATTGTTACCTCTCCTTTATGCCTACATCCTTAGAGTTCCTGCAGAGTGCATTCACTTGTTATTTTAAAATCTAAGAGTTTAGTGCCACGAGAAAAACAGGAAAGAAAAGAAACTTTAAGATATTGCATCTATGGGCTAAAATATAAAAGTGTAGTCCAGGTCTCTCCAGCATTTCTTTTCTTCCTGAAGAAAATAAAGACCCAGTGAAAAATTTGATGGGTCTTGGTGAGTGTAAAGTCACTTTTCTGGAGTTCTTTTGTGTGTATACCTCATTTTTTCTAAGTGATTCACAAGTACCACTCTATCTTGGAGGAATGATGTAACAAGTGTTCAGGAGACACCATGAGCACTACTTCTTTAGTGAGAGCGATTCCGGAGAACCTAAGTGGATTAAAACACACACACACACACACACGCGCACACACACACACACACACGCATACTGTCTTACTCATACACATAATCTGCTCCTGAGATCACCTCTATTTAAATTTCAATAAATCATTAACCATTCTAGAAAATATTGACTATTATGTGAAAAATATACTTTTTGTGAAAGAACATAATATTGAAAGATAAGTAAATGAATCCAAAATTACATACTGAATGTATTAAAATAATTTTAAAACACCTTTAAAATAACTATTTTAAATTAAACCATTAAGATATAAGTAAAGTCTAGAGTATTCTCCTATGTTCCCAGCAGAGTTTAACTTTTATCTTATAAATATAAATGTTCCATGTAGATGGAAATTCCTGAGGACTGTAATATCTGGGGACTAATTTTTTTTCCTTTAGGCTGCAGGAGTGTCCAATCTTTTGCCTTTTCTGGGCCACATTGGAAAAATAATTGTCTTGTGCCACAGATAAAATATACTAATGATAGCTGCTGAGCTAAAAAAAAAATCGCAAAAATATCTCATATTGTTTTAACAAAGTTGATGAATTTGTGTGGGGCCGCATTCAAAGTCTTCCTAGGCTGCATGCAGCCCATGGGCCACAGGTTGGACAAGCTTGCTTTGGGACATTAACTTAGAATATGAGATCAATAGCTTTTCAAAACTTATCTTGGAAGCCATTATCCTTAGCACACTAACACAGAAACTGAAAAACAAATACTGCCTGTTCTCACTTAGAAGTGGGAGCTAAATGATGAGAACACATGGACACATATAGGGGAACAACACACACTGGGGCCTTTCAAAGGGTAGATGTTGAGAGGAAAGAGAAGATCAGGAAAAATCACTAATGGATACTAGGCTTAATACATGGGTGATGAAATAAGCTGTACAACAACCCCCCACAATACATTTACTTATGTAAGAAACCTGCACTTGTACCCCTGAACTTAAAAAAAAGAGATATGAGTGCCTATACATACTATGAATTCGTTTGTGCTTCCATCTTAAATGAGAAATATTGAGAAAATGGTAATACCATTAGAAGAGTAATGAATTGAAAACCAAACTGCTTCTTAAGGATTTCAAAATCCAACTGTAATTTAAAGTCTAAAAGGAATGGTGACCTTTATTTACTTGTGCTTGAAAAACAGCTTCCCAATTCTCAACCACAAGTAATTACAGTCATGCGTTGCTTAACAACGTGGGTATGTTCTGAGAAATGTATCCTTAGACAATTTCCTCATTGTCCAAACATCAAAGAGTATACTTAAACAAACCTTGATGGTATAGCCTACTACAAACCTAGGCTATATGGCATAATCTATTGCTTCTAGGCTACAAACCTGTACAGCAAGTTACTACATTGAGTACTATAGGCAATAGTAACACAATTCTAAGTATTTGTGAATTAAACATATGTAGATATAGAGAGGATACCATAAAAATGTTAAATTAAAGATTTTTTTTAATGGTATACTTGTATAGGGCACTTACCATTAATAGGGCTTCCAGAACTGAAAGTTGTTCTGGGTGAATCAGCGAGTGAATGGTAAGTGAATGTGAAGGCAAAGGACATTACACCACTGTAGACTTTATAAACACTGTACACTTAGGCTACACTAAATTTTTTTTTAAACTTCTGTTTTCAATAATAAATTAGTCTTAGCTTACTGTAACTTTTTTACTTCATAAACTTTTAATTTTTTAACTTTTTGCTTTTAATAATAACAGCATAAAACAATGTATAACTCTACAAAAATATGTTCTATCCTTATAAGCATTTGTTTTTCTTTTTTTTTTCTTTTTAAACTTTTTTTTTTTGTTAAAAATGGAGACACAAACACATTAGCCTAGGCCTATACAGGGTCAAGACCAAGATGTCACTAGGTGATAGGAACTTTTCAGCTCCATTAAAATCTTATGGGACCATCAACATATATGCAGTCCATTGCTGACCCAAAACATCATTATGTGGTGCATAAATGTAGATGTTTACTCTCTGCTCAGTCCCAGTTTTGGATAAGCAGTGTTACTAGTATAAACATTCCCTTTCATCTGTAATGCCCAAGTTTCTGCGTAGATTGCATTAATATTCAATAGTCTAAGGGATTCTTGTGAGTGAAGCATTGAGAAAATATGGATTTTCTCTTCCTATGCAAATGATATTTGTAATTTGAAGATCAAGCAGAAGTTTTCACTAGGGCTTATATCTGATTTTAAACTATCAGGTGTGTGAAATACAGCAGGTTTTTATTTTAGTGTTTCTACATAGTCCTTTGAAATACTTTAGAAATATAAGATGTCGTAAAGATTTTGATACCGTTAAGAGTACTTTGCATGTTCACGGTAGGTGATTAGCAACATAGATGAAGTGGCTGAAGATGGCTGCAATAAAGATAGATTGTTTATAATTCACATAAACTAATTTAGCTTTGTAATACAAGTAGGGAAAAAAGACTGTGCAGATAAATGAACCTTCAAAAAGGGAGATACCACTTCTATGTTTCTCTCATATCAGCCTCATGACTGGAATTTAAATGGAGCAAAGCATACTGGGATCTGACCTACTTTTGAAACAGGGAAACATAATAATCATTTGTAGGCAACTGTACAATGAGGGAATTCATTGAGGCCCTTCCTTCAGCAGCAACTTATCTCAAAGTCAGAAAGTTACTCTTTAAGTCTGGAATGTTGGTTAAATGTTACTCTGGTACTAATTTCTATTTCTTCTGGTCAATTGGGATTCCCTAAATACTTGTGAATTTTTATTGTTTACTGGAGTATTTTGTATAACTCCACCCCCGTTATTCACAGATACCCATGTTTATAACACGTTTTCTATTTTTAAAGTATTTTCAAATGTCATTGACTTTCAAATATTACCTTTCACAATGCAACTTGCTGATCTTATTTAAAAACACATGCCAGACTTGGACTTGCTACAGGTAACACGCTACACTGGCACAGCTGTTTCATCAGCCTTACCTGGGATCATTTTCAAAATTCCAGGGCAAAGCAGGAGTCCCACAACTAAATGCCTGGAATATTTCCAGTCTCACAGCACTGAGTCAGTATGACACACAGACAGTGAGTCAAAGCCACATTAGGTTCTCAGGTCTATAAGATACCAAACAACTGGTGCTCTCACTGTTCTCTCTTCCTCTCTCTGTCTTTCTCTCTCTCACGCTGAAGGAAATATGGAAACTTTTACATTATGGGCACAGAGTCTGCTGGGAAGAGTACTAAGAGAGCCAAGCTGTATGTGCGAGCTCTGTGGGTAGGAACATAAGTCACACTGGGATCTTTCCAGGCATGGATGCAAATGTGGAGTATGTCGCCCATCATTAGTGTCAACTTCAGACGTGAAAGGTAGCAATTATATAGCTGATTTTTAAAAGGAAAAACATGTGTAGCAAAGAATTGATAAAAGTATATTAAAATGTGACTCTTATATTTTAACTCATAGGAGCGGAGCCTGGAATTTAGGACATTTTGTTAATACTTAAGCAATGGACTTATGTACATTAACGTGGGGAAAAACTGCATCAGGTTTAAATTTTGATGATATAAAATACATAATCTACCAGACTGAAATTATACCCTTGACATCGCAGAATTATAACTTGAGCTAAAAAGATCATTACTAGTGATTTTAGAATGTTGTTTATAATCACAAATTCAATATAGGAAGCTAAACATCAGTAACATTGAAATAGCTAATCTCGTAATTGCTTACTCTGTTTTAGGAATTCATTTTTGTACTTCTGGGTGACTGAAAGCAGTGGTATAGGAGGAGGTTCATAAAAGTATATGAAAGGTCTTACAACAAAGAACAAACAGGTGATTGTTACTGGAAAACTTGTATAAGCATGTCCAAGTTTGAAAATTGTAATGTCTTCCCATACCTTCAATCACCAACATTTGAGCACATAGGAAGCTTTCACTCTGGTAGAAAATAGAACAGAAAGTAAAAGAGAACAATAAGGAGCTAAGTGCATAAGTAACCACTAGAGAAAAGCAAAGCCCATGGCTATTTTGTGATGCTGGGGAAGGCAGGACAAATTACCACCAGATGATATGACAAACTTCTTGTGAAATATGCCTCTAGAGAACACTTACAGGTTAATATCACAGGAAGGGTGCTGGTAAAAGAGTCTTTACCTGAAGAAAATAATTTTAACTCTTTTCTAAGTACCTATTGCTCACAGTCTATTTTCTTCTTTATTCCTATGGTGTGTCTAGTAAAGAGATTATACCAGGCAACAATTTTTAACAGTGTCATGTCACACAGCGTGTTTGCAGGTTGGAGCCTACTGAATATACTTATTGACTAGTGCTAAATTTTTAATGGTAGTCCATGATTTAATAATGACCTATATAGGTCCCTGCTGCCTCTCAATGTTACTGATTTTCCCTCACTGTCACTGGCTGTCTTCCACTCCCCCATAATGTGTTAGCTCTTGGGGAAAAAAATCGCTATCATTAGGGAGCCTGTGGATTCAAAAGCAAAGGAAGACACAAAGAGGTGAAAAGGCAATAAAATATTACACATATATAGTGTGTGTGTGTGTGTGTGTGTGTGAAATATATTTTAGGAGAAGCAGAGTTTTATACTCTTAGACTGGGCTGATAGGCCCACTCTGTGACCCACTGCCAAATCTAACTACTTCATATGCTTGCTGGCTGAATTTTTCACTTAACTTCATATTGGGTCAAGAGTTCAAAGGCCTCTTGTTGGGTTCCAAGAATTAGCAGAAGTGTTTTAATATCTATTGAGTGACTGATAAGTAACAAGCACTGTGATAGACATGTATTCTCACAACTACCCTGTGAGCTATAATAATATTAATCCAATTTAAAATAGAGGGGAGCAAAAGCTCAGAAAAAAAGTTTAAGTAATTTACCAAGACAAGGGTGACGGGGCCAAAATTCAGATATGTCGAACCCCAGAGAATATCTCTGCTGCTTCTTTTGCTATTCCACATTGCCTCTGCAATGTTACCAGCACTTTATATTTTAATGTGATTTAATTCAGTCTGGAGCCATTCATTCACTGGATTCAACAAACACTTGTCGAGCACTGTGTGGAGTACTGTTTTACTTCCTGAAGCCTCACTGAGATGAGCTCACTGAGGAATTTGAGTTTGGTGTGGGAGTGGGTTAAGTGGCTGCATGTTGATTATTTAGCATAAGCATAAATGGGCAATACCTGAGAAAGGCCCCTAAGGACTTCATGGACTAAGAATTAGAAAATAAACTAGATAATGAAGAGTAAGAAGGTACTAATGACTAATTTTACATCTTTTAAAAGCATCACCAGGTTTGATAGCTTTTAAATTGTCAACCTGGCTAAGTTGAACTACATTTCCCTAAATTCCCTGTATGTTCCTGGTTAAGGTAGGTACCAAGAAATATTTTAGGAGAGATTTTGAGGGCAAGTGAAGCAGCACCCATTTTGTCTTTATGCTCAGATCAAGGCAGGCACTTTTGTAGCTTATGCATGTTGTCACTACTCTGCTTGCTCACATTATTCCAGTAGGGGTCCTATCCAAGTTGCACTGCCTCACCTTCCCTGACTCTCCTTTAGGTTCTCTGACTTCTGGGCCAGGGCATGTTTAACTCCATGACAAAGGGTACCAGCTTCTCCTGAAGGACAGCCACTTCATCAAGGTTGGAGGCAGTTCTACTCTGTCCTCATAAGTTTACAATCACCTCCTGCTCATTGGTTCCAGATTGTCCCGATGCTCCCCCACTTCATATGCATCTTCCCTTCCCAACTGTCTGTGCCTATTGTATTTCAAGTTCCAGCACCAGACACAGAAGAAATGGTCTGAGACTGTTTAATCAGCTTCCACAATTGTGTGAAGTCAAATTCCTGTACTAAACCTTGCTTCTCTGATAGTATCCTAATATGTGAGGAAGGGAGAGATCTAGATGTTTTCCCTCCCACTTTCTAGACCACATGACCTACCTGTATCTAATACTCTTTCAACATCAAATGTTTATGTTCCCCAGAGACTGCATGCCTCTTTTCTCCTTGGTTCACTTGGTCTCTCTAAGCCACCTCCTACAGTCCATGTTTTCAACCACCTCTAACAGCCTCTACAAACTACAACTACCACTCAGTATCGGTAGGCTGAATTTCTCTTGCAAGCTTCAATCCTGTATATCCAATTGCCTACTGAACATGCCCACTTAGATGTTTGCACTACAAACATTTAATTTGTCCAGAATCAAAGTTATTATTGCTCGCCCCATCCTCTGAAAAAAAAAAACCCGCAAATGAACTGACAGATAAGCAAGCAGCCCTCTTCTCCCAGTGATTTTTCTTATTAGAATGACCATCCATCTAGTGCTCAAGCTGAAATGCCAGTTTCCTTTCATACCTCGCTATTCTCCATACCTAATCACTAAGCCATACATTTTCTAAACATCTGTCAAATCCATTCACTTTTTTCCAAGCCACCCACTCTCCAAGATTTATCTGTTATTAAATGTGCATCTTGTAAGACATACAAAATATATACATTTGCTGTATACATTATATATAATACATTATATATAATATTTATTTGCAATATGTACTTTGTATATATTTACATATATGAGCTCATGTTATGCATCCTTTCCTGAAACTTGCTTTTTCACTTAATATTTTGTAAACAGTCTTTTTAACTATTGAAAAGTATTATGTGTCATGAGAGTACCATTATTTATTTAAATTATGGAACTAATAGGCACATGTGGTGTAAATGCATGCAGAAATCTATGAAATAGAGAGTAAAATCTACCATTTTTCATGGTTTCCTTTCTATTCTGCTGTTGCTGCCACTGCTAAAAGTTTATTACACTGGTCATACTTAGTTTAATGTAACAACTTTAAATCTTGTGCTATACTTCTATTTTTTGATTTGTCAACATTAAACAGTAACTATTTACTTCCTTCAATAAAGTTTGAGAATTCACTGTAGTTAGACTATTGTCCATGCCCCTGCTACAAATTCAACATTTTTTACTGATTTAGTTTTAGTTTTTTTGTGTAGTAATTTCAACTTTAAACTAAACTATAATTTTTATGGCTTTATATCTTCTTTTATCAACTTTCAACACTATCTACTGAGTCTCCTCTATGAAAGATGAGCTAATGATTAACACACTGGCTTTTCCTCCATCTTATTTTTTCTGTTCCATGTCTCAGCTTCCATCATCTCTATCATGATTTTGGCAACATCAAGATTAATAATATTGATCAGTATATTCAGGTACATCACTCTACTTAAATTTATTCTCCTTTATTTGTAGGTTTTTTAATAAAGGCTGAAAACCAATAAATAACATTTTTACATCCACATTTAAATACTATTTACTGTAGAATCAAATAAGATATATGGGTCATAAAAAGAGCAATAAAACCCTATGTCACTGAAGCTTCTAAATGGCAAATGGCTAATGGCTTCTGTTGTTGTTTTATTTTTTTCTTTCCAGTGTCCTTCACTTTTTCTAGGTCATACTCAAATTTTTCTTATATCCTATGTAATACTTCCTTGGATTACCAGGAGCATCTGCAGCTGAAGAACTTGAGTTCATTACTTATTGCAGCTGGAAACTGTAGGGAAGCATCTCACTAAGGAGTGTTAGAATGAACCTACTATTGGATTTAGAATTATTTTACATGATTTGGGAGAGTTTAAGTAAGTAGGGCTTTCTTTAAATTGTATGCTCTCAGGAAGTGAAGTAATCCTGTGATTGGATGTCACAGTAAATCTAGAAGGAGAGAACATTAGATAAAGGTTAAAGATATAATTGATAAGGAAAAAACTGTCACTCTTATTAGACAAGATAGGAAGATGCTGGTCACATTTGTGGTTTGAAAAATATTCGTGTTTTGTCTGTGTTCAGACATGATTACATAGTGGTCTTTATTTCTCTTATTTCATCATGGTCACAGAGTGGACTTGTCTCATCTTGATGTTCTATGAAACTGCTTATGTTCAACAGGAAAAACCAAGGCCTATCTGTGAGTGCTAGGACCAACACCAAGACTTTACTACCAGGCCACGTGTTCCAGAATGCTGATTTTGGGCTGCTATCTATCTGTCTATCTATCCATCCATCCATCCATCCATTAATATCTATCTAATCTTCTATCTATCGTCTGTCCATATATTGCTTTGACCCTTGAACAACACAGATTTGAACTGTTTGGGTCTCCTTTTGCATGGATTTTCTTCCACCTCTGCCACCCATGGGACAGTAAGACTAAGCCTTCCTCTTTCTCCTCTTTCTTAGCCTACTTAATTTGAAGACAATAAGAATGAGGACCTTTATGATAATATACTTCCACTTAATAAATATTAAATATGTTTTCTCTTCCTTATGATTTTCTTAATATTTTTTCTCTAGCTTACTTTATTGTAACAGTACAGTATATAATACATATAACATGCAAAATATGTGTTAATTGACTATACCATTGCTTAGGCTTCTTGTTAACAGAAAGCTATTCATAAAAGTTTTGAAAAATAAAAAGTGATATTCAAATTTTTTACTGCATGGGGGTCAGTGTCCATAACCCCCATGTTATTCAATGGTCAACTATATATTATGTATGCCTTGTATAAAATCTTACATATATACATATATGTATGTGTACAGGTAGATATATAATCTTATATATATAATCCTATACATATAAAATCTTACACATATTCTTATATGTGCATAACATGTGGTTTTTGTATATGTGTTTGTGTATATATAGATACATATAAACACATATGTACATATACATATATATGTGAGGATACGAGTGGTTTCTAACTTGAGGTGATTTTGATCCCCCGCCTTTACCAATGATGCTGCTAAATATCCCACAATGCACTTGATACATTTTCACAATAAAGAATTATCTGACCCAAAGTGTCCATAGTGCCAAAATTGAGAAACTCTAATATGCACATATATATGTGTGTGTATATGCATATCAAATCATATGTGTACATGCATATTCTTACATATAAACATATATATGTGTATGTGTGTGCTTAATAGATTAGAAATGTTCTGAGTTCCTCCATATCCCCTAATTTTTATTTTTTTCTCAAAATTTGTTTATATATAGAATTATAGGCTTAAAATTAGAAAACATTACTCCACTGTCTTCTATTATTCAGTATTGCTGATGAAACTGAGGTAAATATGATATTTGTTTCTTAATATTTAAGTTTTTTACTCTCCCTTTTCTCTTTTGTGATCTTTCAGGGTTTATCTACATGTCTGTCTTTTTGTAATTTTTCTCATTAATTCTGTAGGCCCTTTCAACATAAACATTTATACTATACATATATTATACTATATTAGTTTTGAAAATTTTCTATTAATTTTTAAATGTTTTTTCTTCTCCATTATTTCTGTTTGCTACACATTCTGAGTCTATCTTCCACATATTATAACCTTTCTCATATACTTTCTTATACTTTACCTTTTTATCGTGTAGTCTAGGAAACTTATTTTATTCCTGATCACATATTTGCTCTTCAGCCATTTTTATAGTATCAATCAGAAAATTCATTATTTTTGTTCTCAAAAATCATATTTTAATTTTCAAGAACTTTTTGTCATTCTTTATTTTATCATGACAGCCTGGTTTTGTTTTAAAAATGCAGTATCATTTGAAAATCTCTAACGATATTAAGTATATATTTTAATTATCTTTTTTCTCAGATGATTTGTTTCCTAGGCAGTCTTATTATTGCTAACACCCATGGTGCTGATTGTTCTCAACTCTCTTGTTAGTCTTGATTGCCTATTCATAATTAATTGAATGACTAGATTGATTAATATAGGCAGGGAGCCTGGAGACCCACACAGTTGCCAAAACAAGAAGTGACTCTCGAGGTGAAGTGGGATAAATTCTTTCCCTCAGGGGCAGATTATAATTTCTAGTTTCCCCAGTCCTATCTGCTGTGGCAGTTAGGACTTGTCCAAAGCTCCAGGGTGCTTTTCTCTTAGGACTTCAAACTCTTCCCAGACAGACCAGAGACTTTCTGTAATTTGCTCCAGCGTTTTACCTTGAGAGCAAATCTTTTCTTACCAGTCATTCTGTTTGGCTGTGGGAGGAAGGAAAGGCTTACTCTCTGGGCTATTTTGTATTCAATCATTTAATGACTTTTTCTATGGCCCCAAGGCCCACTTCTGTTCTTTGAATTTGTTGGTTTTTATTTGGGACTCCTTTAGGAATAATTTGGGGAAAGAACTCATACGTATACCTTGGGCTGGTGTCTCCAGGGCCTCTCTAGATGTTTGAGCAGGTTAAACCCTGCATAATTCTATGCAAATTGAGCCCCTAGAGTTATACAGTACACAGCTTGAAAAACATAGCTCTGGTGTTTCATCTGCTGTGACTTCACTGCCAGTCTTTATCTAGCTCCCAAAATGTTTGCAAATTCTTAGCATTGTGGTTTCCCAATGATCTCATTGTTTTATTCTCTTGAAATATTATGTAAGTATTCAATATGACCTTGGAAGGAAGAAAAAAATAGTAGTACTGGCTAATGACTTGAACCAGAAACCTTAGACTATATTTAGTAATACATTTTCCTCCTGATATTACCTATAATTGGTCTATGTCCCCTGCATATTATCTCACCAAAACCCATAGAAGGGAGAAACAATAAAGCTGAACACAATAGGTATATATAAATTTTTCAGTGTTATTTATGAAAAACTGTGGCTTATCCAGAGTAACACAAAAATCACAGAGATTTTTTGGAAACTATGTTTGTATTAGCCTCTGATACTTTAAATAAAGAAACATTAAATAAAGGTGCATGTATATAAGTGAGAGTCATGAGGATAGAAGTTATTATTTTTTAAATAATATTTACATGTCTGTATGTTTCTCTATTTAAAACTTTCAGCTATGTAAATATGATTTAATGAAAAAAATGATTAGACATTCTTGAAACTTCTAGTTTAAGAGGGAAGAAAACAGAGATAAAAAGGAAAAAATAAAAGACGTATTACTGACTATTTCTTCCTTTCCAATTCTAACGAATGGTATATAGTCAGTTGTGGCTTTACCTTAATATGTGTCCACCAAGGATAAACAATGTGTCACAGTTTCCCCGAGAAGCAGAATCTGAGATGGAGACTAGCACGCCATATATTTATGAGGGGGTGCTCTTAGGATCAATGCCTATGAAAGGAAGAAAAAGAAAGTGGGGAAAGCATAATTGAACAAGGCTGTAGTCCCAAACAAAACCTCAGCCCACCCCACTGGAAGCTCCAGAACTCATCTGGTGTTTAAGAGATCTCTCAAATTAGGATGAAGGAGCTTGGCTGTTATATTCCCAAATTGGCCAGACATTGAGTGTAGCACACCCTAAAAAGGTGTGACTTGGCTAAGGCAACTTTCTTCCAAGGATAACCCCCTAAAAAGCTGATACTTGACGGCTATCTTATGCTATTCCTCCCAACAGTTAGGGAAATAAATACTTTATTCCTGAAGGGAGACATGGGCAGTACAACCTCATACATCAACCACAGCTCACTCTGTCACTTGGATTCACTTCTTATAGGTTCTGGGAACATCTTTATTCTCTAGATATAAGGTTGGGGGGCATTAAGAGGAAGCAGGTTAGTGGGACAAACCAGCCCAGATACCAGGTCACAGTATCATACAAGGAAACGTTTCTCAAAGGCTACAAATCTCCAGAATACTAGGGATCTGCATGAGATTCTCCCACTAGGGGCTTGCCATAAAATCTGTATGGCATTCTTTCCAGTCACTCATATCTCCAAAACCACAGGGCCTTTCAAGTCATATAACCCAACCCAAGCAGCAAGATTGCCTGCACTGAAGCCTGGAATTACTTCAGAGCCCTCTCCTGCTCTGGAGCCTGTTGTGGGTGTGACTGACTGGGGTTGGTGTCACAAGAGGTAAAAGAATTTGCCAACACGGTTGTGGGTAAAGAAGACAGATTTATTAGAGGAAGTATGACGATACGTTGCAAGAAAGCAACAGGCAGCACAGCAGAAAAGGGGCTGACTGCAAAGAGTCAGGGGCTGCAGGGACATTTCATAGGGTTGTGCTGCTGGGTCTACATGCAAAACTAGGTAGTTGTGCCAGCAAGTTGATTAACTGACTCTCAGAACAATTGTTCTCCCCTACCCAGGGCCCCTTCCTTGTTGTTGCTTACTTATTAGGACTCCACATTCCCACCCCCCAACCCCAACTGACACAACAACAATGACAAATCTTTGACATTGGGGTGAAGGTCTCATCTTCCAACTGCTTCCTGCTGGCCTGGGACATAGAATTGACCCTACCTATGGTTACTGGTCTATCAGGAGACCCTGTGTGTTACTGTTACTGTCCTAGAATGTGGGACTTATGATATTGGATCTTGCTGGAGGAAGGGGTTCATCAGAGAGGGAGAACATGTCAGGGCAAAACTGGTGTCCAGCTGAATCCAGGGGAGATTTGTAAAGATATCAGACATCATTGGGGAGATACTGACATCCCATTCACATCACCATTTGAAGTTGAAACTGCCAAATTCTGGAAGACACAAATTTGACAAGTAAGTTACTGGAAAATGACATCCAGGGTTGGGATGTTTGGGGTAACGTGAGGGAGAAGGAACAGATGGAGTAAGTGTAATTGAATATGAAGGTGGTTTGTCAAGGAAAGGTGTGGCCTCAGCTGGTTCATCTGGTTGGGAAGAACAGAAGAGAGTAAAAGAAGGTTCGTCCAAAATGTTAGAAGAGCAAGTGAGGCCAAAAAATTTGGCCAAGCACATCAGCAGGTTTGGCAGAGTCATGAAAGCCTGGATGTAAGGAACTTCAAACCATTTAAAAGAATTGTGACAGAAAAGGCCAAGCTGCAGAATAGTGTTGGGGGCAAGGGTCCTGCCTGGAGGCCAAGAGGATTCCTGACCTGGAAGGTTATAGAGTGGTCATGCTGTATTACACAAGAAAATTAGATGTTTCTTTTTGAGAGTCTGAGGGTCAGATTTATCCCAAAGCCTTAAAACGCAGCCCGGCAGCGAGTCTGAAGGAATGGAAAGGCTTTGTCCTATAATGGGACTGGGAAACAAAGTCTACTGGGAACATGAACTGCAATTTCTCTCAGGGCGTCCCGCCAGGGAAAGGGGGTTCCACTTATGTCCACTGAGGGATCCACTTTCCAAAGGGGCATCCAACCTATTGGAAAGGATCTCCCGGCGCTAGGGCCTTGCGCTGGATGAACACTGGGTGAGCGACCCCAGGTCAGTCCAGTACAAATTATGCGGGGCTCTCAATCCAGGTATTGTTGGGGGGCGCGGAAATGCTGAGGGACGACTCACACTCCCGGCCCTATCGGGGATCACCTAGCTTAAGATGTCCGAAGCAAGGTGGCTGGCTGTCTTCATGTGGGAACTTAGAGAGAGAAAGAGGGGGCCTGAGTCCCCCAAAACGTGTAGATTCGCCCTGGTCGAAATTCCACTGCCAATCACGCCGCACATACGGCCTGGGGACTTTTGACCAGTAAGGATAGGAGAGAGCCTTCCTCCCTCCCTGGCAAGGCAGCCACACCTGTTCACCTCCTGTTCTTCAGGCTACACCAGGTGTCATCAATTGCCAGAGGGCTATTAGAGTTTGTCCTCCAGAAGACTGAAAATGAAAGCAAAACTCTAAACTCTCACCTGATGGGGCGGCAGCCGTCAGAAGTCTTCACAATGAGACCTTCTGATTCGCCAGGAAGTGGCCCTGGCTGGGGACCTTCACTTGTCTCCGTGCTTGGATGCTGTCCACCTGGAAGCTGGAGTTGGAGGAGAGGAAAGGGGGGAAGTAAGGGAGGAGTCCTCTAGCAGTCCCTGTATGCGCCATCATAATGTCATGGGTGCAACTGGCTGGGACCAGCGTCGCAAGTGGTAAAAGAATTTACTAAGACAGTCATGGGTAAAGAAGGCAGAACTGTTAGAGAAAGTATGAAGATACCTTGCGAGAAAGCAGCAGGCATAACAGCAGAGAAGGAGCTGTCTGCAAAGAGGCAGGGGCTGGAGGAAAGTTTTATAGGGTCCTGCTCCTGGGGCTACATGCAGAACAAGGTAATTTTGCCAGGGGGTTGTTTGTGATTCGTAAGAACAATTGTTCTCCCACACCTGGACCCGTTCCTCTTTGCTGCTTACTTATCTTTTTAGGACTCCAGAGAAACCCTCAAAGTTGCCAGCCTTTCAGGTCACTAGGTATATCCCTAGGTGTAAAACCTGTTGACTCCAGGTCTATCAGCCATTGTGTTTCACCCTTCATGGTGGGACTCACAAAGTATGATGTTATCCTTTGCTTTGCAGAGAATGTCCTGGCATACTGGACCTCTAAAATTTTCATTAACACGATGGGACCCTGAATTTTTATAGAGTTTATTGCTCAAAACCTGGAGTACATGTGGCTTACCAAGATTTCCATCATGCTAGCTATTTCTTGCTCATCCAGTCCAATTATAATAATGCCATTTATATAATAGTGGAGCAATATGATATTCTGTGAGATGTCCAGGCAGCCTGGATTCCTTCAAACTATGTTATGACAGAAGACAGAATAGCTACCAGAGCCATCAAGCAAAGCTGTAAATATATTCTGTTTTCTGTTCCTTTTTCTCTAATAAAGATACAAAAGACAACATTCACCAGATCAAATCAATGGTCACTTATCACGTTTCTGAGGCCATGTTACTCCATTCTAGCAAATATACCACATCTGACATCACAGCAATAATTGGGGCTACTGTTTTCTTAAATTTACAGTAATCTACTTTATACTCCAATATTTGTCCACTATATTTTGTTTTGTTTTTCAGAGGAAAGGCTTCTACATTCAATAAAGATACAATGATGACCACCAGCCCTGCATCTTTTAAGTATTTAAAGGTAATGCTAATTTCTGTCACTCCCTAAGAATGAGATATTGTGTTTTATTTACTCTTGGCTAGGGGTATGGATAGAGCATTTCCAGAGATTTCCACTTGGTTTCAATTGCTCATAACCACAGGCCAAGAACCCAGTATATGGGATGGCACCAACTAGCAAATATAACTGTTATACATTTGTGGACTCTAGAAATGACTATTGGGTGAGTCTATACATCTGATGGACCCATTGGGAATTATTCCTGGGCCAGGACGCCATTTATTATATATTCTCATATGATTGCACCGTAACAGGGTAGCCATGAAACTCTTCAGGTCTCAGGGTATCATATCATCTCAGCCTTGTGTCCAACATTCCTTAAAATGTTCAGCTATTTTTCTTTTTCTACTACAGTTACCTGAGTAAATACCTGAAGGCCCCTTTGGGAAAAGACTTGGCAGTTAATCATAGCCATGTACAATTGCTGTGGCTTTGTGGAGCCCTTTCGCCTGGTGACTCAGACTTTTCTTCAATGAATTTGAGGTCCAAAATCTGGCTCTGAAATGGAAACTGAGTAGGTCATCTTGGCTTTTTATCAGTATATCTGCAGTAACCCTCAGATTCTGATTACTTATCTTTGGTGTTATAGATGGAGTGATATACTTTTTGGCTACCTACCTAGGGTTACTCCTGGGATACTGTGTTCTATTAACCACCTCCATAACACTGAGTTGGGCTTCCTTGGCTTCTTGACTTAATTCCAGTCTTAATTATTGCCAGGGCGATTATGACCACATCCCTTCTGACGGTTAACAGCTACCATCTGGCCTCTATTGTTTTAGGTCCTATTATCCCCATTGCTATTAGACGTCTTAGTTCTGTACTGGTATTTCTCACTCACCTGGCCTAGAGACAAGGGCAATAAACTTCTCAGTAATACCAGGTCCAGTCTCGCCAACATAGTCATTATTGTTTCAGTAAATGCTGTATCCTACTGTTCCTCTACACCCCCATAAATTAGAAATGTCAATGGGCTTTCCAACCATATATTATATGTTTAACATACCCATATCTCTGAGACTTTTATCTCTTCTTCTACCATCTGCCTTGACAGTTCCAAAATTACCACCTCACTTAGAATGGGCTGTCTAAGCGGCATGCTACTAGGTGGCATTCTAGCTATGCATTCATATCATCTTCCAGGGCTCTTTCCTGAGTGATTAATTCTGATTCTTTGAAGAATATCATCCAGGTTTATATTCTACCCTCCCACCTTCGGCCAGCATCCTCAGAGAGCAGTCCCAGGCATACTCTCCCACCTCATACAAATTCATGTTGGTCAGGTCCTAGTGTCCCTTAGAGGTGTAATTCCTTTTGTCCCTTAGTAGGCCTGGTACATTCCTACCTAGGTGATTGTAAATTTTTGCCTAAATTATTTTCCTGATGGCCAAGGAGGTCGAGGGTCAGGGAGAGAAGGTTAATACTGAAGGAGGAATACCTGTTATGTTTTAGGAAAGAGGCCTCTATATTTTGTTTAGACAAAGGAGGTTGCTAACCCTTAGTGAGATTAATTGGGACTTCTGTAAACTGAGGGGATTGAGGGGGTGTTGGAGATTCAAGATGTCTCGATGTCATTTCAGGTATCCCCATTCTAGATGTCAGTATCTTATTCTTTCCGCACAAAGAATTTACCTTGTCATGACACATCTGCCTTGGTGGGGAATTTAACCTTACTTTGGAACTTGGCTACTCCTATAATTCAGTTCTAGGCCTGGTCCTCAGCCTTTCTCTGCTCTCTTGCTATTCAAGATGGGAATTTATTTGTATGCTACCAAGGAGGCCCTCTGGCTTTCACACTTGGCTTTTATTGCTGATTAATCACTTTTAGCTTGTTACCTTTTACCAGAATATTGATAGAACTTAGCAATAGCAACTCAAGTCCAATATCCTTGAAATCACCATACCTCCCATAATTCTCAAATGCCTAATGCATTGCACAAGGTAATGCTGTCCCTTCCACATTAAGTCGTCCCAGTTTGCCACTGATGAAAGTTTTAATAATTTTATGCTACCTTATGCTCAGGGGCTATTTGTGCTCACCTACTACCAATAATGGGATCCTCAATTTCATCTCCAGCAAAGGGCAGGTGATCCAGCTTTAAAATCCCACTCCGTGTCTGGTTTCTCTGACTCCACTGGAGTAATGGAGTTTTATCTCTGGGAAGCAAACTCTGAGCTACAGATTAGTATGTATGAAGAGGGTTTTTGTTTGTTTGTTTCTGAAATGGATTCTTGCTGTGTTACCCAGGCTGGAGTGCAGTCGAGCAGGGTCTTGGCTCCCTGCAGCCTCTGACTTGCAGGTTCCAGAGATTCTTCTGCCTCAGCCTCTAAGATAGCTGGGATTACAGGCATGCTCCACCACGTCCGGCAAATTTTTGTATTTTTTTTTTTTTTTTTTAGTAGAGACAGGGTTTCACCATGTTGGCCAGGCTGGTCTCAAACCTAGGATTACAGGCATGAGCCACCATGCCTGGCCAGGAGAGATTTATTAAGGAATTTCCTTGGGATCAACATTTGCAGAGGGAGGAGCATAAAACAAAAGGTGATTAGGCAGAGGGAGACCTTAAGCTGGGATGATGTCCTGACACATGCCTAAACTGGTACCATGGGAAGTTCTCGAAATGTAATGGTCCATGAGAGTGGTATCAAGTTGGGACAAGGAGACCTTTTTTATCCCCTTGTTAATAAGTCTTTGTATGCAAGCTCCTCCTGGAAGGAAGCTTGAAGCTGAATGAAGCAATTTCATTCAGCTAAGGCAACTCTCAAAGAGAACTGACATCTAAAGGAATCATCCAAGAGTGAGAAATAAATCCTTCACTCTGAAGGGTGATCTGAATGACACATCATAGCATCCACTGCATGAGGTGATACATTTCAGCTGGAGATACATCTTTCAAATTGAGGATGGAAACAAACAAAAAAAGTGACAAAATAATGTAAATAGTTCTTATTGTTGTTGGTTTTTAAATGTGACTAGGAGAGGAAAATCATTTAAAGAAGAAGGACACTCGTCTGTTATTCGCCTATTTCTTGAAACACAACTTATTGAGCAAAAAATCTTGCATTTTAAGTATCGATGGGATTTAGATGTGAATAAGAGATAAAGCTCTACACTCATGAAGATTATACCTACAGAAGGGTCAGATTATAACCTACAGAAGGGGTCAGATAGTAAATACATTAGCAAATATATATGGCAATTTCAGATAATTTAGTAATAAGCATATTTTAGTTTGATAATTTAGTGCATTTTATTGGGCACCAGCTTCATGCATATACTAAGTACTATATAGAATAGAGAAAAGTGTATATTTTGTTATTATCCTCAGTTAATTTACAATCTTACTGGGGCAATCAGAGAGGCAAATAGGAAATTTGCAAACTGAAAATGAATGTGTAATTAAGGTTCAAATAAATAAACCAAATAATAACTGCTATGTGGTGTTTCTAAAAGTATAATCACAAGTCCACCAGAGTCAGAATCACTTGTAAATTTTGTTAAAAACAAAAATTCTGTGGGCTCACCATTGATTTACTGAATCCAAATATCTAGAATGGAGCCTGAAAATGTGCATTGTACAAGCATTGCAAGTAATTTTGATATAATGTTGTGTTTGAGAGATGTATGTAAAAAATGGAAACTCAGAATGGATTAAAATAATTGCCAATGGGCAGAATTCAAGTGAGATCCATGGAGCCACAAGCATTGAGAAGAACCATGAAAATAGATGGAATTTATATCAGTGAAGATGGGAGAATATGTTTCAGGTAGGGGGAATTGAATCCTAGGAATGAATAAACGAGCAAAGGATATTTAAGACATTTTGAATAGATCATACAGATTATAATGTTGTGCAAACGAGAAACATAGGAAATGAAGTTAGAAATACATTTGTATCAGGTAGTGGAGAGCTTTGAATTCCAGACTTAGAAATTTTTACTTTATTCTGAAAGCAATGGAGAGTATTTATTTATGCCAAGGGAGAGTGTTTATTTAGGCAAAGTTTTGTGAACATTAACCTGGCTGTGGTGAGTAGGGTAACTTGAAATGAAGAGACACTGTAAACAAGATGTCAGTAAAGAGACCATTGAGATAGTGCAGGTATGATATGAACAGCCTAGATTTATGTAGTGGAAGTGGAAGAGGTAGATGGATGTAAGGAAGACTGCAGAAAGAATACTTCATACATGTTTTCATTTGCTTCTTTAAAAAAGTGAAAGCTGATATTTATTATCCCAAAGTATGCACTGAAGTGTAAATAAGGTAAAAATCTGATTTGATAACTGATAATTGTAACAATGCATGTCATGTGCCTTGTCTAGTCACATAGGGAACTGATGTTCAAAGAATGCCAGCCCTAGCACCAACTATTCTCATATGGCACAAACCTGTGCTCTTGTGAAAGGATAATTGACTATAGTTAGGAATTCTGGGTTCAAGTACCAGCAAGGTCTTGCTTTTTGTTAGGCTGTTGCTGTTTCTTCTGGAGTATGCAAAATGGCTCTAAGGTCCTTTTTAAGTTCTGAGATTCCAAGAAATGAAAAGCTAATAGGTATTATAATAGCTATCATATACATAAATATGCACCGTATTCCATAAAAAACAGTAGCAACTCCTGGAGCCTCTTCCAGGAAGAGATAATTCCCTTCTTTTCACATAAAGTTTTTTTTAATTCCTTTATTTGTACTGTTTTCAGTATACAGTATGCATTTGAGGTTAAAGGAATTTTTTTAAAACTTTAAGAAATAAGTCTTGTTCTATGAAAGAAGATAAACAATGTGGTATAACAAAGATTAGAACTGCCCATCTTATATTTGCCTATAGTTGTAGAAGCACTTGTAGAAATCATTTTTAAAATCCTGTTTCTAAGAAAAAAAAGACACAGAAGCATGAAGATGAACCTCTAAGGCAGGGAAACTGTAGAACACTCATCTCTGTATATTGAGTTTAAAGACCAAGAAATATGATTGGGAAATGTCTTTTGTGTCATCTATGAAGAGAAGTATAAGCTGGCTTAGGTCAGACTTGCCTTATTGAAATTCATATACTGCAAAGACAAGTGTTTTTAAGTTTGGAAAAAAAATTCTTCTCTCATCTTCAGTTTAAAATAAGACAACTTGCTTTCTGTGAAAAAAAATATTCCAGAAAACAAAAGAAAGTTTGGGAGGTGTGGGGAAATGTGTGCCTGGTGGTTTAGCTTTAGGCAATCATTTCTAGTCAAGCACATTTTTCTTTATCAATATTTATAGACAATCTGTAACAAAAATCAACTTAAAAATAAATCATGTTTATTTAGTAATACCAATGATAACTATGAAAAGTTTTGGTGTCAACAAGGATTTATTTCAAAATAGATTTGTTTTATACTAACAAGTATCCTGTTACAAAATATCGTATAATTTTAATCGATTAAATTTGTGATTCATATTTTAAAAAGTGATTATTACTTTTATGAAAATATAGTAGCAAATTTTTCAAGTATATTAAAATGATATTCAATATTCTAACTTGTATTTTATGCTTTTTTAAGGTTTATGTTTGTTGAATTTATAAATATATTGTTGAATCTTGGGTATTGAATTGGCTTCCTGGAATTTATCTAAGTTGATTATCCCTTATGTTGTGTACCAGTGTATGATATAAGCCCCACCAGAACAAAAAAATGTGCATATAGGTCTTTCTATTAATTTATTTTTTATAACCTAACATCATTTGTCTTGTTTCAGAACAGTCTGAAGATTTTTAGAATAAGTGTTTGTTATTTTTATGCTTTTCTTCTTCAAAATTTTTTTGCACCTTTACGTGCTTAAATGATCATAAGTTCAAGATATAATCAATATGAAATAAGATAAAGTATATGGGATATATTATTTTGTAGTCAGAGTTGTCTTTTAAACTCACTCTAACAGGACTAATTGGCAGAGACCAAGATGAGGGGAAAGCCAGGTCTGTTGTGATCTCTTTGCTGTTCTCTTCCTACAATGGTGCCTCCCAGCCAATGCCCACTTGTAGGAAGAGAACTGCAAAGAGATCACAGAGTCATTCCAGGGGGAGCCAAAGGAAGCATTCAGGAATGAGAAGCAGGATTTAGGTGAGGAGCCCTTCGGTTTCCTCTGGGATATCTTAAAGGTAGCTTAAGATCTTTGTCACTGGGAGACAGATTTTCAGATCTTGAAATTTATAGTTCCCCACACGATTTCCTCCAGATCTGCTTAGGAAGAATTAGTCTCCATCAACATTCTTTTGCAAAGAGAAAGGGAAAAATGGTCTAAGAAAGAGATTTTAATAACAGGTCAAGAAGGTTTGAATTTAGAAGGTATGTATCAGAACTAAATATTCTCATTAACTCCATAACTGTGAAAAGCAATTCCTAACAGAAGAATGCAAGATGTCAGAGGATTTGTGGAATAACTTCAAACTTTCATATCATGCTTGCTTACTTTTCTAATAATGTTCATTTCCAAAAAATATTTGAAAGAGTGGTGGAAGGGGAGCAGAAAGTTATATTCATTTTGTATATTTTTATCAGTTCTAGCCAAAGAACCATGGGAAAGTGATAGTTAATAGCAGGAAATCTGGGTCAGACATAAATGCATGATGATAAAGACCTGAATGTGTTTGAATTATGGCATTCAGAATAGATATTGGGAAATGGTTGCTGAATTATCATCTTGCTTTTGCAGAAGCTTTGTCTCAATTTGAGAGCCTAATTTTGTAAATACTGTGCTGCAAATTCCAAAGTGTTATTTTACTACATTGACTTAATTAGCAAAATAAGGCAATGATAGGTCAGATGAACAGAAAAAAAATATTCACAGCCACTTATTATTATAACTTTGGTTACTTCTGTTTTCCTTCCTTAGCTTCCAGTGCAGTGTTGTTTACTATATATGGAATTGCATGTCTTGATTTTATTTTGTTGAGTTTTATCTATATTTAATAAAAAAGTTCTTCCAGCCTAGCAAGCAAGTGCTGGGTAAACATGTATAGCCTGTAACATGGATCCTTGAGGCATGACCAGCAGATTGGCTTAAAACCTATAGAGTGAAACTGAAATTCCATGTTCCAATTGCTGAGACAAGTATAACACAGTGTATTTCATGTGTGGATACAAAATTCATTTGTTTCAGCCACTTGTCTCAAATAAAACAACCAGGTTTTGTTGCCTATAAGATCCATAGTCAGCATATTGCCACTCCTTAACTGGTTTAAGGGTTAACTAGGCTGGCTTTTCCCAGTTCATCCCCTAACACCTCTGCCCCAAAGCAATGTCCAAAATTCTGGAAGGTGGCAAAGCATGCATATGTGCAATACATCATCCCTGCTCAGAAAACCAGTCAAAACACACGACCAGTTGATCATGGCCTGGCAGTGACACCTTTTCATTGGTAGTGTCACATATTTAGCTTACTACTCTGATTTCTATGACTTTTTGTCTCCTATATTTGCATATTAAACTGAGTCTGATAATACAACAAAGAAAGAAAGGGCAGTAGCCCAACTAATCAAATGAGCTATTCTCCAAATCTGGCTTTCAAGAAAAAAATACAATCAATTTTGAGTTTTTTGTTCTTTAGTTTAAAAAAAAAATAAAATCCTTGTGGATAGGGATGATGTCTTACATTTAGAATGTCATTAACATTTGCTCTTACAATTACCATAGCAGAAAAAGAAAGGCACAGTCAGGCCTTGGGTGTACTTTTGAAGGAGTCAAATTTACCTCCAGGACTTTCTACCTCTCCAACGGCATCCCTCATAGATCATCTGGAATACACTCCCCAGATCCTGAGAAGTGTATCCTAGGTCCCTCCTTCCTAGATCCTAGGGATTGCTGGAATTACTGAAACCTGAAGACCCATGCAAGCCATCCAATCAAAGTTGAAGCCCTCATAACATCCCTTTTTCCGTCTCCTACCCCACCTCTTCCTAACCAGCCTATACCTTTGAACTAGGAACTTCATCAAATTATAATTTCCAAAACATCAAAGACCTTGGATCTCTTACTTATAATTTTATCTTCCATTTAGTATCTATAAGCAGATCAATGTATCTTTGAATAAATAAATGATCCATTCATTGCAGCTGACTTCTGCTAATCATTAGAATAAACATTTCTGCTTCAGATCATTTCAAGCAACATCTCAAATGTGATCATAAACGCAATTTCATTTCCTTTAGGCCATCTCTGGAAAAGAGTCAGCTGAGTCATGGCCTGAATCCTCCAGTGGAAATTAAAGCAGCATTTACAGGTTTGCTTGTCTTTTCTTTTTTTCTTTTTTGCAAAACAGTTTCACATTTTGATGACATTTGCTACCAAGAGAATGGAACCTAGCTTTGAGTTTTCATCTTTCTCATTTATCCAGAACTATTTATTTATATACTTCTGTGGGCACTCTGACTGTTTTACTGTGTTGTTAAGCTTTTCAAATAGTATAATTAAAACACACAAACTACATAGATTTCCTTTAATGTTTAGGATATTACCATCACAACTAAAAGCAATTTGGGATCTGAAAGGGCTTTCGATAATTTAGCAATTTTTGCCTCTTGCCTGTGGACTATTAAATACCTAACTCAACAAGAATGAATGATTTGAGATGTGATTTCAAAATATTACCATGATGATACAATTGCTCCCTTGTATTTACTTAAGCCTGGGTAAAGATGGCCGAGGGATATTTACAAACAATAATAGTTTTCATATTGTGAAATGTCTCCAATTTCCTGCCTTCCACTTTGATTATTTATAAAAGGCTTATTTTGTCATTGTGTGGTAGATAGTAAATCTAATGGCTTAAATATTAGTTTGAAATTAACAGGAGCAGCATCAGAAAAGTCCTCTATGATGTTTTTTACGGGGAGATAAATACATGCTTCATGAGAGTTGGTGATTAATTAAATGTAGGAAGAAGCTGTGAGTGTACATTAGTTTCCTAGGTCTGCTATAACAAAAGGCCACACAAACTGGGTGGCTTAAAACAATAGAAATTTATTATCTGACAGTTTTGGAGTCTATAAGTCTGGAGTCAAGGTATCAGAAGGGCCACAGTCCCTCTGAGACTCTGGGTAAAATCCTTCTTTGTCTCTTCCTAGCTCCTGATGTTGGCCATCAATCCTTGGCATTCCTTTTCTTTGGTGTCATCACTTCTGTATCTATTTCTGACATTACATGGCATTCTCTCTGTGTGTCTCTGTCCATATTTTCCTCTTGTTATGAGGACACCAGTCATATTGAATTGGAACCCATTCTGATGACTGTATCTTACTTCTTCTGCAAACACTCTAGTTTCAAATAAGGCCACATTCTAAAGTACTGGGAATTAGGATTACAACATTTATTTGGGGGGACATAACCCATAGTAAGGAGTTCAAGAAAGATTTAAAATATTCATCTTGGACTACTGACATGCTGGTTAGGCCAGTGATGGAAACTGAGATTATAGGAAGAAGATGAATGAGAGAAAGCTTGGGAAAAAAAGAAAACAGTTTATGGGAACTATTCTCAGCTATATTAATTGTGCTTACCCAAGGAAACCACATAGAACAAGAAGAGGCTGTCAGTACCTTGTAGGTGAATAGCATTTTAATGAGGAAGAGAAGATAGAAAAAGAAGCCAAGAAAGAATGGGCAGAATCTTGAGAGAAAATTTAGGGAGATGTGTAATAAATTAAAAGACAATAGAATTTCAAAGAGAGCAGTGATCAATAGTTCTAAGTTGTATGTTTCACCTGGAAGGAAATGTTAAAAATCAACAGTTTTGTTCCTTACATATAATGGATCAGAAATTGATAATGCATTTCAATTTAAAAAATAACAAAAAACACTGCATATATGCTGAAGCCATAGCTAGGCATTAATTCAACATTGAGCTGAGCAAATTCCTAATTTTACCATCACCATGAAGGTTCCCTTGATTGTTTAATATGAGATGGCCAGAATGCAAAAAAATGATGCCAGCTCTGTTTGTAGGTGTTTGTGAATGTGTGAGCTGCTATGTGGTAAGTCCACAACAGCCTGGTCAAGCCCAGACACAGACAAACCAGCCCCCTGCCATGGCCTGCTCTGTGGCCATCATCAGCAGTGATGAGTACTTGCAGATCGCATCAGAACAGAGACCAGATAATTATATTCATGAGATGAGTTGGCCCTGTAATTATTATTTAAGTTGCTAACAAGTCCTAAGATTGCAATTACAACCTAGAAGTTCCTGGGTTTTGATCTTTTAATGAGTTACATTTAGAAGGCCAAAGTCATTACATGTTAGGAACAAAGGCCATTCAGTAACCCTCCCACCACCTATGCCACTTTATAAATTAAATCTGGAACTTTTTTGGCTTTTTGCCTTAAATTATTAATAATCAAAGCGTTGCAACTCACCATGTGGCATCCCATTTGTAGCGAAGTAGTTGAGTATAGTGGAAAAAGAGCTAGACTGGGAGGTGGCATTCTGGGTTATGGTTCTGGCTTTTCCAGTAGTTTCCTACATAAACATGAGCTGATGACTTACCTTCAGAAGCTGTAGTTTTCCTTACTTGTAAAAATAGTGGTTTGGAACATGCTTATAAATAAAACATTCAACGATTGTGTTAGTCTACTCAGGCTGCCGTAAGAAAACACTACAGACTGGGTGGCTTAAACCAGCAGTAGTCCTCAACATTTTTGGCACCAGGGAGCAGTTTCATGGAGGACAGTTTTTCCACCAATGGCGAGCGGATGGTTTCAGGATGAAACCATTTCACCTCCGATCATCAGGCATCAGATGCTCATAAGGAGTGTGCAACCTAGCTCCTATGCATGTGCAATTCACAATAGGGTTCACTTTTATGAGAATCTAATGCCACTGCTGACCTGACGGGAAGCAGGGCTCAGGTGATAAAGCTGTCTTGCCTAACGCCACTCACCTCCTGCTGTGCAGCAGGGATCCTAACAGGCCAAGGACCAGTACCATCCGTGGGTTGGGGAACCCTGGCTTAAACAACAGAAATTTATTTTTTTCCACAGTTCTGGAGGCTAGAAGTCAAGTTTGGGGTGCCAGCAATGTATGTGTCTGGTGAGGGCTTTATTCCTGGCTTGACTGTGGCTTCCTTCTCACTGTGTCCTCACATCATGGAGAGAGGAAGCGAGCAAGCCCTTCTTAGAAGGGCACCAGTCCCATCATGAGGATCCCACCCCCATGACCTCATCTAACCTAATTATCTCCTGAAGACCCCATCTCCAAATACCATCACATTGGGGGTTAAGAGTTTCAACATATTAATTTTGAGGGGCACAATTCAGTCCACACCAAGGATTCAAATCTATAAGAAGCAGAATCATTCTTATGCTGAGATAGAATATATTTTCAAGGTATTAAGGGAAATAATGTCAACCTTTATGCCTAACAGGAACTGATTATTCCCAGAGAGATTTGATATACTTTTACATTTACATGAGCTATTACAGCAATTTTAAGGCTACTTCTAGTCAAAGAAGTGAAAGATAATATTTTGCATCGACATAGTGACTTTTAAATCTAAGAACTTAAAGCCACTTTAAAAATTTAATGGGAAGTTATGACCAGGAGAGCAAGTTTTAAATGGTTTGCTGAGAAAAGCATTATATCTTACTGTCACATTTAGCAAAATAAAAACATAAAATTTCCCAGTTCTGTTTTCGTAGGAGTTTAAAAAAAGAAATGCAAAAATCTTGTCAATCAATATGAAATAGGTTATACTAGCTAGAAGGAACAAAAAAAATGTGTTTGAACAGAAAAAAAAATAACTGAGTAGTACATTTAATAGTATATCCTATCAATAGTTAACATCAAGAAATTGTTTCCATCAAAGCAATCATGGAATTTTGGACTATGATAAATAATTAAAATCATGCATTCATTCAATGTGAAACGATTTATTGATATATTCTATATGCCAAGTACTGTTTTGGGTGCTGGGGATAAGAAAGTGAACAAGCAAATCAATCTCTGCTCTCATAAAGATATTCCAATGGGATGTGATAAGAATAAATGAATAAATAAATGGTAGAAGATATTTCAGAGAAATACAAATGCTTTTAAAGAAATGTACTACAGCAATGTAGTGAAGAATGACTGCTGATGTGGGTGAAACATTTGATTATAGGGGTGATATATTTGCTGAATTCCAAAAGGTAAGAATGAACCAATGTAGTAGGCAAAATTACTCCTCCTTAAAAGATATCTGTCACCTAATTACTGAAACCTGTAAATATGTTACTATACATGGCAAAAGGGACTTTCTAAATGTAATTAAATTTGAAATATCTTGTTTCATTTATCTGCTTATTTATTATCTCGCCCCACGGGATGTAATCTTTTGAGAGCAGAGATTATAGTGAATATTTGGATGGGCCAAATCTAATCAGATGAATCCTTAAAAGTGTAAGAGGAAGGCTAAGTGGAACAGAGAGATGAGACATGACAAGGAATCTATCTTTCATTGATGACTTTGAAAATGGAGGAAACGGTTCAGGAACAGTGCAATGCAGCAGCCCCAAGAGGCCAAGAATAGCTCTCAGCTCACAGCCAGCAAGAAAATTGGACCTCAATTATTCCGTTGAATTTTGCCAACTACCCAAATATCAGGAAATAAATTCCCCCTCAGTAACTCCAGAAAGGCAGCCTGCTGATGCCTTAATTTTAGTCAGATGAGACTTGTATCCCACTTAAAATGTACAGAATTATAAGATGATAAGTTTAGGTGTTTTAAGTCCCTAGGACGGTGATATGACATTGTTACAGAAGCAATAGAAAATCAATACAACCACATTTGTTGAGATGATCATGTGATTTTTGTTTTTAATTCTGTTTATGTGGCATATCATGTTTATTGACTTGTGTATATTAAACCATCCCTGCATCCTTGGTATGAAACCCACTTGATCATCATGGATTATCATTTTGATATGTTGTTGGATTTGGTTAGCTAGTATTTTGTTAAAGATTTTAGAAACTATTTTCCTCAGGAATATTGGTCTGTAGTTTCCTTTTTTGGTTATGTCCTTTCCTAGTTTTGGTATTAGGGTGATATTGGCTTTTATGATTAAAACTCTCAGCAAAATCAGCATACAAGGGACATACCTCAATATAATAAAAGCCATCTATGACAAACACACAGCCAAAATAATATTGAATGGGGAAAAGTTGAAAGCATTCCCTCTGAGAACTGGAACAAGACAAGGATGCCCACTCTCACCACTCCTCTTCAATGCAGTACTGGAAGTCCTAGCCAGAGCAGTCAGACAAGAGAAAGAAATAAAGGGCATCCAAATTGATAAAAAGGATGTCAAAATTTGTTGTTTGCTGATGATATGATTGTTTACCTAGAAAACCCTAAAGACTCCTTCAGAAAGCACCTCGAAGTGATCACATAATTCAGCAAAGTTTCTGGATACAAAATTAATTTACACAAATTAGTAGCTCCTCTATACTCCAACAGCAACCAAGCTGAAAATCAAATCAAGAACTCAACCCCTTTTACAACAGCTGCAAAAAAAATAATAAAATACTTAGGAATATACCTAACCAAAAAGGTGAAAGACCTCTACAAGAAAAACTACAAAACACTGCTGAAAGAAATCATAGATGACACAAACGAATGGAAACACATCCCATGCTCATGGGTGGGTAGAATCAATATTGCAAAAATGACTATACTGCCCAAAGCAATCTATAAATTCAATGCAATTCCCATAAAAATACCACAATCATTATTCACAGAATTAGAAAAAGCAATTCAAAAATTCATATGGAACCAAAAAAGAGCCCACATAGCCAAAGTGAGACTGAGCAAAAAGAGCAAATCTGGAGGCATCACATTACCTGATTTCAAACTATACTATAAGGCCATAGTCACCAAAACAGCATGGCACTGCTATGAAAATAGGCACATAGACCAATGGAATAGAGAACCCAGAAATAAGCCCGAACACTTATAGTGAACTGATCTTTGACAAAGCAAACAAAAACATAAAGTGGGGAAAGGACACCCTTTTCAACAAATGGTGCTGTGATAATTGGCTAGCCACGTGTAGGAAAATAAAACTGGATCCTCGTTTCTCACCTTATACAAAAATCAACTCAAGATGTATTAAGGACTTAAATCTAAGACCTGAAATTATAAAAATTCTAGAAGATAACATTGGAAAAACCCTTCTAGACATTGGTTTAGTCAAGAATTTCAATAAGCAAGAACCCAAAAGTAAATGCAATAAAAACAAAGATAAATAACTAGGACTTAATTAAATGAAAGAGATTTTGCATGGCAAAAGGAACAGTCAGTAGAGTAAACAGACAACTGGCAGAGTGGAAGAAAATTTCACAATCTCTAGATCTGACAAAGGACTAATATCTAGAATCTACAATGAACTCAAACAAATCAGCAAGAAAAAAAAATCACATCAAAAAGTGGGCTAAAGCCATGAATAGACAATTCTCAAAAGAAGATATACAAATGGCCAATAAACATATGAAAAAATGCTCAACATCATTAATGATCAGGGAAATGCAAATAAAAACCACAATGTGATACCACCTTACTCCTGCAAGAATGGCCATAATCAAAACATCAAAAAATAGTAGATTTTGGCATGGGTGCAGTGAACAGGGAATACTTCTACACTGCTGGTGGGAATGTAAACTAGTACAACCACTATGGAAAACAGTGTGAATAATCCTTAAAGAACTAAAAGTAGAACTACTGTTTGATCCAGCAATCCCACTACTGGGTATCTACCCAGAGGAAAAGAAGTCATTACACAAAAAAGATACTTGCACATGCATGTTTATAGCAGCACAATTTGCAATTGCAAAAATGTAGAACCAACTGAAATGCCCATCAATCAACCAGCGGATAAAGAAACTGTGATATATATATATATATATATATACACACACATATATGATGGAATACTACTCAGCTATAAAAAATAATCAATTAGTGGCATTTGCAGCGACCTAAATGAGATTGGAGATAGTTTATCTAAGTGAAGTAACTCAGGAATGGAAAACCAAACATTGTATGTTCTCACTCATAAGTGGGAGCTAAGCTATGAAGTTGCAAAAGCATAAGAATGACACAATGGATTTTGGGGACTCAGGGGAAAAGGGTAGGAAGGGGGTGAGGTATAAAATAGGGTGCACTGTGTACTCCTTGGGTGATGGGTGCACCAAAATCTCACAAATCACCAGTAAAGAACTTACTCATGTAACCAAACACCACCTGTTCCCAAATAACCTGTGGAAATAAAACAAAAAACTCAGAGCTGGTGGTTTGGAGTCAGGAAGTCAGTGAAGGAAAACAAAAACAATGATGACTCATGATTTTGCTTTATGGAATTGGTTGGTTGATAGAGCTATTTATTTTTATGAGGGAAACAATAGAGGGAAATATAGTCTCCATTGACTATTGATGATAATCAGTCAGGAAGATGGAATCTCAAACATAAATTTACCAAAGGTAATCTGGGAATATTTGCATTTCATATTTATTTCTGAGGGAACCTGGGAGTCTTTTCTATACCTCTCTCCAGCAGTTTAGAACATTTATTCAAGTGTGAGTTCCATATAACTCAACTTAATCCCTTTAGGCATTCTTGTCGATACAGCAACCAGAGCCCATATGCAGCCCATATGCTGTGAATACTTTTTGCCCCTAGCAGCTGTGGAGTTTATCTTACTTAGGGATGTCATATACTAGTGTTTTTTTTGTTTCCCCCTCAAGGGTCTTATCTTTAGATATCCTATTGTTAGGATAAAAACTAAACCAACAAGACTGGTTTTAAAAGTAAAATTTTCAACTATGGTGTCTGAGAAGAACTAAAAATGACAATTATAATAATAGTTATAATTTATTGAGATCTTATATAACAAGCATTGAGCTAAGTATTTTATACTCTACTTTTAATCTGAGGTAGATACTACTTTTAACTTATTTTTATATGCAATACTGACATTCAGAAAAGTTAAGTAACTTGAGGTCACATAACTAGCAAAAGATGGAGCTATGAATGGAACACAGGTTTGCAATTCTTTACATTTCACATGTAAAATCCCCACACTAAACACTTTCTCTTCCCTGAGATCTTCCTGCTAAATGCCTAAGATTCTACCATTTTATGTAATGGACATTTTCACACTCACATACATACTACCTCAATGGGTAACATAACAAACCTTTAAGGAAAATTGGCTACCATCCAGCCAATTCCGTTTATATTTCCATTTTTTTCTGATGAGGAAAGTGAAGTTTAGAAAGTCTAATACATTTTTCAAAGGTCGTAGAACTATAATTTGTAGTTCCTGGGATTTGGTTCTGATTCTAAATTTCAATCTCAGTTTTCTACTTTTATTCCTCTAATATAAAAAGTAATAAAATATAAAATATTTATTCAAAAACCATGACTTAGTCTCTATTATATGTCGGCAGTATTCTAAAAACTTGAATCTAATCTGTCAAAAAATCTAATTTCTGAGACTTCTGCTTCTCACCATGATGGAATAATTGTCGCCAGACTTATTCTCCTGCTGTAATACAAAACAGAACAAAATGTGGGAGTACACTGTTTGAGAGATTGAATATCAAGGAGCGCAGCACTATAATTCTTTGGATTGGAGAAATACACAAATTGGGTCCCAAGTTCTTCTCACTTTCTTCCTGGAAGAACTTTCTGGACCACAGCATAGGGAAGATGAGCCCAAGGAGAATGTAGAGGACCTAGTAAGATAAGGAATAAAATATCTGAGTTTGGACTCCCTGAAGTGTCTGGAATTTGTGGCATAGGGCAATCAATGGTGAGGAAGGAGCAGTACAGGATGGAAGGAGAAGCCTTCTGATGGTTCTCCTGTGGGCCTGGATGGGGGCTGGGTGGTGCATGAGCATGGCAAAACTCCATGAAGCTCGCAGGGAGCAGATGCTGTGCACATGAATCTAAATGTTGCTATTGGAGATCACACAAGGCTGAGGCTGCTGAAATTCTGGCCCAGTCAAAGTTTAGAGTCCTCACTGAGTATTTTGGGTATTCAGTTGAGACCCTAGAAAGGCTAGACTTTAGAAATAAGGGCTCCTTCTTGGAGGAAAGGTGATATCCCAGGACTAAGGACAAAACTGAAATAGCCCTAAAAGATTTTTAAAAAAAGGAAACCTGACAATTTTAAGGACATCTCCTGTAACTTATCTATATGCCAAAGCAAAACACCATAACTTCTCTAGAAAACAACACAGAAAAGACAGTGTAGCAACACTATTCAAACTGCCTACGGTATACAGCTACAATCTCCAGTATTAAATTTTAAAAATTACTAGATGTGTGAAGATATAGAAAATATGACAAATAATTATGAATAAAGGTCAATAAAGACTGAGAGATGATCCACGTCTGATAATTCAGACAATAACTTAATAACATGTTCAAAGACTTAAAAGAAAAAACTAGATCATGTGAAAAGGTACATGCTCTTAGTAGAGAAGTAGAAATTATATAAAAAAGGAGAGGAAACTCTACAATAGAAAGCTAAAACATTAGAAAAGAAAAATCCAACAGATGGACTAACCAACAGATTGGATACTAGAGGGGAAAAAAGGATCAGTGAACTTGAAGACCAACCATTATTTAGAATGAAGAACATAGCAAAGGAAGACATACAAATGCCAAAAAGGTATATGAAAAGGTGCTCACCATATTGATCAGCAGAGAAATGCAAATTAAAAGTACAATGAGACATCATCTCACCCAAGTTAAAATGGCTTTTACCTAAAAGATGGGCAATAAAAAATACTGACAAGGACTTGGAGAAAAAGGAACACTCATGCACTGTTGATGGGAATATAAACAGTACAGCCACTGTGGAGATGAATATGGAAGTTCTTCAAAAAACTAAAAATAGAACTACCATATGATTCAGCAATCTAACTGATAGGCGTATACGCCAAAGAAAGGAAATCAGTATCTTGAAGAGATATCTGCACTTCCATTTTTATTGCAACACTAGTCACAGTAGCTAAGATTTGGAAGCAGCCTGAATGTCCATCAAGAGAAGAGTGGATGAAGAAAATGTGGTACTTATACACAATTGGTGCACTATTCAGCCATAAAAGAATGAGATCCTGTCATTTGCACCAACATGGATGGAACTGAAGGACTTCATGTTAAGTGAAGTAAGTCTGGAACAGAAACACAAACTTGGCCTGTTCTCACTGATTTGTGGGACCTAAAAATTAAAACAACTGAACTCATAGAGACAGAGAATAGAATGATGATTACCAGAGGCTGGGAAAGGTAGTGGGTGGGAGGGGGAGGGAACTGGGGATAGTTAGTAGTTAGAAAAATATAGTTAGGTAGAATGAATAAGACCTTCTGTTTGATAGCACAATGAGGTGACTAGAATCAACAATAATTTATTGTACATTTAAAAGTAACTAAAAGAATATAAACAGAATGTTGGTAATACAAAGAAATGATAAATGCTTGAGGTGATGGATACTCTATTTGCCTTGATGTGATTACTATGTATTGTATGTCTGTATTAGAATATCTCTTGTACCACATAAATATATACACCTACTATGTATCCATAAAAATTGTAAATGCAAACAAAAAAAGAGCACAGAGAAAGATGGTTTCACCTCTGGAATGGCAGCTGTGGAGCTCCACGGACTCACTCCTTACCTAGACAACCATAAATAGTGAAAATCATTATCTAAAGAAAACAGCTATTATTTTAAAAGTCTCCAAACTTTGTCTTATGGACATATGAAAAATACAGACACACGTATTCTACTAAGTCTCAGGAAGAACTGTGAGAGTCTGAAGAACATGAGCCACAACCTGCTCTCTCCCTAACCCCACCGCAGTGTGATAGAAGCTTCACTACGTGTGAGTGTGGACAAGGAGATGGGGGTCTCCCTGTTCTTCCAAATCCTAATCATGGGCTAGTTGGTTTGCCAGAGAGAACCAGGAAAAAGGAAGAGTTACTACTAGGATAAGAAAAAATTCACTATGACTGGCCTCAAAAACCACCTTTGCAAAGGGGCCTGAATTTAATGGAATCTGACTGTGGAGCATTTTGTGTCCATGGGCATTGTTGAAAACAATAGAGCAATCACGTGGAAATTAGTGGAGCCTAGAAGTGGGTGTAATACCAATAGAAGCAGAAAGTTTAACAGAAAATTCAGGAAAAGAGATAGTCAAAAAGAGCCTTTTAAAAGTACTGTCATCCCAGGATAACTTCATAGTAAAAATTTATATTTCTTATTTTTTATTCTGTTAACTAAGTTTTAAAGCAAGTGTATAAAACAATATGCATATAATTGAATTTCAGGGCCTATAACATATAGCAATGTAATATGTTTGAAAATAAATGCACAAGGAGGAGATGGGGAGGTGAATTAAATAACATCAGATTGTAACTTGAATCCATATGAACAAATTAGAAGAATTATAAATGTTAAATAAGAATGTAACTTACAAAAATTCTAAGATATATACTCAATCTCCTTTTCAGTCTCTTTATAAAATATATAAAATTATTTTGTTAAAGTTTACAAAATTGCTGTTAGATAGGAGAAATGAGTTCTAGTGTTCTATAGTATGGTATGATGACTGTGGTTAACAGAAATACATAATTTCAAATAGCTAGAAGGATGATGTTGAATGTTTCCAACAGAAAGAAATAATAATATGATAATAATATTTGAGAAAATGAATATGCTAATTCCCTGATCTGATTTCTATACGTTATATGTATGGCAACATCATTATGTACCCCATGAATATGTACAATTATTATGTATCAAATTTAAAAAATAGAAACTTTTTTAAAGTATAAAAAAGATATAAAATAATATAAAGTAATAATTACAATAATGCACTAGTTTCAAAATATGTCAACATAGTATGTATGACAATAACAGCACCAAATTAGGAAGAAGGAAAAGTGCTGTATAGGAGTAACATTCCTATATCTCACTGGAAAGAAGTCATTCAAAATCTGAAGTAAATTTTAGTAAGTTATGATGGCTATGGTAAGCCCTAAGACAATTTTTTTTTATGTAGTGAAAAAAATAATTAAAGGAATTAAAATGTTACACTGGAAAATATTTACTTAATGCAAAAGAAAGCAGTAAATGAAGAACAGATAAACAATAGATGTAAAACACATAGAAAACAAAATTAAAATGACAGTTATAAATACAAATATATGAATAATAATTTCAAATGTGAAAAGATTAAAACATTTAATTAAAATGCAAAGATTGACAGACTAGATTTAAAAAAAAATATTCTACTATATATTATCTACAAGAGTCACATTTAGGATTCAAAGATGCAAATACAGGGAAAGTAAAAAGATACAAAAAAGTATATGATGCAGCAACAATCAAAAGATAGCTGTGATGGCTACACTAATAACATACCAAAGAGACTTGCAAACAGAGAATAATGCTAGAGATAAAGAGAGTAAAGAAAAAGGATTAATCCATTAGAAATATGAAACAATTATAAACATATGTGCACCTCAAAACTGAGCCCAAAAATACATAAAGCAAAAACTGACAGAATTTAAAAATTGATAATTCAACAATCATCAATTGATAACAATTGAGAAATTGATAATTCAATAATAATAGTTGGAAACCTTAATACTCCACTTTTAATAATAGATAGAACATTTAAGCAGAAGATAAATAGGGAAATATGGTCTTTGTTATTACAAAGCTTGCACTTTAACTAAATGTGAAGAAACAGCTGTCTGAATATAACCTGGGTCCTTAATCAAATAATCCAAGTTTCAAAGTTAAGAAAGCCTGAATAAATGTGTTTTTAGAGTTGGTTCTAAACAAAACTGAGGTAATTTTTCTTTCTGCCATAGTTGAATTTGACCAAAGTGTAAACGCTTTATGATGGTCATAAAATATTTCAAATTGTTTTGATGTTTGAAGAGATGCATGCATCTTCCCATGTTGTCTTTGGTCTTTAAAAAAATAACAATAGTGGCCTGGCATGGCTGCTCACGTCTGTAATCCCAGCACTTTGGGAGGCTGAGGTGGGTGGATCATGAGGTCAAGAGATTGAGACCATCCTGGCAAATATGGTGAAACCCTGTCTCTACTAAAAATACAAAAATTAGCTGGGCATGATGGTGCACGCGTGTAGTCCCAGCTACTCGAGCGGCTGAGGCAGGAGAATCGCTTGAACCCAGGAGGCGGAGGTTGCAGTGAGCTGAGATCACACCACTGCACTCCAGCCTGGCAAAAATTAACAAAATTTTAAAAATGGTTTTTAAACAAAATTAAAACAAATAATAGCAACAGAATGAGCTATTCAGGCATATACTGACCACACAAACAATCAATATTACTTTGGGGCAATTTAATTAAATGAGAACCATGCTAACATTTTCTCTCCTAATTATAATTCTTCTATAATGCTTATATAGCATAGTTATTTAAAAATTTAGTGAAAATTGGCCGGGCACAGTGGCTCATGCCTGTAATCCCAGCACTTTAGGAGGCCGAGGCAGGCAGATCGCTTGATGTCAAGAGTTCGAGAACAGCCTGGACAACATGGTGAAACCCTGTCCCTACCAAAAATACAAAAATTAGTTGGGCATAGGGGCGCACACCTGTAATCCCAGCTACTCGGGAGGCTGAGGGAGGAGGATTCGTTGAACCCGGCAGGCAGAGTTTGCAGTGAGCCAAGATTGCGCCATTGCACTCCAGCCTGGGCAACAAGAGCAAAACTCCATCTAAAAAGAAAAAAATAATTTAATGAAAATTATGCACTCTTTTAGTTAAAACACACACACACACACACACACACACACCCCTGAACACGAAATCTTCACATAATTTCAGAGTGAGCAGCAAACACTGAAGCCTACCCTTGGACTTCAGATTAAGAATCTAAAAGTTAAAACCATATAGAAATGAAACAGCTACTATGTATGATGTGAATTACCCTGCACACAAAGTCAGCTTTATAACTGAAGACAAGTGTTCTCAATTTTTATAAACTATACATAATACTTTACCTCTAAAGACAAATTTGGTTTTATTTCAAAATGATATTTTTATATTTACAAAAAAACTTTTCACAATTTTATTATGTAGAGATGAAGAAAAATTGCAGTTTTTCATCTTGAACTGTCAAGGCAGTTACTATCAAACGTATATGTTGGCCGGGCACAGTGGCGCACACCTGTAATCCCAGCACTCTGGGGGGCCAAGGCGGGTGGATCACGAGGTCAAGAGATCAAGACCACCCTGGCCAACATGGTGAAACCCCGTCTCTACTAAAAATACAAAAATTAGCTGGGCATGGTGGCGCACACCTGTAGTCCCAGCTACTCGGGAGGCTGAGGCAGGAGAATCGCTTGAACCCAGGAGGTGGAGGTTGTGGTGAGCCGAGATCATGCCACTGCACACCAGCCTGGTGACAGAGCAAGACTCCATCAAAAAAAAAAAAAAACACATTTGTTGCAAAAAACCCACAAAACTAGTATAATTTGTATACCCAATGATTGGAATATTCATAAATTTATAAAATATATGTGTGTGTACATGTTTGTGTATGTGTGCATATATAAAATACATAAATATATGTATAATATATACATATTATTATATATAATATATAAATATATGTATATATAATATATAAATATATGTATATATAATATATACATATATATATATTTACATATATAAAACCATGCTAGATTAGATGAGGTGGGGAAATAAATGCTGATTAAAACTAGAATTATCTTCTGTCTCTTGGAGCTTAAAATATAGTGATAGAAATAGATATTAATCAAAAGCTTGTTCAAATAATAACTGAATTGAAGAAGCATGATGCTATAAGAAGAACCTATAATGGGGAAACTTGACATAATCTGAGAATTCAAGAACGACATCCTTTTGAAAAGAAAAGTAGCAATTCAGCTGTGATACGAAAAATAGAGAAGCTACATAGGTGAATGGGGAAGGAAAACATATTTCACAAGAAGCAAATTATCATATGAATATTATATGGCTGGAAGAAATATGAAACTGAAATGTTTCCTATATTACATATATTCCCTGCTCTCTCATATACATATGTTCATGTTATACGTATTTCTTCTCTCTTGTGTGTATGAGTATACATATGCACACACATAGATGTATGTGTGTATACATATACATATATGTATACTTATATAAGTATAAAATTTCTAGACTTTAAAAAATACCAGTAAATACTTGGCTTTATCATGATGTAAAGAATTAGATAAGTAGAGCAGCTAGAAATTATCGGATACTTAAGCTAAAAACAGATACATATATATATATATGCACTGCATATATAAGTATAACACTGTATGTATATAACACTGATGTGTTATTAATTATTAGTATCCCTTTTATTCTCAAAAGTGTGTATGTTTAGACAATGAATGGCGTGGCCACCTACACATCTTCTGAGCATGTGGGAACCTTTACAAGCCTGAGTCTTTTATTGCCAAGATTCTTTTTAGCTATGAGTGTTATTGCAATCGTTTTGATAATCAGCAATTTCTGGCTATTTCTCTTTCCTTTTAAATTCAAAAGTGGTTTATTCTTTTGAATACTGTGCTTGCATTCATTGCAAATATGTTCATTGATGGTGATTCTACTGTCTAAAGAGGAGTAAACTACCCTGTCATGTTTTTTCATGTGTTCATACACGCATTTCTTGCATATATTGTCAATTGACATTTCATATATTAAATGACCATCCTCTTATTAACAAACTGGACCTTAGTGATTCATTCAGTGATATCCTGAATCCTATTTATTTATTTATTTTGCCATTTCATACTAAAATGTGAGAAATTACATGGTAACCTTGTGTGTTGTCTCACTGCCACCTGGTGGCAAGAGTGTAGAAAAGGCAGCAAAGCAAAGATGGATGACTGACCAAGTGAAAGTCATTTCCCATAGCGTGCAAATCACATTACCCAGACTTCTTTCAAACACCTCGGGGAAGCATTTTTCATATCTATGTCTTGGCTCTTTCAATAAACTATAGGGAAAGCCCTAAAAATTACAAGAAATGAAATTATCAATGATTAATCAGTATATCGTTAGCGAGGAAAATGTGAAAATAGTGAGATGCTAAAAAGATCTGCTTAATTATCGAAGTATAACTTTGAAATGCTTTAAGAATTTTTTTTAATTTTATGGATAGACTTTCTTTAAAACTGTCATTATCTGTGGCTTTAATCTTGTCAATTAAAGGAAATCAAGCAGACTAATCTTCGAAAATATAATAAATAAATTTTCGCTATCAAATAGATATGACTCATGACCTCACTTCTGGTTTAAGTGATTTTTCAAACTAAAATCTCCAAGACAGAAGTATCTGTTTCTAGCTTAAGTGTCTGGTTTTTATTTCTAGCTACTCTATTTATATAATTCTCTACATCATGATACAGCCAAGTATTTTTCAAAGTCTAGAAATTTTATTGTATCCTCTCAAATAATACGTATTTAAGAAAATAATAATGCTGAATATCACTTTCACTCTTGCTGTTCAAGTTTTTCTAATTCATTATGCATTTAGTGAATGAATCTCATGGAATAACAGTGCTGACTTCTGTCATCTACTTTTTCTATTTGAGGGATTTCTCATTTCAGGCTTCCAGGTATGTCAAAGTTATGCATATGTGTCTATTTAAGTTATCTTATTTAAGTTATTCATATATATTATAATGTATTTCTACACTGGAACTAGTTGAGTCCATGTGTATATATTTAGTATCAAATTAGTGCTTTACATTTATACTAAGTTTCTTCATATGTTATACTGCATCTGGCTCTCAAAAAAATATTGTGAAGAAAGAAGGGAGGAAAACAGGACTAATTATTCCTATCTCATGAATAAGAAAATAAAAACAGAAATTGACTGAAGGAGGAGTAATTGAACCTAAGAATTCTGGTTCCAACACCAGCACTTTTTTCACTACATCACAACAATGGGACAATCCTTTCTTTCTTTTTGAATGTCCACCAAAATCTCACACACTTAAGGGAATTTGGCATACTTCTAAACACACACTCCCAAGGTGGTGTGATAGAGTGAAGAAGCCTCACCTTCAGTTTTACTAGGTGTGTGGCATGGCCTCAGCTGAAAAATTAGAATTATAACACATTTCTCTTCAGTTTCATAAGAAGATTAGAGTTAATTTATGCAAAGCTCCTAGCACAATTCTGGAATATTGTAGATGTTAAAAATAGCTATTATCATTAAAGAGAAAACATGAAGCTAACAAGATTATTGTGGATCATCAGACTTAGGCTGAAGATAGGTCTTCTTTGATAAACTAAACTGGCATTTCAATACCTGAAATGTACTGCTAGATATTACTCCTACATTGTAAGGTTACCCCATAGTTCTGTTTGATGCCTAGCAATGACTATTTTGCTGCCATACTAACACTGACTGGTAAGAATGCATAAATGTTATCAATGATTGCAAAGCTACTTCACTTATCTAGAGCCACATATGGTTAGTTAGTTTGTCCTAACTAACCCTGTCCATGAGGGCCTATCTTATTCCTAGCACTGTGCAAGAGAGGTTTCATAAACAGGGAAATAAAAGCCACAACCATACCAAAATGAATATATCTAGCTAATATAGGAGAAAAGAAATTGCACATACAACAAATAAAAATTCAACCTTACATAATCATATAAATATGGGGTGTGTGTATGTGTGCACATATGTGTGTATGTGTGTGTGTGTTTTAATGAAACAAAGCATAAATGCCCTGATCATACAAGCAAAAAAAATGCTATGTAACCCATATCTCTACAGACAAGTAAAGTGAGTGGGTTTGGCCAGGACTCAGAAGTGAGAAGACACTGCTATGTGCCAAGAGAATCTAACCATTTCAGTGTCTAAGAAAAGCATGTTAGAGAGGACAATAAATGGCCTGGAGAGAAAAACAGGAAGTGTCACCTAGTAACCACTTTACAGTAGCATGATGAGGCCAAAATGTCCTCAAGATAGCAATGCCTTATGCAAAAATATGGGAAAGAGGCTTGGAAGAAAAGGCCGCTATGCTGGGAGACAACGTTTTAGAAGAAAGGTTTCAGAGTAAAAAGAAGCACGTACCTCACAGATGTAAAAGAATCTTATAAAAATAAGTAAAAGTCGTTTTTGAAAATCTAGGCACAGTTTAATATAATGAAAATAAACTATATATTTCTATGCAAATAACAAAATGGTATATATTTTATTCAGTACATTTATAACTCTCATAAACAGATATAACTAACTTTAAGCAAATATATAGAATTTACAAGAAATAATTTTGGAGATGTCTTTTTTTAACAAAATAAATCACTGAGTATTTCCTCTACAAAGAAGATTCCACTTATGCATTTAAGTTATGATTTAATTTTTAAAAGATGATAAACAACTAGGGTTATGGTCTACAGTAAATGGTATAGCATAGTCTTAGGCAGGAAAAGTATAATAAAATAAAACTGTACACTCAGACTGTGGTTTTAAGTATCACAGAAATTCAAGTATTATAATGGATAGTCTATAAGTTAAGCAAGGAAATTGACTTACTAAAAAGAGAATATAATGTATCTCAAGGATAATAGAAAAATGAATAAAGTGAAAAGATTCAGTCTTTAGGAACCTGAGTCATCAAATATTGAATTTTCGAACTATGACTCTTCTATGGTTCCACAATAAAGAGATGGGAGTACTCAGTTCTTACTCAAAATTGATTTTCACAGAAAAACAAACCACCAGAAGATTGAATGGTGATTTCTATAGTCTAGTTATAGTGAACAAAACATTCAGACAGGAAGTGAACAAATCTGTGAGAAAAAAGGACACCTAATTGTAACACCCCAGAACTACTTGAAGAATGACAGAATGTACAACTAAAAATTAACTCATAGAATAGCTGTATGACTGTAATGAATGGTTCATATTTTTAAGGACAAAGCGTGCATGTATGTATGTGTGTGCATTTCTTCTATAACTGTGATTTTCTGCCTTGGCTTCACATTATAATCACGGGTCACTTGAGAAGCTTTTTATAAAGAGAGATGTTTGTGCCTTGTTCTAAAACAATTAATTTGAGTATCTGGAAGTAGGACGTGGCCATTTTTTAAAAGTTCTCCAGATGAAAACATGGTGCAGCCACAATTAACGATCACCAATATTCACAATAATTAACACTAAATCAGCCTATATGTGCCAGGTACTCTTTACGTGATTCATTAATATTCTCTCTTTTAATCCTCATAACAACGCTATTGAGCTAGTATGCTTTATTTCCATTTACAAATGAGCAAACTGACATTTTAGAGAGGTTAAGTAACTTTCTAAAGTTACGGTGATTGGAAAAGAGAAAAAAAGGGATTATCTGATTTTAGGAGCTCGCAGTCTACTTCTATTACCAAATCTACAAATTCATTCAATTATTCTTTCAACTGTTCATTTATTGCACAATCATGTATTGAGTACTTATCATGTAATAGAATTTGGAAATATAGACAAATAGAACGTGGCCTACATCTTTGGGGGAATTCATTCCTAGAATATTCCTAGCTTTTATGCCTGGAATGTAGCTGAGATGACTGGTGTCCTTATGCCTCTCTTGTATATTTTTCCCATCTGTATTTAGCAGCTCTTCAGATTGAAATTTTACAGCAGTTGTACAAAGGAATTTTAAACTGGTGTATGTGCTGCATTCTCTATTTGGACCTTGTAATTCCAAAACTACAGTGGGCTGGCCAATAGCTAATACAAAGTTGGGGTTTAATGCGTTAATTGCCCTTCCAAAAAAAGGATATTTGGTACCTGTCTCTTGGACATATTTGCTAACATTTATATCCACAGTACCTGGCACAGTTATTACCTAGCATATAATAAATAATAAATAATTTTATTTAATTGAAGTAAATCAAGTTGACTTGGAATTATACCTCGAGATACCAATCCGAGCTACTAAAAGATTCATAGTTTTAGATCTCTCCTTTTTTCTTTTAATAGGCTTAAACATTCTATTCCCAGACTTATGATAATGGTACTAGACTACTAGACCTAGGTATTCTGATGCATTTAAGTAACTCATTAAAATAATTTTATCTTTTAAATTCTTGATAGGTAAAGGCCTTATTTAGAAAAATGACATGCTTCTTTTATGTCCTCTGCTGGGATCTATTTAGTCTCCTGATTTGATCCACATTTGAAAATTTGCTGGGATGAGAGGCTTATGAGAGTGCCATGTACCCTCCTGAATCCTTCATTGAATATAAAGCAGTTATTAATGGAATTAAACATTAAACTGATTCCACAAAATTAAACTAAGCAAGGCCATCATTTGGTGGTCGAGGTTTTGTACCTTAAGGATTATATATACAATTACAGGAAAGACTTTGGGCAATGGACACTTTAAACTTTGGAATAGAAAAAATCATAGTCAAATCTCTGGTGTAAGAGGATAAATGTATCCCCACAGAATGGTGCACGAACTCTTGGGATTCAAATGCCAAATTTTGAGATCTGTCGAGAACTATCAGTGAGGCATTCTCTCCAAACAAACAAAAACTGAAAGAGAATAATCTCCCTTTCATAAAGCAGTACTTTTTATGTCATCTTCCCTAGAATCCAGGGGGGAAACGAGTCTAAGAGGAAACTTAACCTTTCATATTTGCATAAAAATGACCATTTTGGTTTTTACAAAGCAAGACGTGAGTAAAGGATAAAAAATATAATCTAATCTATTCTTATTTGTGCATACCTTTTTTGAGCAGCTTGTGTCATTGGTGAAAAGCTGTCAGAACTCTCAGATCTGATAGCAAGGGCTGGCCACAAGCCTTAATCAGCAATGAACCGGCCAGCACATTCAATTTTAATTAAGTCCCCATGCCAGGAAAGAAGGCTTTGGAGGAAAACAGGCTTTAGAGGTGCCATGTGTTCATGGAGTTGTTCTATATTCACAGAACTATTTGAAATAATTGCAGCTGGTGTGGACATTAACTGACCAGTTAAAAGAATGTATCACTTGACTCCTGCCAAACATTTGACATGACTACAAAATGATCTTTGAATTATGCACACCTTTATGACTGCTCATTCTCCTGGGACATGAGGAGACTTTCTTCCAGAATTGATCTCTCTCTTGAATTCAGACCAGCATTTCCTCTTTCAGTTTCCTGTCACAAGTAATAAATAAAAAATAAACCATTCCATTCTTTTTGCAAAAACACCAAGGGCAGAGGTAATGTTTTTACTCCAACTCCAAAGAGGCTGGAGGAGGCCAATTATAGCTGTCGAAGGCAAGCTGGACTCTGTCGTTGCAGGTAATAAGATCTGCCCGAAACTCACCATCTGTACCTTCATAGCACCAATTGCTATCTAATTACATTTTCCATAAAGAAATTAAAGAAAAATCGAATCACGCACCATATGTAGATCCATCTCCCCTGGTGTTATTTACATTTGCCTTTTCCATTATGATTATTAGGAGAAAGGACACTTGTGACTTGCTGTACTAAGGTATGGCTGGATGAGGAACTTTATGCCAGTAATGCTGCATTTACTAGTTACCTTAGAAATAGGGGAACATAGCTTCATTGAGCCATTTCTCCTAATTCTGGAGTGTGGAAGAAAATTGTTAGAAAAAAAGAGAAAAGAAAGAAAAACACATGCAAATTTGGAGTCTTACCACAAATATTTCCCTTCTGATCCAACAGTGGGTGCTTTGGATAAAGAACAAACCTGGAAAGCAATAGATTTTACTAGTAGTATGGCCCTAAAAGCATTCAGAAAATTTATTTCTTAGCTGTAAGACTGTGGTTTATAGTACAATGAGAGGAAGGAGAGGCAAGCATTTACATTGAGAGAGTGCTTAAAATCAAGACTAATTTCTTCATTGTTGCTCTGCCTCTGGATTATAGATCTTTAACCTCTTGGTACATTGGCTCTTTTCCCTAGGTATATTAACAAACTATAATTCCTTCCATCTTTAAAGAAAATATATCCATCAGGTCACTTCAGGCCTCTGCTCAGCTATTGTATTATATCTCTCCTTACCTTCATCATTATGGCTTTGAAAATCCACTTCCTCACTTCTCATCAGCACCTCAGATCACTGCAATCTTCCTCTTCTCTTCCCAGTATTCCATTGAACTGGAACATCCCCAATACAACGCACACATTTTAGCTATTATACTCTCTGCTTTACTAATATTTTACTATTCCTTTTTTTTTTTAACCGGGCCATATTCACTGCCTCTTTAATATTCTTTTCTGGTTTCCCTTCAACCTCTATGGTCTCTTCTTCCCAGTGCCTCAAGTCCATCCTTTCTTCTCATCCCCACAGTGTGATGTTAATGCAGGACCTTATCATATTATTTCAAAAGTACCTTTTCACTGGTTTGCTGAACTTTCAATAATTATTTCTTTTTGTTTCCTGTCTTAACGCTTTGTAATAACACTCATTTATTCTCCCTTGCCTCATTAGAACCTCACAATGGTCATTAGAATAAACCCAAACTTCCTATCATATGTCCTGTTAATGACTCCCCAGCTTCCTCTGACTCTCATCCACAGATAAGAAGCCATACCAAATTGTTTGCTAAATATTCTATTCCATGTTTTGGTAAAGTCCTTATTCCACTCTTTTATCTGGCTAACTCCTACCCATATTTCATGAAATATTTTAAATCTTATCTCCTTAGAAAATCAACCCAGACACCATATGCAAATAGCCCAACCTCCCGCTCTTCATTACTTTCATTGTACCCTGTGTATGCCTCCATAGTCACTTATTGTACTGTTTTGCTGTGGTCTGTATTTTGGCACTAGACTCATCTTCCAGTAATGAACCATGTTTTTAATTAATGTATTCTTCAGTATTTATAACAGTGCTACATATTAGTCACTAATATCAAGTTAGAAGAAAGGAATGGAGGAGGAGAGAAAGAAAGGAAGGGAGGAAAAGAGGGAGGAATAGACATATATATTACTATGCCAGAATAGCATCCATCCATCCATCCATCCGTCCATTCATCCAACCTTCTTGTAGTAGTTTTCTTAGGGACCACCCTTTCCTACTCAGTACATGTGATTCAGGTAGAGTTAATTTCACACTTGGCTTCAAGGGTGCCATACGGATTTTGAAAATATACATATTAACATGGCCTGCCAATTCTGAATGCAGATACTCTGAAAGCTCAAATATCTCAGAGATAGAAAATATTTTATGCATGTTTTCCAAAAATATGTTATATTAGAAGTTAAGTACACCTTTAGCATACATAACAACAATGCTAAGATGTCTACTAACTATCCAGCAGGGTTATATCTCAGGAGTCTAATCTAAGAATGAAAGCATTAATTTAAATGACGCTTAAACTCATTTAACCATGCAAATAAGTCCTTGAATTCAAGTTTACATTCTGTTTGTAAAAACTTCCTTGAATTATGTCTACATTATCTTTATGCACATCGTATATGTTGAAATTCTTTCGTTGTCTCAGTCACGAAATCCTTCCTCTGAGATGTCCCAGGTATTTCACATCGCCTCTCCTTCTTATGTTTCTTATATCCACCATCACTTTCCTTCTCCTTCTCTGTGGTGCCAGCTCTTGGAAAAAAAAAAATCAGGGAATACCTCAGCTCTTCACATTCTTTACCCATCAACGCAGAGGTGGCAAGTTGGCAAAATCTCTAACTTCCTCCAGCCCACAGATTTATTTTTCACCAGCCAACTTATAATAATTTGAGAATTTAACATAAAAGCTGAATTTTCAGCTTCCTTTTAAAAAACAATTTCTAACAGATCTAGAGCACCAGTTTTTCCAACTATTGTGGGTTACATGGTGCTCCCCATGAGGATTCATTGAAGTCTTAACCCCCAGTAGCTATAAATGTAACTTTATTTGGAAACAGACACTTTGCAGATATAATCACGTTAACACAATGTAATATTGGATTAGGATGGGTCTTAACCTAATTACTGGTCTCCTTATAAGAAGAGAAAAATGTGGACATAGAGACATAGACACACAGGGAGCAGAATGCCATGTAAGTATACACAAAGTGAGATCATCACTGTGGAAGAGATGGGAGTGATGTGTCTACAAGCCAAGGAATGCCAAGAATTGCTGGTGACCACCAGAAGCTAGGAATAGGTAGCAAAGGATGCTCCCTTCTCCTTCAAAGAGCAAATGGCCTTGCCAACATATCAATTTAGAAATTTCAGCCTCCAGAACAGTGAGACAACAATTTTCTACTGTCTTAAGCAACCTAATTTATAATACTTTATTAGGTCAGCCCTAGGATACTAACATAGTAACAATGGGCTAAAAATAATTGTAGTCTGCCCCCTTTAGAAGGGGCTTGTGATCTACAGTTCAGGGAGCTCAAGATACTCTTTGTCACCCCTACAGTTTCTTAGTCATCAAAGCTAAATGTCATTTGCCATTTGTCTTCTGCCACTCAGCCAATCTCCCTCACTCACATTATATCTTTGGTCCCTGTAAGACTTTCAGTTTGTAATATTTTACTATTTGTATATTAATACATTCATTTTTTTCAGTTTTGTGTTTTGTTTAATACTACTCTCAACAATGTCATTTGCTACTGCTGCTTTTCTTTGTGTAGTTGTTAGCATTTTGGAAATTGATTTCATCTTGAGTAAAAAGGAGATAAATACCTATGTTTTCACCTAGATATTGATATTTTGTACTAGATAATTCTTTATTTGAAGGATTGTCCTATGCCTTGTATAATAATTAGTAGCATCTCAGGCTTCTTCTCACTAGATGCCAGAAGCACCTTCCATAGTTGTGACAATGAAAAATGACTCCAGACAATGTCAAATTTTCTAGCAGGGGAAGATCGTACAACAAAATCTTCCCAACAGAGAGCCTCCATCTTAGGCTATTTTTCCTATCCATGCTCAAAGAGAAAGAGTAGTACACTATAACAAATGTTTCAAAATAACAAATGTCTGCTAGAAAGTAATTCACAAGGGTTCATTTTTGTCTTGTCACATATTTCTGTACATCTAGCTGTAAGAATTCTCTTTCTTTATGACAAAAAGTGTTAGGTGTGTCCCAGTAACTTTTTGGCTATTCTGCCTTAATAGTAATAACATTAATATTAATTAGGACATTGCCATACCAATAAAATGTTATGTTCCCCAGCTGATTGTGGCCAATGAGAATATGTGGATAGGTGTTGGCCAATGATATATGAGTGGGGGTGCTATGTAAAACATTAGAAAGTGCCATTAAAGAAAGGGCTTACAAATATTCAGTTCTTTTTTGCTTCCTGCTACCTGAAATTTGAATGTAATGATTGGAGTGCTGGCAGCCATCCTGAGACAATTCACTAAAAATAGAGGAACACAAATTAGAAGTCTGGGTCCCTGAAACAGAGGATCTGCCATATTACTTCAGAATTGCCTCCCTTAAGAGTTCAACTTAAAAAAAAAATACACCACTTTTATTTCAGGTTTCCTGACACACGGGAACACAGTCTACCTCTAGTTAATACATAGTTCATTCTAATTCTACAAAGCTTTTTCAAAGTTTGCTTAACAATAATTTGTACTATTTCAATATTTACTCATACATGGCTGTATTTAAAGTTTATAAATTGTCAAAGTATTTTTTGTTATATGTTAAAGACGGTATATACCTTGTGAGAGTATGGTTGGATCAGGGCTAATGTATACAAAACACCCAAGACATTGCCTGTGTGATGGGTGTTGCTACAGTCATGAGGATAATTATAAAAATTGTGATTATCATTAGATTTGAGAATGTCTTCATTTAGCATTCCTATCATCGAAGGAAAGGATTCTAAAAGTCTTGAAAATATCTCATTTGGGAGTCTAGGAATGAAACATATGTTTGACTTACCTATCTTCTTCTGTGTCATATTAAATATGATATTAAAACCAAAACTTATATCTGAAATCTGAATGCCTATTGGCATCACCAATGATATTTTAAAACTTATAGATGCTTCTGGACCACTCCAAGAGATTCTGATTTAATTATTATGGGGCACAGCCTAAACATTTAGAATTTTTAGAGCTCCCTGGTTAATCAAAATTCACAGCAGAGTTTGAGAATCACTGCTTTAAACAACAGTAAGAACAGCCACTTTTTTACTGCTTGCTATAGTTGTCAGAGACAAGGGGGCTGGCATTGGAAATGGATGAGCAAACTAGCTCACCAGGTTGCCTGAGCACTTACCAAAATAACTAGATTTTCCTCTTTTTTTTTCATCATATTCTTCTCTTCTGATTTTTTTCTCATTTTTATCAGTCATTTATTGGCAATTCTAAAGTAGAAAAGGGATTTACCATTTAATCTTAAAAAATTATATATGAGCCTTCCAGGTAACAGTTGAAAAGAGGAGAATATCAGAATGACTTGGCATTAGAGTGACTTCCTCTGACATTTTTAGTCACAATTGCCTTGAATTTTGACCCATTGCCTTTCTTATCTTTAGCATTAAACATTGTCATCACCCCTAATTTTTTTTAATACACACAAAAAAATGTAAGTTTATTGCTGAGGAAAATTCTAATGTCACGGAACAATGGCAGAATAAATTTTTAAGAGCAAGGTATATTGCTGAATCCACAATGGGATTTTATTCTATTCTAAGCAATGTTTTTCATTTTAAATTTTTTTATACCCTTCTCACCTCTTTTTTTTATATATACTTTAAGTGTTACGTTACATGTGCAGAATGTGCAGTTTTGTTACATAGGTATACATGGTGGTTTGCTGCACCCATCAACCCGTCACCTACGTTAGTTATTTCTCATCGCTCCCGTAGCCCCCCACTCCCCACAGGCCCCAGTGTGTGATGATCCCCTCCCTGTGACCATGTGTTCTCATTGTTCAGCTCCCACTTATTAGTGAGAACATGCAGTGTTTGGTCTTCTGATCTTATGATAGTTTGCTCAGAATTATGATTCCCAGCTTCATCCATGTCCTTGCAAAGGACATGAATTCATCCTTTTTTATGACTGCATAGTATTCCATAGTATATATGTGCCACATTTGCTTAATCCAGTCTATCATTGATGGACATTTGGGTTGGTTCCAAGTCTTTGCTATTGTAAATAGTGCTGCAATAAACATGCATTTGCATGTGTCTTTTTCATAGAATGATTTATAATCCTTTGGGTATATGCCCAGTAATTGGATTGCTGGGTCAAATGGTATTTCTAATTCTAGATACTTGAGGAATCACCACACTGTCTTCCAAAATGGTTGATCTAATTTACACTCCCACCAACAGTGTAAAAGCATTCCTATTTTTCCACAACCTCTGCAGCATCTGTTGTTTTCTGACTTTTTAATAATTGCCATTCTAACTGGCATGAGATGGTATCTCATTGTGGTTTTGATTTGCATTTCTGTAATGATCAGTGCTGATGAGCATTTTTTCATATGTCTGTTGGCTGCATAAATGTCTTCTTTTGAGAAGTGTCTGTTCATATCCTTTGTCCATTTTTTGATGGGGTTGTTGGCTTTTTTCTTGTAAAATTGTTTAAGTTCTTTGTAGATTCTGGATATTAGACCTTTGTCAGATGGATAGATTGCAAAAATTTTCTCCCATTCTGTAGGTTGCCTGTTCACTCTGATGATAGTTTATTTTGCTGTGCAGAAGCTTTTTAGTTTAATTTGATCCCATTTGTCGATTTTGGCTTTTGTTGCCATTGCTTTTGATGTTTTAGACATAAAGTCTTTGCCCATGCCTATGTCCTGAATGGTATTGTCCAGGTTTTCTTCTAGGATTTTTATGGTCCTAGGTCTTACGTTTAAGTCTTTGATCCATCCTGAGCTGATTTTTGTATAAGGTGTAAGGAAGGGGTACAGTTTCAGTTTTCTGCATAAGGCTAGCCAGTTTTCCCAACACCATTTATTAAATAGGGAATCTTTTCCCCATTGCTTGTGTGTGTCAGGTTTGTCAAAGATCAGATGGTGGTAGATGTGTGGTGTTATTTCTGAGGCCTCCATTCCATTCCATTTTTCTTTATATCTGTTTTGGTACCAGTACCACGCTGTTTTGGTTATTGTAGCCTTGTAGTAAAGTTTGAAGTCAGGTAGTATGATGCCTCCAGCTTTGTTCTTCTTGCCCGGGATTGTCTTGGCTATGCTGGCTCTTTTTTGGTTCCATATGAAAGTGTAAAGTATTTTTTTCCAATTCTGTGAAGAAAGTCAGTGGTAGCTTGATGGGGATAGCATTGAATCTATAAATTACTTTGGGCATTTAGGCCATTTTCATGATATTGATTCTTCCTATCTATGAGCATGGAATGTTTTTCCATTTGTTTGTGTCCTCTCTTATTTCCTTGAGCAGTGGTTATGTTTTTGCACACTAAACTGAAGGGCAGATAGGGAAACAAAGAACAAAATGAAATTGCCATTTTTATGTACCTTGAAAACTGACCTATAACAAGTTACAGGATGAAATAAAGCCATAAAGAATAAAGGGATAATACGCTTTTTTTTTTTTAGCAAGTTGAGTTTTCAAGGAGATGGTGTACTATTTTGATAAATAATTTTCTCAACAAGAAAAAGATATTGAGAAATATCTAGTGATTTTTAAAAAATACAGTACAGTTTGTAACAAAAATTCAACGTTTATGCATGGAAGTTGGTTTTATAATACAATCCCCAACTTACATGATTTGACTCAAAACATTCATACTTTATGATGGTGTGAAAGCAATATGCATTTAGTAAAAACCATACTTCAAGTACCCATAAAACCATTCTGTTATTCACTTTCACTATAGTATTCAATGAATTAATTAAATTAAATAAATGATATAGTCAACCTTATTATAAAATAGCCTTCATGATAGGTGATTTTGCCCCACCGTAAGTTAAGGTAAGTGATTCTGCACACACTTAAGGTAGGCTAGGCTAAGCTGTGATGTTCAGGAGGTTAGGTGTATTAAAGGCATTTTTAACTTACAATGTTGTCCACTCACAATGGGTTTATTGGGATAAAACTTCACTGTAGTCAAGGAGCACATGTACACAGAAACCATATTAGTGCTTACCCCAAGTGTATATTATGATCTAGGATTTAAAAGAAAGCATTAAATATACCCAATTGCTGATGTCAAATAAGTTTGGAAGTGGTTCAGCCTTAATAATAGAAAATGGAATTTGAAAATTGAGCACAAATATTTTTGTTTAACTAGGTCAAGAGTGATATTCCTTTAACTGGGTTGTAAATACATTTTTAACTTTTTCTTGGGAAATCCTTATAGAAAGTGAATTAAGTGAGTTTGTATAGTCCCATGATTTATAAAAAAAGAAACATCGACATCCATGTTATCATCCTTACAGGTTAAGAAAAAAGAATACTGTCAGAACCTAAAGCCCCTTCATGCCAATTCTCAATCTCTGCCCATCCCTCCTGCAAAAGGCAACCATGAGCCTGAAGTTTAGAGTAAATATTTCTTTACTTTTCTTTATAGATTAATTAATTATGCATGTATCCATAAGCACTGAAATTAGTTCTTTCTGACTTACAAAATTTATTATATATTTATAATTTCTATAAATGTATGTAAATTTTATATAAGTAAAACTATAAAATAGGTGTTCTTTGAGGTCCAGTCTCTTTCACTCTACATTATGTTTGTGAGATTCATTCATATGATTTCCTATAGGTGTAGTTCATTTGGTATTGATGGTATATATGATTCCATTTTGGTAATATGCCACATTTTATTTATCTATTTTACCCTTAATACATATTTGGATTGTTTTTAGTTTGAGAATATAATAAATAAGACACCTATGAACATTCTTTACATGACTTTTAGAGCATCCAATGGGGGTTGATGTGACAGTTGAGGGGGCTGACACTTAGGAAGCTATTAAGATGACTAATCGATGGGCAGCTAACAAAAATATCACTTAATTTATATAAGAATGAATGTCCAGGAGACTGAGAACAGCTCCTATAAATGAGAAGTCCTCATTTCTTACCCTGTTTCTGCACGTCAGCTAGTTCTCAGAAGCCAAATTCATTGGCCAGAAGAAAAGCTGGGTCCTCATGAGATGGACCCCAGTAATACAATGGCAAGTATATTTAGTAAAAATTACCTGAGTCCTTTCTCAAAGGAACATATATAAATTTACTCAGGTTACCATCCATTGGAAAAAGAGTCATTCTCAAACATTTTGAGAAGTTTTGGACACAGGTTCAAAGTTGACATTGGTTCTCAGGGGCCTGAAGCATCATCATGGTCCACTGATTAGAGGTTTATATGGAGCAGTTAATAAGTACAGTCATCACTCAGTATCCAAGGGGATTGGTTCCAGGATGCCCTGTGGATTTCAAAATTCACGGATGCTCAAGTCCCATGTATAAAATGCTGTAGTATTTGTATATAATGTGTATATGTCTTCCTGTATATTTTAAATCATCTCTAGATTACTTTTAGTACCTAATACAATGTAAATGCTATGTAAATAGTTGTTATACTGTATTGTTTAGGGAGTAATGACAAAGAAAGTCTGTACATGTTCGGTACTGTACATGTTCAGTATAGACTCAAACACCCATTTTTTGAGACCAGAATCTCACTGTTTACTAGGCTGGCCTCAAGCAATCCTCCCATGTCAGCCTCTTGAGTAGCTGGGATTGCAGGCAGATGCGACCACACCTGGCCATTTTTTTCTCCCTGAATATTTTCAATCTGAAGTTGATCGAATACATGGATGTGGAACTCATGAATATAGAGGGCTGACTGTACTGTCCTAACCCAGACTCAGCTTACAGTGGTTTAATTGTGTTCAGAGACTGAACTGCAGATCATTTCCTGGGTTTCTGAGTGTATAATCATAAACCACTTCACATGATAATTGGCAGAGCCATAACAGTAGTTTCTTGGCCTATGGGGTATGAGAGTGGTTATAAGTAACAAATTCAAAGCAGAAGCTCCTGAAACTACCAACACCCCTCCCCTGTTAAAATAATGAATCAAAACACTATCCATTCCAGAAAGAATGAGAGATTAATGTCACCTTTTTTATTTTTCATTCATTTATATATTTTTAATTTTTTCTTTTGATTTTGTGGGTACATAGTAGGTGTATATATTTATGGGGTACATGAGATGTTTTGACACAGACATGCAATGGGAAATAATCACATTGTGTAGAATGGGGTATCTATCCCCTCAAGCATTTACCCTTTTGTGTTACAAACAATCAAATTATACTTTTTTAGTTATTTTATAATGTACCATTAAGTTATTATTTACTATAGTCACCCTGCTGTGCTATCAAATATTAGGTCTTATTCATTCTCTCTATTTTTTGTACACATTAATCTTCCCCACCTCCCTGCCAGCCCCCCACTACCTTTCCCAGCCTCTGATAGCTATCGTTCTACTCCATTTCCATGAGTTAAGTTGTTTTGATTTTTAGATCCCATAAATAAGTGAGAACATGTGATGTTTGTCTTTCTGTGCCTGGCTTATTTCATTTAACATAATGATTTCCAGTTCTATACATGTTGTCGCAAATGACAGGATCCCATTCTTTTTATGGCTAAATAGTACTCCATTGTGTTTACCACATTGTTTTTAATCCATTCATCTGTTGATGGACACTTGGGCTGCTTCCAAATCGTAGCTTTTGTGAGTAGTGCTGCAACAAACATGGGAGTACAGATACCTCTTCAATGAACTGATTTCCTTTGTTTTGGTTACACACTTAGCAGTGGGATTGCTGGATCATGTGGTAGCTCTATTTTTCGTTTTTTGCAGAACCTCCAAACTGTTCTCCATAGTGGTTGTACTAATTTACATTCCCACCAACAGTATACAACAGTTCCCATTTCTCCATATCCTCACCAGTATTTGTTATTACCTGTCTTTTGGATATAAGCCACCTTAATTGGGGTGAGATGATATCTCATTTTAGTTTTGATTTGCATTTCTCTGATGATCAATGATGTTGACCACTTTTGCATAGGTCTGTTTGCCATTTGTATGTCTTCCTTTGAGAAATGTCTACTCAAATCTTTTGCCCATTTTTGATCAGGTTATTAGATTTTTATCTAATAAAATTTGAATTTATCTAATAAATTAGATTTTATTATTTTATCTAATAAAATGTCTAATTTATTTGAGCTCCTAATATATTCTGGTTATTAATTCAATGTCAGATGGGTAGTTTGCAAATATTTTCTCCCATTTTGTGGGTTGTCTCTTCACTTTGTTAACTGTATCATTTGCTGTGCAGAAGCTTTTTAACATGAAGTGGTCCCATTTGTCCATTTATGCTTTGGTTACCTGTGTTTGTAGGGTATTGCTCAAGAAATTTTTGCCAGACAAACGTCCTGAGATTTTCCCTAAGATTTTCTTGTAGTCATTTCATAGTTTTGTCTTAGATTTAAGTCTTTAGGTCTTAGATTGAAGCCTTTAATCCATTTTGATTTGGTTTTTGTGTATGGCGAGAGGAGTCTAGTTTTATTCTTCTGCCTATGGATATCCAGCTTTCCCAGCACGATTTATTGAGAAGACTGTCTTGTCCCTGGTGTATGTTCTTGGCACCTTTGTAAAAATCAGTTCATTGTAGGTGTGTGGATTTGTTCCTGGGTTCCCTCTTCAGTTTCATTGATCTATGTGTCTGTTTTTATGACTGTACCATGCATGCTGTTTTGATGACTGTAGCTCTGTATTATAATTTGAAGTCAGATAATATAATTCTTCCAGTTTTTTTCTTATTGCTTAGGACAGACAGCTTTGCCTATTCTGGGTCTTTTGTGGTTCCATATAAATTTGGGGGTAGTTATTTTCTATTTCAGTGAAGAATGTTATTGGTATTTTCATAGGGATTGCATAAAATTTATAGATTGTTTTGGGTAGTGTGAACATTTTAACAATATTGATTCTTTAAATCCATGAATGTGGAATACTTTTCCTTTTTTGGTGTTCTCTTCAATTTCTTTCATCAGTGTTTTATAATTTTCATTATAGAGATCTTTCACTTCTTGGTTAATTTCTAAGTATTTAATTTAATTTATGGCTATTGTAAATGGGATTACTTTTTTATTCTTTTTCACATTGTTCACTATTGGCATTAGAAGTGCTACTAATTTTTGAATGTTGATTTTGTATCCCGCAACTTTGCTGAATTTGTTTGTCAGTTCTAATAGCTTTTTGTGAAGTCTTTAGGATTTTCCAAATATAAAATCATTTGATCTGCAAACAAGGATAATTTGACTTCTTCCATTCCAATTTGGATGCCCTTTATTTCTTTCTCTTGCCTGATTGCTCTAGCTAGGACTTCCAGTATTATGTTGAATAACAGTGATGACAGTGTATATCCTTGTCATATTCCAGATCTTAGAGGAAAGGCTCTCAGTTTTTTCCCATTTAGTATACTAGCTGTGGGTCTGTCTTATATGACTTTTACCATGTTGCAGTATGTTATGTCTATACCCAGTATTTTTAGGGCTTTTGTCATGAAGAGATGTTGAATTTTATCTAGTTCTTTTCAACATCAATTGAAAAAGTCATATAGTTTTATCCTTCATTCTGTTGATATGTTGTATCATATTGATTGATTTGTATATGTTGAATCATCCTTTCATCCCGGGGTAAATACCACCTGGTCATGATGAATGATCTTTCTATTCTATTGTTGAATTTGGTTTGCTAGTATTTTGTTGAGGTTTTTTGCATCAATATTCAAAATAGATATTGGCCTGTAGTTTTCTTTTGTTGATGTGTGCTTATCTGGTTTTGGTATCAGGGTAATACTGGCCTTGTATAATGAATTTGGAAGTGTTACCTCCTCTATTTTTCAAAATAGTTTGAGTAGGATTGGTATTAACTCTTCTTTAAATGTTTGGTAGAATTCAGTGCTGAAACCATCCTGGGCTTTTTTTTTTTTTTTTTTTTTTTTCTGGGAGACTTTTATTACAGCTCTAATCTTGCTACTTGTTACTGGTCTGCTCAGGTTTTGGATTTATTCCTGGTTCAATCTTGGTAGATTGTATGTGTCTAGGAATTTGTTCATTTCTTCTAGATGTTCCAGTGTATTGACATACAGTTGCTCATAGCAGTCACTAATGATCCTTAGAATTTCTGCAGTATCAGTTGTAATGTCTCCTTTTTCATTTCTGATTTTATTTGTTTGTGTCTTCTCTCTTTTTTTCTTAGTCTGGCTAAAGGTTTGTCAATTTTGTTTAACTTTTCAAAAAATCAACTTTTTGTTTTATTGATCTTTTGTATTGTTTTCTTCATTTCAATTTCATTTATTTCTGCTCTGAACTTTATTATTTCTTTTCTTCTATTAATTTTGGGGTTTGCTCTTGCTTTCCTAGTTCTTTAGAATGCATCATTAGATTGCTTATTTGAAGTTTTTCCTCTTTTCGATGTAGGCACTTACAGCTATAAAATTCCCTTTGAGTACTGCTTTTACTGTTTCCCATAGGTTTTGGTATATTTTGTTTCCATTATCATTTGTTTCAAGAAATTTTTAAATTCTTAATTTCATCCTTGAGCTACTGGACATTCAGAAGCATATTGTTTAATTTCCCTGTATTTGTATAGTTTCCAAAATTGCTTATTATTAATTTCTAGCTGTATTCCATTGTGTTTAGAGAAGATACTTGATATTATTTCAGTATTTTGAATGTGTTAAGACTTGTCTTGTGACCTAACATATGGTCTATATAGTCTATCCTTGAGAATTATTCATGTGCTTAGGAAAAAAAAATATGTATTCTGCAGCTGTTGAATGAAATGTTCTGTGAATATCTTTCAGCTCTATTTGGTCTATAGTGCAGATTAAGTCTGATTTTTTTGTTGTGGATTTGATATCTGGAAGATCCTGTCCAATGCTGAAAATGGGGTGTTGAAGTCTCTAGCTATTATTGTATTGGCATCTGTCTGTCTCTTTAACTCAATAATATTTGCTTTATATTTCTGGGTGCTCCAGTGTTGGGTGCATATATATTTAAAACTATATAATCTTGCTTAATTGACTCCTTTATCATTGTATAGTGACCTTCTTAGTCTCTTCTTACAGTTTTTGTCTTGAAATCTATTTTCTGTAATTATAGCTACTCCTACTCTTTTTTGGTTTCCGTTAGTATGGAATACCTTTTATCATCTCTTTATTTTCAGTTTACTTCTGTCTTCAGAGGTGAAATTTGTTTCCTGTAGGGAACAAATCAATAGGTTTTTTTTCATCCATTCAGTCACTCTATGTCTTTTGATTGGATAATTTGGTTTATTTACATTCAATGTTATTATCGATGAGTAAGGACTCACCTTACTCGTGTTGGTGATACTGCCATTTTTTGTTGTTTGTTTGTTTTCTGGTTGTTTTGTGATCTTCTCTTCCTTCTTTCTTCCTGTCTTCCTTTAGTAAAGATGATTTTTTCTGTTGATAATATTTAGTTTCTTGCTTTTTATTTTTTGTATATTTGTTGTATAATTTTGGTTTGAGGTTACTGTGCAGCTTGCAAGTACTGTCTTATAGCTCATTATTTTAACCTGATAGCAACTTAACACTCTTTGCATAAACAAAGAAACCAGCAAAAAGAAAACTAATAAACACTCTATGCCTTAACTGTTTCCCTCTGCTTCTTAACTTTTTGTTGTTTCTACTATGTCTTGAAAAGTTGTTATAGTTATTATTCTGATTGGTTCACTGTTTAGTCTTTCTATTTAGGATAAGAGTAGGTTACACATGATAGTTATTATATTTTGTGTTTTTCTGTGTACATACTATTACCAGTTTTATAACTTATGATGATTTCTTATTGCTCACTGATATGGTTTGACTGTGTCCTCAGCCAAATCTCATCTTGAGTTGTACTCCCATAATTCCCAGGTGTTGTGGGAGGGACCTGGTGGGAGATAATTTGAATCCTGGGGGCAGTTTTCTCCATACTGTTCTTGTGGTAGTGAATAAGTCTCACGAGAGCTGATGGTTTTATCAGGGGTTTCTGCTTTTGCATCTTTCTCATTTTCTCTTGCTGCTGCCATGTAAGATGTGCCTTTTGTCTCCTGCCATGATTTTGAGGCCTTCCAGCCGTGTGGAACTGTTAAGTCCAATTAAACCTTTTCTCTTCCCAGTCTCGGGTATGTCTTTATCAGCAGCGTGAAAATGGACTAATACACTCACTAACATCCTATTCTTTCTAATTTAAGTACTCCTGTTAGCATTTCTTATAGGACAGGTCTGGTGTTGAAATCCTTCAGCATTTGTTTGTCTTGGAAAGTATATCTTCTTCATCTTTGAAGGATATTTTCATCAGATATACAATTCTAGGGTAAAAGAGTTTTTTCCCTTAGCACTTTAAATATGTTATGCCCCTCTCTCATGACCGATAAGATTTCCACTGAAAAGTCTGCTGGCAGACATAATGGAGTTTCATTGTATGTTATTAGTTTCTTTTATCTTGCTGTTTTAGAATCCTTTCCTTTTCCTTGATCTTTGGGGGTTTGATTATTAAATGCCTTGAGGTAGTCTTTTTTGGGTTAAACCTGCGTGGTGTTCTATAACTTTCTTGTACATGGATATTGATCTCTTTCTCTAGGTTTGGGAAGTTCTCTGTTATTATCTCTCTGAATAAACTTTCTACCCTTACCCCTTTATTTACATCCTCTTCAGGGCCAATAATTCTTAGATTTGTCCTTCCAAGACTGTTTTCTAGATACTGTAGGCATGGGTCATTGTTTCTTTTCTTTTATTTTTTCACTTGTCTCCTCTGTGTATTTTCAAATAACCTGTCTTCAAGCTCACTAATTCTTTCTTCTGCTTGATCAATTCTGCTATTAAAGTACTCTGATAGAGTCTTCAGTATGCCACTTGCATTTTTGAGCTCCAGAATTTCTGCTTAATCCTTTTTAATTATTTCAATCTCTTCATTAAATTTATCTTATATAATTCTGATTTCCTTCTCTGTGTTATCTTGAATTTCTTTGAGTTTCTTCAACACAGATATTTTGAATTCTCTGTCTGAAAGTTCACATATCTCTGTTTCCTGAGAATTGGTTTCTGGTGCCTTATTTAGTTCATTTGGTAAGGTCATGTTTTCTTGGATATTGCTGGTACTAGTAGATGTTCTTCAGTGTCTGGCCATTGAAGATAGATATTTATTGTAGTCTTCATGGTCTGTGCTTGTTTGTACCCATCCTTCTTAGGAAGACATTCCAGATATTTGAAAGGACTTGAGTGTTGTGACCTAAGCTGTGTCTGATTTAAGGGGCACCCCAAACCCAGTAATGTTGTATTTTTTGCAGAGTCATTGAGTACTGCCTTGATGGTCTTGGACAAGATCTGGGAGAATTCTCTGGATTACCAGGCAGAGACTCTTGTTCTCTTCCCTTACTTTCTCCCAACCAAATGGAATCTCTCCCTTTGTTCTGAGCCACCTAAAGCTGAGAGTGAATTAACACAAGTATCCCTGTGGCCACCACCACTATGACTGTACTGAGTCAGACATTCAGCTGCACAGCATTGGTCTCACCTAAGTCCTGCTGTATTCACTCCCTGGCTTCTGCCTATGTCTGCTCAAGGTCCTGGGACTCTACAATCTGCAGGTAGAAAAGCCAGCCAGACTATGTTCTTTCCTTCAAGGCAATAAGTTCCTCCCAGGCCCCAGATGGGTCCAGAGGCACCATCTGGAAGTCAGGGACTAGAGGGAAAAACCTTAGAAATCTACCTGGTGTTCCATTGTACTGTGGGTGGGCTGCACTCAAACCACAGGAGGCAAACCTTCTCACTCTTCCCTCCCCTTTACAAAAACAGAAGAGTCTCACTCCATAGCCACCTTTACCACAGGCCATGAGGAGTACTGCCAGACTACCACCAATGTTCTTTTAAGTTCTAAGGGCTTTTAAGTCAGCTTGTGGTGAATGCTGCCTAGCCTGAGACTCACCCTTCAGGGCAATAGGCTCCCCTCTGACCCAGGGAAGATCCGGAAATACTATCCAAGAGTCAAGTCCTGGAATTAAGGGCCCTAAGAGCCCACTTAGGCCTCTACCCTCCTGTGACCTTGTTGGTACCTAAGATGCAAGACAAAATATCATTTACTTTTCCCTGTGCTTTTCTGAAGCATGATCAGTTTTGCCTCTAAGCCACTAAAGCTGATAATGTTTTGAATCTCTCCTGAAGACAGCAAGTCTCAGAGGCTTACCCGAGGCCCCTGACGTAGTACCTGGGTATCACTGCTGGTTATTCAGGACCCAAGGGTTCTTCAGTTACCAAGTGATGAATGCTGCCAAGACTGGATAATTTTCTTAAAGGCAGCAAGTTTCCATCTGGCCCAGGGTGTGTTTAGAAATGTTGTCTGGGAGCTAAGCCCTGTAACAGGGGCCTCACAGCTCTGACTGGTGTATCCTGCTGTGGCTGAGCTAGTATCCAAAATGCAAGACAAAGTCCTCATCACTCTTGCCTTTCCTCTCCTCAAGAGGAAGGAAGGGGTCTCTTTTGGAGCCTTGAGATATTCAGCCTGGGCTTAGGGAAGGGGTGATGCCGGCACTCCATTAGCCACCCCAACTGATGTCTCAGTAGGTCACATGCCCCTACAGTCCACTGTCTTTTGGCCCAGTTCAGCACTAGGACTTACCTAAGAGTTGCAGTCCTTACAGCCTAGACTGCCTTTCAAGTTTACTTAGAGACCCATGGCACCCTAGCCCTCAGTGGTGAGGTTTACAGGAACTCAAGTTCCCACTGCTGGGATCTGTGATTCCCCTCTGGCTAGGGTGGACATCAGCTGAGTTTGATCTGATTTCCTTTTCTACCCTAACAGGACAGTGCTGAAATCAATGCCTCACAATGACTGTGCTCTCCCTCCCTCAGTGCCCAGAGATGCTTTCCACGCCACAGCCACCGCTTCCAAGGGGTGGGGGAGGAGTGTTATCAGTGAGTCAAGACTGTATTTTTTTATATCTCTTCAGTGCCTCTTTAAGTGATATGAAGTTAAAACCAGGGCACTATGAGTACTCACCTAATTTTTGGTGCTTATGAAGATGTTTTATTTGTTTAGATAGTTGTTAAATTGGTATCCTAGCAGGGAAGACAATCTGTGGCGCCTTCTATTCCAACATCTTTCTCTACCTCCTAGTGTCACTTTTAAAGACCTAAAGGAAGCAATGATAATGGCACCCATCCTCTACCATTTAATTTATCAATCTGACTCCTATAAAACCAGACAGATCCAGGGTGATATAATAGGCTACTTCCAACTTGACCAATTAGTAGCCTATTTGCAACTCTGGTGTCCTATGTGGTATCTTATCTAGAATAGAGTAACATAGTTTTAGGTACACAGCCAGTGATCTGGCAAATGTATTCTTTTTTATGTCAGTGGGGTATAAGAATCAGAAATACTTCACATTAACATAAAATGGATAAAGTATATATTTATTATCTCACAAGCATTATGTTAATTCCCTCAATCTCTGTCATAATATAGTACCGAGAGACCTGAATTACTTATATATTACACATGATATTGGGTATACCATATTAATAATATTGATTACTCAGATCAAATGAATAAATAGTAAAAAAATACATTGGGGGCTTTGGTACAATACATGAGGTTCTGCCCCTTTGGACATATGACCTAGCAGATCCTCTGATAGTAGAGCTATCTGTGTTGAGAAAAAAATACTATGTAGAGTTTGTGGCAAGTTCCAGTAGGAAAATTACATAGACCCCTGAGGTTCTGCAGAAAAGTTAATGATACGTGTTTCTGAAAACTACACATCAATTAAAAAGCAGCCCCTGATGTGATACTGGGCTTTCATAGAGATGGAGTGCCTGACCAGGGGCCATCAAACAACCATGCAACTCATCTTGAACTGACTCATGTCAGACACATCAAGTCATAAAATCAGGTGCACCCAGCATCAATTCATCATAAGGTGGAAGTTATACATAATGAATCTTGTGGAAGGAAATATATCTTGGGCCCCTTCAAGCTGGGAACCACTCCGGACAAAATTGGCCTCCCATTCTATTCAAAGTCATCCCTCTGCTCACAGAGATAGACGTGTATTCTGATTGCCTCCTTTGGAAAGACTTATCAGAATCTCAAAAGAATGCAACTATCTGTCTCTCACCTACCTGTGACATGAAAGCCCCCAGGGAGGTTGGAGGAAGTTTCTTTGAGTTGTCTCTACCTGTCTGGATGGAGCTAATGTATTTCTTACATATATCAATTGGTGTCTTATGTCTCCCTAAAATGTATAAAACCAAGTTGTGCCCCAACCACCTTGGGCACATGTTTTCAGGATTTCCTGAGGCTGGGTCATGGGTGTGTCCTCAACCTTGGCAAAATAAACTTTCTAAATGAACTGAGACCTATCTCAGATTTTCTGGGTTCACAATCTTACAGAAGCAGAGAAACTACACTAGCAGGGGACCCAGACTATCATGCCTTATACCACTTGATATGATTTGGCTGTATCCCCACCCAAATCTCATCTTTACTTGTAGTTCCCATAATACCGATGTTTTGTGAGAGGAACCCAGTGGGAGGTAATTGAATCATGGGGGCGGTTACTCCCATGCTGTTCTCGTGATAGTGAATTCTTATGAGATCTGATGGTTTTATAAGGAGATTTTCCCCCTTTGCTTGGCACTCATTCTCTCTCCTGCTTCCCTGTGAAGAGATGCCTTTTGCCATGATTGTAAGTTTCCTGCAGCCTCCCCAGCCATGCAGAGCCATGAGTCAATTAAACCTCTTTTATTTATGAATTATCCGGTCTTGGGTATTTTTTCATAGCAGCATGAGAATGGATTAATACAGTAAATTGATACTGCAGAGAGTGGGATAAAGATAACCGAAAATGCGGAAGCAACAACTTTGGAAGTGGGTAACCGGTAGAGGTTGGAACAGTTTGAAGGGCTCAGAAGAAGACAGGAAGATGTGAGAAAGTTTGGAACTTCCTAGAGACTTGTTGAATGGTTTTGACCAAAATACTAATAGTGATATGGACAATGAAGTCAAGGCTGAGCTGGACCCAAATGGAGATGAGGAACTTTTTGGGAACTGGAGTAAAGGTCACTCTTGCTATGTTTTAGCAATGAGAATGGCAGTGTTTTACCCCTGCCCTAGAGATCTGTGGAACTTTGAACTTAGGAGAGATGATTTAGGGTATATGGCAGAAGAAATTTCTAAGCAGCAAAACATTCAGGAGGTGACAGAATATAAAAGTTTGGAAAATTTGCAGCCTGACCATATGATAAAAAAGAAAAACCCATTTTCTTGGAAGAAATTCAAGCTGCTGCAGAAATTTGCATAATTAACGAGTAGCCAAATGCTAATCACCAAGACAATGGCGAGAATGTCTCCTGGGTATGTCAGAGACCTTCATGGCAGCCCCTCCCATCAAAGGCCTGGAGGCCTAGAAGGGAAAAATGGCTTCCTGGGCTGGGTCCAGGGTCTCCCTGCTGTGTGTAGCCTCAGGACTTGGTGCCCTGTGTCCCAGCCACTCCAACCATGGCTAAAAGGGGCCAAGGTACAGCTCAGGCTATTGCATCAGAGGGTGGAAGCCCCAAGCCTTGGCACACATGGTGTTGGTCCTGCAGGTGCACAGAAGCCAAGAATTGAGGTTTGGGAACCTCTGCCTAGATTTCAGAGGATGTAAGGAAATGCCTGGATGTCCAGGCAGAAGTTTGCTGCAGGGGCAGAGCAGAGATTCTCATGGAGAGGTTCTCCTGGACAACCTCTGCTAGGGCAGTGCAAAGGGGAAATATGGGGTCAGAACCCCCACACAGACACCCCACTGGGGCACTGCCTAGAGGAGCTGTGAGAAGAGGGCCACCATCCTCCAGACCCCAGAATAGTAGATCCACTGACTTCTTGCACTGTGTACCTGGAAAAGCCACAGATGCTCAATGCCAGCTCGTAAAAGCAGCCAGGAGTGGGGCTGTGCTCTGCAGAGCCACAGGGGCAGAGCTGCCCAAGGCCATGGGAGCCCACCACTTGCATCAGCGTGACCTAGATGTGAGACATGGAGTCGAAGGAGATCATTTTGGAACTCTAAGGTTTAATGACTGCCCTATTGGATTTCAGACTTGCATGGGGCCTGTAGCCCCTTTGTTTTGGCCAATTTCTCCCATTTGGAATGGCTATATTACCCAATGCCTGTACCCCCATTGTATCTAGGAAGTAACTAACTTGTTTTTGATTTTACAGGCTCATAGGTGGAAGGAACTTGCCTTGTCTCAGATGAGACTTTGGACTTGGACTTTTGGGTTAACGCTGGAATTAATTAAGGCTTTGGGGAACTGTTAGAAGGGCATGATTGTGTTTTGAAATGTAAAGACTTGAGATTTGGGAGTAGCCAAGGATGGAATGATAAGGCTTGGCTCTGTGTCCCCACTCAAATCTTACCTTGAATTATAATAATCCCCACATGTCAAGGGCAGGACCAGATGGAGGTAATTGAACCTTTGGTGTGTTTTCCTCCATGCTGTTCTCCTGATAGTGAGTGAGTTCTGACAGGATATGATGATTTTATAAGCATCTGGCATTTCCCCTGATGGCACTTCTCACTCTTGCTGCGAGGTGAAGAAGGACATGTTTGCTTCCCCTTGTGCCATGGTTGTAAGTTTCCTGAGGCCTTCCCAGCCATGTGGAAGTGTGAGTCAATTAAGCCTCTTTTCTTTTTAAATATAGGCTGGTATTTCTTCATAGCAGCATGAGAATGGACCAATACAGTTGCTTATCAACCACTTTGAGAAGAGCAGTGACCATTGGTGGAGAGATACAGCCAGCCCTGGTTGACCTTGCAAGAGAATAAATACTTTGGTCTCACTCTCTGGTTGGTTCACTCATTGATAAACTTAATCAGAATCATAGGGCAAGGGAATGCTGATCATGCAGTCCATGTGGTTCAGCCTCCTAGGGCAAAGTACAGGGTGGAAAATATTGGATAATGGATTCATAGGGACAAACAGAGTAAGGACTTTAGTATCATTCATAGCACTCATAGGTCCTGGCAGGATTATATGAATACTATATAAACATACACTTTATAAATACTTGGTAATGATATTTAGTTTAATATTTAAAAAGAAGCAATGTGATTGTGTTAGTTAATTAAATAAATATTTATTACCACCTACCATGTGATAAGCATGCTTATTCAAGTCCTGAGGATATAGTGGTAAACAATACAAACAATGAAAAAAAACCCTGCTTTGCGAAGATTACACATGTCATATAGCAAGCATATATGACAGAGTTGTAAAAGAATTTGTTATATGTGAAAGATTCATTTAAATAGATTTCAAATCTAATAACAAAATCCTTTATGTGTTTATTAATTTACAAAGGTCACTTGAAAAAAATAAATAATAAATTTCTTTAAAAGTTATATATGGAATTTTAAAAGTTTAATGTAAAAACACATGTAGTAAATTGTTTAAAATGTTGTTTCATGTTTGTCTAAATCCCCATTGTGTTTTCTTAATAGTAGGTGAACATGTATAGATTTCTGTCTATATATGAGAGCCCTTGGCCATAAAGCCCAAATGGATGTGAGTGAATTTTCATGCAAATAAATTCCAAAGATGCAGAGTACTCCAGTTTTCAGTGAACTTCCAGCTTAGTTTAGCCCCCTGCATTACATCATTAGTAAGTATTTTTTGGGGGTGGGGAAGGCTGGGAAAATTAGGTACTAAATCTTTCAATTTTAATTCTCAACATACTCTTCAGGTAGTTCTGTGACAGACCAAAGGCTTTAACAGGGGTTGTAACATTTTTTAAGGGTTAAATATGAGAAGTGCATTAATTTCATTCTCATTTCAAAGCACTAATTTTCAGTGCCATAAACAGTATCTCCAAAGGCTTCTTTTATCAAACCTAATTAACTCTCAATTTCCCTGTAAGTTTCCCTAAATCCTTTTCATCAAGATATCCAAGGTCAGTAGATAGTTACTATTCAAAATATTCAACATTCAGAATTAAAAGATACTTAAGGGCTTAGAATGAGTCTTAATGGACAAGATCTCAGGCATAGACATTTATTATCAATTATTTTCAGATAGCTTATTATTATCATATATCAACTACATACATAGAACTATGTTGGGTATTGTGGGCAGCGGGGAGATATATAGGTAACAGAAAATGTCCTTAAGAAGTTTCTAATCCAATTCTAGAAGAAACATAGGTGAAATAACTATAACTCAAGACAAAATGGAATTCTGAGGCATCTAAACATTGAAATTTAAGAAGATAACCAACCATACATAAACAATAAATGCTTCAACGGGAAGTAACAAATATTTAAGCTGATCCCTATATAATGAAGTTTGGTTTGTTTTTGTTTCTTTGTCTAAGATGGGAGAAGATAACATTTCAGGAGGGAAAAATAGCACAACAGAAAGGCAGATATTATAATGTATAGGGGCCTTTGATCATCCAAGTTTTTGTGTAGACAAATAAATGTTTGGTTTTATCCATTGGCAAAAGACTTTGAGGAACATTTCCATAACCACTTCCTTCTACTGCATCTGAAGATTTTTATATCATTTGCAGCCAGGGTAATTACATTTAGTTGAATCTTCTTAAAAGATCATAGGTTAAAAGATCAATGATTTCAAATAAATAAATGTAATTGATAGTTTGATGAAATATGAAATAGCAACTATTTAAAAAATTGTAAAACCTTCGCCCCTCTCTACTCATCAGAATTCTATTAATTCTTCATGGACTTATTTCTCTATCTTTATGTCACAATTTTCTTCTTCTTATTTTGTGTTTTTATAGCCATTTGTGTATGTTCCTGGGACAAATAACCATATATTAATTTTAGAATTTAATACCCAAATGATATTGGTTTATCTTGAAATAATAAATTATGTATCAAGCAATACAATTATATAACAATTTCATTTTCCTTTACCCCTTGAATACCCAAAAACATAGAGTGAATTTTAATGATCAATCATAGGTACTACGTTAAGCTAAATAATGTCTATTAAATGAAGTCCCCTTTCATTTAGATTCACATTTGTAAACTGTACAGATGTTATAATATGTATTTACATGCAGCATATATTTTAACACTATTACTCTATTTAATGGAGTCTTTCTTCAAACATGTCAGAAAATATAAATAACAAGTTACTTAAAATTTTATTTATATTTTAAAATATACTGCTTCATGTGAAATATCCTAATACAAGAATGTCTCCCATTAATAATCTGTGCACATTTATGAACTACTTGTTCCCAAATAATGCAGTTAAAACTTATGACTCTACTAAATAAACTATTAAAACAAAGAAGTTGAAGCAGAGCAAGCTATTTGTTAGAATGAAGAGCTTTGTAAAAATTATTTTAAAAATATAGTAATATGCTACCGACTTATTCTCTTCCAGCAATCTGCCATAGAGATATGCAAATGTTTTATAAGTTTAATGGAATCTTTATCACTGAAAAGTAATGGCTCTTAATGCTACACAGCTAAACAATAAAAGAGGCTTATGTATAATTACAGATGGCCAAACGTTTGCATCAGTATATATGTATCAATAATAAAATTATATAGCATTACATATATATATAATTATATATATTTTTCTGTTCCCAAGTTATAGTTACATTTCCTGATTAGAGAATCATGGCCTATGTTCAACTCAGCATGATTGAAAAAGTAGCAAAATGTTGGTCATATCAACTGAGCCACCATATGACGGACCCTTGACTGATAAACTTTTGATGCTGAGTTTTGTTGAGAATAGTAGGGAGTCATTCTGCTATGCTGGTATGACATAGAAAGAATGAAAGAAAGTGAAACTCTTTGGAAATCATAATCTAGTTAAGAAGTAGTCTTATTTGTATGTGTTGGGTGTAGTATGATTTGAGAGGCATTAGAAAAATAGAGTTTTCTCCAAATGATTTCCTAGTATATTTCTTAAATTTTGCTTTTAGCAGTCATGTTTTTGATTTAAACATTGGAAATCTAATGGTCAGAACATTGGGTTACTAAACATCTTTGTTTCTGTCAAAGTATTTTGGGGAGGAATTATGTGAGGAAGAGTATGGAATGAGGATATTTTATTGCCTGAGCATGTGTACATTTTCTTAAGAACTTTGCATTTGAGAGAGGAAGAAAACTCTGTGGAACAATTTCAGATATCAAGTAAACCTTGTTAAAGTAACTAGCCACTTTCCAGTTGAGGGTGGCTGTGATGCATTGTTCTGACCAAGAGTCATAAAAGAACGTTTGCTAGGTGGGAATTCTGAGAATATGAAGGTTTTCCTGAATTTAAAAAAAGGAGACAGATTCAGCATGTACATCCTTTTCTGCCCTTTTGCCCCCTTTTTTTTTCTTCTTGCCTTATATCACCTTGTCTGGAATTGGAAGCCTGGAAATACAGTAGCTATTTTGCAGCCAGGAAGCAACAAACATGAGCAAGAGAGTCAAGCAGAAGATAGAACAACTCTGTGTCTCTAATGGCATATGCTTGAGCTGTCTGGTCCAGGAGTAACGAAGACTCTTATGGCTTAAGACTGACAGACTTTCTGAGTCAAGTATGTTAGTGTAGAGTTTTGGGTTGCTTGCAGTCAAGTACAATACTAAAAGATACGCTTCCAAGTACACCATGAAAGGAACTCCCTCCTCTACCACTTAATCTTGTATCAGTGCCAAAGCTGATGAGATAACCTGAACTTTTCTAATTTATCTCAGCTGACAATGCCAATATTAATTGCTTAATACAGGCACCAATGTTGAAAGTCTTTATAATGGTGCTAGATTCTGGAACTATGCTGAATTATTATTACAGAAACTGACTTAAAAATACCACACATGAACCCAATGCCCAAGGTGGTTTGTTTCACTGACTATTTAAGCAATTGTTTAGACAGGGGTGTTCAATTTTTTGGCTTCCCTGGGCCACATTGGAAGAATTGTCTTGGGCCACACATAACATACACTAACACTAACGATAACTGAAGAGCTTAAAAAATTGCCAAAAAGTCTCATAATGTTTTAAGAAAGTGTACAGATTTGTGTTGGGCCACATTCAAAGCCTTCCTGGGCCACATGTGGCCCATGAGCCACTGGTTGAACCAGCTTAGTTTAGAACAAAGGATTTCTATTGGTAAAATGTCTCTTTTCTCTTAGTCTTATTTTCAGCATGTTTCATAATGTAGTGTCTGCCAGGCGAAGGTATAAGAAAACCCATTTTGAGCCATAATGGTGAATGACAAAATGTCATGAAACAAAAGTGAAAAGAATTGAAAGAGGAATTTCTGACCTGAATTCATTTTTTAGATTATAGTTGATAGCATAACAAGAAATGATAGTGACAAATGATCTGCCAGGGAAAATGATCCAGTATTATTTGCTGCTATGTGACATTATGCTATGAAATACTAATTCAGATAAAACATGGTAAGAAATTAAATCTTCAAAAGTACAATAGGAAGAATGTGTGTCGTTGATCAGCATTATTTCTAATGCTTAATTCTATCCAGAGCTAATAATGTTAACGACTAATTCAAGGGAGGGCAGACACCACAGTTTTGTTATTCAGATTAATTCCATTTATAAAACACATTGAGAATATTCAGCAAAAGAATTTAATGCAGAAGGCTTGAAATAAAATATTAGGGTGATACCATTTTATAATTATATTTTGACCAAGAAGAGGCAGAATATTTAGTTAGCACAAATTACAGAAAAATAAGTGAAAATTTATCTTTGAAAAGATTAAATATGTCCTCATCGGGTAAAAACATCTCAAAGAATTTCAAGATCCAAGTGCTGTAAACCATTGCTAAAATGTGCTTGAAAGTGCAGTATGGCTTAGATATGCAGTGCTGGTTAAAAAGAAACATTCAAATTAGTGATCCAATTTAGAAATTTAACAGATTTAGAAGAAGGAGTATGTTTTAGCAGTTAGGAAGGGCATGAGATTTATGTATTAGTTACAAGGCTGGGAAATGAACTGAGCTGAACTCATTTTTGTGACCTAAAGCAAATCTCCTCTGGATCTCAATTTTCTTAGATATAAAACAGAGCTGAGAGAGACAACAGTGTTGTTCCCTCACCTGTCTCCCTCTGTGAACAAAGTCCCCTTTAAAGTCAGTACAGAGAAGGTTGAAGAGGAAAAGACACTGAAAACAAATAGGAACGCACATGGAGTTGCATGTATAAGTCCTGGGTTTTGCTGTTACCATCAATAACAACCACTTGCCAATATGATTATCTTTGATATATAGTCAAGCACAAAGTATTTAATTGCAAATACATATTTCCATTTAGCAGTTTCAAGATGGGATTTGTTTTGTATTGAAAATAAGCATGCTGCTTTACTCTATATACATATTTATTCTTTGTAATGTCATTAAAATGGATGTCAGTTTGTAGGAAATTATTTCTGACTCCTTTACACTACCAAGCATATGGTGTGATTGTAATCAACTTGAATGAAGCATATCTATGTTTATTTAGGAGTAGCTTTTTTAATGGTTCTTGGAAATTAGGTAGTTATTTCCTTTCGGAAATTAGGTAGTTATTTCCTTTCATGTGAGATGGGGGTGTTGGTGTGGATTTGGGGTGGTGCTGTTTTAATTGGTTATTAGAGTGTGTAGTAGTAGGAATGGCCATCTTCCACAAAAGTTATGGTGGGCTCATGGTTACCTTAATTTCTTCCTTCCTTTCTCTTTCCTTCTTTCTACTTCCTTCCTTCATTTTGATCTTTCCTTCTTTCCACTATTTCTTTTTTCCTTTTATTCAAACTTCCTTTACTTTTTTCTTTATCTTTATCTTTCCCTTTATTTCTGCCTTCTTCTCTTCCTCCTTCCATTCCATCTTTCTTCCCTTGCTTCCTTCATTTCATCCTTCCTCTTTCTATTTTTCTCTCTTTTCATTTTCTCTAATTCATCCCCATAGCCTCCTACTTTTCCTTTCCTCTCATCTGCCATAACTTCCTTCCAATCATCCATCCTGCTTAGTTTTCTTCCTTCTTTGCATCCACCTTGCCTCCCTTCCATCCATCCATTCATATATTCACGAGGTTTGCTTCTCTTTCTTCTTTCATTAAACAACATTTATTGGACCCTGCTGTGTGCCAGATGGCAATTCAATATTAGGAATATTGAAATAAATAACACATGGTCTCCAAGGAACTGAAAGTGTGTCTAAACGAAAGAAAGAGAAAATCTAAAACATCTTAGTAAAATCATACAGAGGACTATGGAGAAAGAGGTATGGCTTGGAATAATGAGGTTTGTGCACAATCTTCAATTCTACCCTCTAGCCTAACTTTTGAAGACCACTTCTGGTGTCTAGTGCAGCCAATAAGCCCTCTCCTCCATAGTGATACATTGTGATAGAAGTTAACACAACCATTAAAAACTGCTCTCTCTCTCTGACACAGAGTGTCAGCAGATCTCCGTTTTTTCTTTCAATAATAGTCCAAAATAATGTCATAAGAAAATTCATTCCAAAGAACCCTTGGATTAGACAAGCACCAGAGATTACCTGCCTGGGTTTCCCAATGCCTGCTCTTCCCCCCAACTCCACCCCCAAAAAGACCTATTGGCAGGACTAGCCCTTGGTTTGGATCCTGGGAATTGATCTCTGAGTCCTTGGAACATCCTGCTTGATAAGAGTGTTTTTTGTGCCTGAGGCCTTTGATGATTCTGTATCAGTTTGACATCTGGGGATCTAGAGTCTGAAGAGCTGATGTCAGTCACACAGGTACTGCACACCTCTCTTACTCATCTCCAATTAAAATCTTAAGCACCAAGTCTCGGGTAAGCTTCCCTGGCAGGCAAAATTTCACATGTGTGATAATACATCATTTCTGGGAAAATCAATCCTGTCTAAATATGGCTTCACTGGGAGATAACATCTGGAATCTTACACCTGGATTCTCCTGAACTTCACTTGTGTACCTTTCCTTTTGATGATATTAGTCTTTACTCTTCACTGTAATAAACTATAACAATGTTATGAGTCCTGTGAGTCATTCTAGTGATCAATAAGCCTGAGGGTGTTATTGGGGACCCCCAACATACCAAGAGATGCCCACCCATTTTCCTGTACTTTTTAGAGTCCACACATTGTACTATAGTTATAAATGTGACACCATTGGGAGAAACCAGTGAAAGTATAAAAGATCACTATGTATTGTTTCTTATAACTACATGTGGGCCGATAATGATCTCAAGATAATTTTATTTTATTTTTTATTATACTTTAAGTTCTAGGGTACATGTGTACAACGTGCAGGTTTGATACATAGGTGCCATGTGCCATGTTGGTGTGCTGCACCCATCAACTCGTCATTTACATTAGGTATTTCTCCTAATGCTATCCCTCCTCCAGCCCGCACACACCGACAGGCCCCAGTGTGTGATGTTCCCCACCCTTTGTCCAAGTGCTCTCATTGCTCAGTTCCCACCTATGAGTGAGAACATGTGGTGTTTGGTTTTCTGTCTTTGTGATAGTTTGTTGAGAAGGATGGTTTCCAGCCTCATCTATGTCCGTGCAAAGGACATGAACTCATCCTTTTTTATGGCTGCATAGTATTCCATGGTGCCACATTTTCTTAATCCAGTCTATTGTTGATGGACATTTGGGTTGGTTCCAAGTCTTTGCTATTGTGAGTAGAACAGAGGCCTCAGAAATAACACCACACATCTACAACCATCTGATCTTTGACAAACCTGACAAAAACAAGAAATGGGGAAAGGATTCTCTATTTAATAAATGCTGCTGGGAAAACTGGCTAGCCATATGTAGAAAGCTGAAACTGGATCCTTTCCTTACACCTTATATAAAAATTAATTGAAGATGGATTAAAGACTTAAATGTTAGACCTAAAACCGTAAAAAACCCAGAAGAAAACTTAAATAATACCATTCAGGACATAGGCATGGGCAAAGACTTCATGACTAAAACACCAAAAGCAATGGCAACAGAAGCCAACATAGACAAATGGGATCTAATTAAACTAAAGAGCTTCTGCACAGGAAAATAAACTACCATCAGAGTGAACAGGCAACCTACAGAAAGGGAGAAAATTTTTGCAATCTACCAATCTGACAAAGGGCTTATATACAGAATCTACAAATAAACAAATTTAAAAGAAAAAAACAAACAACTCTATCAAAAAGTGGGCAAAGGATACGAACAGACACTCTTCAAAAGAAGACATTTTTGCAGCCAACAGACACATGAAAAAATGCTCATCATCACTGGTCATCAGAGAAATGCAAATCAAAACCACAATGAGATACCATCTCACACCAGTTAGAATGGCGATCATTAAAAAGTCAGGAAACAGCAGATGCTGGAGAGGACATGGAGAAATAGGAATGCTTTTACACTGTTGGTGGGAGTGTAAATTAGTTCAACGATTGTGGAAGACAGTGTGGTGATTCCTCAAGGATATAGAACTAGAAATACCATCTGACCCAGCAATCCCATTACTGTGTATATACCCAAAGGATAAAACATTTTTTAAACCGTTATTTTAATTGTACCCTTAAAGTGAGTACATTTTATTTCATATGAATTATACCTCAATAGAATTGATTTTTCAAAAGTTCTAAATTACTTTATTATAAGACCCTAGTCCTTGACCTTTTTATAGTAGTCTGAAATATTTATGTATCTCATCATGATAAGATTTTGTACAACTAAATAAACTTTTCATGATTTTCCACTTAAGTTGAATGTTTTCCCCAGCAAGGCTCCTCAGTCTCTCTCACAAATAGTCTTTTGTAAGGTAGCCCCACTATTTTGTAAGAAGTACCTGAACATGCAGTAAAATCGGTCAGACACAAACTAGAATGCCTCCTTCAAAATAAAAGATAAATTTAATAACCCCTACTCAACCAACTCAAAATGTATTTATCAAGTACTTTTTTAATGTGTGCCAGGAATTGCAGAAACTAATAAATTATTACAAAACAACATCCATGCTTTTGCAGACCTTACCATAGTTCTGCCACATGCTAGCTATGAAATCTTGGTTAAGTTTCTTAACCCTTTTCACCTTTAGTTTTCACATCTGTAAAATAGAGAAAATAAAACTACTTACCTCATAAGTTATAAAGCTTAAATGATTTTTAAAGTTTTATATAGCAATGCAAAGAAAATGACCTCATGACTGGCAAAAAGTAAATATACCTGGGGATTCATGAGAAGATAGTGAAAGAATGATTAAAGGAGTCCCAGAATTATAAAGATGGTAGGATTTGAGTTACATGTGGAGAAATGAGGTGGTAAAGGAAATAAAAAACGTGAATAACAAGGGAGGATATTTGGCACTGGAGTTTATAAGGAAGTGAATCTGTTAATATATAGTTGTGGTGGGAGTTGAGGATGGATAGGTGAAGTATGCCATTGTAGAGACTTTGAATAATAAGTAGAACTTAGATTTTATTCAAGAAGTAATAAAAACTATAAATAGTTTCCAATATGGGTACAATTAAAATTTGATGTTTTCAAGATTATGAGTGTGATATTAATGAGTAGGATGCTTTAGAGTGATAATATTCTTTAGAAAAAAGGGAAAGAATTTAGGAGACTACTTTGATGATCCAGAAATGAGGCAATAAAAGTCTGAAACCTTAAAGTTTGGATCCAAAAAATACAGTGAAGGCAGATAAACTAAATATGTCATTTAGTAGAATAATTTAACCTAACACATTATTGAATGAATGGCAACAATATGATCTGGTGATGCTTTCTTTAATGAAGGGAGTATATGTTGATTTAATGATTAATTAATAGGCTCTATTGTACGTATTATTTCTCCTCAACTTTAATGGTTTTTTTTCCTCAGGAATTATTAGTGACAATATATTAAATGTACATTGTTATTTTTTACTAAATTTGTTACATAATAATTTTCAGACTGCTCACCATTTAGCCAATGAAAAATACATACTGTTTTAGGTTTATGAAACATGCAAAGTTTTATATATAAGATGATATTTTATGAGTTGCAAAGCTTCAATATATCTCCTGTTTTCAGTTTCATTTCTACATCCAGATAAATGTGACCACCACAGTTCTGATATAAAACACTTCCACCATCCCCAAATATTTCCTGCCTTTTCTGTATTTAATTTACTTCTTCATTCTCTAGCTGTTGACAACCACCAACCTACTTTCTACTAGTATACTTTTGCCTTTTTAAAAGGAATGTTATTTAAATGGAATCATATAGTTCATACTTTCTTGTGGCTAACCTACTTAGCGTAACGCCTTAGAGGTTCACACACATTGTCAAGTGTATCAGAATAGATTTTCCATTTTATTCAATTGTGTGAATAAACCACAATTCTTTTATTCATTTGCTAGTTGTTGGATGTTTGGATAATTTCCAATTTGGGATTATTATGAACAAAGTTTCCACAAAGATTAACATACAAGTCTTTCTATAGACATATGCTGGGTCATATGACAAAATATATACTTAACCTTATAAATCTTTGTAAGAAACTTTGTAAATGTTGTAAGAAACTTCTTTCAATAGTGGCTGTACCATTCTTTATTGCTACCAGCAATTTATGAAAATTTCAGCTGTTCCACATCCTCATCAACACTTGGTATAGTCAAACATATTTTGTATTAGTCATTCTATTGGTGGTAAAGTGATTCTGCTTTGTGGTTTTGATTAGTGTTTTCCTAGTGAGAAAAAAATGTTGACCATATTTTCAAGTACTTATTACCATTCTTATATCTTCTTAATTATTTTTGGGCTTTATTAAGATATAATTGATGAATAGGAATTGTATAAAGTCTACAGCTTGATGTTTTGACATATGTGTACATTGTCATATGATTAGCACAAGCAAGCCAATTGATATATCCATCACCTCACATAGTTATTTCTTTCTATCTTCCCTCTTTCCTTCCATCCTTCTTTCCTGAGAACTCTTAAGATCTATCCTCTTAGCAAATCTTCTTTAATGTAATGTCTATTCCAATATATCACTCATGAAATTAATTTTTGTTGTCTTATTATTGACTTTCAAGCAGGCTTAGTTTTCTGAATATAGGTTCTTTATTGGACAGATGCTTTGCAAATAGTTTCCCACAATCTTTGCCTTGCTGTTGTATTTTCTTAACAGAATAAAAAATTTAATTATATTGAATTCCAAATTATCATTCTTTCTTTTATAATATGGGATATTTTTGTGTAGTCTTTTGATTCGATTATGCTTTCTTCTAGAAATTTTATACTTTTAGTTCTTATATTTAGGGTTATCATGTATTTTGAGATAAATTTGTATATGGCGGTAACATAAGGGTTGAGGTGTCTCATTTTATTTCATATGGCTTCCAATTGCTCTAGCACCAATTATTATTAAAGAGCATTACTTCTCCATTGAATTACCTAGGCTCATTTATTGAAAATCATTATTTATTACTCATATATGTCTGGGTCTACTTTTGAACTCTTCCTTTGCTTCCATTATCTATATTTCTGTTTTTGCACAATGCCACATGGTCTTGATTAATGTAGCTCTATGCTGAGTATTGAAATCAGATAATGTAAGTCCTCTCACTTCTCTTTTAACATTCACTGTTAAGTACACATTAATTTTTTGGACCATTTAATTTTATATAAATTTTTTATAAATTTTATATAAATTTTGTAACTGGCCGGTTAATTTCTTTAATAAAACTCTTTGGATTTTCATTATAATTATATTGAATCCATAGACCAGTTATAGGGATAATTGAAATTTTAACAATATTAAGTCTTTAGATCTGTGAACATTATATATCTTTCTATTTGTTTATGTCTCTAATTTCTCTCAGCAATGTTTAATAACATTTGGTATATAAGCTTTATTTATTATTTCTTAAATGCATCCCTGTGGATTTCTACAATTTTACACTATTTTAAATCGTGTTGTATTTAAATTTGTATTTCTAAATATTAATTGCTAGCATATAAAAATACAACTGATTTTTAAAATTCTCCCTGTATAAGGTTGAAAAAGCTAATTATTAGTTATAATGTTGTTTTGTGTGAATTCATTAGAAATTCCTGTAATAACAATCATTTAATCCATTAATAAGGACAGTTTTACTTCTTAATATTCAATGTGTATGTTTTATTTTTCCTACCTTATTACAGTGGTAACAACCTCCAATGGAATACTGAATAAAAGTTGTCTGTGGATATTTTTGCTTTGTTCCTGATCTTAGAGAGGAAAAATTTAGTTTTTTTATAGTTAAGTATGATTTTGAAAGCAACTTTTCATAGGTGCCCTTTGTCACATTGAGGAAAATTCCCTGGCACTTCTAGCTTAACAGAGCATTTTTAAAATGATAAATTTGTATTCAATATTACTTTTATTTTGGCATGTATTAAGAAGATCATATGTGTGTGTATATATATTTATACGTGTTTGTGAATATATATATGTGTGGTGTGTATGTATACATATACATCTTTTTCTGTCAATATGGTGAATTACATTGATTTTTAAATGTTAAACCATCTTTACATTCTTCAAACTCCATTCAGTTTTCTAAATTTTAGGGAGAAGAGGGATGCATCTATGTTTATAAAAATATTACTATAAGATTTATTTTCTTATAATTTATTCATCTGGTTTTAGTGTCTGATTACTATTCTTGTGATTGTGTATTTTCCATCATAATTAGTTTGCTTAGAATTAGTATTATTCTTTAAATTTCTGGAATAAAGACATCTGCAACTAGAATATATTTTTAGGAATGTTTTAATGACAAGTTATGTTTCTTCAATAATTATAGGGCTATTCAGGCTACCTACTTCTTGAGGAAATTGTCTTAATTTATGTATTTCAAGGACATGTACTTTATCTAATTTGGCAAATTTGTTGGCATAAGTTTTTCATAAATTTTAAAATTATTTTTCAAATGACTGTAGGATCTGAACCATTGATGCCTGTTTTACTGCTGATATAGTTAATTTGTGTTTCTCCTCTTTTTCTCCCTAATCTATCTGGCTAGAGGTTTATTAATTGTATTGATTCTTTCAATGAGCCAGTTACTGTTTTCACTGACTTTCTCTGTAGTTTTTGTTTAATATTTCTTTATTATTTGATATTGTCCTCTTTGTGCACATTTTTTGGGAATTTCGTTTTGCTGTTCTTTTTTTTTAAGTTCCCTAAATGGGAAGCTTAGATTATTGATTTGGCAGATTTGCATTTTTTAAAGCATTTAATGCTATAAATGTCCTGTTTAGTTCTGTTTTATTTTCATCTCACCAACTCTCATATGTCACATTTTTCTTTTTCAAAAAGTTTAAATTATCTTCTAATTTTACTTGTTATTTCTACCAGAAATACAGAGAGAGAGAGAGATTTATATATCAATATATGTATAAATCTATTGCAAGAAAAAGGAATTGGTTTACATGATTGTGATGGCTGGCTTAGCAACTCCTACTTCTGTAGCGCAGGCAGTCAAGAAGATAGGCTGGAACTCTTAAGCACAGGCTGAAGCTGTAGTCCACAAAATGATTTTTTTTTCCAGAGAAGCCTAATTCTACTTTTAGAGATTTTCACCCGAAGGTCCATCTTTGTTATATAGAATGATTTTCCTTACTTAAACTGACTATAGACTTTAATTACAGGTACCAAATATCTTCACAGCAATACCTTGATTAGTATTTGATTGAATAACTTGGAACTATAGCCTAGCCAAGTTAATATACGAACAGGCTGCCTTAGTCCATTTATGCTGCTATAACAAAATACCACAGACAATAATTTATAAAGAGTATAGATTTATTGCTCACAATTATGAGGCTGGGAAGTCCAAGATCGAGGTGACAGCAGGTTCGACGTCTGGTGATGGCCTAATCTCTGTTTTCAAGATGGTGCCTTGAATGCTGTATTCTGACATGGTGGAAGGAAAGGAAGCACAAAAGGGACTACCTAGTTGCCCTCCACACTTTTATAAGGTTCTAATCAAATCCATAATGGCAGAGCCCTTATGGCTTAATCACATCCTCAAGGCCCCACCTCACATTGAGAATTAAATTCCAACATGAATTTTGGAAGGGACACAAACATTCAAACCACTGGTCATCACATTGACTCAGTTTTAAGATAGAAGTACATTTTAAAATTTCTCAATATTTGGGGATTTTTATGTATCTTTCTTTTTGCTTTCTAATTTAATTCCATTTAGTAGGAGAACATACTTTTTATGATTTTTTTTACATTTATAGATCTTATCTTATTGATTTTTTATCTTGGTAATTTTTCCATAACTACTAAAAACAGATGTGATTTCTGTTATCCTTTGGTGGGGTGTTCTATAAATGTAAAATAGCTTTAATTTTTTGTTAAGTTTCTATATCCTCACTGAAATCTGGTCTACACGTTTGATATGGCTTGGCTGTATCCCCACCCAAATCTCATCTTGTGCCTGGAATTGTAATCCCCATAATCCCCACATGTCTAGAGAGAGACCTGGTAGGAGGTGATTGGATCATGGGGGTTGTTACTCCTATGCTGCCCTCATGATAGTGAGTGAGTTGTCACAAGATCTGATGGCTTTATAAGGTGTTCTTCCCCCTTCGCTCCTCATTATTTTCTCCCCTACCACCTTGTGAAGGTCCTTGCTGCCTCTTCACCTTCTGCCACATGGAACTGGGAAGACCTCAGGAAACTTACACCTCTTTCCTTAATAAGTTACTCAGTCTCAGGTAGTATTTTTAGAGCAGTGTGAGAACATACTAATACAGTAAATTGGTACCAGGAGTGGGGCACTGCTATAAAGATACTTGAAAATGTGAAAGCAATGTTGGAACTGGGTATCAGGCAGAGGTTGGAACAGTTTGGAGGGTTCAGAAGAAGGCAGGAAGATGGGGGAAATCTTGGAGTGATATAAACAACAAAGTCCAGGCTGAGATCTCTCAGATGGAAATGAGGAACTTATTGGGAACTGGAGCAAAGGTCACTCTTGCTATGCTTTAGCAAAGAGACTGGTGACATTCTGCCCCTGCCCTAGAGATCTGTGGAACTTTGACTTGAGAGAGATGATTTAGGATATCTGGCAGAAGAAATTTCTAAGCAGCAAAGCATCCAGGAGGTGACAGATCATAAAAGTTTGAAAAATTTGCAGCCTGACCATGTGATAGAAAGAAAAACCCATTTTCTGGAGAGAAAATCAAGCCTGCTGCAGAAATTTGCATAAGTAACAAGGAACCAAATGTTAATAGCCAAGACAATGGGAAAAATGTCTCCAGAGCATGTCAGAGACCTTCATGGAAACCCCTCCCACTACAGGCCCGGAGGCCTAGGAGAAAAAATTGGTTTCCTGGGCCTGGCACAGGGACCCAGTTGCTGTGTGCAGCCTAGAGACTTGGTCCCCTGCATCCCAGAAGCTGGGGCAAAAAGGACCCAGGTATAGCTTGGGTTGTTGCTTCACATGGTGCAGGCTCCAAGCCTCGGTGCCTAACATGTGGTGCTGGGCCTATGGGTGCACAGAATTCAAGAAATGAAGTTTAGTAAACCACCTAGATTTCAGAGGATGTATGGAAATGTCTGGATGTCCACGCAGAAATCTGCTGCAGTGGTGTAACCCTCATGGAGAACCTCTGCTTGGGTGGTGTGGAAGGGAAAGAGAGAGAAAAGAGAGAGCCCCTTATGTCATGAGATCTGATGGTTTTTTAAGGGGCTCTTCCTCCTTTGTTCCTTGTTCTTCTCTCTCCTGCTACCATATGAAGAAGGAACTTGCTTCCCCTTCACCTTCTGCCATGATTGTGTTCTGAGGCCTTCCCAGCCATGTGGAATTGTGAGTCAATTAAACCTCTTTCCTTTATAAATTAGCCAGTCTCAGTAGTATCTATATAGCCATGTGACAACAGACTAATACAATATTCTATTTTTATTGACAAAGAAGTGTTAAAATTTCTAACTATAATGATAGATTTGTTTATTATCTTTTTCCTTCTCTCAATTTTTTTGTTTAAAAATTTTTTAATGACCCGTTTTAATGAGACCTAATTTGCATATCATAAAAGTTATCTTTTTAAGTTGTACAACTCAGTGGGTTTTATTAGTAGTTATGCATCGCTTAACAATACAAATGTATTGTGAAAAATACATTGTTAGGTGATTTCATAATTGTGTGAACATCATAGGATATACTTACACAAACCGAGATGGTATAGCCTATGACAACATAGGCTATATGGTATAGACTATTGCTTTTAGGCTACAAATCTATACAGCATGTTATTTTTTTGAATACTGTAGGAAATTGTAGCACAATGGTAAGTATTAATATTTGTGTATCTAAGCATGAAAAGGTACAGTAAAAATATAATATTATATTATTTTGTGAACACAGGCATATATGTAGTCCTTCACTGACCAAAATGTAGTTATGAGGCACGACTGTATACATTCACAGATTTGAGCAATATTACCACAATCTAATATTAGAACATTTCCATCACTCCAAAAATAAGCCTCATACTCATTAGAGGTTACTCCCCATTCCTCCCTCTATTAGCCCCTGGAGACTGCTAATCTATTTTATGTCTATAGGGATTTGCCTATTCTGGGCATGTCACCAAAATTGAATCATACAATATGTGGTTTTATGTGTCTAGTTTCTTTCACATACTATAATGGTTTCAATGTTCATTCATGTTGTAGTATGTATTAGTATTTTTTTCTTTCTATGTCCTAGTAATATCCACTGTATGAATATATAACATTCTATTAGTTATTGATTCATGTGTGTTAAAATTCCATTAGAAGAGAATACACATTTATGACTGTCATATCCTCTTGAAAGATTAATGTCTCTATCATTACAAAATGCCCCTCATTATCCCTGGTAATTGTTCTAGTTCTTCAATCTACTTTGTCTAATATTAATATAACAACTCCAGTTTTTTAAAAAATAAGACTTTGCATGTTAAACTTTTTCTCATAATTTGACTTTAAACTTATTTTCATCTTTGATTTAAAATTGATTTCTTATGGACAACTGATAGAGGGTCTTGATTTTAGGGTGACAAACTCTGCCTTTTAAAAGGAACATTTAGATTAGTTACCTTTAATATAATTATTATTTCTCAATACAATTATGGTTGAGTTAAATCTACTACATAGGTTTTTTTTTGTCTTATCTGTTCTTGATTTCTTTTCTCTTCTTTTGCATTTGTTTGGATTTTTTATGATCCTTTTTTAACTCTACTATTAGTCCATTAGTGATACATCTTTATTGATTTGTATCATGGTTTCCTTAGTTTGTAAAATACATTTTAGAATATTACACTATAAGTTCAAATAATATACTGCTTCACATCTATTATAAGAAACTTGCAAGTGTATACTTTTAGTTCCCCCTCAATATTATTACACAACTCACAATTCACTACTGTCAGTTTTATCTTATATCTTAAACATTCAAATACCTTTTAAAATACCTTTAAAATTTTGGGAAAAAAATTTATTTTGCCCACAGATATACCATTTTTTTTTGTGGTCTTCATTGCTTTGGGTTAATCCAATTTTTCTTTTGGTTTGATTTTCCTTCTTTTTCTAAATTAACACTAATTTTATTATAGGTCTATTGTAAATTAATTCTCTTGGTTTTGTTTGTCTGAAAAATTCTTTATTTCACCTTGATTTGTGAATGATAAATTTTACTGCATAGTAAATTCTAGATTGACAGCTGATAGGTATTTCTTTTGTTTTATTTTTGTTTTATTATTCCACGCATGTTGCTGACTTATATTATTACTGTAATAGATTCTGGTAAAAATTCTTCATTATATGGACTATGTCCTCTTTTTAACTTGTTGTTTTTAAGACTTTTTATGTCTATTACAAGTCATCATTAATTTGATTATGATATGTCTTGTTGTGACTTCATTTTTCTTCTGCTTGGGCTTTGTTGAACTTTGTGGATCTCTGAATTCAAATTTTCTATTATAGTTTGAAAGTATTTAGAATTTCTTTTGAAACAATTTCCCATTCTGACTCATTTTTTCCCCTGGAGCCCCAATTATATGTTTGTTTGACCACTTGATATTGTCCCACAGGTGACAAATGCTGTTCTTTCTTTGACCAGTTCTTTTCTCTCTGTGTTTTGTTTTGAAGATTTTCTATTGCTATGTCTTCAGTTTCACTGAATTTTTGTTTTAGTGTCTAGTTACTCTTACTCTCATACAATGTATTTTTTTCTTGGATTCTATATTTATGATATCTACATGTTTGATTTGAATCTTTTTTATATCTTCCATTTTTTCTTTATCACATTTGTGTTTTCCTCTACTTTTTTGTACATATGTAGTATACTTACAATAACTTTGTAATGTCCTTGTCTACTAGTTCAAAAACATCTGTGTCCTTTCTGGTCTGTTTCTATTGATTGATTTTTCTCCTGGTTACGGATTAGGCTTTGCTACTTTATCACATGCCTGATAATGTTTAATTGGTTGCTGGACTTTGTTAATTATATGTCATGTGATGCTTGCTTTTGTTATATTCTTTTAAATATTGTTGATCTTTTCTCTAGGACAAAATTAGCATACCAGTATAATTCTTTTTAGACTTGTTTTTGAGTTTGACAGAGAAGCTTTACTTAAGTAATCATTTCACGCCTCCATTAATGCAATATGTTTCTGAAGACCCTAAACAGTGTCCTATGTATACATAGGTTATTCACTTTAGGTGGTGAGAATAGCAACTAATTCCAGATATGTGTGAGCTTTGCTAATTGTTCTGACAATATTTTCCTTAGTTTCTTCCCCTAGTCTTGCGTGGTTTCCTTGCACACTTGTGCAAATCAATACTCAGACAGACTTGCACTGACCCTATGAAGATATCTAGACCTCTGTTTCTGTGCAGCTCCCTCTGTTGAGTCTTTGTCTCCTCAATTCAGTCCATTTTGAGTTCTGTTTAGTTTCTTACTCCATGCACTGTGGTCTGGAAGAACTTTTTAGCCAGTAATATGTGTAAATAGTAGGCTATATCTTGGTTTTGCTCTTCTTTCAGGAAATATTCTCCTGTACTTCTTGTTATTCAATATCTGAGCACTTTGATTTCTCTATTTTGTCCAATTATACAATTGTTAAAGGTGAGCCATTAAACCCTGACTCCATTATTTTATCATGAGCAGATAAATGTAGAGCCCCAAAATATGACTTCCAAATTATTTAAGTTTGGAAAAAAGCTAATTCTCTGTATAGAGAATTATCTGAATACTAAATGTAGACTTTCTGTAATGAAATTAAACCTATCCACAGATAGAGGCAATTTAACCATCACATTAAAAAAAAAAAGCAACTGTGCATTTTGTCCAGAAAAGAAACAATGCAATTTGGTGTAACTTGAAATCTCAATATCTATATTACCTATATCTATATGTATCTATTTCTCTATATACACATATACATATTTCCACAAGGTGCAAAGACCAATCAAGTTAGACTTAATACCATAAATTCATTAATTTGCATAATTGCAAAAGTAGATATGCCAGCCAAAACAATACAACAATTTTAAGGTCTACCGATATAAAAGTGTTTCGTACACCCTCTTAGCCTTCAATAAAGCTATATGCAACAAAGTTCATTTTTGACCCATGTGCTAAATTACTTACTAAAGTTGGTAAATAAATCATCTTATAAAACAGCTTTACTCATGCACTCTATGAAATCTTCACCTAGAATACCTATATTTTTTTGTTTTAACAAACATATATTTATAGGTATATATGTGTATTTTTTCATAAAATATAATAGTTTTGTTAGGTTCCTAGCTATCTTATGTATCAATTATTGATGAATGTATGATATTAACAACACACATATGGACAGACTATTTTCTGCAGGAATATTCATTTTTAGGAAAAGGACTGCCAATAACTTATTCCTTACAGGGAAGAATTTATTCTTCTACTAAGATTCACATATTATCAATAAGATTAGCCAAATCTGATACATTTGGATAAAAATTTATATGTAGAATATGTTGTCGCAAAGTATCTGAGGTAAAGTGACTAGTTGGATTAAAACTAACATATAAAGTAAGGCATAAGAAAGGTATTTAACTTCTCTGGAGTAAAATTCAATTTTCTAACTACATATGCTTATGTTAATATATTAGGAACAGTCATTGGTATTAGTTTATGTTGCCTGGATGAGCATGATTCACCGACTGTTCTATATCTTAGTCTCATGCCCCCTCCCCTACAAAACACTAGGATATCCTTAATCCAAATTAGTTAAATACTATATGTTACTGTAAATGTTATTAATTTACTGATTTTCAAAATGTAGAACGTTTATATTGTAGGATACATGTTACTTAAATATTCACTATATACAAGATTTTGTCCTAATCACTGTATATCTATTTTCCTACTTCACACAAAATTGAATGTTGGGAATTTTTATGCTGATTTTAGAAATAAAGCTATGAGCAAAATAGCTGAATTATCTTCATTATTTTCTCCTAAAAATGGCAATCTTAACACCAGGTTTCTTTCTTGCGCTTGCCACTATTCTGTGCTGCACAGAAATACTGTTGTTTTAATAAATGGCCTAAAAATTTCTGCCTCTTCTGAGATTCTAAAGCTACATTATGATAATACAAGCTGAAATTTTCCTGACTTGTAACTGTAAAGTCAGATGTTTCTTCAGTTAAATGTGACCCAGTTAGTAGAATAATACCCAGGATCCCCATACAAGGCTACATTAAAACTGCCATTAAAATGCTGCATTAGGCCTGGCGTAATGGTTCATGCCTATAATTCTAGCATTTTGAGAGGCCAAGAGGGACAGATCACTTGAATCCAGGAGTTTGAGACCAGCCTATGCAACTAGGCAGAAGCCCATCTCTAATTTTTTTTTTTTTTAATTAGCCGGGCACAGTGACCTGTACCTATAGTCTCAGCTAATCAAGAGGGTGAGGTGGGAGGATCACTTGGTCACCAAGGGGTGTGAGGCTGTAGTGAGCTATATCACGCCACTGCAATACAGCTTGGACGACAGAACCAGACCCCATCTATAGAAAAAGCTTAAATAGTCTGGGCGCGGTGGCTTACGCTTGTAATCCCAGCACTTTGGGGGACCCCGGCGGGCGGATCACGAGGTCAGGAGATCGAGACCATCCTGGCTAACACGGTGAAACCCCGTCTCTACTAAAAATACAAAAAATTAGCCGTGCGTGGTGGCGGGCGCCTGCAGTCCCAGCTACTCAGGAGGCTGAGGCAGGAGAATGGCGTGAACCCGGGAGGCGGAGCTTGCAGTGAGCCGAGATCACGCCACTGCACTCTAGCCTGGGTGACAGAGCGAGACTCTGCCTCAAAGAAAAAAAAAAAATTAAATAAATGAGAAAAATAAAAATGTGCACTGTGGTCATCAGATCATTAAACTAGTTTTGCTAAATTGAGAGAACTTTACATTAATTTCATTGATTTATATTCTGCAGCATCTCAAAAATGTGAAACATATCACATTATTTAATTTGATATTAAAAAGTTTCTATTCTATGCCACTTAAATATCCCATAGTCATGGCTGCAATAATATATGCTGCTTGAATGATTTCTAATGTAGGTTTCTTAAGCAGAGTTTCATTAATTCTGTGAGCTTCTATGGAAAATTTTGTGTGTGTAAAATTTATTGAGTTGTTATTATGTGGTAGGCATTTAAAATATTTTTCCATATGTAAATACTAAATGACTTAATTTTAAAGAAATATGGATAATTAGGTAATTTTAAGAATATATCAATCTATCCTGCATCCTTGCCTATAAGTAGATTGTATTGAGTGTTAAGCTGTATACATGATAGGATTTCAACGTTGAATTTTATGTGCTTGGTTCAATATTTGGACTTCCAAAAGGGCCCCAAAATATTAAAAAGTTGTCAAACTGGGTCTTCACACAAAATATAAAGTTAGCTTTTATAGAGAGTGGAGTGGGGGAGGATAATTTTCCAGCCAACAAGTAGTCATGATTACCATCCACTGGTTTTATTCTATTATTGGCCAAATATAGATTAATGTACTTTCTCCACTGTTCCAATGTATAATGTATGAACATGATTACTGGGATAATTTAGAAACAGGATGCCTTTAATCTTCTGCTCAGTCAATCAGTTACAATACATAGGTTATAAAATGTTCTATGATTTTACACTGAATCCTTAATAGAACTAATTTTGGAGTTAAATGAGATTGGGAAAAGCGTAAAGCCCACAGAGCTCACACTTGTGTAACAAAGACAATGGAACTTTAACCATCGCATATTTAATTAACCAACCCAAACAAACAGAGACCACTCTGAAAGTTGTAAAGAAAGAGAGAATACTTCAGGGAGCAGAAAGCCAGAAGGAAAGTGGAATTCAAGGGTTTCCAGAATCAATATCCTTTGAAAGTTAGTTTCAGACTTATAATTAGAGACATTATGCACAATTACCTTCTGCGTGCCAATATATCTTGTCATGTGACAGATAAACTTTGTGTTTCCAGCTGTATTTGAAAATGCCTTTTACTTTAAAGCAGTATTCATTCACTGAATTTATGTGTAATTTTTTAAAAGTTTAGCTATATGACCTTTATATAACTTATTGTTACATTATTATGGCGTGAAATCCTAATTAAAATACAACTTTATATGTTAAACTTTAATTACAATCTACAGAATATGCAGTTTCTTCATTTTTTTTCTGGAGTTCTTGATATATTTTGGGAGGAAGGTGAACTTGGGTTTCGTTAAGACTCTAAGTAGAGAAGAAATGTGTTTTAGAAATGGGTGTAAAAAGCACTCTGTATTTCTTTGGGTATTTGGTGAAGAAGAGTGGTGCATGTGGATACATTAGGGCCACTTGCCTGAGTTTGTAGTTCTATTGTCCCTGGTTGGTTGTAGGCAGAGAAGAGTTGCCAACTGCTGAGTCGGATTCAGAACCATGGATAGCTCCACACGTTCAGCACCTGGGAGAGAAACTCTTGTCGTCTCCCAAGCACAGCTGCAGCTAGCGAACAGTATGACAGAATGATCTACTTATATATTTTTTCAGAAGAAAATAAAACCATACACTAGCGATGTATGGCTTTTTATATTCCCACAGAGGCAACCGTAAAGACTCAGGGAAGCTCAAGCTACTAGAAGAGCCTAGAGGTTTTCATTGGCTGCTTACTTTTAAAGTAAACCTTATTAGCCATAAAATTCAACATTCCTAGGAACGTCTTCCGTTTGATTCATTTTCATTACTCTGATATTAAAGAGGAAGAATTACTTCGGTTCTTGATTTTGTTTAGATTTGGGGGGTTGTGGTTTTGGAACATAAAAGTTGTTATGCTTACTTCCTGGTTATTGCAACCCACCTGATTCACCTTCCTAAACTAACCCTGCTTCTCAGCCCTTCTCAGTTCTACTCTCATTATTTCACTTCAGATTTGAAGCTGTAACTGAGAAAATAAGAACCCAGCTGACTCAAGGCACAGGCATAGCAGGCTAATGAGCTGCAAGAACCCCCCCAAATTCTATCATGCAACTGCATGTGTTGACAGGAATCTCTGGACCTTTATCTCCAGCAGGAAATGAGAGATTCATCTGTGTTCTGCTTGAGTAGATTGAAATCTTAGCAAATTCCATTTAGAGAAAGGGGCGTGGAGAGGGGCTATTAGGTTCAAGGGGGTGGGTGGGGGGAAGATAACAAAAATGAAGGGAAAAGAACCAAGAAAAACTAGAAAAACAGCTTCAAAAACACGCTTTCCTGGCACAGCTTGTCACATTTATTTTCCTAAGTCTCCAGGAGGACTATTTGAACAGAAGTGTCTGTATACCCTGAGATTCCCACGCTGGCAGCCTTTGAGAAGCGAGAAGGAAGAGGACTCTATTCCGCCCCTTGAACCCTTTTCTATCCTATATGAGATGGCTCCTTAGAGATGGTGGAGGAGAGCAGAATGTGGCTAGTGTGTTCCGGAGATGAGTGGCATCGGAGGTCACAGCCAAGGCTGGTAACTCTTAGCCCCACCCACCTTTTGTTCCTTCCCCCTGGCGCTCAGCCTCACCTATTTCAAACTCTTTCCTTCTTTTGTACTAGTCGCTCGCAATCTTTGGCCTTCTCATCTTTGGCCGTCTCATCTTCCTCGCAGCCTACGGCACCTGGAGACCAAATCAACCCCCAATCTTGCAACCCTCCAGGGACTCAGGCAGAAACTGGGCATGCTCAGCGGCACGGGCAGCTTTCAGTCTTTCCCGAGGCGCGGCTCAGCGCTGGGCAGGGACCTGCGTGCCAATTCAGTTCGGGCTTCGGCACCCACCTCCGCTGAACCCAGGGATCCGAGCTGCACCCTGAGGCTAAATCTGCACCCTTAGGTGGTTCATTGTCAATCTTCAACCTGCTGAGCGCCAACAGAGCTTACAAATATTCCTCATTAAGAAACTGTTTTCCCACCTGTGTTTTCCTTGCAGCTAAGGGTGCTTTAGCTACTGCGGCGTGAGGAGCTCAGGGACGGAGCCCTGTGGCCGGTGGCCGTAGAGATCACCTTCCCAGAGTAGCTGTTTGTCACTGAGTTTTGGAGATTTCTTGGCTGGCTTCCGCTAAAGCACGCTTGAGTAATCCGAGCTGTGGCGGCGCCCAAGCTACCAAGATAAAGAGAGCGTGTGTGTGTGTGTGTGTGTGTGTGTGTGTGTGTGTGTGTGTGTGTGTGTGTGTGTTAGGGGGAGAGGGCGGGGATAGAAACGTCAACCCCGCCGACCCCCAGCCTCCTTTTCTCTCTCTCCTTCCAGCAAAACCGGCACAAGTCTTCCATCCCCCCTCAGCCATTCCTTACTGCTCTGGGCAACCGCCAGGTTAAGCCCATTTGCACTGGGAAATTGGCGCTGTTTGGGAGAAGAGAAACAGATCGATTGCCCTTGTGACTCCCCGCCCCCTTCCCACCCCACCCCCACAGCTCCCTCCCTCTTTCCCTCCCCCGCCACCTCCCCTCACCCCGCCTCCTTCCCGTTCCCCACCCCCAAACCCTCTCACCCGCGGCAGTCCGGTGCGAGGCCCCCTCCGGAAGGTGAGGGGAATGGATTGGACTCCGGTGGGGAAAGCGGGTGTCTAGAAGTGGTGCTAATGGGAAGAGAATTCTGGTTTCAAAAGAGGATGCTCTGCCACAAAGAGCGGCTCGCGCGCTGGCCTGGGCTCTAGCCGAGGAGAGATCCCGGGAGAACTCCAGAGCTCCGGGGGAGCGCTCCTCGGAAGACCGGGGCCAACATGCCTGTGCGCAGGGGGCATGTGGCACCACAAAATACATTTCTGGGGACCATCATTCGGAAATTTGAAGGGCAAAGTAAGTTCGTTTGTTCTCTTCTCTCGCCCTCGCTTTCTGCCTTGTTAGTGCACTTGGCGTCCACCGCTTCCAAGGTGGGGAGACCGGCAACTCCAGGCTCTGTCAACTTAAGAGGCTGTGAAACCGAGCCAGGAGGTTCGAATGGCAGCGGGAGTGTTCTTCTGATATTAATTTTGATTTACATTTTAGATTACGGTCTCCATTATAGGAGGCAATTTGATCCTCCTCTACCACTGCTCCATTATCTGCCTTGCTACTTAATTTCCTACTATTCTACTATCTTAAAGGGAACGTGCTAGGATAACATGGGTTTATATTTTGAGGCTGTTTTACTGTAGACTTTCTGAAAGTCGGAAGCAGAGCAGACCATACTATTCGAACAAGAGAATGTAAATGGTAGTAGCGATGTAAATGACTATGCAAACTATATTTTACCTTGGTTAAACTGCAAAGCAGTGGTATGACACGGATGCTTGCTTGCTATTAATTTATAGAAGCTAAATTTTGTATTGAATCAATGCAAATATATCCTAAGCAGGGTAATTTGGAAAAGCAGTATCTCATCTGTGCTGGTTCCCGATGCAAATGGCTCATTATTCAAAATAATATTTCTATTCTTTTATTATCCCCTTAAAATTTCCATCTAGAAATTTAAAAATTGAAGTGTAATAAGTAAATCCCACAAAGACTGAATGCACAGAAATTTAATGTTCTCATGTGGACTAAATATAGGGAATAAATTGTTGCTATATAAATATATTAATTTAAAATCCTGTATTTGTTAACTTATCTTCGGTCTTTTCTTAAAACTATATTAATACATTTGTATGCCATATATTTTGCGGTTATTTCAGCACTGCATTTAGTGATGTGAGGATCTGGTACCTTGCGTACAAACTAAACTTGTATATCCTGCTTCACAATCTATGTGGAAATAGTAAATACAATCTGTGATGTAAATTAATAAGCTCTTTATATTAAGAATTCCTGCTACTACAGAAAACTTCAAGGATCTCCCAAAGTAAAAGTAAAAAGGTTGTCATGATATTTACTGTGTGTGTGTAAATATTTTTCTTTTGGGAAATATATATTATGAAAATGTGAATCTTTGCCTTGTTGAATTGCTATTAAATATGAAGTAGTTTCATTACTAAAGCTAGTTGCCTTTGTTTTTAACATGATGTGTGTAACATGCCTAAGAGAGATAGGGAGAAGCCAAAGAATAATAACTACTTTGAGAAAGTTGTATTCAAAGGGCCAAGGTTGAAATGAGAAATCTGACAACTACAGAATGTTTCACTGTTTGACTTTGAAAATATTTACATTACAATTAAATGACATTCTGAAAATATCAATGGGCAGCTGCTTGTCTGAGTGTCCACTAGGAACCCCCGCAGTTGCAGGGCTTGAGAACTAGTCTATTTGGGAAATTCTATTCTTGCAATTTTAAGAGTGGTTTCTTAATACTTTCTGTTAAAATTACTTAGGATCATTAATCTCACATTTAAAGTTTGTGGGGTTTCTTGTGTTTTCTTTTTTCATAAGGGCTGGAGAGATTAGTAATTTGGGGAGGCACCTGCATTTCAGAGCTCTTATTATGCAACAAATTGCTTCAGTGTTACGGAGAATATTGTGGAAGCTTTTTCAAAGATGCCATACTGTCTTCTTATTACAGATAAAAAATTTATCATTGCAAATGCCAGAGTGCAGAACTGTGCCATCATTTATTGCAACGATGGGTTCTGTGAGATGACTGGTTTCTCCAGGCCAGATGTCATGCAAAAGCCATGCACCTGCGACTTTCTCCATGGACCCGAGACCAAGAGGCATGATATTGCCCAAATTGCCCAGGCATTGCTGGGGTCAGAAGAGAGGAAAGTGGAGGTCACCTACTATCACAAAAATGGTAAAATTCCTCTATTTAGGATTCCTTCTATTTGATCCCATTGAAAAGAAATTTTGACTATTAAAAGTTCATATGCAAAGAAGCCCAAAATGTTCAATTGTAGATATATGCTTTGCATATAGTATTTTGGGATCCAACATATATGGGTATTCTGATTAGTGGTCTGGTAGAAACAATTTTTTCTTTGAATAAGGGTACTGTAATCTCTTCAAAAGTACAGTAACATAATGTCACTGAGGTTAAAATGCTACAAATCAGTCTTAGATGCTCCTTTCTTTAAGGAATTAGAGAAAGATGAACAATGTACTGCTTGCATTGGTATGCATTTGGTAGGCGAGAAATACAGATACAGTGTTACTTGTTTGAACTTTAAAATACTCCACAAAGCAAATTTATGTTGAAAACTATATCTAAAACTAAAACTATTACAGTTATGTCTCTTGGCTCTTTAGCTTTAGTTGATAGGCAACACCTCTTGTTTCTTTTGCTCCTTCTTACAACATTAAGGATGATAAATAGGAACTTTTACCTTGATCCAGTTAACCTGTGCATATTCAAACAATAAAGGCTGTTTATGTAGTCAAGATTTGTCCTGAAATAAGAAATGTAGAAAAAATTATGATACTGTGGAGTTATTAGTATTGATTTTTATAACTACAGCAAATCTGGCATCTTAAACTTAAGGTCATACCTCAACTTCGAGGGCAACACCTCCTGTCAAACTTGCTATGAGAGCCGTAAGAGTTAGACATAATAGTTCTCTTAAAAAATTACACATGTAATAGATAGGCATGCCTTAAATACACAATATATATGTAAATGAACTCACATATATAAATACTCAGATATGCCCATTTTAAGGTGTATATATAGATATATATTCCTGAATATCTATAAATCTATATCTATATATATCTATATATCTATACAAAATGATATTTGTCTAGGGCTTAAAGGTAAAATTACTTTAAAAAATTGAATGTTATAGTTAATTTTGTTGATATTTCATCATCATCTATTTCTTTTTATTCCACTAACAGAAATTACTGAGGCAGAGGGGTAGCTGTTCAGATTTTTAGAAAACTCTTAAGCTTTTGATAAATATGTAGTGTGCCATAGCCTATATCATATAATGACTCATCATTTGGTATACTAGAGAGAAAAAAAGACAGCAGGAAAAAGGTTTCAGTCTTACTCTTATTTTCTTATAATTCAATGTACAATGTACAATTCTTAATTACTACATTTTCCTTAACATGAAGTTGAGTGGTTACAAAACATTACTAAAAACAGGTTTGTATAACTTTGTAGTAATCTGGAATGAAAGCAATAGTATACGTATCAAACAGATAGAAATTGTTTTTAAAGTTCTTCCCATGTTTCTCTTACTTTTCAATCAGTAGTGTTGGCATACTAGAAATAGCCTAATTGTTCTGTTGTCTTGAAAACATTTATTGGATTGAGCTCTCACTACCCAAATGTAACTCATGTCTTTTGAGTATCTGATGCCAACAATCTGGACGTTTGGAATAATTTGAATGTCTGACATTTTTTTCCTATTGAATATTTATTATGATGCCAACACAGTCTATATTGTGGTAACTTCAGTGAATGTTGGTCCATCTTTGGTCATTATGTTTTCTAGACCATTTCAGGGATTTTTCCAACTCATAGAATTTAAGTATGACATTAATCTGGATTGCCCAAATTGCTCAAATACTAGGTATATCTTTCAGAGTGTTTTCAAGTAGGAGTTATCTATTACACCGCAAGTGGCGTGATGATGTTTTGAAAGTTGTGCAATGTGGGTGTGTAAAATGATCTCAAAACACTTTAAAACAAATTTAATAAGAATCACAGATATGATTAATTCCTATTAAATTATTGAATTTTCTGTATTGAACATATTAGTATATTGACAAATACAAATCTTTCTATTTGAAGGATTTTCTTGGTTATATGCATTAAAACTCCCCTGTTTTCAGAAAGGGACTTTTGATTTAGAGGATTGTTTGGGTATAAAGAAATTAACCTTTAGTAAAAATTTTGATTCTGTTGACTTCATTTTCAGATGTAACTCAGTCTTCAAGGATTTGAATATCTTTAGCGTTAACTATAAAATCTACCTATTTTGCTTTAATTGATATGGAAAACATGAGAAAATGGGTCAAGCATTTTCTTTTTATTTAATATTTTAAGAAATATATTAGTTTGAATGACCTTTTTAAACAGTGATGACACAGTCATACTTGTTTGCTTTGAAAGTAATAAACTTGTGTTTTGGCTGCTAGTTCAGATAACTTGGATAGAATCTTCAGTGTGTCTTGGTTTTATTTATATGACAACTACAAAATCAGTTAGAGCTTATGAGATACAAATTCTTGGATAGTCTCATCTCTTAGAGATAAGACTACTGCCAGCTACTCTACATTTATAAAAGCTGGAAGGAGGAAAATCAAAATCACCAACATATTTGTTGGTTTGTTTCTCAAAGTTTCCGTAATTCGTTATTATTGATGCCATTGACTTTTGAGTTTCTTGATTTCTTAACTGTATACAGTAAATGCTTCTTTTGCTTATTCTTTATTTAGCATTTCACAAGAATATGAAGAGTGATGTAATAAGCCCAATGAACAAATTAACAAAAAGTTGATATATTCTGTTTCCATTTCTTCCATTTGCTCTTACTGGAGGAGTAAAAATACGACCGAGGCATTATTTTGGAAAGCTTGTTCGCTAAAGTGGCCCAGAGGCTTTATAAGCAATTTAAACCCGTGATCTATGCAATGAGTTCACATTGATGCAGTTCATGGTGAACTGCATGATCGTCATTTTGAAACACCACTTCCTACTATGCTTCTGTATGTGATTGTGCTAGGCACAATTAAACTTGCTGTTTATCAGAATATCAATTTTTAAAAACCTAGTTATTTGCAGTAGGAATATTTGACAGCTCTTCCTTTGAGGATTCTATTTTACAGTTTAAGTCATTATTGCATAAATCATCCTTGGCAGCTGTGAAGTATTGCTTGAGGTGATAAAGCTGTAAATCTTTTGACATAAAACTCTAATTATACAAAACTATAATTATGCTATGACTTATATAAGGATGGGCATGTATTTTAATAGCATAATACATTCATTTAAAAACACTTTTCAGCAACAAAGATTAAAAAATAGCAAGGACTTCAGTTATTAACTAGTTCATAGTTTTAGATGATGCAAGTGGAAAGGAAACAGAAAAAAAAAATATTTTAGTTAGCCCCCACAACTAAGTTTATCCCTCATCTGGTTTGGAGTACATCACGGAAGAGAGCTAGCTAGTTTAAGTGCTAAACCCCTTCAGGCATATTTACAAATGTGACTTTGACCTTAAATTATCAAGCAACTTTAAACATTTGAAAAAACAAAGTAAATTTCTCCAGGAAAAATAAACGTCTTTACTCAGTAGGAAAGGATGACTTAAAATATATTATTTTTTGAGGTCAGAGCGTTCCTGTATTTTGCCATTATGCTTTCATACACACTATGGTAGCAATTTTACTAACAGATCAGAAATGTATGGTGCTACTTTTCTTATCTTCATGCTGCTTTTAAAGAACTGAAGAATGATAAGGGACTGAGGGAAGTCCTTGCCTAATCCAGTCAGATATCAGTAGAAAGTTTCAGAGGTAGATTTTGATTAAGTAAACTCAGAAGAGGTCTTGGTTTGATAGCATTGAATTTACTATGTCTGAAAATTATGTGGAAAGACCTTCTAGAAACAGCTGTGTTTTTGTGAATCAAGGTGAAGATGTATATTGAGTGCCTCCTCTCTCTCTCATGTAATGTACCAGGCACTGTAAGAACAGTAGGAAGAGATACAAAGGAAGATGCAACCTGATCTCTGCTTCCAGGACATTTGTATTACAGAGTGACTAATATTCATTTCCATCCTCTAAATCTCAGCTGTTTTTATAAAATTATTTTTAATGGAAAAAGAGTATTTGGACTATGGGGTTGTTAATTGCATAGAGAACCTGCAAAATTTATTATTAATTGCTATTTTCCTTCTATTCCCCAAATTTAAAATAAACATGCTTATGTGTATCTTCTTTTCACCATTGTCATGTATACATAATAATGTATTAAAGAAGCAATGAAGTTTAGTTAAAATTTTATTAGTACAAACAGAAATTTCACAAAATTTCATAATAGCTTTATATAAGTTATATGGCATGTAAAACATTCAGCTCTCTTAATTCTTGGATTGTGTAGAAGAGATACAGATGGTAGCTTTTTAGACAAGAACAAAAATATATTTTATGTGTGTGTAATTCAAGCAATGAGAAAGATTTTCAGAGCGTATCTTGCCTAGAGTTTGCTTGGGTGTTCATTTTAACTTTCTGTTTATACATTTTTACATTCTATTCAATAGACTATTGCAACAACAGTAATCCTAAAATTCATTTTCTCTTATGTGCCCAAATTTTATATCATCTCATGGACTTTGAATGTTATCCAGAATTCAAATTTGATCAGTTGTAATTGTTGATAAAATAGGCATTCTTAAGAAATGCTCTTCCCCACAATTTGAAAACTATTTCAGTATTGTCCTAAGTGAAACCAAATGTCCTAAAACTGTGGCTGAGCTTTGTTTATCAGTTACTTTTCACCATTCACCAACATCACACCTCTAAGAAGCTCTGGTACCAACAAGAAGCCATGTTGTCTGCCAGCTTGAGAGAGAAATTCTTAGTTATTTTCACACCCAAGGTGCTTGAGAACAGGTCAGTTTAGGACTGAATGAACAGGATAAGTTTAACAGGAGAAACTTGCTTTTACTGGCTTCCAAAGGTTTTTGGTTGGTTTGTTGGTTGGTTTTGGTTTTGTTGCTGTTGTTGTTTGGTATAAATAATCTCTGAATCCATTGCTGGCAATCTGGCCTGCCAGGAGAGTACCCGGTTAGTTGAGCCACAGGGAAGTAACAGTTGGTGTATTAAGTTTTGAGGTGTCACCATTCATCTGGGATCTATACTAGAAACTTTGGTGTCATTTTCCATTTTTCTTCATCCCTCAGCTCCCTAAAGCCAACTGGTCACCAAATCCTTTCAATCTTTACATCAGAAATATTTCTCAAATAGCATTGAGAGATATTCGAAGTGGTCTGATTAAAGCCTGCTGTCCTTCCGAAGTATTCAAGTATCTAGTTTCTCTCCCCCGATCCATCCTCTACATACTGGGAGAGAGCTATTCCCAAAACATGAATCACCTATGCTGATGGCTTATTAGCGCCAAGAATCACTGAAAGTAAATTTTATATATTAAATAGTGGGTACAACCATCTCATAAAATATATATTCTTATTATCTCCGTTTTGTGGAAATAACACTGAAGCCCAGAGAGACTGAATAATTTGCCAAATTGCACATAGCTCATACACAGTGGAGTCTGAGCCCTTAACAACTTTGTCTTACTGCTACTCGATGTACCTATATCAGACCTCAGCTTGAAAACTTGTTTTCAGTCATTAAACCAGGATACTGGCTGGCTTCAGAATTGAATTCACTTGGGATTTCAAGTATTGTGTTGTCTTAGTCTTTTCCTACTGTGATAACAAAATACCTTAGAGCGGGTAACTTATAAAAAATAGAGATTTATTTCTCACAGTTTTGGAGGCTGGGAAGCCCAAGATCAAGGCATCAGCAGGTTCTGGGACTGGTGAAGGCTGGCTCTTTGCTTTCAAGATGGCACTTTGTTGCTGTGGTCTCACATGGCAGAATGCAGAAGGCTAAAAGGGGCAGTCAGCTCTCTGAAGCCTCTTAAAGGCATTAATCCCATTCAGGAGAGTGGAGCCCATATGACTTAATCACATCCCAAAAGTCTACACTTCTTACTACTCTCATGTTGGGGTTGAAGTTCGAATGTATGAATGTTGAAGGAACACTACATTCAAACCATTATAGGTATGTTTAGAGAAATCCAGCTGGATTCCCAGCTCTGATAACAACTAGATGAACTTGTTGGAGTTTACCTTCTTCATGCCTCACTTTTCTTTACTGATAACTATTTGGAGAATATAATCTATGTTGTTAGGCTTATTGAGTGTGTTGCATGCAATAAAGAACGCAGCATTATTTCTGGCATGGTTTCCATAATGTGTTCAATAAATATCAATTAGTTGAATATATTGCCACCTTCATTTCTCCCACAAATCTTATGATCCAGTCATACTTGATTGCTCAGAGTTTCTTAAAGAAGTAACATATTTTTCTTCTACTGAGGCTCTGTTTAGTCTTTAGAAGTTTTTCTTTACCTATAATGAATATTTCAAAGACTTTCTAAATGGATTGCCCTTCTCTCAGCTTCTCACCCGAAAGAAACCATCATCGTCCTTTCAAAGACAGATCAAAAGACTTCTCTGTGAAATCCTTCCTGATGTTCCCACTATCTGCACTTCTGTCTCCTCATAGCACTTGGTTCTAGGCTCCAGGGTAGCCTCTGAAGAGTGCTCCTTGTTATTACGCATTATTGTAGTTAATTTAGTCTATTTTTAGCTTATTCAGAGAAAACACCAAGTCTTATTAATTTCTGTGTCCAGGATATATGGAAGGGTAACTAGTACGAAGTGAGTGCACTGTTAGTATTTACTTAAAGAATGAAGAGAAGATGAAAAATGGTACCATGCAGTTAGAAAAAAAAAAAAAACAGATAAAGTTAACAAGATCTGGGGGAAAGTGTGTTATAGGAAAAGTGTAATGCTTTGTTTTTTTTTTCATTTTCTTAAGAACACTTCTAAAATATTAAAAACAATTTTTACCATAATTTTATTAATGGCTATATGTTTTGTTTAGTAATCTAAGATATTAAATCATCTTCATAGCCTGAAACTATATGAATATGAATAGCTAGAAAAATATTTAGTGAACAGTTGGAATCTACTCACCAGAAATTATTAACCTGTTACCTAAGTGTCACTCACTTGCTACCCCACCAATGACTTACCAGTGTCTCCAACAATCTCTAATAGCCCAAACCAGAGTTTTCTTCTGTTCTTTTCTAACTTGATTTCATTGCTGTGGTTGGCACAATTATACAACCAACTGAATATGTTACACACTCTATTGGCATTTTATATCTAGTGCAACTATTTATCCCTCCATGTTTTCTTGAAAATTCTTAATCAGTAATGAAGCTTGATTTCAGAGTTATACAATAATGGCAATTGAAAATGTAAAATGATAAAGTTAGCTGATTAATCATTAATTATTATAATTGCCAAGTGAATATTTTCTCTCTCTTTACTGTGCTGTCTGCATTTAGCAATAGTACTGAACTACCAAGAAGCAACAGAGTCAGGTAGCTATAAGGCACTAATTATAGTAGTGAGGAAATACGTCTTATTACTGAACAATTAAGAAAGTTAATGGGTTATGAGAAAACAGAATTCCAGGTTCTCATGGCTGTGACTGAATATTCCATAATCTCTGCCTCATCCTCCTTTAATTTACATGAAATATCTAATTAAGAAAAGCAATGGGCTCTTTCCATGATAGCCTGAATCATGGCTGAGGCGTCTTCTATGACTTTTCCCAAGTTAAAGTAGGCCTGCTTGTGTGCAAACTTGTCCTTTTCATGATTCCCACTGTTTTGTAGAATGTCTCACACTACTTTTTACTCAGAAAATGGGTAAAAACAGCTGTGGCTGGTGCTCAGTGGGCAGGAATTCAAGGGAGGAGTGAGAGAGGACTGTGGGTACATTTCTGCCTTTAGTTGGCTCATTTTGTAAAATGATCTCAAACTAGACTCTGCCGGGCAGAATGTGTGAGGTTCCCTGAGCCACGTGGCTTTTGCTTACCTGCACTTTCTTTCCAGATGAGTCAGAATACAGTGTAACAGCAAGTGGACTTTCACCATTGTGGGTTTTATTGTTTCCTTTTTCTGTTTTTATTTTGTTCCTTCTCTCTTTTTTTGAGATCTTTAGGAGTGTTTTTATGTATCATTCTTTCTTAATTTTGATAGGACATTAATTCTTTTGCATTTTTTGAAATATTGATTTTGAGAAAAATGTAATAACTGCATGAGTTCAAGACAAGTTAAAATGTCTGTTGCCCATCATGTAGATTATTGTCCTTTAGCCTCAAAACACTCTTCTTACTTATATTTAGTGAAGTCTGTATCAATGACTTAAGATGATGAGCATGATGATAAAAATTAAAATACAAACTAGTGGTGGTTTTATAACAAGTAACAAAGAACAAGTAATAAATAAAAATCCATTTGTGCTAAAAAAGATCACATGTTGTAACATAATCTTAAGGTATTTGCATATACTAAGATTATATCAATTGGACAAAATCAATGTTAGAGCTATGCAAGGTTGCATGGTGTGTGAATATTTTTTAATGAAGTTTCTGTTTACCTCTTAGCTAAATCCATTAAAATTTCTTCTGGGTTTGCTAAAAAGTCTATATACACTATCTGTTTTCTTTAATAATAATAGTAATCATTTGATCTTTAGCCGTACATTTATTCAAGGGGTTTACATGCAACAGATGTGCTCTTCAGATTTTAATTTTTGTGGTTGTATGCAATGGACACCAGCCCTCTACTCAGGATAGCTCTTCTCCCAAAGGTCTAACATTGAGTTCCAACTCAGTGACTGGTTCTTCATATAAATTGCTTTCAGTGATTTTCATGACAGCTTTGGGAGCAGACGTTATCCCATTTTACAGATAAGTTAAATTGAGGTTCAGAGAAGTTAAGTACTAATGATCACAGAGCAATGTGGAAATGTGGTTTACAATTTACATTTATCTATACTTGCAAACTCTACCACATTGCCTCCAAATGATACACCTCTTAAACCTCAACCTACTCTATTCTGTATTTCCTAGTTCCAGTTCTTAAACATAGATTCTATTGATTATCCAAGGTTTAAATCTGGTTAACTTAATTCACATCAAAGAGTGAATAAAGCATGGCATTTTGCATTTTTAACAGAACTTTATCAATCAAAATGAATATCAGGCAGAGTGTTAGATTTTAGTAGAATGAGGATAGCTAGTATATGCTTATAATCTGCATCATTTTAAATGGCATTCTCTTTTACTCTTAAAATGTCCCAGTTTTGGACTATATATTGTATGACTGACTTAGATTTTGGGGGCATTTTTGGTTAAGGGCCCCTCAGTTACTATATGTCTAGTCTTTATCCACATAGTCAGGTAGAAAATTCATGGAGTATTTTGATTCAGTAGCAGGGACATACATGGTGTCCTTTTCCCCTCTCCTTCCCACAAGAAAGTTTTATTTCCTGGCAAGATTATGTGATGTAACAAAATTCACCACTAGTATTTTAAAGGGAAAGCATAAATATACTGTGTGGAGAGCGTCTGGTTTATTTAAAATGCCTCCAATTTTCTACATCTTGAGCCAAATGTCAGACTCACTTCCTGTTACACAGCCTACTATCTTATTTCCCTGAGCTCCTCCTAAAGGCTGTCATCCTCAGGACTCCTCCCTTTAACCACTGGGTTTCTTCTTCCTGAGATAGCCTTAATGTCCCCTCCCTGAACCCTTCATCAACTCTCCTCCACTTTTAAGCAAATTCTGTATGGCTTCAATCTCAGCTCATTTCTAAGGTCTCTAAGTCCCTCAGGCAGCCTTCTCCACATTTCTCATGTGTTTTCCTTTTCTCTATTGGAACACTTATGAAATTGTGTTGTAGTAATTTGTTTCTATGTCTGTCTTTCCCACTCCATGTTGAACATTTTGAAGGGACTTATTAAGGCAGTTATTAAAAAGTAGAAGAAATGGGAGAGCAAAGAACAGACTTACGAGAACCCAGCAATACACCCATTTACAGATGAATATCTGTGAAAGGTGTCAGAGTCTGGAAAGATATCATTCATTCATGCATTCACCATCTTGTGTTTGTCATTTTGCTGCTATGAGAATGGTGAAAATCAATCTCTAACATTGTTTATTAACTGAGAAATTAATTATTAACTTGCTGCCATATGGTTTACATATTATAAAGCAATGTATTCTAATACTTAATAACCTGTAACTCATTATAAAAAGACATAACAAATCACTCTTCTTAGTTAGCCTAGAAGGGAAAAGGTGAATGGTCAGAAGAGTTCAGATAGATCCCTGATGCCAACACAGTTGACTGATTCTGATGGAACATCCACAAGTTCAATAAAAGGAAAAATATCTCTACATGTTCTCATAATAATATAAGCATGTTTACAAACCATCCCAGCCCTCCCTGGATCTCCTCAGTTAAATACACATGACAAAATACTTATAAAACCTTGCAATTATGCTGATGTATTTTTCTGCTATCTTTCTCTACACATTGGAAGCAGCTTCATACTTACACTGGTCCCACAGCACATTTAATTCTTTTTTCCAAACCTTGGGTCATGGGTTGAGATTGTAAGGCCTGTATGATATCAGAAGACACTTCATCAGTCACATGCTGATACAGGATTTCACCACTTCAACAAGGACTTATATCTCTACTCTCTGTCTCTGTCAAAGTGATTTAACCTCACTGTTGAAACATTAGAAAATACAGAGAGAAAATAGAAAAAAAACCATAATCTTAATACTAACAGATATCCACTGTTACAATGATGGCTTGTAGTGCAGCTATAATTTTTCTACACAAATACACACATGTGAGCATTCATGCATGTTTTTAACAAGACCAGGGCAGCACTATATGTATCACAGCTTGTAGCTTGTTTTCCTCACTGAGAAATTTCTGCTGAACATGCATATTTTTTTAATGATTACATAAAATTTTTACACAGACCATAATTGTTTTAATATCCACAGAATATTACCAACAATTATTACTTAATAATAATTGAGCACTTGACTATTTCTAACTTTTTACTGTTGTACAAATGTACCAAAAGTCTGTTCAACCATCTTGACCACCTGTACTTTTTTCCTTACTAAATAGTCCTAGAAGTATAATTACTGCATAACAGTATGTCTATCTTAAAACTTTTGAAATCTCTTGTCAAATTATAACAGCAAAAAGGTATATATTTAACTGCACATTTTATGTGTCCAATAAAACTTAGCATTCTTTTTAATTTTTGTTGATCTAGTAGAAAGAGTACCTTATTGTCTGATCACTAAATGTGATCCAATTCAATTTTTGTTGAAATTTGTTGAATTTTGTAATTCAAATTTTATTGAAAAACACATGTAGAAAATATTTGAGGCAATTTATTTTCCCATTAAAAAAACATGCTAAGTATTTTGAAACCTAGGGAGCAATGAGGATCTCTTGAATAGCTGAGTATCCTCGCTGGATGCCCCACTTCACACCAGCTTCAGTATTTTAAAAACTGATCTTCACATTCACATTTTCATTTCAGTAATTTGCTGGCATTTTTCCAAACCTCAGATTCAGAAACTGATACCAAGTCTTTACTATTTAAATAATTTACTATTTAAAAGTTCAAACACTCCTTGAACTTTTCCTCCTTTCTATGTGGAATAAGTTGGATTTTAAGTTATTTTCAGTATTTCTTATATATTTCAATATTTCTTATTTATTATCTAAATATACCATAATGAAAATTATAACTAATGAAAGAGCTTTTCTTCAGTAGTTTTTATTTGAATATACATATATACATTGAGATTAAAATATACTCTCTCCCTCTCTCTCTACATATATATATATAGTTTTGCTGAGATGCAAACTGATGGCCAGGAAAGTTAGCAAAGTCATAATAAATAAACAATCTTCTAGGATATCATGTAACAGAAGTGAAATTCACTTATGAAATGCCACTTATAGTGACATCAAATGCTCAAAATTACATATGATACGTGAGGAAAGATATAAGCAACAGAATTATAACACAGTATCAGATAAACTGCTAAATTTATTCCAATATAATAGTATTGAAATGAATGTAGGGAAAGATTATTCTCTTCCTAGGCTGCCTTATTTAACCAAGACCTGCAGAGCTCTGGTAATCTGATCTTTCTAGCTGTGACTCAATTGTCAGGTCTTCCCTCCAGGTGTTCTTTATAATGAATGTCACTTAACCAAGGCTCAGTAGGATTTATGGATTCCCAGATTGCTGTTCTCAGAATTTGCCCCCCAATGAAGGACTACACAAAAATGCCATTAATGATGCACAACCTCAACTGTCCTATTAGCTGGCATCTATTCATTCGAAAATTGCAGAACTTGTTTCTTTGCAGGTCATGTTTCCAGAGTAAGCAGAAGGTGTCCTAGTGAAATGTCATACCCACCAACATTCTTTATTTTAAATATACTCACTGTGTATAGTGTGAGTTACACAATATTTTGTCTTAATTACTGGCTGCCCCAATAACTTCAATGATGAATTTTTCTCTGAAGAATACTTCATCTCAAAGAGTTAATACTTTTTGTTATTAATCTAAACTTTTTGAAAATATCAAGAATGCCGATTACAGCCTTTAAATCTTTACCAAGTAAGATTTTATAATATCATTCGTGATTTTTCTTCAATATTAGAAAATAAAACTAAATGTTGGCAGAGCTAATGCTCTGCTACAGAAATGAAAATTAATTTCGAGTGTAAAAGAATAAAGTATTTTCATAGGTACTTCTTATATGGCAATTAAAAAATAACTGGTAACATCTAAATTTTCTTTTCCAGAAGGTAATTAGAGATTTTAGTTAGACTGTCAGCATTTAAAAATCTATAAATTTAAAATATAAAGAATGAAGATGAAGCCTGCTCTTTTAACCACTTTAGTTGGATGGTGAAATTCCTGGAAAAGACAAAAGAAATCTCAGGCATTGAATTTTCATTCCAGCAGAAGTTATGTGTGCTAACTTCTGTTAAAGATTCCAAGAAACATGGACTAAAAAAGACCAGAGACTTTTTCTAAAAGTAATGACATTATTATACTATGAAGTGTAATAAAGACTATGTTATAGTATAACCAGGCAGGGCCTTCTTGCCACTAATCTTGTTGTTCTAGAAATGGAATAATCAACCCCTCCTCATTACCACACCCACTTTAACTATAACTCAAGGCAGAAATCAGATCCTGGAATTTTTAAATTTTTGTTGATTTTAGTTTCTTTATTTTACATTCATGAACACTAGTATCTTGCTAATTATTTCAAGGATTGGGCTAAATTATTCTGTGGCAACATATGAAATTCTGTAATTAGAGATAATTAAATAATAGAGTGTGGTTTGAACATTTTAAATAATAGTACTAATAAGTATCATTGAGCACTTACAATGTGACTATACTCTTCTAAAATCTTTTTTTTTCAATTTTTAGCATATCCGAAGACATAGATATTTTATTGTTCTCATTTACAAATTGAAAAGATGAAGTTCAATAACTTCCTCAACACTGCAAAAGTAGTACATAGCAGCTACCATCTGAGTGCAGACTGTCTTCTTTTAGAGCCTGTGTGCTCAGCACTCTACTGTACCACCTCACCCATCTCCTGTTCACGTAGATACAATGACACACTCACTACACACATATGTGGAGTCAGGTCTCCCCTTGATGCAAAGTGTGAAATGTTTCTGGATTTTAGGCATTTAAATGTTTTAATCTTGGAGGCTTGTAATCTTCTTTCCTTAAATGCAATTAAACATCTGCCTCCAGCTGTACAGGAGTGCGGGCTTGTGCCTTTGACACCTCAATCCTATTCTCCTTTAGAAGCAACAGGCATTATAATACCTGTGTTTCCCATGCACTGTAAGGTTTAAAAACCATTGCTATAGGATGATCTGATTAACATGGCTTCTGGAGGGTTTTAGAAATAATTTAAATTCACCTCTGTTTCCCACAATTCCTTGCACAGAGTAGCTGCTCAATAAATAGTTTCTTTAAATAATTGAATGAATTGAAACATTAGACACATTCTCTTAACCAAGTTTCCGTTTGATCTATTAGTTACTTCTTTGATAAAGTGAAAGTAGTTCCTTACCTGTTTGAAAGGGATGATAAGGAGGGAGCATAGTCTAATGTTTCATATTGTGAACACTGGAGTCATGTTGCCTAGGTCCAAATCTGGAACATACACATTGTGTGATATGTTACCTTTCTGCCCTGTCCTCACTTTCTTCATCAGTGGAAATGGAAATATGATTATAATAGAACCTATCTTATTCAGCTTTGTGAGGACCGTGTTTACATTTGTAAAAGCACTTAAAACAGCTCCAGGTACCCAGTAAATGCAATAGAAGTGCTAAATAAAATAATTTAAAAATGTGATAAGGAATTGGGTTTAAAATACATATTAAGTTGATATGCCTATTGAGTGTCGTGCTCAAAATGAAGTTTGCACCCACATCTGTGGCTGAGTAAAATAATGTAAAACAAATTTTTACATCATAGGTCAAAGAAGAAATTAGCAGCGGTTTTTGAAAATTTAAAATGTAAAATTTTAGGGGCTTTATTGTGGAGATTATGGCCTCAATCAAATTCTGGACAATTTAATTTGTTTTTAATTTTGAACACTGAAACTCAATTTAGGTGTGGCTATATTGAAAATATCAGCAGTTTGGACAACTTGGACTCCCAGTTTCTCTGTGTACAGCTGTCTTTCAGCTATATTAAAACAATTTCAGTATGGTGTTTCAGAAACCACTGTGTCTGAAAGTAAAAGTTCCTCAATTCACACAGTGAGGTGTAAACTCAGTCCAACCCTCCACTCCCCAGGATTTAGTGAGAACCAAGATAAATTGTATTGAAAGTAAAGATGTAAAAATAATTGTAAACCTATCTTTTGAAGAAAGTATGTAGATGTAAATGTCCAAATATAAGCACCACAGTTAAGGTGATCGTATGATTTATTATCCAAAGCAAGATTCTTTTTAAAGTGAAAGAAGAAAGTTTTTACAAATTGTACCAAGGGGATAGGAAAAAACCAGGACTGTTCCAGGCAAACTGGATATGTAGACACTCTGAATACAAACTATATCTGACATTTTTCAAAATGTATGCCATTCTACAGTACAGAGTTTTCATGAACATTTTTTAGGCTTTCCAAACCAGTGAGTTTAAAAATGTAGCCACTCATTCTTGTGATGCCTAAAATGTTTACTGTGTAGACAAAGACAGTATCTTGCAATCTGGAGAAATGAGTCAGAATTCCTCTAAAGAATAAATGGCACCTTCTGACCTCTTTCAAATAAGACTGCCAACCAATCCCTCTGTAAATTCCATGTTGAAGGTTCTTAGTAAAGAGAATTAACCTTAACCGTTTTGTGAACCATAGTAAGTCATGAGCACAGCAATGGACTAAAGGTAAAAAGATTGAATTCATTGTTGAATGGCAACAGTCCCTTACAAGGTATCTTTGACTTTGTAAAGGATGTTTATCTTGGAATCTGTTAAAGTGTGGGTGTGGATAGGGTATGTGTAGAACCATTTTTTTCTTTCTGGACTCTCCATTAGGCCTTAGTTATATGTGTTAGTCTATTTGTAATCCAGTGATAAAATTAGCCTTGTATTGTGTGTAACCTTTGTTGTCTAAAAGGTGTTTATTAAGTAGGAGGGACACCCCTGAAAAAGCTGGGGCTGCTAGCATTAAAGCAGCAAGTTATTAACATTCTAATAAAAACAATAAAAAATAATGAATTAATTCAGATTTGTAATATAAAGTAAATTCATTAGTTCTCATGTATTTAAGTAGAAAATGATGTCTTCAAATTTCAAGAGAAAAGTGCAGATATCAAAAAATCAAAATTAAGGAATAAGAAATTATTTCTCAGAGGAAAGTTAAAGGAAAGTGATATAGCTGGTATACTCATATTTGTATTTTTGCAGATCTAATACAAACATAAGGGAAATTATCTTTGTGAAAATTGAGTTTGTAAGCAAATTTAGCTTTTGCAGAGTTACAATCCAAGAAAGAAAAAGAAAGAAAGAAAGAAAACACAAGTTAGCCACTATATATCTTCTCCCTTCCCTTCCCTTGCAGATTCAACTAACTTTTTCTTTTAAATTACCCTTGAATGTTGAGGTCATTGTATGTGATGAAATAGTACCAAGAAGATGCAGGCAAAGTCAATGGAGGTATAAGGAATTATACCTTTCACACCTAATTGCCTATTTTCCTGTTGACTTATGGTGTACCCTTCATTTTGTATTTGTTCAGTGAAAGTTTATGGAATAGGCTGTGCGTGGTGGCTCACGCCTGTAATCCCAGCAGTTTTGGGAGGCTGAGGCAGGCGGATCACGAGGTCAGGAGATGGAGACCATCCTGGCTAACACAGTGAAACCCCGTCTCTACTAAACACACACACACACACACACACACACACACACACACACACACACAAAATTAGCCGGGCGTGGTGCTGGGCGCCTGTAATCCCAGCTACTCCTGAGGCTGAGGCAGGAGAATGGCGTGAACCCAGGAGGCGGAATTTGCAGTGAGCTGAGATAGCGCCACTGCACTCCAGCCTGGGCGACAGGGCGAGACTCCACCTCAAAAAAAAAAAAAAAAAAAAAAAAGTTTATGGAATAAAGAAATACCCGAACAAACACACTGTAGAATTTATGTAATGTGTGGGGATGGACATTGCATTATTGTGGGTGCTTATATTTGCAGCTGAAAAATATTGTATTTTTCCTTTTGATGAACTAAGATGATACAAAAACCAAAACAAAATAAACAAAATCCAAAAAACAGCAAATAGGCTTTCATTCGGAATTATTTTCAGTTTAGCCTTTGTGAATATTATTAGAAAAGAATAGCACATTATACTCTTAGTTTAGGAGCCATTTATTCTTGTTCACTACTCTGCCTTTTCCCCCAACTCTTTATTCTAGGGAAATATTGTCCTGCCTCCAAACTAAGCATAACAAGCCAAGGAGTGTAGAAATCCTTAGCAACTCAAAAGAAAATCTGTCTTTCAAGTGGCAACCAGATTAGCATGGTTCTTCCTAAATTACAGGAAGGAATGATCCATATACCTAAATTTACTAGTATCATTTTAATTAAAATTTCTATTTCAAAAAATACTCTGACCTACAGAAGAGTTGCAAACATATTACAATGAACCCTCCTATAACCTTCGAGTAGATTCAGCTATTGTTTATAAGTTGCCTCATTTGCTTTAGGGTGCTGCACATTTTGTCTGTGTCATCTATGTGTATACACATTGCTATTTTATATCTACTTATTTATTTTGCTGGGCCATTTGAATTTATTTGCACAGTTACAGACCCTTCATTTTTAAATGCTTCAATATTTTATTTTCTAATAATAAGGAAATTCTTTAATATAACCACAACTTAATTATTCAGGCAATGTTACAAGGATACAATACTATTATCTAATAGACTCTATAAATTTTTCCAATTTCCTCATATTGTCCTTTAGATCATTTGTTTTTAACAGTTCAGGATTAAAGCAGTATCATACTGTAGTTTGTTGGCATGTCTCTTTAGTCTCCTTTAATCTGGATTACTTATGCAGCTCTTCTTGTCTTTCATGACATTGATATTCTTTAAGGGTACAGGTTCATTGTTTTGTAGAATGTTCAATTTTGATTTGTTTGATGAATCCTCTTGATGTGATTTAAGTTGTAGATTTTCATCAGGTTTAATAAATAAGTCATGTGTCCTACTTTGAGCATCACTAGAAGCACTTGATGCTGGTTTGCCCCATAATTGGTGGGGTTAACTTTGGTCACTTGCCGTGCCATGTTTTACATGTTGTGAAAAAAACTTGAAAAATGAAATTTAACAATACCCTGTAAATAGCACCAATAGAATAAGTTGGACAAAAATGTGCAAGACTTATATCATAAAATAATCATAAACATGGCTAAGAGAAGTTAAAGGAGAAATAGTCCATATTCATGAATTGGAACTTGAAATATTGAAAAGATGTCCAGTCTTCCCAAATTGATCTGCAATCTTTACCAAAATTATAGCAGACTAAAAGTCATTCAAAAATTTGTATAAAAATGGAAAGAATCTAGAATAACCCAAAGAAACATGGAAAAGAACACAATTTGAAGACTCAAGGCACCTCATTTTAAGAATTACTGTAAAGCCATAGTAATGATAACAGTTTGATATCAGCATAATATAAATAAATAATAATCAATGGGACAGGATAAGTCCAAAAATAGATCCACACATATATGATTTAATTTTTGACAAAGCACCAAAGTAAGTCTTTTCAACAAATGAGCTAGATTAACTGGAAAAATATATGAGAATAAATAAATATTGACCCCTGCATTATACTGTGTACAAAAATTAATTTGATTTAGATTACATACTTAAATATAAAAGCTAAAATTATAAATTTTTGAGATATAAACAAAAATATCTTTGTAACTGTGAGCAAGTAAATATTACAAAGAAAGAATACAAAAGGCACTAACTATAAGAATAAAAAATAATGAATATGACATCATCAAAATTAAAAACTGATACACTGCAAAGCATTCCATTAAGAAAATAAAAACTGTATATATGTATATACACAGTTTCCATTAAGAAAATAAAAACTGATACAGACTGACAGATAATATTTAATACATTTATTTGACAAAGAAATTGTTTTCTACAGGTATGTACATATATATTAAATATGTCCATATCTCTCTGTATATACATATATGTGTGTGTCTACAATCAGTAATGAAAAGACAACCCAAATAAAAACAGATGTAAGAGGCTTATGTAGACACTCCACCAAGGAAAGATACACAATGGGCAATAAGCATATGAAACTGGAAGTATAATTTAAAGTTAAGATGCTATTAGCACCCACTAGAATAGGTAAAATTGAAAAGACTGAGAACACCAAATGTTGGTGAAGATGTGGAGCAACGGAGACTCATGTATTGCCAGTGAGATTAAAAAATGACATAAACATTTGAAATACTGTATACTGTTTCATTATAAAGGTAAATATACATCTATATGGCCCAGCAATTTCTCTTCTAGGTCTGTATCTAAGAAAAATGAAAATATATGTCCACAAATGATTTATATGAAATATTTATAGTGGTTTTCATTTATAATAGCCTAAATCTGGAAACAACCTAAAAGTCTATCATCAGCAGGTTAATAGATAAATTAAGTTGTGGTGTAGCCAGACAATGGTACACCAATCAATAATAAAGAAAAATAAACTATTGATATAAAAAATGCATGATTTCCAAAAACATGTTGAGCAAAAAATGCCAGAAACAAAAGAATGCGCATTGCATATCTCTAATTACATAAAGCTCAAGATTAGGCAAAACTAAACTATGGTGATATAAATCAAAACAGTAGTTGCCTCTAGGACGGGGGGTTAAGGATTGACTAGAAGAGAACACACAAGAATTTTGGGGAATGAAGGCATATTCTACATCTTGATTGGGTATTGATTACTTGAGTCTATGCATTGGTTCAAATCTAACACATTGTATAAATTTGCATTTCACTGTCTGTGAACTTTCACTCCATAAGATCACTGTTTACTTTCAGGGCCAGATTTTTTCTTCTATAACCACATGATCATTACCCAGACCTAGTAAGACAAATAAATGCGTATAAAGGAAAATACATTCTTGAAATTCTGGGCTTTTACTTTTATATATAGGAAAATTGGCTTGTATTTAATATTCTGTTAGTTGAATTTTCATTATAGCAGTTTACAATTCATTTCTGTATTTTTAAAAAAAATTTTCAACATTGAAAGATACTAGAAATATCCTGATATAGTAGACAGGATTTATTTTCATGATTTAGGAAATCAGGGCTACTCATACTGATAAGCCATTGGTTTAGTTTATTTTTCCCACTTTCCTTTCATATTTTAGCAACATCTCAAACAAACTAAATCTATTGTTACACGTTGGCATATTTACTATCCACACTTATTTCTTATAGCAGTGGTGAATCAGAATTTTTAATCAAGTATTTCATCCTCTTAAAACTATATCTAAACTAATTGCATTTAATTCTTTCCTATATTAGGAGGTGATGTATCAAGTTTTGATTAGGGGCATTATTTTTATTCTTAAGTGGCAAATAGATCTTCAATAGTCTCTGAGCCCTTCAGGGTAGGGTACTTTCTATTGATTTCTGTTTGTACTTTTCCACTTTCTATTATGGGAAAGGGCAGAAATGACCATTTTAATGAAAGTCAATTTTTCTTTGATACAGATTTCAAACTAAAACAAAACACATAGTCAGTGAAGAAAGGAAACTGAAATGATAGGAATGTAAGGCAGATTTCTTTCTTTCTTTGTCTTTTTTTTTTTTTTTTTTTTTTTTTTGAGATGGAGTTTCACTCTTGTTGCCCAGGCTGGAGTGCAATGGCACGATCTCGGCTCACCTCAATCTCTGCCTCCTGGATTCAAGTGATTCTCCTGCCTCAGCCTCCTGAGTAGCTGGGATTACAGGCATGCGCCACCACAACCGGCTAATTTTGGGTTTTTAGTAGAGATGGGTTTCTCCATGTTGGCCAGGCTGGTCTCGAACTCCCGACCTCAGGTGATCTGCCCGCCTTGGCCTCCCAAAGTGCTGGGATTATAGGTGTGGGCCACTGCACCCTGCCGTAAGGCAGATTTCTAAGTAAATTTTTTTAAACTGGAGGATGAGGTTATGAGGAAATCTAATTATGTAATCCAAAAGATACATGTGTGCTACTTATGTGGTCAGATGGATCTCTTCTTCACCATAATCCTGAAATTTAGATGTCAGAACTTTGTTGGAAGACTGAAAGAAAGCATGTTTAAGTGTATGGTTAAACTGGGATTAATATGGCTGTGCCCAAGAGGTGGTACTGGTTGTATTTATAAATACGTTTTAAAAGAAAAGTTGATTTGTGGCTGCTAGAGCTGAGACAAGCATATCTGAGATGCACAATTAACATTTTATTGACTTTTGAGACTGACATAAACTGTCTTCCTCAGTGTTTGTCTGCCCCTTGCCTTCCAGTCTGTGTAACCCATCAGGGCTTCCTGACCCAGGTTTTATTGTTTCTCACTTTCTTTTATTCTTTATGTTTAATAGCTTCAAAATCAATTCAAAATCACATCTAAAACCTACTGCACATACAGTTGCATTACTTCATAAGATTTTTATAATGACAGAATGTTTACTCATAAGGAGTGCTTGAACTGCATCCTAATTATTGTGTTATGTGATAAGCCATTATAGCTTATTGAACACATATTTATGTTTTTGTGGGAAAAAACATGTCTCATTTTTTAATATTACTCTGATTACTTATATCTATTTGTAATCTTTAAAGCTTCCCTAGTTTCAATAGAAGGCTAAGTTTTAATAATTCTTTTCCTCCTATTATAAACAGCCAGAATGTTTAGAATAAGTTGAGGGGTAAATATATCTTCTCCTTTATACTGAACATTAGATTAAGATGTGTGGTCTTTAAATTTGAAATATTTGAAGAGGTTACTTATTTTATGAAAAAAATATGACTCTTGGAGTAAAAAGACAAAGTTCATATTTGTTACTTAGTTATTGGGGGAGGCAAAGTAACAGACAAATGCAGAGGCAGAAAAAAGGGGAGGAGGAATTCAAATGTAGGAAAACAAAACCCTGAGGTGTAAGGAAAATAAGTATGTGGTCTTAGAGTGGAGAGTGAGTAGATAGGAAAACTGCTTCAAATTTTCCTAATGACAGACTTAGTAGAAGGCTTGGAATAATAGAAGAATATTTAAAAAGCAGTAACAACAACAACAACAAAAAGACTGCTGCTCACCCCCTCCAAAAGAGAGCATGCCAGTGAAATCTCTGACAAGCATAAGTTCAAGAGGGTTATCTGAAGCTAGACACCATGATCGTAGAAGGATGAGTTCTTCGGTGTGAAGAATATTTATTCCTTGGATCTGTTTACTGTTCTATTTGGAGCTGAGGCGAGAGTGATGAATAATTGATAGCAGGACACCCTAATAGTCTCTGTAACAAAGGCAGAAGTGCTGGAATTCATTACATCTTATTGTGTGAGAATCATATATTGACAGTTACACAGATGAAAGAGCTCCCACTCTGTAGATAACAAGTCTTTGTTCCAAACGACAGATTTACTTTTCCAGAAGTAGAAGCGAAGACTTGAGGCCTATTTTGCCTTCCACACCTTGTCTCATTGATGAAGTAACTAGATTAAGCCTCATGGAAAACAAGATAACAATAATGGCATTTCCATCCTTGAGTCAATTGAAAACAATATTATCTAAAGATGAAATGCTGCAGAATCACAAAATTTTAAGATGATAAGGAATTAGAATCATCTATTATGTTTTCTAGGAAGTGTGCCAATGGATTCTGGCCCAGAGTAGCTGCCTCCCAAATGCCACCTGACTAACCAACTTTCCTGCAAACCTACTTGTATATCTGCCACTTTCCCTCCCTTTTCTACCTCCTACTTCCTCTTCTCCTTCTTTTCTTTCAACAGCCTTTATTTTGTAAATGCTGAAACCAAGGCCAAGCAATTGCCCAAGGTCGCTTGGCATCAGAACCAGGATCCACATTGTCCAATTTCCAGGTTTCTGCATTTCAAATTCTTTATTAAAAGTCAGAATGTGTTTAATGGAATGATTCACTTTTTTTTACTGTAGACATATTATTACAGCAGACCTTAGTTTATTTGTCTCAATATCAGCTAGTCAAAGAAAAAAGCTTTGACATTTTTATGAACTATTGTATCATGTTCACTTAGAGGTTTCTTAGGAAATGAAGTTTAGAAGTTAGTAGTCTTGGAAGTAAGTGTCAATATAACTGACAGTACAATTCACTGGAACTCATTTCTTCTAATCCTAAATAAAGCTAGGGCATGGTTTATTAAATATTTCTGTGATATTTAGTGTGTAAAAATGTAAAAGAGAATACAAATATTAAAAGGAAGTTTTCCTAATGACAGACTTAGTAGAAATTTGAGTGAATTGTTAAATTTTTAAAGCTGTGTGAACAGTGGTTGATAGTGGATAAAAAATCATTAAATCCATCAGTGGTTTTATAGTTTCCCCAGCAATAATTGGGAGAGAATGAATGATGAAGGTAAAGTGCTAACCCAAAGATTTTAGAAGTTTCACCAAGTTTTAATGAGCCTCACCAATCACCCCTGATGGCAGTCTGGTATTTTACACCTCCTCTAATAAAGTTTTCTTCCCTAGTTTTCAGTGACCACCATTGTGTACACAAATATAGAGGAGTGTACCTGATCGAGGAATGTATCTGATTCTGGCAGGTGGAAGAGTACACATTTGGCATTCCTTTTTATCCATGATTGTCTCACCTTTCTTTGAACTGAAGGTTAAAGTGGGTTGACCATTCCTGGGCCTGCTTGGGTTCTGGAGAGAAGTAATCTAATGTTAACTAGACACACACATTTTCTGACTTAGCCTCTCACCTTCAACATTTCCAACTTCCTGTCTCCCTAGTCTTTGTTCTATCTGACTTTGAACATGCAAATATATTTCCTAAATTTCAGAGGGAGAATAGAGAGGTTTATTATCTTCCTGATGGTTACTCTGATTCCTGTCCCCTCCTTTCCATGTAAAAATTCTTAACAACTTTTTTCATCTTCTCCTTGCATTTGCTCACCATTCTTCATCCTCAAGTTCCAGGAATCTTTGAGTTCTAGCCATCCCAGTGAAACTGCACTTTGAAAGGTCACCAGTTACTCCAAGGTCATCTAGTCCTTCCTGAAATACACTCCGGTCAACTCTCTCTTCTTAGCTTTCTTGATAACGCAATGTCTTTTTTCTCCATTGCTTTTTGGATTCTCACTTCCTGCTGTCTTTGAATCTCAATTCTTTTATTATTATTGATTTCTCATCTGTACTTTAACTTCTCAAACCTTACCTGTAGAACTGTTTCTTCACTCATAGTGAAGTACTTTATATCCTAATGTCTAAAGGTTATTTCAGCTTCACTGCAAGATTAACATGGCTAAAACCAAATTTGTCTTCTCCTTGGAATAATCCTCACCTTAAACTAGTCCCAAAAAGTCCCATTCCTCTTGGCATATAGGATCAGGGGCTTCATGTCCTTTCTAATTTATTCCTTGCCTTCCTCCTTTACTTAGGTAATTATCATCCTGTGGGTTTGTGCTCTGAAAAGCCAGTCTCTACTTTTGCTTTCTTTCTGTCCACAACCCTTGATCTAGATCCTCATCACTCACTAGATTACTGCACTAGCCTCCTGGTTGTCCCTGCAGATGCCAGTCTCTGCATCCCTCAGTTATCTTGTATTAATATTTAACTGCTAGTCTAATATCTCACTTTGGCTGTGTTTTTTCACTGTGTCACTTTTCCTCAAATATTTAGGGGCCTCTCTTTTCTTTCTGCTTCCTGTCTAAATTCTCTGCTGTGGTGTTAAGTTTCCAGATATCCCATACATTACCTCTAGTCTGCACCCTGATACTTATCAAGCTTTTGAAAACATGACTAGATAAAATATATTTTATATTTCAATTTAGTGTGTGTGCACATGTGCTCACACACACACACGTGTGCTGTACACTCACATAATTTAAACAATTTTTCTAAAGCAATCTTTACACTATAATTTATTCTATTTCTTTGAAAAGATAAAGTACATGAGCCCCCATATTGAATTCCTGTCATGACCCTATGGTTTGAAGAGGCCCAATTTATCTAATTTTTTTATCCCTTTATACTTCACCCCATCCACTTTGTTCAGAAGAGTCTACGCCTGCCCTTTAATCATGCAGTGCTAGTTTCTGAGTTTTCAGTCATATTTTTCTAGTTCAAGTTTCTTCTAATCATGAAGTCTTCTTTGCCAACTTTAGCTCTTAAAAATACCCAATTCCTCCAAAGGATAATTGTGCTATGCAAGATGACCCCTAATCCTCTGCTGATTTTGAAATGGTTTTGTAATAGTAAATTGTGTCTTTTCTATCTAGTTTATAAACTCATTGAGAATAGCCCTATGTTTCCTATTTTTCAAACTGCCAGATTTATGTGACGAAACAAAAATAACTTAGTTTCCGAGGCCTAGATACAAACCCTCGCTTTAATATTTTTGAGTCATGTGATGTTGGGTAAAATCCTCAGTTGTAAAATAGGGACCCTAAAACTTGTATCAAAAAATTGCCAGAAGGAGGAAACTAGATGGCTCATGGAAACCTTTGGCAAACACGATACCTAATGAGTGTTTGGTGTTAAATATACTTTCTCTGGCATTTAACCTTTTCATAATGTTGTTTAGCTTTCTATTTGTTTATAATATTTTCAAATACAATCCTTTCTCCAGTCATCTTTATTGCACTTTTCTGATTACTCCAATTACTTGCTAGACAGATTTTTTAAAATTTATGTTTAAATAAAATCTAATGAAGAATAAATGGAAAAGTATGCACGCCTTCGGGTTCCTATCTCACTTCATAGTATTCAATTCATGACTCTAATGTTCTAGAGGGCAAAGGGACATAAGACCAGCATCTATAATGTATTTACTTTGTAGAAAAGCCATTCATCATAAGAGTTGCTGCCACCAAATCTCAAGGCTCATTATGTCAAATTGAATTCATTTAAAATGTGTTATTTAAAAATAGAAAAATTTCTGAAATAAAAAGGGAAATATTTTGTGCTAACTTCTCATTTTTGAGGGGAGCGGCCTTTACCATAATTAGTTTTCTGAACAATTATAATGTGATATGCTTTTTTATTTAATTTACGAAAAGAAGGTTTGTATTTTAAGATAAACTAGGACACTAAGTTTTAGAGGCACATATTGCATCAGATTTTAGAACTAAATTTAAATTCACTTTTAACATTCTGCACTGTGATATATGCAGATTAAAAAGAAAGTGACACACATAAAATCATGTCTGTTAAGCATTTTAAAATTTAAAAAATAGTTTTTTACTCACCAAGTCTCCCAAGAGGGGTACTTTCTGGCATAAATTATCTAACATCAGTTAGATGGCATAAGGTAATGCGGACTGAGAGCAGATCTAAAGGCTAAAGATAGGTGAGAAATGCAAATATAAACATACCTTTCCTATTAATATTAGCTGACCTCTACTCAAACCAAATGCAGTATAAAACATTTCTCTTTCCTATTTCATTTGGTTTCTATTATGTGTGTTGCATGTATCCTATGATGTGATGCCAAATTCCTGACGGAATTTCTGCTGACACCCAGTCCTTATCTTCATTCACTTGTTCACTTTTCTCTCCACTTCAGAAGTGTATCCCCAGTGTAATAAACTTATTTTGTATGTGTAAAGTATAACTTCTATTGTTTTCAATTTATTTGATTGTAAAATGAATATCATATTATAGATGTTATTTGATCATAAATGTATATTATATTAAGAATAGGTGAGGCCGGGCGCGGTGGCTCACGCCTGTAATCCCAGCACTTTGGGAGGCCGAGGCGGGCGGATCACGAGGTCAGGAGATCCAGACCATCCTGGCTAACATGGTGAAACCCTGTCTCTACTAAAAATACAAAAAATTAGCTGGGCGTGGTGGCGGGCGCCTGTAGTCCCAGCTACTCGGGAGGCTGAGGCAGGAGAATGGCGTGAACCCGGGAGGCGGAGCTTGCAGTGAGCTGAGATTGCGCCACTGCACTCCAGCCTGGGCGACAGAGCGAGACTCCGTCTCAAAAAAAAAAAAAAAAAAAAAAAAGAATAGGTGAGAACATATGATTACAAAAGAATTCTGTAATCTTTAAATCGATAGCAACTAAAATTATAAAAACTTTTACAAATCAATGAGTTAATGTTATTCTAGTGTCAGAGTACTTCTGCTTCTATCAGTAATACGGAAAATTTGAAAATTATCTCTTGCTTATATATTTACTACCTTTAGAATATCTAGAAATGTTTACATGAGATGAAAAAGTTATACTTGTGTTATCCTTGTCCTAAAAGAAAAATATTTTTTAAAACTTTAATTCTTGCAAGATCCAATGGTCTTACTCTCCCCAAATATATTTCTAGCAAAATGTATTTCTGATATTTCAAGTCTGACATTTATTTTTTACTAAAATGCACAATGATAGTTATTACAGGAATCAAAAGTACTGAATAAAGCTTTACCTTCAGTGAGGTTAGGTTACATATCAATAGAGCTTGGATATTACTCTAGGAGGAAGAGGCAGAACAATAATTTCTAAAATGTCATTCTGATATTTATTAGTGTTGCAAGTTAAAAAATGGCATCTTCTGAATAATCTAATTCTTCATAAATTCACATCAAAAGAAACAAGAAGCTGAAGAATGTTAACAGACCTATGACTTAAACTGATATACAATTTTAATGTTTTTATTCAGATTCCCTCAAGAAAAGTGTGGGGACAGTTGCTGGGTAAATTTTTGTCTTCAACTTTCTGTCTTCTACAATACAGGGTTTAATAATGTCTTAATTCTATATCACAGTATATATTTAATGTTATGTTGTCAATGAAAATAATTATCTTAAGTCAAACCAACTCTCAGTTGAAGAATCTTGAAAATGACTCCATCTAAATTGTGACTCAGATTTCTGTCTGTAAAATTCAATTTTTAATAGGTTAGAAAAGTCTATCAGTGGATACTGTCTAATCACAAATGGGTATGGAACAGTCTTCACCCTCCAAACCCTGAAGCTTGCAGAGAAACACTGGACTGTACAAGTTAGTGCTAACATGATTACTTATCCCATCCAAAATTCAGCAGCAGCTGACTGTTTTGCACCTGGAACCCTTCTCCCTTTTGTTTTCTATTGTGTAGCTTCTTGTATTTAGAGACTGAAAACTAATTCCAAAATTTCTTTATGAAAAATATAATTAGTATTCTTTTATTATATGTATATATATCTTTAATATATATATGCACACACAGGTTGCATATGCATGTGTGTGTATGGTGCATTCCAAAATGGAAGTAAACTGAACAAATAGAGTATCAAGATGGTGATTCATATTTTCAAACTCCCTTAAAGTTTGTACTCCATTGTTGAATTTCATCTTTACCTAGTCTTAACATGTGAATTGACAGTTTTTAAATTTAAAAATCACTTAAAAGTTAATACAAATTTAGTAAAAACAAAATTTGAACAGACTATATAGTATGTAGTCAAAAGTAACGCTTTCTTCTGTCCCTTTGAAGCTCAGTCCTGCTCCACAGAGATGAACTCCTTTGTGATAACTCCTGGTGAATTTCCTTCATACTAAAAATTTTGTGGGGTAAAGACTGTACCCATAGATCCAGAGCCTTGTGCAGTGTCTGGCATTTATGGAACGGTTGGCCTTCCTATCCCCTGGTTCTGCCTCCACAGAGTCAACTAACTATGGATCAAAAATATGTTTTAAAAACAATAAAAATTAATACAAATTGAAAAATACAGTGTAACAACTATTTACATAGCATTACATTGCATTAGGTTTCATAAGTAATCTAGGCATGACTTAAAGAATACAGGAGATGTGTGTAGGTTATATGCAAATATCATGCCATTTTATATATCAGACTTGAGCATCCATGGATTTTGGTATCCATAGGGGCTCCAATCCCTGTACCAGGCATTCAAGGAATATTTGCAGAAAAAAAGAACAGATAAATGGATGAAAAGATGGCTGGGAGCGGTGGCTCACGCCTGTAATCCCAGCACTTTGGGAGGCCGAGGTGGGTGGATCATGAGGTCAGGAGTTCGAGACCAGCCTGGCCAATATAGTGAAACACCCGTCTCTACTAAAAATACAAAAATTAGCTGGGTGTGGTGGCGCATGCCTGTAGTCCCAGCTGCTTGGGAGGCTGAGGCAGGAGAATCGCTTGAACCTGGGAGGCGGAGGTTGCAGTGAGCCGAGATTGCGCCACTGCACTCCAGTCTGGGCGACAGAGCAAGACTCCGTCTCAAAAAAACAAAACAAAACAAAACAAAAAATGGATGAAAAGATTATAAATAGTATGTAGTTTCAAGGCTCATGGTTTATAAACTATTGAAAAATCACTTTTCCACTTCATGTCATTATTTTTCAGCGTGCAGAGGGATGTTAGACTGTTTTTCAAATACAAAAAAGCCACAAACTTGTATCAGAATCTCTACTTCCTATTGAAATTAAGCCCTAGAGGTAAATATTTTTAGAGTTTTGTCTTGTTGGGTTGTTTTCTTGTTTTTTGAGACAGAGTCTTGCTCTATTGCCTAGGCTGGAGGGCAGTGGCACCATATCGGCTCATTGCAACCTCCGCCTCCTGAGTTCAAGTGATTCTCGTACCTCAGCCTCTCCAGTAGCTGGGACTACAGTTGCACAGCACCACACCTGGCTAATTTGTTTTTTTTTTTTTTTTTTTTTTTTTTTGTATTTTTAGTGGAGATGGGTTTTCACCATGTTGGCCAGGCTGGTCTTGAACTCCTGATCTCAAGTGATCCACCCGCCTTGGCCTCCCAAAGTGCTGGGATTATAGGCTTGAGCCACCACACCTAGCCTTGTTTTTTGTTTGTTTTTGTTTTTTGCAAAAGAGTATCTAGTGGTCATCGATTGCATTTTGATATTATAATTTCTTATTTTCTATTTCAGTAGTATTTTTATTACTCTACTTTCTATTTCTATACTATAGTTTCTATTTCTATTGTTGGATTTCCTTATTTTAATGATTTCCAACATAACTGTTTAAATGCATAGATTATGTAGTAATCTATATAATGGTCAAACCAGCTAGTTTCTGTTATACTTTGAGTTAATCTAGTTACAAATTATCTTTTTTTAAAAAAAAATTCCATTTGACCTAATAAAAAAACAAAAACAAAAACAAAAAATCACTACTCCTTAATTCCACAACTTCAGATTTACCGAAACCACAAATTCCATTTAAATTTCCAGTATTGCTAGTGGTGTGGATGCCTGATGTAATACTGAGTTATCATTGCCAGATTAGAACAATTTTTATTGTCTGAGACTACTAATATTCCTTCTGTTGCTGAATTTAAGAGAATACCCTAAAGCACAATGTAAATTGTAACACTGAGTAGCAGAATTTGAGGGCTAGAAGGCCAAATCATTTTCTGTTTTTTTAACTGTAATGACAGCTATTGGTAACTGCCTGCTCTCTACCCAGAAATTATGGAGATAAGGAAATCTATGAATTATAGTAATAGTGTGTGTTAGTTATCATTCAAAGGCATTTACTATTTTCTGGCATAACAGAACAGAGCACATAGTAAAAACTCAATAAATTGTAATTTATAAATAGTATTTTATTATCTTCATCCAAAAGCTCCTCTTTGAAGGTGACGTATGGAGAGAAAAGCTGTTATTCCCAAAATTGAGTTAGCTAAGCTAAGCTTAAAATTTATTTTATTTTATTTTTCAATTTTTAAAATTTCGATAGCTTTTGAGGTACAAGTGGTTTTCAGTTACATGGATGAATTACATAGTGGTGAATCTGAGATTTTAGTGCACCTATTACCCAAGTAGTGCATACTGTATCCAATATATAGTTTTTTACCCCACATCTCCCTCCCACCGTGCCCCCTCCTTAGTCTCCAAAGTCCATTATATCACTCTGTATGTCTTTGTGTACTCATAACTTAACTCCCACTTATAAGTGAGAACATACGGTATTTGGTTTTCCATTCCTGAGTTACTTCACGTAGAGTAATGGCCTCCAGCTCCATCCAAGTTGCCGTAAAAGACATTATTTCATTCCTTTTTTATGTCTGAGTAGTATTCTGTGCTGTATATATACCACATTTTCTTTTTCCACTCATTGGTGAATGGGCACTGAACTTGGTTCCATATCTTTGCAATTTTGAATTGTGCTGCAACAAACATACATGTATATGTCTTTTTCTTATAATTTCTTATTTTCATTTGGATAGATATCCAGTAGTGGAATTGCTGGATTGAATGGTAAATCTACTTTTAGATCTTTGAGGAATCTCCATACTGTTTTCCATAGAGGTTATCCTAATTTATATTCCCACCAGCAATGTATAAGCATTCTCCTTTTACCATATCTACACCAACATCTATTGTTTTTTGACTTCTTAATAATGGCCATTCTTGTAGCAGGAAGGTGGTATCTCATTGTGGTTTTAATTTGCATTTCCCTGATGATAAGTGATATTGAGCATTTTTTCATATGTTTGTTGGCCATCTGTATATCCTCTTTTGAGAAATGTCTATTCATGTCCTTTGCTCACTTTTTGATGGGATTATATTTTTTTCTTGCTGATTTTTTTTGAGTTCCTTATAGATTCTGGATACTAGTCCTTTGTCAGATGCATAGTTTGCAAATATTTTCTCCCATTCTTGGGTTGTCTGTTTACTCTGATAATTATTTCTTTTGCTGTGCAGGAACTTTTTAGTTTAATTAGGTACCATTTATTTATTTTTATTTTTGTTGCATTTGCTTTTGGGGCTTTAGTCATGATTTCTTTGCCTAGGTCAGTGTCCAGGAGAGTTTTTCCAGGGTTGTCCTCTATAATTTTTTAGTTTCAAGACTTAGATTTAAGTCTTTGATCAACCTTGAGTTGATTTTTGTTTAGGGTGAGAGATAGGGATCCAGTTTCATTCTTCTTCGTGTAGCTAGCCAGTTTTCCCAGCACCATTTATTAAATAGGATGTCCTTTCCCCAACTTATGTTTGTCGAAGATAAGTTGGTTATAAGAATTTGGCTTTATTTCTGGGTTCTCTATTCTGTTCCATTGGTTTATGTGTCTATATCATTAAGATGTTATTTTGGTAAATACGGCCTTGTAGTATAACTTGAAGTCCAGTAATGAGGTGCTTCCAGATGTGTTCTTTTTGCTTAGGATTATTTTGGCTATTTGTCTCTTTTTTTTTTTTGGTTCCATATGAATTTTAAGGCTTTTCTTCTAAATCTATGAAAAATGATGTTTGTATTTTGATGGGAATTGCATTGACTCTGTGGATGGTTTTGGGCAGTATGGCCATTTTCACAATATTGATTCTTCCAATCCATGAGCATGGGTTGTGTTTCCATTTGTTTGTGTCATCTATGAATTCTTTCAGCAGTGCTTTGTAGTTCTACTTGTACAGATCTTTCATCTCTTTGGTTAAATACATTCCTAGGTTGTTTTTTGTTTGTTTATTTTGTTTTGTTTTGTTGCAGCTATCGTAAAAGAGATTAAGTTCTTCATTTGATTCTCAGCTTGGTCATTGTTGGTATATAGCAGTGCTGTTGATTTGTGTATATTGATTTTTTTAACCTGAGACTTTACTGAAATTCATTTATCAAATCTAGAAGTCTTTTGGAGGCGTTTGTAGGGTTTTCTAGGTATATCATCAGCAAACAGTGATAGTTTGACGACTTCTCTTCTTATTTGGATGCCCTTAATTTCTCTTGCCTGACTGCTCTCTAGGACTTCCAGTACTATGTTGAATAGAAGTGGTGAAAGTGGGCATCCTTGTCTTGTTTCTGTTCTTAGGGAGAATGCTTAGAATGATTTTATACATCTGTATAGTTCCTTGAGACAGTGAATTAGAAAATTTCATATTTGTGAATTTAGATATACTTAATGTTTTTGCTCATCAACTACCTATTCTCAAGTTCATAGAAATAACATTATTCTAATTTTACTAATGGTGTCAGATATACTTTTACTTTCAAAAGTGAAATTAAGTTAATATGATTTTAAAATACTTTGGAGTACATTTCTTGATTTTTTTTTTAGACAATTGGAAACACTCAGGCATGTCATAATGAACAGGAATAGTGTACAGAATGTGTCATTGTCCACAGATCCTGTAAGTAAAAAATGCAAACACAAGAAAAGGGGGCACTGATCATCTGAAGTGAAGTTTCAGCCAAACTCCAAGTTTCAATAAATGTTCCTGTTCCTTTTTTATGCTAAATATTGTACTGCGAATTATATACCAAAGTAAAAACTGTTTGCTACAGTCACTCAGATTCCAGGGGTGATTCTTTCATTAGAATGAAATATGTGCCAATAATTTTGACTGCCAGATCATTAGCCTATGAATAATGACTTTTACAAAGTAAAGTTCTATATTATCTCATGATACAGTAAAAAGCATTTAGGCTACTCCACAGGCAAAAATGAATCATTTAGGGGCTGTGTTACCTTGGGGAGATTATACACTCTAAGTGTCACTTTCCTCATCTGTAAAATAGGGATGATAAAGTTCTGTGACTGGAGAGTTAAATCCAATGTTATAATACATTAAAATATTTCACACAAGTATTTAATAGATCAACAAAAATGCCTACAAGTTTATTGTAGACATGATTAGTTTATCATTGGCAGCTAATCCAGAATTACTTTCAAACTAATACTTTTTCTTTTGTCTATTGCTAGTTTAATCAAAGTTAATTCCTCACTTATGGAAATTGAACTAAATTGGAATACATTTTAAATAATTAAAATATTCCCCTTCTGAAGGAGTCTATCGAGAAGTTTAGAGTAAATAATTTTGTCTGTGAATAAATTGGCGATCTCACTGGTGATTGAATTGTAACAATTATTTTTAGCAGAGCTAGGATAGCATTTTGTTCTCAAAATAGAAATCTTGGGGAAACCTCCGGACAAAAGAAATGGATTAATGCTATGGTTAAATGTATAGAGTTGGGCTGCCTTTTGGGATGGCCTCCTACCCATATGTAGCTATGAGACACTTGAAATGAATATCCGATTAGTATCACTGAGAAGCTGAATTTTTAAATTTTCTATTATCTAAATTAAAATTAAATAAAAAATCTGAAGCATAAAATATGTTTGTGTTAAAAATTATTATTTTTCTTAGACATCTTAATTTGAACCACTAAAAATTTGGCTTCTGAATTGAGATGTTCTTTATGTATCAAATGGACATTGCATTTTAAAGATTTAGTACAAAAATGTAATATATCCCATTAATAATTACTGTATATTGTTACATGTTGCAATGTTATTCTTGTGGGTTTATTGGATTAGATAAAATATATTGTCATAATTTATTTTGTTTATTTTTACATTTTTGCTATAGCTACCAGAAAATTAAAATTGTACTTACAGCATACATTCCATTTTTATTGGATAACACTGGTATAGAGATATTGCTGGAGTAAATGTACTCAATTCTGAGTTGAAATACCCCACTGAGAATTAATTGCAGGCCTCATGTAAGTCAAGTCAGACTTAGAATATGACCCGAGAGAGAAGGTAGCTTTTGGCAGAAGTTTAACAAAAGTCGTCTGCTCTTAAAGATTCTAATTCAGAAGCTAATGTGGAGTTTAATCCTAACAACTAGTATTTAAAACTGTTCATCAGCTAGAGTACTACTAACCACTTTGATTAATAGCTTAGGTTTTTCCCAGCCCATTTGAGTATTGGAAACTTTGATCATATTTGATAATATTGGGAAATTATCAGTCTTTTCTTTGAAAAGAAACTAGAGTTATTAAAATAACAGGGATGTTCTCAAACTAGTTCCAGAACCAACACCATCTGCAACACCTACTAAACTTACTACAAATGCAAATTTTCCAACCTCACACAAGACCTACTGAATCTGAAACTCTGGGGACAAGGTCCAGGAATCTGTGGCTTAAGATTCCTAGGTGATTCTGATGCACACTAAAGTTTGTGAACCACTATATTGGAATATATCATATTCTTGTTAACTGATGGATAAGATTTGTTCTAATAGACTGAGATTTTAGTAAGTGAACAGGTATTTAGTTAATAACAAACTCCAGGGCCATAATGATGTACTGAGGCTGTAAGGAACTCATTGAAGCACAAGCATGGCTCCCTCTTCCAACAACTTCTTGCATTAAATCATTAGTATTCAGGCAGGACTCTAGATGGGGATTTTCCTTGTGTAGGGTTTCATTATTATTAATTGAGTTCTTAATGGAGTTTATTGCTTAGCATTCTCAAATAACTTCTGTTTTATTGTGATACAAGAAAGTCTAATCCGCCACAATGATTTTACTTTTCATAATGGCACAGAAGAGTTGCTGAATGTGATATTAGCTTAAATGTATCCCACTATCCTTCATCTATTTGTAATGAAAAATGATTCTGTTGCCTTTTGAGAACATCAGAATGATTATGTAACATTTTTGTGGTGCTGAATTATTTTAGATATGACATTCTTAGTAAGGAAAAAAAATGGTGCTTCAAGAAATTACTTCCAAAAATGGTAAAAAGGAATTTGAGAAAAAAGAAATTACTTCAGAATCTTACTAATTTTTTTATTCCAACTTTTGCTTGTGTAAATTAAAAATAGACAATTGTTGAGAATTGCTATTCCTGCAGTTAATTTCAGCACCCTAAATATTTAAGTGTAAATATTTAGGTTAAGAGGGAAATATTTATGCTTGAAAAAGCTTGTCTTTTTCATACTTTAAATCCCCACTAATATCTTTGTTCCATTATTATTTATTTTTTAGAATAGCATTATTTTACTTTATCAAATATGCACTTGTTTTCTAAGTAGTTCTACCCTCTTCGCATTAGTTCGGAATACATCAAATAATTTTTTCTTCTTTTAAAAATAGAGAACCCTTGTGTTTACCTTTCCATAAATATAAACATGGCTTTAAAAAACATGAATTTTATGTAAAATGTGAAATAAATGTCAATATTTGTATGTAGCATTTATCCTTTCTTACAAGGAGAGAAAAGCCAGCAAGAGATTTCTGATAACTACCATCACCTTAAAGTCTGTTTTTCTAAATACTACCCCTTGACACCCAATAAAAAAACTATGAAACAAATAGGATAAGACTACAAGAACACAGGATTACTTTTAGTGCTCTAAAGGTGGGAGTTCTGCAACATCATAAGGGTGTCAAAGGCCTAGCACATTGGCATTTGCCATTCATGGTCGACATTGATGATCATTGTGTTTTAGCATTCAAAGCACAAGGAATAATAAAAGCCATACAAGTTTTTATTTTCATTAGTTTTAACATGTGATATTCTTGTACACATGCCTGAATAATGCCTTTTTAAAAACTTAGTAATCATGCATCATATGAGTGGGTAATAAGGAAACAATATTCTTTACCATGAGAGTGGGCTAAACACTTCAAAGGACCCTTCATGAAACATTTGGAATTAGAGCTTGAGGTATTGTGACGTTACTGTTTTAATCAAAGCTTTTAAGTTGGAGATGGTGGATGAAAAAAACAGAAAAATTACCATAGGTGATAATAGTATACTCAATAAAAATGTAAAAATACTGCCGTTGTACAAGACTTTCAGTAAAAAGACCTGGCAAATCCCCAGGTATTAGTGGGGATTTAAAATATGAAAAAGAAAAGCTTTCTTTTTTAACATAAATATTTCCCGTCTCTATTTAAATATTTACACTTAAATATTTAAGGTGCTGAAATCACGGCAGCAATAACAATTCTCACTTACATTCATTTTCTACAATGCTACATCTGGTTATTTTTCTATCCGGGTTTAAGTTCCTTCACCATAAGTCCTTCTTCCTTTTTTGGAAGGCTCAGTGGATGCCCTATGATCTGCCCCTGGAATACTCATTGTTTGTTGTGGTGGAAGGTTGATAAGAAATCTTTTATCTTATAAAAGATAAAATGTATATATTTATATTTTCTTGTATTCAACAGCTTTGAATTGGTGCACCCAATTCTGAGTAGCTCTGTGTGTGTGTGTGTGTGTGTGTGTATGTGTGTAAAACAAAGTACTTTATAATGCAAAGTCCCTTTCTTACACTTCCATAAGCACTGGTAAGACAGCAATACAGAAATACAGAAAAGACAAGTGTATAATTCATGATGCCCTGGACTTTCTAAGGCTTTGAAATGCGAACCAGGAACGCAAATTGTTTTACCAAAAATGAAAATGTCCTTTCGCATGACAGCAGTCTGTTCCAGTTGCACCTGTGTTTTGCTATGATTTGCAAATTGATTGGAATTTTGCCCTTGGTATTCTTTTAGCCTCAAAATGTTCTACAATTTGAAAAGTGTGGAGGGGAGCTTGATCATATATGTACTGTTAAATCTGATTTTAGATAAATTCTAATTTTATGAATATTGTTTTTTGAACAGGACAATTTGAGAAAATGAGGATTACTTATAAATATTTATAATGATCATGAAACAGTATTCTAAATATTAAAGATCTGAGTTGTAAAGATTGATATATTAATATTTACCTTATCTTTAAAAAATATTGCTTGATTATTACCTATGCTTCATGTGGTTCCACAAGGAATATATTACTGTTTTAACAAAGATGTATGCAGTTCGATAGTAAAATATTTTTGCAAAAATTTAAAGAAGAAATTTAAATTAAATAGAAAATTTAGGGAGAAAAAATTAAACACAATATAGGGACCATTCAGACCCCATCATTGCTATATTTGAGCATTGAATTTGGCATTGAATTTTTTCACAGATTAAGGAAAATGTAGAAAGGGCCAGTTAAAAAGGAGAAAACATCTTGTTTCTCAAGGGAAGCAAAGCTTTGCCTACTACTTAAAAAAATAAAATATATTTCTCAAGTGGGGCTTCCCACAGTGGGTTTTTGGTAATAGACACAAAACTGACCCTATTCAAACACTGCTCACCAAGAATATACTAGAATTAATCATAAATGGCCATTTAGAGTTTGTCTAGAAGTGTTGCACAGTAATTAGCCAATCCAAAATGTACAGTATGTGAGATGACACTGGATGTCTGGTCTTTTGCAGCAGATTTGTAATTGCTTTTTATTGTCTATCTCCCTTATTGAATTGGGAACTCTTTATAGGTGGGGGTCGCTTTTCATTCATAGTGTTGTGCCAAGTTTGCACTACGCACTTGATAAGGAAAAAAATTAGTGTAAAAATTGTTAAAGGTCTCTATCAGAACAGTCTAAGGGGCATTTCATGATAACTCAATCTTTTTAAGATACAGTTTTAAGGCAATATTTTAAAAAACATTTTGAAAGGTGGATTTATGAATACTGCTTCTTTTTAGAAGGTGACAGAATCAAACACAAACATGAGGTGTTCAATAAATATTGCTGACTATATTGATTTGAGCCAAAATTTCACCAATAATGCATTTGGACTGAGTGTGTAACTAATATTCTTGGATTAGGAAAACAAAGCTCTTAGAAAATGAATCCTAGAAGTTTGTTCAAGATTCTGTCACCTAATATGTAGAAAATGTATTGAAGATTTTGAAATATCTGTGTATAATTTTCTAAAATTCATGTGTATCTCCTAAGAATCCTACCATATTAATACCAGTTGTAATGTAGGTCAAAGATGTGGCAAATATTTTCTTATATGAATTTTTTTCAAAAGTATTAGCTCTGTAATTCTTTCAGAAATTCTCTGGGACGGCCAATTCACAAGGAATAAAATGTAAATTTTAAAAAGCCTTAGGGCAAACTACTTTCGTTTTCTTAAAATACTCTGCTTCTAGGAAGGATGCTTCTACTAAGGAAAACAGGAAAGTGGTATAAGTGATCTATAACTATGTATAGTTTACATGGGACACAGAAGGAGATAGATTTTTACCTTTGTTTTTCATTCACTGTAAGCAGATAAATGTATATTTACTTAAGGATGGCTTGAAGTCATGTTACAACTTCTATTACTATTCTTGTCATTGTCCACATTTTTCTTAATTTTATCAAGTGTGGAAAGAGAAAAACAGAAATAGTCTTCCTTTTAATTTAGAAATGGGCCACTATAAGCATACGCACAACTCAAAATTGCAGTTTCTTAATGTTATGCACTTGATTAATTTGTATGAATTCATGCCATATTTCTCTGAACTTTGCTGAATTGCCAGGTATATGGCTTGGCTTGTATCTCCAGTTATAAGCCTTGGTATAGTCACGCCTGACTAGGGCAGAATGGAGAACTTGCTTCTGGCTTACAGCCCTCCTAAGGGCACCATGCAGGTTAGTGCTGCCCATGATGCTCTGGTGTTTGGAGATCTGCACACACAACCTCATTACCCCACCTTTAACATCTATGTCACAGATCAAGGGTTTGCAAACCATGATCCATAAGCCAAAAGTAGTCCAAAGATGTATTTACTATAGTTATATTTCATTCTTAGAATTTTAAAATTTAAATGCCTTTGTGTCTGTATCCTGCTATAATTCTGGTCCAACCAGTCCTTGTTTTCTTATCCAGTCCATGACACTCATTGATAATAATAACTTGGTTCCCAAAGATATGTGAATTTTTCATTCCTATGACCACTCCTGTTTTCTGTCAAGTAATGTTAGATTTCTCTGTTTAAATATGAAATGTTGAAATCCTAAAAGCTATTAATAAACAGATCAGTTCTCCCAGGTGACTTGAGTGTTTTCAGCAAGAATTACCAATGCAATAATCCAGAGATATTAAACAAATGGCTGACTGCTCAAACATTGTTGGCTTGACAGAGCATCATGTTGAGAAGATTTCTGAGACGAAACCCAAATTCACAATGAAAGACTGCAGTCATTGGTGGCCATAAGACACGAGAGACAGGGGTTGTCAAACTTCTGTAGTCCCAGTAGATGAGGATTTACCAATTATGCCTTGCAACAAAGTGAGTTATGTACTTGTTGTATTGCCCCACCATCCTTCAACCAGATTGTACTTCTTCTAGATGGACCTGCATCTTAAATCTACGTATCCTTGTGACACTTATTTCAGAGCTTTACAAATGGAAGGTTATCCATATAATTGGAACTGTGCCAGATCAGAACAGGAGATGTTTTCTGAGACCCTCGCTTCTGCTGCAACATTACACAAAAAAGGGTTTAGAATTTAAAAAAAAAAACAAGATTAACCAAAAACAGGTTCTTAAAAAGTCCCAGGTATGGCCAACAAACAAATATGAATGCCACCTATTTTATTGTAGCTACATTTCTCTAGTTGCTGGTGCACAGGAGTTGTGATTACTTGTTCATATTTGCACCATGTTAAACATAATACAGAAGATGCTCCACATAGCTGCTGTTACTAAGGAAACACAGAGAGTGCCTGCCCTTTGAAATATTTTCCTGATAAGAAATGTGTAATGATATCACATATTTTGCACTGTTTAAGACAAGGTGGGTAGGGCATAACCATAGAGCAATTATATCACCTGAATTACGAGGAAAGAACCTCTAAACTAGCTATCGTTAGTGAAGTACGTAAGCACACTAAGCTTACCTGAGGCAGGTAGTTGAGCGTCTCACTACGTGCTGAACCCAACAGACACTGGTGCCTTCAGTTTCAATGAGCAGGTTTTTTTTTTACTTGGAAACGGTGTTTGTAAACAGTGTGGCTTGCAGTCTTTTTTTGTGCTGGGTTTCGTCCTGATCCCTTACATGCATTATCACATTCAATCTTGTCAAGAGACCTTTGAGTTTCAGATTGTGGAAGCCATTTTACAGATAAGAAAAATGAGGTCTATAGAAACTAAGTAAATTTCCCAGTGTCATGCAGTTGTTCAGTGGTAGACATGAAATTCAGACACAGGCCTCTGATTCCAGTTTCCATGCTGTTTCTTTGTAGTCATCCATTGTGTATGTAAACAACTTTTCATTTAAACAAGATGCAAATAATATTGGTATAAAACAAATGTATTCTAGAATTTCAACTTTCCTGCTCATTTGTTCCTTGAGCCTGGTTTTTCTTGTCTTCAGGTTTATATTTTAAGGTGACATCTTATACTGTGGTCTTCTTTGTTTACTTTTCTATTTCCCTTCACTTCACAGGAGTAAGATACCCAACATCGGACTGTAATTCTGTGTACATAGGATGTCCATGACCCTATTCTCCTAGATTTGTTTATAGGGAGAATACAGGATGCTTTCCTCTCTGAATGTAAAAATAGAACCAGTCAGAGCAAGGTGTTCACAAGTATCTTAAATTATTTATTGAATCCTAACTATGTGTACTCATATTTGGTATGTAGCTCAAGATAAGATGAAGAGAAATGGTCCTTGATTTCAAGAGAAGGTTTTCTTACATACTTCAGTATAATCAGAGGAGTCTTTGGTGTCAGAATCTGAATGCAGGCAAAGACCTCCTTTATAGCTTCAACATTCTTCTCATTTCACAGGATTGGAACTATAGATTTTCAAAGCTAATTGTCAGTGACTATCAAAGTACGGATCCTGAAGATGGGGCTCAAGAGCTGCTAGGAGTCAATGGGGAGTGCCCACAGGACAGACTTCACCATACTTTAACCAGAGAAGATACATTTGAATTGAATGTCCTTTAAAAAGAGGGTGTCCCTGAAATGGAAAAAAAAATTTGAACACCATTATAGCCTAGATTCCTCATTTGTTGCTGACCCTTCCTTCCATACCATTTTCTCTCCCCTTTCACCATAACACTCCCTGAAAGTATAAAGTCTTCAACAATTTTATTCCAATTTATCCGCTGAATTTGGTAATGATAAAAAAGATTTTAATAGCAATTGCATTGCCTAATTACTGAATCATAGAACATTAAATCATTGACAATACACAAGGCAAACCTCAATATACAATTAATTAATGAGTCTGCTTGTATCTATGAAATGAGATACCTAAAAATATAGATTTTGTGGATACTTATTCATTTTAAAGATATTAAAAACTAAAGCATATTCTTAACTACTGACCAACTGGTCAAATAGTTAAGACTGCAATGAATAGCTTGAAATTAAAAAAATGTAGTATAATTTCATTAGCTCTGATATGTATTTTACTCAAGGTCATGAATCAGAACTTTTAAAACTATTAAAATTGAAGGATATCAAGAAATATAATTGATGTGTTTCTATGCATATTAATAAGGTCATTTTTCCATGTCAAATTCTTCTGAGTCTTAAACTATGTTATAGTTTGAAGTTAGGCTTTTTTGGAAGGCATTGTCGTATATTACTAATGGGAATGCATAAATTATACAATAAAAATTGGCTTAGTAAGCCTAATTAATAGAGCAACTTCAGGTAATTCAATCAAGTAAAACTTGTCTGAGACTTTCTTTTACTATATGAGCAATAGGAATAGGTTTTAGAGTATAAGTGTCTTTAAGAACATGTATAAGAGAAAAAGAGAAAGAGTAAACATTAAAAGGACAGTGATTGTTAAATATTTGCAGAAGTTTTTCTGGTAGTTAATGTATAAGTACTAAGTGAATATACAGAAGCCACAGCTCTAATAGTTTCTCCAATGTTTTAGCATCTTTTTCTAGCCCAGGACTGAGTTGAGTTCTTTTTAGGAGAAAAGCGTTGATGCCATCTGCAGCACACCTATAGATCATAGGCAAGAACAAGAAGTAGATTGCATGCTCAGTTATCAGGTATACGATACATCTGAGTTAGTTCCTGGCATGTAAATGATCAACTCCCTCTTTCCCTTTCCTTTTCCTTTTCCTCTTCCTTCCTTCCTTCCTTCTCTCCCTCCTGCCCTTCCTTCCTTCCTTCTTTGTTTTCCTTTCATGTTTTGACTTTACTATCAAGTTCTAGCCAGTATGCAGACTATTTTTTTTAAGTTCTGAAAATATTCTTGCAAATTTCTAAATGAGAAACAGGTAAATTTTATTTATTTTTTTCAGCTTTCCTGAGGAATAATTGACAAGTAAATATTGTATATATTTAAGTTGTGAGATGTGATGTATTGATACATGTATACATTGTGAAGTAATCACCACAATCAATTAACATACCTACTACCTCACATAGTTACCTTTTTTTGTGGTGAGAACATTTAGGATCTATTCTCTTAGCAAATTTCAAGTACACAACACAACACTGTTAACAACAGTTCCATCCTGTACATTATATTTACATGTAAGGCAAAATGAACTCTAAGTTAAAAAATAAACAGAAAATAAAAAATAGATCTCCAGAGCTTTTCTCTCCTGAATAACTGAAACTTTCTACCATTTGACCAACATCACTCCATTCCTCCCAATCCCTGTTCCCTGGCAACCACTATTCTACTCTCTACTTCTATGAACTTGATTTTTTTTTAGATAATTATTACATTGAATCTGTAGATAGCTTTGAGTAGAATGGACATTTTAACAATATTAACTTTCCAATCCATGAATGTGGGATATCTTTCCATTTATCTGTGTTTTATAGTTTTCAGTATATAGATCTTTTTACCTCTTTGGTTAAATTTATTTCTAAATTTTGTTTATGTTATTATAAAATGAATTGATTTCTTAATCTTTTTTTTTAACTTTTATTTTAAGTTGAGGGGTACATGTGCAGGTTTGCTATATAGGTAAACTTGTTTCATCGGGGTTTATTGTACAAATTATTTCATCACCCAGGTATTAAGCCTAGTACACATTAGTAATTTTTGCTGATCCCCTCCCTCCTCCTACACCACACCCTCCAATAGGTCCCAGTGTGTGTTGTTCCCCTCTAGGTGTCCATGTGTTCCCATAATTTAGCTCCCACTTCTAAGTGAGAACATATGGTATTTAGTTTTCTGTCCCTGTGCTAGTTTGCTAAGGATAATGGCCTCCAGCTCCACCTATGTCCTTGCAACGTACGTGATCTCATTCCTTTTTATGGCTGCATAGTATTCCATGGTGTATATGTACCACATTGGGTAAATAATAAAATTAAGGCAGAATCAAAAAGTTGTTCAAAACTAGTAAGAACAAAGATACAACATACCAGAATCTCTGGGACACAGCTAAGGCAGTATTAAGAGGGAAATTTATAAGATTAAATTCCCATATCAAAAAGTTAGAAAGCTCTCAAGTTAACAACCTAACATCACAACTGAAAGAACTAGACAACTAAGAGCAAACAAATCCCAAGCTAGTAGACCACAAGAAATAACCAAAATCAGAGCTGAACTGAAGGAGATTGAGACACACACACACACACACACACACACACACACACACACACACACACCATTCAAAAGATCAACAAATCCAGGAGCTGGGTTTTTTTTGAAAAAAAAAAAAATAAGCTGCTTGTTAGACTAATAAAGAAGAAAAGAGAGAAGATTCAAATAAACGCAAAGGGGATCAGAAACAACAAAGGGGACATTACCACTGACCCTATAGAAATATAAACAACCACCAGATAATATTATAAACACCTCTATGCACATAAACTAGAAAATTTAGAAGAAATGGATAATTTCCTGGACACACATACACTCTAAGACTGAGCCAGGAAGAATTCGAATCCCTGAACAGACCAATAATAAGCTCTGAAATTGAGTCAGTATTAAATAGCTTACTAACCAAAAAAAGCCAGGGCCAGATGGATTCACAAATGAATTCTGCCAGATGTATGAAGAAGAGCTGGCAATATTCCTGCTGAAACTATTCCAAAAAAATTGAGGAGGAGGGACTCCTCCCTAACTCATTCTATGACCCAGTATCATTGTGATACCAAAACCTTGCATAAATACAACAAAAAAGAAAACTTCAGGCCAATATCCTTGATGAACATTGATGCAAAAATCCTCAACAAAATACTGGCAAACCAAATCCAGCAGCACATCAAAAAGCTTATCCACCATGATCAAATAGGCTTTATCCCTGGGATGCAAGTTTGGTTCAACATAACTAAATCAATAAATGTGATACATAACATAAACAGAACTGAAGACACAAACCACATGATTATCTCAATAGATGCAGAAAAGACTTTCAGTAAAATTCAGCACCCCTTCATGTTAAAAAAAAAACTCGATAAATTAGGTATTGAAGGAATATACTTCAATATAATAAGAGCCATCTATGGCAAACCCACATTCAGCATCATACTGAATGGGCAAAAACTGGAAGTATTCCCCCTGAAAACTGGCACAAGACAAGGATGCCCTCTCTCACTAATCCTATTCAACATAGCATTGGAAGTCCTGGCTAGGGCAATCAGCCAAGGGAAAGAAGTAAAGGACATCCAAATAGGAAGAGAAGAATTCAAACTATCCCTCTTTGCAGATGACATGATCCAATATCTAGAAAACCCCATAGTCTCAGCCCAAAAGCTTCTTAAGCTGATAAGCAACTTCAGCAAGGTCTCGGGATACAAAATCAATGTGCAAAAATCACTAGCATTCCTATACACCAACAATCAAGCTGAGAGCCAAATCAGGAATGTAATCTCATTCACAATTGCCACAAAAAGAATAAAATACTAGGAATACAGATAAGTAGGGAGGTTAAAGATCCCTACAAGGAGAACCACAAAACACTGCTCAAAGAAATCAGAGGTGACACAAACAGATAGAAAAACATTTTGTGCTCATGGATAAGAAGAAACAATATTGTAAAAATGGCCATACTGCCCAAAGCAATTTAGAAATTCAATAGTATTCCTATTAAACTACCATTGACATTCTTCACAGAACTAGGAAAAAAAACCTATTTTTAAAATTCATAAGAAACAACAACAACAAAAAGCCCAAATAGACAAGGCAATCCTAAGCAAAAAGAACAAAGCTGGAGGCATCATGCTACCTGACTTAATTTCTTTTCTGGATAGTTTGTTGTTAGTGTATTGAAATGCAACTGATTTTTGTCTGTTGACTTTTTTATTCTGAAACTTCACTAAATTAGGTTTTAACAGATTTGTTGGTATAGTCTTTAGGGTGTTCTTTATATAAGATAATGCCATCTGCGAGTAGAGACAATTTAACTTCTTCCCTTCAAATGAAGATGCTTTTTATTTCTTTTCCTTGCCTAATATTTTCAGCTAAGATTTCAAGTACTATGTTGAATACCAAGTGGTGAGAATGGGCATCCTGGTCTTAGAGAAAAAGTTTTCAGCATTTCGCCATTGAGTATGATTTCAACTGTGGATATGTTATATATGGCCTTTTTAATGTTGAAATACATTTTTTCTTTATCTAATTTGTTGAGTTTTTATTATGAAAGAGTTGTGAATTGTGTCAAATGCCTTTTATGCATATATTAAGATGATCATATGATTTTTATCCTTCATTCTGTTAATGAAGTGTATCACAATTTTTGATTTGTGTATGTTGAGCCGTCCTTTCCTCCCAAGTGTAAATCTCACTTTCCTATGATGAATGATCCTCTTAATGTGCTGTTCCATTCAGTTTGCTAGTATTTTGGTGAGGATTTTTGCATCTATGTTTATTGGGGATATTGGCTTATAATCTTTTTCTTGTAGTGTCCTTGCCTGGCTTTGGTATCAGGATAGTGCTGACCTTGTAAAATGAGTTTGTAAGTGTTTTCTCTTTAATTTTTTGGAAGAGTTTGAGAAGAATTAGTATTAATTTTTTTCAGAGGTTTGGTAGAATTCACCAGAGAAGCCATTAGTGTCTGCATTTTTCTTTGATGAGAGATTTGTGATTACTGCTTCAACTTTATTTCTTCTGATTAGTTATTATTCTGTTTTAATTTTCTTTTTCTTTATGATTCAGTCTTAGTAGGTGTGTCTTTCTAGAAACTTATCCATTTCTTCTCGGTTATCCAATTTGTTGGTGAATTATTATACAAATAGTATCCTGTAATTCTTTATATTCCTGTGATATCAGTGGTTATGCTTCCTTTTTCATTTATGATTTTATTTAAGTCATCTCTTTTTTCTTAGATAATCTAGTTAAAGTTTTGTCAATGTTGTTTATCTTCTTAAAAAAACAACTCCTATTTTTATTGATCTTATCTATTGTTCTCTAGTCTTTATTTTATCTCTGTTCTAATATAGTTTGATTTTTTTCTGTTAATGTTTGGCTTAATTTTGTTTTGGTGTTTTCTTCTAGTTCCTTAAGGTGTAAAGTTAGGTTGCTTATTTGAGATCTTTTCTTAATATAGGTGTTCATTGCTATAAAATTACCTCTTAGAACTGGTTTTGCTATATCCCATAAGATTTGATATGTTGTGTTTCATTTTTGTCTCAAGATATTTTTCTCTTTTGCTTTCTTCTCTGATTTATTGGATATTCAGGGGTATGTTGTTTAATTCCAACATTTTTTTTAAGTTTTCTAATTTTCTTCCTGTTATTGTTTTCTAATTTCATACCATTCTGTTCATGAAAGATCCTAGACATGATTTCAACCTTCTTGAATTTGGTAAATCTTGTTTTGTGGCCTAATCTATGATCCTGGATAACATTCTATGTGTGCTAGAGAAGAACATGTATTCCGCTGTGGTTGAATGGAATGGTTTATATACGTCCGTTAGGTTCATTTGGTCTATAGTGTTGTTCAAGTCCAATGTTTACTTATTGATTTTTCTACCTGGATGATCTGTTTATTGTTGAAAGTGGGTTATTAAAGTCTTCTACTATTATTGTATTGCTGTTTACTTCTCCCTTCAGTTATATCAATTTTTGCTTTATATACTTAGATGCTTCAATAGATATTGTATATCTATTAGCAAATGATGATGGCCATATTAATTTTAATAGTCTTGTCTTTTAACTTTTATATTAAAGTCAAACATGATCTACACACCACCATCACAGTATTAGAATATTCTGAATTTGATTATGTTCTTATTTACTGTGAGTTTAATATTTTCATGTTGTTAGTTTGCTTTTGTTTTAACTTGAAGAAGTCACTTTAGCATTTTTATAAGGCAACTATAGTGATTAACTCCCTCAGTCTTTGTTTGGGAAAGTATCTCTCATTTTTGAGGAAACCTTTGCTAGGTACAGTATTCTCAGTTGACAGTTTTGGATTTTTTTTTTTTTTTTTTTTTTTTTAACCAGTACCTGACTATATCATCCCATCATCTTCTGGCATCAAGGTTTCTGCTGAGAAATCTTCTGATAGTCTTATTGTGGTTTCCTTGTATGTTATAGGTTGCTTTTCTATTGCTAATTTATAATCCTCTGTTTGTCTTTGACTTTTGAGAATTTGACTGTAATATGTCTCAGTGACGATCTCTTTATGTTTGATCTATTTGGGGTAATTTACATTTTATGAATGTAGATATTCATCTCCTTCTCCATATTTAGAGTTTTCTGTCATTATTTCTTTTAAGAATCCCTCTGCCTATTTCTTTTTTTTAGTTTGTTTCTTCTTGGACTTAAATAATACATAATTGGTTCACTTGATGGTCTCCCATAGCCCTGCAGGCTTTCTTCCCTCTTTTTCTTTATTTCTTTTTATTTTTGTTTCTCCAATTAGGTCATTTCAAATGACCTGTCTTTGAGTTTGCTAATTCTTTCTTCTGCTTTATCAAGTCTCCTACTGAAGCTCTTTAAAGAATTTTAAATCTTATCTATTGTGTTCTTCAGCTCCAGAATTTTTGATTGGTTCTTTTATATGGTTCCTGTCTCTTTGTTGAACTTTTAATTTTGTTTTTTATTGTTCTCCTGATTTTTATTTCAGGTAGTGGTGTTCTCTTGTAGCTTATTGAACTTCTTCAAAATGATTACAGATGGTTCTCAACTTATGATGGGGTTATGTCCTGGTAAAACTATCATAAGTCAAAACTGCATTTAATATCTCAATCAATTGTAAAGTAAAAAAGTCATAAGTCAACCATCATAAATCAGAGACTGTTTGTATTTTTAATTATTGCCACACAGTTCATGGATTTTCATTTCTTTAGGATAGGCTATGGATGCTTTATTTTTTTTTCTTTGTTGGTGTCATGATTCCATGATTATAAGCAATCCTTTTGGTCTCCCCTTGGTATCTTATCATTTGAAGAATTAGGGTCCTCCTCTACTCTTTACATATTGTATTTGGCAAAGAAAGCACTTCACCAGTCAGCCTTTCCAAAGAGTCTAGGTAGATAGGCTGAAGTATCTGCAGATAACCTTGCTGCTGGAGTCCTTAGGTGGCTGGCCTGGTGCCAAGGTCAGCAAGCACGTGGGCCTGGAGCCTTGGTTCACTGGAGTAGGCCTGGAACTAGGGTCATTGTGGGTGGTCCTGGAGCCTGTGAGTCTGTGGGTCTGTGGATGCCAGCCTGACACCAGGGTCTACTGAGATGGACCTGGAAACTGAGTATATAGCATCTGAACTGATGTTATCTGGGCCTTGAGTCTGAGTCAGTGGGGGCCGGGCTGGTCCTGGGCCAGGCCTGCTGCCTTGATCCATGGGAAAGACTTGATCATGAGTCTGTGGAACTAGCCAGGCACTGCAGTCTACTGCGGTAGTGCTGGCACCTGAATACAGAGGGATGGGCCTGATGTCTGTGATTATGTGTGTGGACCTGGGTCCAAGATCCATGAGTAGCAGCCTCAAGCCTGAATTCGTGGATGCCAGCCTGGTGCTCAGGGCCACAGAGGCTGGCCTGGCACCGGGTTGGTCCTGGATCCTGGGGCTATAGGAGCCAGCCTAGAGCCTGGAGCCACTGAGTCTGGTGTTGCACTGGAGTGGGCCTAGAGCCTGGGTTCATGGTGCCAGCCTAGAACCTGGGTCTGCAGGAGCCAGCTTGACACTAAGGTGAGTCTGGAGCCTGAGTCTGGGGAGTGAGCTTGAGTTCTGGGTCTGTGGGCACTGACCTGGGATCTGAATCCATGGAGGATATCCTACACATGGATCCTAAATCCACATGTGCCAGCCTGGAGACTGGGACTGCCCAGGCCAGCTTGAAACTAGGGCAGGCCTACTGCTTGGGTCTGCAGGGCCTAGCCTGGCACCAGGGTTAACTGGAGAAGGCCTGATACTGGGGTTCACTATGAACTCATTGCTCGATCCATTCTTCTCCCCACATGCTAAAGGTATCATTCTCCATGTTGTGCTGCATGGTTTTCGGGGAAGGTTGATGCAGGTAATATAAAACTGTCCTCCTTACCATCTGCTGTGCATCTTTTCTTATTCTCGTGCTTCGCTCAAGTGCTGTAATCTTTCACCTGCATTCCTTAGAGCATGGTAAGGTATTTTCTGGTGCGGATGGTTGTTCAAATGGATATTTTTGTGAAGGGAAACTCCTATTCCACCATGTTGCTGATGATACCCCTCTTCTTATTTATTTATTTTTAAATCATGCAGCTTAAAATACTGAACATCTGGATACCTCCCCAAATCAACATAGGTCATGTTCAGTAAATTTAAGCATGCTTGTGTTAGACAGCAGCTTACATTTAGAATTTTTTTTAATTGAAGACATAATTTTAAAATACTTTGCTTTAAATACATTGAAACTTTTTGAAACATTTTCAAAGATATTACACCAACATTTATTTAAACAGAATCTATAAAAATCATATGCATTTTAAAATTTGTTTGGTTTATAATAGAAGTACAAGCTCAAAAAGTCGCATTCCCAGGGTCCAATATCTGGCTTGGTGACTTGCTTATTGTGTGGCTTTGGACAATTGGCTTACCTCTGTGCATGTTCTCTTATCTGTAGGATAGGGGTAATTGTAGCTACATAATGGAGTTTAAGTAAGGAGGGGTTGACATAGGTCAAGCTCATGAAACAGTAGCTGGCACACAGTAAGTGTTCCAAGAATGTTGGCTCATACTACTAGCTTTTTTTTTTTTTTTTTTTTTGAGACGGATTCTCACTCTATTGCCCAGGCTGGAGTGCACTGGTGTGATCTCGGCTCACTGCAGCTTCCACCTCCCTGGTTCAAGCAATTCCCCTGCCTCAGCCCCCTGAGTAGCTGGGATTACAGGCACACACCACCATGCTCAGGTGATTTTTTTGCATTTTTATTAGAGATGGGGTTTCACAATGTTGGTCAGGCTGGTCTTGAACTGCTAACCTTGTGATCTGCCCAGCTTGGCCTCCCAAAGTACTGGGATTACAGGCATGAGCCACCGCGCCCAGCCCATACTACTAGTTTTAACTCAAGTTTGTCAAACCATTGAAAGGGAGAGTTTATTAAATAATTTGAAAAATTAATTGTCTAATAAGAGTGGTACAGTTACAATTCAGTGTCCATTCTCAGGAGATGCTAAGTAGCACTGGTCATAGACTCTTGCCTGAAAAAGTTGCCCCTAAAAACCACACAGTCAAAACAGCCAACAAGCAACAACAACAAAAACAAAACAAAAATGCACCCCAACTGCAAACAAACAAAAAACAAAAAACAAAAAACTATTCCACAGGCAGCCTGATATGGAGTAATAGTGCAAAACAGGAGAAAATAAAATCCAAAACACAGAAAGCCTTCCTTTTTAATTCACTCATTTGAATATTTAAAGCAAGTTAGATTTGAGTGACTGCAAAAAAAAAATACAGTGAAGAAAATCAAGACAGCCCAATAGTCGCAAATTATTATAAAAAAGTAAAGTCAGTGAAATGTTGTAAAACTTCCGATGTAAAATATTAAGTGGTCATGATATAGTAACACTAATACTTAGCAAGAACTATAATGATAGAATAGAAAGAAACAAATAGAAAAGTAAGAGCTTTATTAAACTGTTATATTTAAGACTGTCAATCTTAAGGACAGATATTGCTAACTGGTGTATTTAGCTAAATGTGATTCATATCAGTCAAAAAGACTGATGTCTCTTGGTTTATCCTGTTTGATGACAAGCTAATATTTTCTTTCAAAAGTGAAATATATGTATAGTTAACAACATTTTAAGTTGATTCTTAAAACTAAATTGGAAATAGTACGGACCTATCTTTGAATAGAAAAGACCATCCTTATTGGGCTCATGTCAGCTTTCACTGGCAGATTGAGAGTTCCAGTTGTCAGAGGTCTAAGGAATTATGACTCCCTCCAAAACAGCTCCATGACTGCTCCCTTTTCCTCATCCTTCATACCCTCATGGTCTGGTCATAATTTCTGTGGAGGTTAACCAGGAGTTAAAAAGCATTACAACCCCTGCTAGTGTAGAATTAACTCTATCATAAATTAAATGTTTCTAAAATATTATTGTGGCTAGTATGGGATAATTTTGTCAAAGATTCCTTTTACCATTAAATATTTGCTGAAATTTTCCAAAACAATAGTGTATCCAAAGTAGTGCTACCTTCTAAGATCTTTAGGAAAGGAAGGGAATCTAACACTCATGTAATATCTTACTCCATTTGATCCTTACCGCAATTCTGTAGGCGAAGTAATCTTGCTTTATTTGTGGATGAAGACAATGAAACTCAGAGAGACATTTGTCCAAATTTGCCAAGTTTGCAGGTGGTGGTTCTTGAACCTGGAGTTCTCTGGCTTAAGGTCTTTCCACTACTTGATGAAATTAGGGAAAAAAAAGAAAATTTAACATAAAACCACTTAACACGAAGTTAATTCTTCAGTGCTCATATCAATGACTATATAGTTAGTTATAGGTGAATTAATACATCTCTGGTAAGGATTAAATAATAAAATATTGGGGTCAATATTATTATTTCTATACCTAACATGACAGAGGTTGAAGGAAGGAACAGTAGTGGTCAATATGCCAGGGTCCACACTGTAAATCAGCCAGCTACTGTCTCTGAGGAAGTGGTCAAATTATTTAACCCATTGGAGCCTCCATGTTATATAAAAGCAGCCCACAGGATGGTCATGAAGATTAAATAAAACAATGTGATAGGGAATGTTGAACATACATCAGCTCAATAAATCATTGCTGATTTTGAAACAATAGTATTAAGTAGCATATTTTTTTTTCATTTTTAGTTTGCTGAAGACTTCCACTGCTCTTCTACAGGCAGTCTGTATTTTACAAAATCCAAATACTATATTATAAAAAATATATAAATTCAGACTAAATGGGAGTTCTGCATAAATGAAAGTCATGAGAATTCCTGAAACTTGTTTTTTTAAAGGATATCAACATATATTTTATTCAGACATCTAGTAATTAGCTCTTTGAACTGCAACTAGAGTGGACTCAATACATTTATAAAGGAGAAATCTTGAAGTCAGGAATCACCAGAGAATAAGCAGACATTTTTTTACATTTCAAATGGAAACATCCAGAAATATTCTCTTTAATATAGGTTTCTTATGTTCGAAGCTCAGGTATTAAAGATGGAAACTATGTTGAGTTTTAATGACATCTTTTTGTATTCATCATCTTAGAGATGTTGTCTCTAGAGGATACTGCTAAAAGGATTGGCAAAATAAATTTAAGAGAGAATATTTAATCAGTCTAGTCTCACATTGTCTTTCCTTCAGCGAGTGTTTGCTGAGGCATCAGACTAGCAAATATATCTTTGTCAACATCTGCTCTCATTTTCCAAATTGACAGCATTCGGAAGCAGAAGTTGGGATTAAATGTTATTCTTAAACCTTGGATCAAGCTATAAAACCACATTCCGTCTGCTACAGAAAAGCCTTCCTGAAAACATCTCAAAACATTGTTGGCCTGAGCCAAACATGTCCTACAAAGGATGTAAGTTTGTTTTCCAATTTTCCAGGCTTGCCAATATTTTCCAAGTTTATCAAATGTTGAAGCAAATGGATGTTTTTCTGCAAATGCACTATTTCAGGCAGGTCCAAGCAGGGGGAGTCACTAATGAGTGTCATGGGATAAGGAATTTATTATCACAATTATATCTTACACAACTGTGGAAGGGGACATGAAAATGAAGCCCAACTATTATCATAGTTGGATTGTCAGAAAAGCAGTCTAAGAAACCAAGCAGATCCAGCTACCAGATGGGTCTGCCAAGGAAAGCTTGTAGAGATGTCTGTAGGAAACTGTTGCTTCTGATATGTTATTACCTTTGTGGCTCCACAGTGAAGGACTTTGTGGTGGGCCTAGCCACTGTTGGATAACAGAAAGATGCTGGATGCATAGTGAAGAGTTAGGACAGGCTAGGACCCACCAGGTGTCTCTGCATCTGTCCATCACAGCATCTGACTGTGATGACCCTCAGAGACTAATTGCTACTCAACTACTCCACTTTCACCTCCCCAATCTCACATATGCTGCTCTTATTGTCAACTTATAATAATTTGAAGGGGAGGAGATTTCGAGAAACATGATTTCCAGCTTAACCAGATATACAGTGCTCCATCCTACAGGCTATTGATGCCTGTTCCATGGATGGCCTTGGTGAGGATGCTTCAGCGTCCCTTTGAAGCTATTTAACTTTATTTTCAGAATAGTGCAACAGAAACATGCTCAGAATCATTGCTTTTCTTGATACTCAGATGTTTTCTCTTCTTCATTAAATCTCTCTGGTGGCTCTGTTTCTATCCTCATTATTAAAGCCAAAGTTCTTACAATGACCCACGAAGTTTGAAGGTTGGACTCTTTATTTGGTCTCTGGTCTTGTCTCCCAAACTTTTCTCTCTCCTTCCCTCAGCTCCAGCCACACTGGCCTTCTCATTGTTCCTTGAAAATGTCAGACATGCTCTGCTGTAGTGCCTGTGCACTTGCTGTTCCTGGAATGCCTTTCTCCAAAATAGCCACATGACTCATTCCATCACCTTTTTCTGGTCTTTCTTCAAATGTCGACTTCTCAGAAAAGCCTTTCATGACAATTTTATTTAAAACTGTGCCCCTTACTTCCTCTTCACCCTTCCTGTTTTATTTTTTTCCATTGTCCTTTTCATTATCTATGAACAATATATTACATATGTATTTTGTGTGCTATCTTTTCTCGCATACTAGGACATAAGTTCAGTAAGCAGAGAGAATTTCATCTGTTTTGTTTACTGCCATGTATGGCATATGAGGGTGGACAAAAGCCAGTAGCAATGTTACAAGTATGTGTTGAATGTATTTAATAAAATAGAGTTACAAAATCATTTGATCTATTTATAAGAATTATGCATGGGTTTTGTGTCATGAATGCAAGGTCTAATTTTAAATGCCATATTTCAAAATTAATAACACTAGAAAAACCTAAATTCCAGTCAGTTTTTCATCGTGATTTTCATCTCACCAGTGAGGAGACCTGCAATGTGAAGAAATATTCATTGAATTTATCCAGCTTCATAATTTCTTTTGTGCAGGGTATTGAAATAGTCAGTCACTAAAGCAAATTTTCTCAGACATTTTAAGCAATGTGTTCTCTGCTTGAAGTCTTGAATTAATCATTTTCTAACTGACCCCCTGAAACATTAAGGATTGAGCTTAGTGACTTGAGGGAAAGACAGTTTAAAACCAAGTATCTAGATTTATTTGCTAATTTCTTACATGTCAATATGTAGACACTAATCTTTAAGGACCCCATGCTCAAAAAAGTATAATATATGTAATGAAATCCAAAAACACCTTTACTTACTTACCACATCACTGCTGTCTCCCCTGTTACTACTTTCATTTTTTTTCAACTTTCAATCTAATTTTTACCTTCCTCATTCTCTTCCACTAGGTGTATTTGTTTTCATTCTCTTAGATTATCAGAATATGCATAAATAAAGTTGAAAGCCAATAAACATAGGGATTTGGTTAATAAACATAGGGATTTAATAAACATGTAAATGAATGTTAATAAACAACCTGAAGAATTCAGTCTCTGGCCTTATTGCTTACTGCAGCCTGACATTGTGAATTTTTTTTTATTTCTCTTAGTTTCATCTGTTAAACTAAAAAAAAAATTAATAATAATAGATGCTATCAAATGAGGCTTTTATGGGGATGAGATGAGCTAATACATACAAAACATTTAGCACAATGCTGAAGACAAAATGCAAACTGAATTCATGTTATTATCAATATCATTATTTATAAGTGTGAATATACACTTGGTATATAATACTTCAAACCTCTGGTTCTCAGTTTCCTCAGAAATATAATTAAAAATTAAAATAGAGTATCTTTAATCTCCATTTCAGCTATAAAATTCTGATTCTATACAATATAGATTGGATATGTAAATGGCCATATTTGGATATATACAATAGGATATAATCTCTAGTGAATTATCTCTTAAATTAAACAATGATGGCAATTTAACGTTATATCATTTTACCAGTTTATTACAGTCTTTTTATGTGACAGCTGTTCCAACCTTAAAAGGGATCAAATCATACTCTAAACAGTATACTTTTCGAATTGAGTAATTTTTGTTTAGAAACCAGTCAAAATAATGTCTACTGCAAGAAATCTCATACTTATAAGTACATTCTATCCTAAAAGTTGTTGAGTCGATTGTTTGGAACTCTAACACATTTTACACGTAACTAACTTTACATAAGGTTAGACATGGGGGCTGTGTGTCTCCATGCTTGAGAAAAAATTAGTTCAATTAGGAAAATATAAGAGGGTAAATAAAAACGATTTTGCAGAGTCTAAAAGTTGTGTTTGGACATTGTCACAAAACGTAGGGCACTGGGTTGTTATCTTTAATAATATTTTCTGCCCCTACCCTTAGAACTCAAGGATTCTGTTTCTAGATATTGATTGTACAACTACCCTAGCACTGGCTGGCACGCTGTTATTCAGTGCATCACTTTTTGTAGTGGTAGTAAATGATTAGGAAAAAATCCCTACAAATGCTTCAGTAGAGAATGTGTTGCATAAATGACACAATCATGCAGTAAAATACAATGCAGCCCTTAAAAAAGAATGAGATATACTTTTGTGTACTTACCTGAAAACATCACTAAGATATATCATCGAGGAAATGAAAGGAGATGCAGAAAGCTTTGAGTAATAGGCTACAGTTTTTTTGTGGAGGAAAATAACATCTTTATGCCTGTGTCTGTGGATTACTACTGACTATTTTTACCTTTAAGGAAGGGAATTACTTTTCTGGCAACAAGGAAGAGAGACAAGAAGAATTTTGTTCTTCTTTATCAAATTCATAATTCATAAGCAAATGATTTAACTTTGTATTTTCCACCTCCTTGAATCCATTTGCACCACTAACATTCTTGCTATACCAATTGATCATGCATTAGAAAGTTTTTGTTAAAACTCAATTGCAGCAGACTAAGGGAGAAAACACACATGTACCTTGAGGAAGTGGAGGCAATTGAGAGGGGGAAAAGTAAGAGGATTTAAAAGGATGTCTGAACACATGCAAGAGAGAGATTAATTAAAGTGAGATAATTACTGTGTCCAGTGGTTATGTACAATGACACGGAGTTGAGCAAAATTATTCTGAGAGGGAAGAGACCATGAGGGAGCGTGGTTGGCTCAGACAGTGTACTACCACCAGGTGACGTTATCAACCCAAGACAGTTTGGATGCTGTTATAAGTGGGGTACCAAAAGGGGGATAAAAATGAAATGGCATTTGGATTAAAAAGTGGAAAGAAGTGTGTGAGCAACTATTCAGAAGTTATAACAAGAAGTACATATAACAACTTAGCTCTTACAGGATAGGAAAGAGTATAATATTGTGTGCACGCGTATAAAAAGATGTATATAAATTTTTAAGGGCTGGACATGGTGGCTCACGCCTGTAATTCCAGCACTTTGGGAGGCTGAGGCAGGTGGATCATGAGGTCAAGAGATCGAGACCATCCTGGCCAACATGGTGAAACCCCGTCTCTACTAAAAATACAAAAATTAGCTGGGCTTGGTGGCACATGCCTGTAGTCCCAACTACTCAGGAGGCTGAGGTGAGAGAATCACTTGAACCTGGGAGGTGGAGGTTGCAGTGAGCCGAGATTACGCCACTGTACTCCAGCCTGGGCAACAGAGCAAGACTCTGTCTCAAAAACAAACAAACAAACAAACAAAAAAAACAAAAAAAATTAAGACTGGCTTAAATGCTGTCGTTTTTCTTAAGGTGAAAGCTCTCCTACAACTTTTGGAAAAAATACTTTTTGCCATAATTTTTGCCAACAAAACAAAACAAATTAAACTGAATATTATAACAGTTGATAAGTAATTAAAATTACAATAAAGTTTTTTTTGGATTTCACTAAAATTGCGTTTGAATGACCTAGGCAGATGAACCCCTCAGAAAGACAAAAAAAAAAAAAAAGAATTTGTTCCTCTCCACTAAAGGGTGTAGACTCAATGGGTCAATAATTGGCCAAGTAGTAAATGCGTATAACTCAATGAATAAATTTACTGTAAGTAGACACAGGTCAGTTCTATTTCAGAATATCATGCTATGCAGTGATGTCTGATAGTATGTACATTAGTTTAAAATGAAAATATCTAAAATATCAGTTTCATAATGAGGTAAATGTGAATCACACCCATTTATTCTCTATCATCTCTTTTTGTGTGATTTAATAATTGTAAAAAGTATTAAAATCACATGATAAAATATACTTTTGATATTTATTGCATATAGTGAAGAACCTTGTGAGATTATTTATTCAAGAACATTCAATGCTTATCTACCGTGTGCCAGGTTCTGTGCAGGCACTGATAATAAGATCAGGAAAAATATACATAGTTCTGCCCCTCACAGTGTAGAGTAATGAGAAGATAAAGGATTTGAATTTAGACTTGTCTGGTAACCCAAGACGCTGTTTATAGATTGCATTACTTGACAGTTTAATGAGCTTCTCTAATTCTCCATTTATTCAAAATATATTTATGGAGACTCTCCCATCTGCCTACTACAATTTAAGATGGTGGACAAACAGAAATGAATAAAACAGGTAAAAATCCTTAACCTTAAGAGACTGACATATCAATTTCTTTATCAGATAAATAATATAATATCAACTTCATTGTAACAAAGATGAAATGAAAAAATGTATATATAGAGCACTGAGATTAGTTCTAGAAAATAAATTGACTTCCAATAAAGAGAAATTCCCATTTTCCTTTGATTTATGGCTCTTTAGACAATTTTTTCTACAAAGCCTCATTTTTTTAGAAAGAAGGATCTCTGTTTTTCCCATCTTTGTATTCAAGATAGGAACTTAAATTTTATTGAATTGCTATTATTTGGAGAATCATTCATTTACCACACGCATGCCAAAAAGTGTCACCATATTGGACAAAGTTAGCCTTTTTAAAAAAACAAATGATAATAACCAGTCTTATAAATTATATAAAATCTGCTTCAACTTATTACATTCAATGTGATAATGCAATTACTGTTAGTTCAATTTATATCAATAGTTTGCCTTGTTTCACACAAGGGACCAAATAAAATACATAGTATTCTCTTTCTTATGGCATAGTCAGAGTCATGTATTTTAACCTTGATTGAAATCTTGGCCCTGTTACTTGCCATAAGGCTGTTGGTAAGTGCTTCACTTTGCTGGGTCTTTCTGTTTTCTTCTTTGTATAATGAGGATGATTAAAACCTCACAAGGTTGTTAGGAGAATAAAATGAGATACTGTAATACAGTGAGTATATGTAAAGCACTTAGCATAGTGCTTGGCTTATATAGGAGATGCTCAACATATATTCGTCTCCTCAACTTCAATATTTACTCTTACACTTTTACTACCATAAGTAGAAAGTACAGTCAGCACTCTGTATCAGTGGGTTCTGCATCCATGGATTCAACCAACTGCAGATCAAAAATATTGACAATAAAAAGAATGTGTCTGTACTAAACATGTACAGACTTTTGCTCTTGTCATCATTCCCTAAGCAATACCATATAACAATTATTGATATGGCATTTACATTGTATTCAGTATTATAAGTAATGTAGAGATGATGTGAAGTAAACAGCAGGATATGCCTAGGTCATGTGTAAATATTTTGTCATTTAATAAAGAACTTGAGTATGCTTGGATTTTGGTTATCTGTGGGGGTTCCTGGAACCAATCTTCCATGGATACCGAGTTATGTCTGTACTATACTGGTGGTACTTGTCAAACAGCAGAATAATCCTAGGGATTCCAGGAAACCCTTTAGGAATTTTGGAACACTTCTCTCAGAGTTTCTATTGATGTTAAATCACAGCCTTTATGTACTAGTCAAAGATGGTGAATGGGCACTGAACTCCAAGTACCAACTCTAGTAACAAAGAATTGAGAACAGGGAAAGAGTGAAGAAGAACTAAAAGTTGTTAGAGGGCTTATATATGAAACTTCTTATAGTCTAAGAACACTGGTCTCATGACCAATCTCTACCCAAGCCAGAAAGTTACTTCATGTTCATCTTCTCTACATTACTCCAGTTAAAGCTCCATGGGGAATGAGAAGCAGAAATATACCTAATATCTCAGGTAAAAATGAGTGGGAGAAGAGCAGATATTATAAAGATATGAGAGAAAATCCCATTGCCTTTTAAGATTATGGAATGCAGTACAGTCAGGTCCCCTGGAAGGGAAATTAGGAATCATAAAGTCCTAGACTGAGCTACTGTCTCTTTTAGAGACTACATGATCTGAAGCTCTTTCCTCTCTTCCCTCTCCCAATGCATCTCCTTAATAGCTCCTCTTTCTCCTTTCTCTCCTTCTCTTTCTTTCTCTTGTCCTCTCCCTTCCCTTCCTTTCTCCAATGCATCTTTCTCCTCTCTTTTTGTCTGTCTCTACCACTATTTTTTGACTTATATTTGGCCCAAAATACAGTCTTCAAATCAATATGTCTTTTCAGCTGAACACCCAAAAGATAACCAATTCAGTCTTGCACTATTTTAACTACACTTAACAGAGAGAAACTGATTTGGCCCAGATCGTTTGTATTGGCCAATGATTGGCCTCCCTCGACTTGAAGATGAGCACATGGGGTTGTGTACATGTAATACTTACATGAAGCCTCCCATCCAGAGGCTACATGTAGGTAGAGAAGGTTCACTAGGAAGGGATCATTTATATTCCTAGCACCACACAATGGATGTGGAATGTAGTATGTACTTGATAAATACCTGCTAAATAAATGAGAGAACGGTATATTCGTAGCTTATTTTTGTAAATGTGTACTCTTTTCATACTTTACTAGCTTTACTAATAATTGACAGCCAATATGTGTGGACTGCTTATGAGCCAGATGTTGTTTCATGCACAGTCCATGTATTCACTCTGTAATCCTCACAATATTCCTATGAGAAAACCAGGCATAGATTGCTTAAATAACTTGCCCAAGTTTACATAGCTAGTAAAGAGCAGAGCCAAGGCATGTGCCTAGGTACTTTAAAACTGGCATCCACACTGTTGATCTGTATGCTGAATCCACTCTCAACATGCACTTTATTCTACACAGTATAGAGCAAGTCTATATTCACTTATGCCACTATGGATATTTTAGCATTTTGTAGTAGTTATTATTAAAAACAAGAAAATGAAATTGTATAGCAGCAACTTAATGGACATCAAGGAGGTCAAAGAGTTTTCTGGTACACAATGCAAATGAATGCCTAAAAAGTATAATCATCTTGGTCCTAAAAATCTATTAGTTTTTTTCCTTTTCTTTGCATTCTCTGGTTATATAGCTCTACATTCTTTCCTTTTATAATCAGTTTTTTACTTTGATTATTCATTTTATCCATATCCATTTGACTTTTAAATGTGATGGCTACTCTTTTAAAAGCATCATTTACACTCAATTTCTATTCCGTAGCCCCAAACCACAACTCATCAATGCCTCCTCAAAGGGTAACATGTGAGTAGAAAGAGAAGCATGGTAGACAATAAGAGGAAAGTATTTTGTGCAACAAAGAACAAGTCACAATGGCAGTGTAATTTCTAAAATTCAAATACATTATGTATAATACAAAGATAATGAAATGAAAAGTACAATATAGTTCAAATTAAAACTAGACTCACTGTTAAAGAAACACAGACTAACACAATCAGATAATTTTTTTTTACTAAACTAGTTCATTTTTTTGAAAAGATAATATTCCCTGATATAGAGAAGGCATGCAGTAGGAGAGTAGTGTATTTCTAGCAAACAATATGGTTATATGTATTAAGAGCTTTCGAATGTTCATTCACTCCTCTTTCAAAAATTATATTCAAAAAAATTATTTCAAGGGTCACATAAATTTGTGTACAATGCTGCTCATCACTGTTTTATTTATACAAATTAACATCTTGTAATTTAAATGATCCATGAGAGAATATTAAGTTACAGATTGTACATATAAAATATTGTGCTACTATTAAAGTGTCTATAGAAAATTAATATCATTATTAATTGCCCTTGAAGTGATGCCTATAAAATTATTCCAGGAAACAAGTGTGGATGCATACACATTCGTAAACAAAGGAGACTCGAAAGACACCAAAATATTTATAATCATTATTTCAGTGGGGTAGAATTATACACTAGTTTTCTTTTTTATAAATTTTGATATTCAGAATTTTCTGTGATAAAAAGTTTGTTTTGAGGGCAATATTCTTCCACTGAATTTATAGTTAAAGAAATATATTTACTGATGACTTCTTACCACACACAAGCCCAGAGCATCCACATGCCAGTTCATCTTGGGAACAGACTTGCTCTTGGTACATTTGGCCCAAAATCTTATGGCTCTAAGTTAGAAGAAACCTACAGTTACCCACCCTCCACACAGGATAAGAGTTGTAAAATACAATCAAATACTACCATTCTGATAATCCCACTCCCAGAATGAAATTCTTTGCATAAGCAACACAGAAATGAATGTTTCTATCCAATTCCTTCTTTCTCTCCCTTCCCTGTTGAGGATATAAGATCTCTCCACTTCTGACCCATGTTTTGCTAATCATTATAAAAGCAAGTAATAAAATCAATGAGGTAAAGAAAATAAAATGTTTAAATAATACAAGTTTAAATGACTCAAGTTTAAAATAAGCTTAAAGTGAAAATAGACCTAAGAATATATTTTAAATAATAATTTATAATAAGGACATTGACATAAGTGTAGAAAGTTTCTTTTCCTGATCTGAAAGGCTTTATATGAATTTTCATAGATTTGTATTTCATGGTATATCCCTTGAACTTACTCTCCCAAAAAAGAAATCACTAATCCATGACACTGGAGCTCTGAAGTTCAATTAAAATAGCACCTCAAATTATTTTCTTTAACAAACAATGATTTTATTACCAGAAAAAAAATCATAAAATACTAAGTATGAGTGTTGAAAATAAATTGTCACAATTGGTGAAAGCAGTGATAAAAATATTTTTTGTGTTTGTAATTTTAAGAGAAAGACAATCCCGTTTATCATATCATTTTATTTTTATTTTAAACAATGGATAATAATAAGGTTGTAAACATTTATGAAATACTGATCTTCCTCAGAAAAGGTTTATCCTAAGTACTGTTTTTTGATAACACTGCTTATGATAAGCTAAAGTTTGATGCCAGCTACAAAATGACAGGCTATTTCATAGGTTTTAAAAATGTTGAGTTTTACACTTTTTTTCTTTTGTTTTTGCTTTTGTAGGTTTTTGTTTTTGTTTCTTGATGTGCTTTTTGTTTCATTTTGTGAGTCATAAGTTAACACTATTTTTATTTGCTCTTCTTTCGTTGTCATTTGCTGACACATTTATTTCAAGTTGGCAAGACATAAGTTTTCTGTGTTTTGTTTTTTTAGACAGTCTCACTCTGTTGCCGAGGAGGCTGGAGTGCAGCGGCGTGATCTCGGCTCACTGCAACCTCCACCTCCTGGGTTCGAGCGATTCTCATGCCTCAGCCTCCCAAGTAGTTAGGACTGCAGGTGCATGCCACCATGCCCAGCTAATTTTTGTATTTTTAGTAGAGACAGGGTTTCACCATATTGGCCAGGCTGGTCTCGAACTCTTGGCCTCAAGTTATCAGCCTGCCTCGGCCTCCCAAAGTGCTGAGATTACAGGCATGAACTACTATGCCCGGCCTCTATTCCTTTGATATTGGAGGACAGATTATGTCTATCATTTGACAGTTACAAATTATCTTGTTTAAGGAAATACAGCCATGTTTTGCTCTAGGAAGAATTCTGACATGGTATAAAAATTAAACAACTACCGTTCTACAAAATATGTTTAAAGATCACTGTCATGATTGAGGTGAACTTATCATTTGAGGTGAAACTTTGCAACAATTGGGTACTTGGGAAAAGATGGGTGCAAAGCTTCAAGGAGAGCGATTAGGTTAGCCATGTGTAGGATTTTTCCTTTTTACGGAAAAAGTGGAAACTAGACCTTTTTGTTTTTCTTCTCTGAGTTATATATGTCTATTTCCTCCGCTGTATAAGATTCTCAAACACAGGGATGATATCATATTCACATTGGTACACATTAAATGAATGTTTAATGCATTGAATTTGTTGAAGTGGGAGAAAGAAAGAGGGAGCAAAATGCTAGAGATGTAAAAGCTAGTTATATTTACTTGAACTGTATTCCTAATTGGCTTCCACTATTGATTCTGTGTGTTCAAATGGGGCTTTCAGTATCTTAAGTTTAAAATAGATTGATGTGTTTCCAAATATATCTGAGCTGGCTGATCTGGTGGTCACTTGACTTTAATACTTGTGGCCAATGGAAAAAGGGAGAAAAAGGAAGAGATTCAATAAATACTCCAACAGGAGAAAATGTACAATACTGAATTAATTGGAGCAAAAAGAAATGTTTAACTTACAGAGTTATTGTCATGGGGATTGAATGTGATAATATATGTTGTCTTTTTTAGAGATCATTTGGATACAAGAACCTGAAAACTGTTTACTAATACAAATAAATAGGGATACATTTTAGAGGGTACAGGAAAATTCCTTAATGAGTAATCAAAAATAAAAAAGTATAGCTTACCTCATAAAAAATTAAAAAGTCTACATTACTCTCTTTATCTCTTTCTCTCTCCCTGGGACCTCATGGTCTGTCCTCAACTCATTTCTCTAAATGTCTGTGCCATTCTTTATGATATTTTTGGCCTAGGATAACAGAAAATCTAACTACAAGAGGGTTATACAACATGAGATTCATCATCTTATATAACAAAATGTTTGGAGGTAGAACAGATTCAGCAGTGGTAATTCAACAGATCAACTATGGCATGATGGATCTAGGTTCTTCTTATCTTTATACTTTTCTGCCTTAGCCTGTAGGCTTACCTGTTAAGCTGGTGACTTCAATCGCCCTCAGATAAATACCTCACTCTCATGCGTCTGTTGCCTTGAGAAAGAGAAAGGGATTGTGTTCTTTCACGCACATTTCTTTTTAAGAGCAAATACTATCCATTAGGTGTACTCTGGCAATAATTTTATTTGTGAACTACATAGTATTATAACAATAATTTAAAGCTATTTATAAAGCTTTCAAATGGAGATAGTCTAAAGATATAAAAATACGAGATCAGATAAAAGGCTAGGAAAAAAATCCAACTTTCACTCTGAGACTATTAATAGATCAAAAAGTTATAGGCAGTCACATGTAAATTGTTTAAATTTGTAGAAATTTTATTCATTTGGAATACTTTTCATATTAAAGTTTATTATAATAGCTGTTATAGTAATTCTAAATTAAATAAATAACATACCAAAAAATCTAGTAGAGGCAATAAAAATGTATACAAATAAGAATGATGCAAATCCAAATGTAAACTTCAGAGAAAGGGGCAACCAGGTGTACCTTAACATGGAGGGAGGAAACTGAGGAAAGTTTCATGGCTAAAGTGATATTTGACATCTAGAAGTTGGGATAGAGGAAACCTACACAAAGGAGGGAAACAGAGTAAATATAGACTCACAAAAGCCAAGTTGCAAATACATGAATAATATTATGGAATCATGAGAAATTTCATTTCATAAGAGCAATGAAAATAACAATAACATGTAGAGTGGATTTTGATCATGAAGTTCCCTGAGAGTCAAGCTAAGAAGTTTTAGTTTTGCATTTAGAAGCCGGAAACCATAACATATTTCAAGGAGCCAGTAATGTGCTTCAGAAAATGGAAATGGTCTGCAGAATGTTGGGGAAATTGGAGATCTGTAGACACTACAATAGTCTAAGCAAGAATTCATGATTATCTCAACCAGAGGTGAATGAGAATGAAAATGAGAGCTCAAATCCATGAGATTGTACCAAGTTGTAGAGGCATAAAACATAACCATCACCTGGATAGGAAGAAAAGGCAAGTCTAAGATTTTTGGACCAGACCATAGAAACTAGAAGAAAGGTAATGCCTTTACCAAAAGTATGACAGTGAGGAGAAATTTTTTAGGAAGATGTGATGAATTGTTCAGATCTGGGTCCAGTGCAATTGAGATAACTAGTGGGACGTTAGTTGCAAATATTTGGGAAATTCAAGTCTGGAGCCTGGAAGAAAATTCAAGAGTATATTTAGAAATATAGATGTCTTCAACATATTGATAATACACAAGAACATAAGAGGAAGAGAAAAGGTGAAAATAAATAAAGATTCATGAGATGAAAAACAAAACATTACTTTCTCATAATGTGTATTATTCTATCCGAATCATATAATAGTCACAGTTTCAGGATGAATTTCTGCCATCTTAATTGATTTCTCAAAGCCGTTATCTCAAAGACGTTAGTATCATTGTTTTACAGTTTATGAAACGGATGCTCAAAGAGGTTAGACGTTTGACCCAAAGCGTACAATCTGAAAGCAGAGATATTGGAACACTTGTGCTTGGCTTTAGACTGTAAATCTCATCTTTAATAGTTTATAGTTAACTGAAATAAGTATAAATATAAAAGCTTTGTATTTGAAATATTAAAGAAAATATGTATATATATGAATGTATATATATATATGTAAATATGTATATATATTATATCCAAGAGTAATGTTCAGGAACTCTATATTTTAATTAAATAATTTAAACATCTCTACTGTTCTCTAAATTCCTTCAAATTTTGAATCATCAAAATAAGTTCATTCAGATTTTATAAAGTAAAGGGATGAGTGGATTGATGTGAGAATTATCAGGCAAATATGTAATCAAATTCCCATGTACTCAGTCTTACGATGTAGCATCTGTGAATAGCTGCAGTTTCCAAATTAAACCAGCCAATTGTTTCATTAATGTTACTAAAAATTTAAAGTTTAAAAGCTCCTAGTTGGACAAATGGTGAATTAATTTAAATTTTAAATCAAGAGCATCACTTTGCTTTTGTATTGTACCATTCTAAAAATCCCAAAGGGTTAAAAACATGATTATACACCTATGTTCAAGATTAATTTGTTTATAAGGACAGCTGTGCCTTCTGATTTGCTTATTTGCATCCTAAGTTTGTGTGTTTACAAAATTTGACTGTTCAACCTGCAGATGCCGTTTTTAATGTTTTGCTTCAAAACTTTTAACCCCTTGAGTTTCTATTTTATTCCATGTCATTTATATATATACATATGCATATATGTGCACATATGCATGTATTTTATAACCTAACATATATATGTATGCATAATATATATAAACTATATATAGAATATGTATATACATAAGCTATAGTATATACAATTCAGTTGGTAGGTGGTCTGTTCCTTAAAATAAAACTGTATTTTTCTCTACCTTTTCCTTGGAGATGGCCTTTCCTTAGTATAGTCTATAGAAGGCTGTTATAAGCCGGTTGCAATAGCAGTATGTGGGCAAGAGGACTGTAAATTCAGTGAATATTATTAGTTTATGAATATTCATTAAATTTGTTTGTATGCAGCAACTCAACTTTGTAAATGGTTGCAGCCAAAAAAAGCTCTAATTAGAGGAATTAATTAGTATTTGGAAAGGTATACAGGGATAAGTGGGCATTTTGAAGAGGTATTTTTTCCTCCTGTTGAGAAAAATACCTTCTAGGGAGCTTGCAATACAATTTGTGTGCATATCAGGTAGAAATAAACTGGAGCGTTTCCAGTTTTAAGGCCGCAAGAGAGCGGAGGTCTGTTGTTCAAGCTAGCACAAGATACTTTGTAGATCACAGAATACCTTGGTCTTTTCTTGTTGGAATTCACCATGTTTTAAAAGATGTTGTTACTCACCAACCTTCAAATGCCACATTTAACCCTACTATAAAGTTAAACCAAGTTAAACAAGAATAATCTGACAACGGAAATTATTTTCCATGTCAGAGTGGTGCTTCTTTGCCTCTGTTACCTCCATAATATCCCTGCCACCAGCAACCAAAAAGAAGCAGCTGTTCTGAATATGTACAAACAAAAGAAGCTGTTACTATAGCAACCATAGAACCCTGTGGAAAAGCTCTCCCTTTAACACTAGCCAACCTCTCCTCTTCACCCCTCCTTCCTTTCCTTTCCTGCGCCAGCACAGACTGCCCTTGGACAGAAATGATACTTGGCGATTCGACATGGGGAACCAGAGTAAACACTACAGCCTGCATTCACACTTTCCAAGAGCTGGAAGACTTGCTCCTGGCTAAATCCTATGAAAAGGCTGCAGAACCTGACAACACTTATGAAGCTCTTTGTTCCTTGTTTCCCAAACCTTCCTTCATCCTCCTTTAAAAAAATCCTACTGGCCTCTCTCATTCATGACTTGATGAAGTAATGATATCTCTTTTACCTCTCCGTTGTCAGTTTTTCTCTATCCTATATCCATGTTCATGATCCAAATGTGGCATTGCTTAATTAAGTCTGTGGATTTTGCTGATTCCAGAGTTGGTGTTGAATTGGATGGAAGATAGGGCACTTTTGACTTCAGAGGTAAATGGATGATGCTAGATGATCGATGCTGTTGGGTTTTTTCCCTCCATGTGGTAAAACATAAAGGCACAATTTATAAAAAAAAACCCAGCTTCAGAAAATCTGTCCAAAACGATTACAATTTGAGGCCTTTCTCCAAAGTTGTGTTTTGATTAATCAATAACATCTTTCACTTACTTTTTTATGTCCTTTGATAGTCAGCCTTCAATTTACTAATTGCTTGTACTGCCAAATTAGTCTTTAAGTCAATCATTTAGGAACTTAAATTTGTTTTAAGTCAGTAATTTAAAACGTGGGACATATTTTGTTGTAGATACTATCTACTAACTACTCTGCTAACCCAAAACATGGCTGACTATCTTGCTAACACAAATCAATTTATTTCATATTTCTCTTAAATATTTTCTTTGCTTGTGATGAAATTGTTTAATTTCAAAAGCATCACAGGCAGATTAAAATGTTGTAGGATACTATTTGAGTTTTTCAATTTACAGCATAGGACTTTATAAATAGCCTTGTGATTCAACAATAACTTGAATGATGCTTTCTAACTGGGGCTAACCCTGGTAAAATTTGTTCATATTAATTTAAAATCCTGAATTAAAAACTAAGACATGGGTAATTGTCCTATTGGTTATTAAAAGTGTTTTAATACTTTCATTAAAAAGACTATGAAGTATTCACCCATGAATATACAGGTCAGTGGGATATGATAAAACTGAGAAAACGGCCCACTTATTTATGCAGTTATAGTATATAATAAAAACAGCCTTCTGTATCTGTGGGGAAAAGGTGAGTTAATTATTAATGATGTGGGTACCATTTTAGCAGAATCTGGGGGAAAAAACGGATGTATACTTTAAAATTTACATCATAATTAATTCCAAATAGATGAGTTAAATATAAACAATGAAACTCCAATAGCAGTAAAACTATGGGAGAAAGATGATGAGAGCACTGAAAAACCTCTTTCCACCTCTCAAGTTCAGGAAAAATATGTGTGATTATATTTGGTGTTGATAAGGATGTGAGGACCAAGCTTTCATTTATTGTTTGTGGAAATGTAAATTGGTAAAATTTCTATGAAGGGAAATTCCGATATAACTTTAAAATTTTCAAATGTATATACTGCTTATTTTTTTATTTTTTTAAATGTGCCATACTCTTTAACTGAGTAAATTCACTTCTAGAAAGGTGTCCTACATGTACAATTAAACATACTAGGAATGACAAGAGTATGTACATGGTTATTCATTGCAGCAAAATATTAGAAATACCATTTATGCCCATGAATATGATATGGGTTAAATAAATTATTTTACATTCATATTATGGGAAAATATGCTGCCATTATGAGTGAGAGATTGAGACAGAGAGAAAGGATGCTCTTCATAAACTCTTTATAAACTTATATGGAATAATCTCAAAGATAAATTGTTAAATTTTTTTAAAGCCAGAAAAGAACAATGTACAGAGCATTCTACTCTTTGTGTAGAAATAAAAATGATGTGTGTTTATGTGTGTGTGTGTGTGTGTGTGTGTGTGTGTGTGTGTGTGTAATGTGCTTAGAACATCTTTGGAAGGACACACAGAGCACAGATTCACTAGAAGCATCAAATCTTCTCTGGAGAAGTAGCTCAGTTTCTGCATTACAGCTGGGAAAGAGACTTCATTTTATAACTTTTGTGTATGTTGAATTTTTAAGATATTGCCCATATGAAAATCCCTGGACGTAAAATGGTCTGAAAATGATTGCTTTCTAATCTCTGCTGCTCAAATGTTTGGCAGAAAACTGGAAGACAATAGCATAGATGTAAAGAAAAACGACGACTAAAATAAATAGGAATCAAACAAACAGTTCTCCACTAATCAAGCTTTTTTTGTTTTGTTTTGTTGTTGAGGAACTCCTTGATCTTCTGATCACTTCTGGAATTTAGACTTGTCAGAAATTATTGTGACAACAAAGGGGTGCTAGACAGACTTGAAATGTTAACAAAAGGGACTCTATTGCCATGTTTTAGACCTTCTTTTCACTGATAACTAGGTCTTTCACAAATTCACAAGCCCTTTCTTGTAGTTGGATTTTTGTTTTGTTTGCTTTTGCTTAACCTGTTGTTTCACGTCAAGGCGCATGTGCCAAATGTGAGCAACGCTGACTAGTGCTGAAATTGAACTTTCCTGATCAATAAGGGGCACGGGTAATTTCAAGCCTTCCTTCCTTTGACACACACACACACAAAACACACACACACATTTAAAAAGAAAATGAAGTATACAGGAAAGCAAAAACATTAAATGCTTTTTAGTAGTTTTTAGTAGTTAAAATGGAGGAAGGGAGAAAATAAGTATGAATAGCAGAGCATTTGTTATAAAAGAAAAAAAAAAGTTCTGCAATCCCAGCTACTGAGGAAGCTGAGGCAGGAGGATGGCTTTAGGCTAGGGGTTTGAGACCAGCCTGGGCAACATAGTGAGACCCCATGTCTAAAAATAAATTATGTAAAAATTAACTGGCTTGGTGGGGCATGGTCCCCGACACTTGGGAGGCTGAGGCCGGAGGATCATTTGAGCCCAAGAGCACAAGGCTGCTGTGAGCTATGATTGTACCACTGCACTGCAGCAGCCCGGGTAAAAGAGTGAGACCCTATTTCAAAAAGAAAAAAGAAAAGAAAAATATTCAGAATTTTGTCATCAAGGTGAAGTAAAATTCATTCATTTATTGTATTTTGATCATATTCATTCTTCACTATGTATTGAGCCAGCTCCATGAAAGACAGTAATATGACCACTTAAATTTGTCGTTATCACCCCCTCTATTAAATTCAATAAACATTTTTTGTTATCTTTTACAAACACTGCTTGTTAGGAGAACAGTGTGGTGTCAACAAAGTAAGACATATGCACCTCTAGTCCCTATGAAGAAAACCTTCCAGCACACAGCAAAGGACCTACCTATATTAGAAGCCCCACAGAATTGAAAGAATTGAAACCCATCGAGAAGAGTTGTTGCAGAGAGCGAGATTCAAAGTGTGAACACTCATCCTTGTCAATCAGGGTTCTCATTCTTAAACACAATGTCAGAAGTAAGCTGATGGTTATATTTAATATTTAGGCAAGAAGATATATGTGTATGCATTTTTGGACTTGTACACATACCAGGATTCAATAAAGTATCATCTATTAGTGGAGTTTTGAAATTAACATCTTCATTTCATTTTCCTTTTTCTGCACCCTGCAATCAGGCTTTCTTTTTCTTCCACCTTGTTCCCTGAAGAGTAGGTTTATGTTGAATGTTGGTGTTAGTAGCAGCTTGATCTTCTGTTTTGTGCCTTCTTGTATTCTTTTTCCTCCTTCCTTACCCTTCTCCTGGTTATATCCAATACAATAAAGTCAGTGTAGATATTCATGTCAGCATTGTGACATTTTAATATTTTTTAAATTTGGTTTTATAGCTCTGATGTTTATATGGCTATATATGTCTAACAATTTAAAAATATAACAGCTTTAAAAAATTATGTTGGCTAACCAAAATATGTTGGCTGAGCTCTCTTTGCCTATTTAAAGTAAATTTATTTTGGCTAGAGTAAATGTATGTATGATGCTTCATAACATACTAAAATATCATGAATTTGGGAAAATAAATTTAAAGTTGAAACTGCATCTGCTTAAAGATATTTATGTTTACATTGGACATTTTTACAAATGTCTTTAGCTTTTTAAAAATAACTCATGAATTGATTTTTTAAGGCATCTGTATCTAAGCTTACATTGTTTATTCCCTGTCAGTTTCGATCTGGCTTTTGTACTTGCAGTAATCTGTAAAGAGAGTGATTATTTATGCTTGGACATAATTCTACTGGAAAAATAAGTCTATTCTATACATTTTAAAGAGGATTTATGTATCATTTTGCATTTCTAGTAGTTTCTAATAATGACCTAGAACAACTTGCTAGATTACACTAGATTTGACCATCTTTAACAATATTTAGATAATTGGGAAATTATACTGTCTATAAAATATTATGAAGGAGGCTACATGGAGAGAAGGCATATCTCCTTGGAAATGATTTCCTTCTTAATACATATATAAAATATGACCACATTGTGCTTTGAATTTTTATGATCATGCTAGCCATAAAATCAAAGCATGATGGCTTCTTGTAGCTGCTGCTATTTCTCTTTTATAAAATGAAACTTTCAGAGACATCATACTGACTGTTCATTTTCTACTTCCTGATTTGCAGTACTCTGACATGAGTTTTCCATGAAACCTTAAGGAATCGTACAGTTGCAGTAATATACTATTGGGAAATATTTACCTATTTTTACGTGAAATAGCAAGAGAAAAGCCAAATATTTGGAAAGAAAGAAATACTAAAGAGGAACTTTATAAACATTGCCTACTGATGTAAAATCTTTCCTTAGGACAGAGGAAAAAAAACCCTCACAAACACACATTTCACACACATAGACTCCTGTAGCATCTTTATTAAATTCCTCACATCAATTTGTTATGGTATTTGTCACATTGTTTACACAAAGGCAAAATAGCTAAATTTTTTAATCTCCGGAGACTACTATAGTAGTTGACACATAGTAGGCAGCAAATGAAAGAACCAATAAGCATAAGTAGTAAAAAAAAACAAAAGCAAAACACACACACACACACACACACACACACACACACACACACACACTGCAAATGCCTTCCTTCCAGATTAATTTTCTACTAGGTATTCCACCCAACTAAGACAGCATTACTAGCCCTCTAACTTCCCCTGGTCATTCATTTCTCTTAACACAATTCCTATACCCCATTTCTCTCCCTGCAATTTGGTTGAATGTTTACTCTCTATGGATGCATCAAGCTCTGGCCATCGTATTTTCTAACAATTTTGGAACTTTACGGATCCTTTTAAGTATCAGCATGGTGACAGAAACTAGAAAGAAGCACACTGTGTAACTTGCAGTGAGTAATTGGCAGTTTCAGATAGTGAAAGTCAACTGTGTGTGGGTGCTATTTGCAATTAACAAACTATATCTACTTGGTATATCGTTAAGTGGAAAGCAAATGGCATAGTAATAACTGATAAAAATGGATATAGATACAGGGCTTTTGGGTTCAAAACTCATCAATTGAATGATTTTAAAAATGTTTCAATAATATTTGTAGTGTTTACTGAGTACTCAGAATGGTGCTTAATGAATCATGGCTCCTGTCTTAAAGGAGCATACATTCATTTATGAAACTAAATTTGTACAGTTGAGACAAAGTTATAGAAATTTCAAGAAATTAGTCAGTTGGATGGAATCTTAGGGCATGATTCCTGAAATTCTTATAGAAAAGTGGACAAAAATTAGAAGAGAGAATCATAGTAGCAGTGATGGATCTCATTATCTCTGTTCTATCCATTGTATTATAAAATACTTTCAAGATGACATGATGAATGTGTTATTTTACTGGCTGAAGGTTCTTCCTCTTCAATTTTAAAGAACTGCTTAAATAATTGTTCCTTAATTTCATAGAATATATTGATTGCTTATTCTAGATAAAACACAGATTAAGACTCATACCTCCCATGTTTACCTATACCTTTACAGTTTCCTAAGCATATTTACATTATTTATATAACTTTATGTCTCATGACAATTTTATAAGGTGGGCAGACAGGAGTTATTATAACTATCATATAAAAATGAATATGAGGCATATACTGACACTATGACTAAAATCCAATTTTTATGGCTCTTCCAAACATTCTTCAGATTCTCCCATTAAGGAGCTCAGACTTTCAAAACACAAACACCTGAGACATATAGACTGAGTTCTAAATGAGTGAAGTGTACAATGCTGCTAGTGTTGAGAGGAACACCCCCAGTCACCAGCTAAAGTTTGTGCCATAGGGTGGTCTTTATCAATTTCACATCTGGTAATTGTATCAGAATGGATCTAAAATCCATAGTCTTTCTTCCCACTGCTCCCAAAAGCATAATTCTTCTCTCCACATCTCCTTCATTCACCCTCCCTGTCCCAGTGTTAGTCTCTCTTTCCTTCCAACAAGATCTTTCATTAGCTCAAGTTATTTGCTGACAAGATGTTATAACAAAAGCCTATATGTATATATATATACACACACACACATATGTATATATACATATATATGTTATTTCTTGATCCCTTTGAAATAAATTGTACATTGTGTAGAAAAAAAACAAACAAACAAAAAAGCCATGAAAAAGGAAAGGAGATCTCTAGTCAGGGAAAATAAAATGAGTAGTTGGAGAAAAGCAGTGGAGAGAAAGATAAGATCTAAAGAAAAGAGAGGGAAGCAGAAAGAAAGGGAGCCTTTGTATTCTTGAGAGGCAAAGAGAGCAACGCTGAATGTTGGCTTCTCAATTCCTCTGCCCATTCTTGAGGGACTCACCTTTACTATCTTTCCCTTCTTTGGAGATTCAGCAACTCAACTCAAATTACATTAAGGGAGAAAAAAGTTGAGACTTATTAGGAGAATAGGAAATATCAGAATTAAAGGAATGTTTAACAGTCAAACTCTAGGAAGGGGAGAGGTTCTGGCACAGCTGAGAAGCAGCTGGATCTATAGACTCAAATACCACCATCCACTCTTATCGAATCCCTCATCTGTGCTTCTCTTTGTATGATGCACCTCACACTCAGGCAGATTTCTTTCCACTGTTAGAAAGTGATAGGTAAACATTGCCAGATTAAAATTAGACTGCCTGACTTAGATAAGAGCACTATGACTTAGTTGCACTAAGACTTGGACATCGACTCTAACCTACAGTTTCCTTACCTGTAATATGTGGTGTATAATGATAGAGTTGCTGTTAAATGTTCAAAGTGCTTAGTAGAATGTCTGAACTTAATAAATGTGAATGTTGTTGCTGTAATCGAATCAGATATTTTGACTTTGGGGAACATTTTTTCTTAGTGCTGTCACCAGACAGAAACCCTCTTTCTTTAGTTACAGTTTGAAAACAACTTGAACAACTTGAGAAAGCCTCTGATAATCTCATCATATGTTCGGGTTGTAAGGACACAGGGACGTTGAAACTCCAAGCTTGAAGTCAGAAGAAGAAAGATATTTCCAGAGGAAAAGGTGGAAATGTTGCTAAGCCAACCAAGCAATAGATACTCACCATAGATATCAGAAAAATCTATTCAATGCCTACAGTAGAACTCCCTCACTTAAGCTTGCTTGAGTAGCTTTCTAATCAATTCCTTGATATAGACAGGGATATAAATGTAGGGGGAAATGTAGATGAAGCAAAAGTGTTAAAATTCAATATGTGTCATATGACCAGAAGAGAATTGTGTTACTAGTTTTTACAGAATTATAAAAACAAGCTTATTTTTGCTGTAATGTATCCACCTGACTCTTAGGTAGAACATTTTTAAAAGGCATTCATAAACTTAGAAATCACAGCCAAGCAACTAGAATGATAGAGCAATTGTAATTAGTTGCTATTCTACACGTAAATAATGTATTGTTCATAAGTGAAAGAATAATACCTTGTGCGGATCTTTCTAAGGAAGTTTTGTTAGAATGCATTATCTAGAGAAATCTTACGTGTGCTGTTCAAAAGACCATATTTAAGTATTCAATAAAGCATATATTTTAGAGGGAAAATCCTTTTAGAGCAGATGCTGCAATGAAATAAAATATTGAAGCCAAGCTTATTTGTATGCATACCAACACTAAACATTTCTGGTGTAATTAGGTTAAAGACAAGTGATTCACTACTTTTGATCGCATTAAGAATACTAGTATATGGCTCAGAAGATATTATTTAGAGGAGTAATGAGAAGGGGACCATTAATGTTACTTCACTCAAAATAAAAATTTATAGTATTTTGGACTTTTAATGGTAACTAAGTGATTATTCTCTTAAAACCTACAAGGCATAGACATTAAGGGGACGCAGAATTATTGCATGGGTCCCCTAAATTTACAGGAGAAATAAGCATGTCTGAAGATTGAATAAATAACATGTCTTGCACACATGGTGATTTTTTTCAAATGCAAGGAGGAGTTTATTGAGATTTATAAAAATGTAAATTAATTTAAAATATTTTCTGAATGATGGTTTGTGACAACTAATTTCCTGTTTAACCAATGTATGTCAGAGCAAAGTATTGTTTTTTGTTTTTCTACTTGAGACTTTTTTTAGAAAATTATGCAAGGTGGTTACTAAACTAGAAAATGTTTGAATCCCCTGCGTTAGATTTCCACTGAACATGTCACGTTTCAAACTATGTCAAAGTGTTTTTGAAGATAAATAAGTATTCTAGCTAGCTATCATAAGCTACACAAATTCATAGCATTAAGAAATTATGTGCCACATGACCGTACACTTGGTTAACATAGTGAAAATACTAAAGCTTTTCCACTTAAGTGACGTTATTATCTTTCATTTTCAGTACACACTCTATGCAAAGTTATTACATATTCTTCAGGACTTTGTATCTTTTGAATGTTTTAATAAGTGGGACTCTGAAGGCAATTTTTGGCAATTTTTGTGAAGTTGAGAACAATTAGTGGAAGCAAATACACATTCTCATCTAGAAAGTAATTATTTATCAATTTTTGACATTTACATTGTTTCAAAATTCTCTCATTTTAAAAATTCCAAAAGCTTTTGTTCTCTGGATATTTTTTCTTTTTCTACTCTTTCCTCTCTTCCTCTGTTCTTTCTTTTTTCCTTCCTTCCTTCCTGCCTGCCTGTTGTCATGTTCTTCCTTCTTTCCCTCCCTCCCTTTCTCCTTCATTTGGTCCTCAATCTAATCACACCTAGCTTGCAACTTATTTCCAATCAACATCAGTGATAGATCTAAGAGCAATTATTGTGACATGCCCTTACTATTCTTGAGTTGTAGAGACCCCAGGACTTACATTGTTCAAGAAATTGGGCTGAGAAACCTTGACAGGGTTAATCCATTGTGATCACCACTGAAAATGTACCGTGATTTGTCCTAGGGATCTACTTGAAAGATGACCTTTCTGCTGACAAGTTTACTCCCTCAGTGCTGGGCTGAGCTATTCTCCCCAGACTCCAATGATACCATGCAGCTATTAGTCCCTAGGCTAGGTACAACTTCCCAGGACCTGTGTGAGGCAAGGTTGCAGGTCTCTACCATTAACAGAGGACAATCCAATTTACTCCTCTGACTTGGGCCTCTTACCTTTCAATCCAGAAGTCCCAAGGTCTCTAGTCTATTCTTTACGTAGAGTACAGTTAAATATTCCCTTCACAGATCTACATTTTTATAAACAAAAAATTGTTACTCCTGGAGGTAAAAGAAACCCAGGCCCAATCTTTAGCTACCCATCTGGGAAAGAGTGGCAAGTACCTCTCCTTCTTTCATGAGGAGTCAAAAATTTCTCAGGTCATTCTTTAACAAGGAATTTTCATTAGATCAACCAATTACACTACATTTGAATATTATTTATGTCATCCTTTGTTTCCTCAAATAATAACTGATTTTTCCTTCATATTTCCTTGGCCTCAAAATGTGAACCCTTAAATGTTCTCCTGTGCATAGCAAATCATGAGACTTCAAACCTTAGCTAAAAGGCAGTAAAGTTGTTATTGCTTATTTGCTTTTAATTTTTATTGAAACTTGTGTAAATTGACTCACACTTTAAGTAGACAATGCAAACCTATAAGAGAATTCAATTATAAAGCCTTTGGTATAGGAAATAATTTATACAGAATGTAATGCTTTATCAGATTTGCTCGATTATATGCTGGTTTCTAAAAACAATACAACTATGGGTATATACAAATATGTGTATATATACATGTATATGTAGATACGTAAATGTAGATACTTATACACATATATATGTATATGTAGCCACATATATACATATATATACGTTTATATATACCCATAGTTATTTATATACATATAAACAATATGTGTGTGTATATATATGTGTGTGTACATATAAACAATATATGTGTGTATGTATACATACAAACTTTAAGTTACTTTTTAAAGCGAGAATTTCTTCAACATTTTTGGATTGCTGTTTATACAAAAAATAAATGGTGTCTCAGTTTGACTAAAGAATATAACCTCCAATAACGATATAGCCTGGCTGCTTATACTGGGTCCTGCCCAATGTTTATATCTGCCCAGGATCTCAGGGAACTCTCATCCCCTCCAGAGAACCTTCCCTGACTTTCCTCTCAGTTCAAGGTCTAGGTCTCATCTTTTTCCTAGAACACACTAATTAAACACATCCACTTTTTCTTCAACATATATTTACTCAGCTCTTGCTATGTTTTAGCGACAACAGATCCCATGGAAACAACAGAGAAGAAATAAGTTGTTTTTACTTTTCTCCCGGTAACCAGTGTTAGACCATATCTGCATATAAAATCTCCTTTAAGAGTTGATATAAACCTACTATTACTCATAGTACTCACTCCAGCTTTGGTTCTGCCCAAGTACAGTGAGCTTATTGAGAATAAGGAATATATCTCAGTTGTGCATGGTAGTGACTCATATGAATTGGATGGCTGTGCATATGAAAATATGGCACTCAATGGCAGTTTTTATTGAAAAAACTAGATAACTTGACCATAATTGTCCTAAGAAACAAGACATTCATCTGCAATTTACTTGCACTCAATAAGCATGCCCTAGTTATTGTCTTGTGAGAAATCCAAGGTCTGATATGATGTACTCCCAGGATAGAGGGGTAAATTTTTTTTTCATGTCATTCTCTATAGCATGATTATGAACCTGAAGAAATAAGTATCTGTGCATGGCAGTTCCTTTACCTAGAAATCTTGGTAACTGAGATATCTTTGTGGTCAAACGTTTCTAAAGATATATACATTTTTTTGTGGGGATTACAGGGAGAAATGGCTAACCTTACAAACATTCTTGGGAGATTTTGTTTTGTTTTGTATTTCTCACCAGATTTGAATTTTAGCAAAAAAAGCTATATTATTTCATCAGGAATCTGATTAAGACTGCAATTTTGAAAAGGGAAAAATTCATTAAATAGACTAATGGAGGAATCTGAAGGGTAGTCAGTAAAAGCAGCTGCTTTTTCAATACATGTTGGGAGATTTGTCTGGGAGCCTTTCTTCCAAATGATACTATTTCAATCATGCCTAACATTTAAATCTCTAAACACTGATATTCCCATTTTAATTTTAGCTGGCACCAGAAGGAAATGGTAAAACAGCAGATGATTACCTCAGTACTTTATTCCACATTTTTTAACAGCTTTACAGATTCAAATAAAAAATAATAATCTAAAAATGAAAAATGCACAACTAAAATTAAACATAGAAAAAATATTTTTAAACCAAGAGATTCTTTTTCCTTGTAACCTCCCAAATGGTGGAAAGTAAATTTCACAGTGGAATGTACACAGGACTTAATTTTACCACGGTTATATTATATTTTGATGACTAACTTAGGCTTTAAAAAATTGATATTGATTCAGGCCCTATTAACTTAAATTTTGTGATTATTTAGCTAAAGGATTCATTGATGTTTGTTTTTGAATTTGTGTCATCTAAAAGCGAATCTCACTTTAGAAACACCCTGTGTATAAGCTAAATTGTCCTTTAAAGCGAATCTTCTAAATCTTTTAATTTAGTTTAATTAGCAATTTCAGGGCCAGGCACAGTGGCTCACACCTATAATCCTAGCACTTTGGGAGGCCAACGCAAGAGGACGACTTGAGCCCAGGAGCTTTAGACTAGCTTGGGCAACATAGACCTCATCTTTCTAAAAAATAAACAAAAATTAACCAGGCATGGTGGCAGGTCCCTGTAGTCCCAGCTATTCAGGAAGCTGAGGTGGAAGGATCCCCTGAGCCTGAGAGTTCAAGGCTGCAGTGAGCTGAATGTGCCACTGCACTGCAACCTGGGTGACAGAATGAGATTCTGTCTCAAAAGTAGAAATAAAAACAAGTTTAAATGGAAGCAAAAGAGTTGAAATTTTCCTCAGATGTAATATAAAATAATTGGGAGAAGTGTCACATCAACAGCATTAATGAAGAGTCTAATATATGGCAGAATTTGTCCTAGGTCCTGGGTATAGCAGCCATTCCATTAGTAGAGTTTACATTCAAACCTATGACCTTAACTAGAATTGGAACATTGGTACATCATTCAACCTCTTTTGGTTGTTTCTATAAGTAAAATTGACCTCTGGTTTAGCTCATACTATTAAAATATTGATTTACTTCGAATGAAAGATTTATACAATTATATCAGTCTCTTGATGTTTACTGAATAATAAAACTAGTATGTCTTTTTATGTTTATTTTATAACTCACTTATGATGATTAAGTTATGAAAACTCAAAAACAGAATTTTAGTCAACATAATTAGAGTAGAACCCTTGAAATGTGAAGCATTAAATTAAAAATATCACTTGTTTCTCTCTATTTCTCTTAACTTAGTGTTTTGATAATACTAAGATCTTAATATACCTAATTCAACCACAATAAAGCAGATATAAATAAGACTATCACTCTGGTTGAGTATACACCACTTCTAGATTTCTTCCTCATTTTAATTTAGATGTACCAAGTATATGCCAATGATTTTTTTTCCAAAATATATGTTGACTACAGCTCATAGTTAGTATTTCATGTCATAACATACATAATATGGTAAATGTTTTCATAATTCAATAATTAAATAATAGTATCTGTCTAAATATGTCTGTATTGGATTGAAATTGTTATCATACTTTAAAGTAGGTATACTGTACTTCCTTCAACTTGTTTTGCTAAGAGCTATTCAATGTGAACATCTTTAAAATAAAGCCCACGATCACACAGTGTCACACAAGGATTCTAACTAAACACTCCTGAGTGAAACATGTGGGTAAACAAACTACATTAAATAAAGAAAATTGGTAAACTTTTAGATTTTGTTTTGTTTTGTTTTGTTTTTGAGATGGAGTCTTGCTCTGTTGCCCAGTCTGGAGTGCAATGACATGATCTCAGCTCACCACAACCTCTGCCACCTGGGTTCAAGTGATTTTCCTGCCTCAGCCTCCCAAGTAGCTAGGATTACAGGTGCCCACCACCAAACCTGGCTAATTTTTTTTGTATTTTTAGTAGAGATGGAGTTTCTCCATATTGGTCAGGCTGGTCTAGATCTCCTTGACCTCAGGTAATCCACCTGCCTTGGCCTCCCAAAGTGCTAGGATTATAGGCATGAGCCACTGTGCCTGGCCTTTTTTTTTATGTAATAAGTACATGTTTTAACATCAACCATATAGAAAAGATCCTCTGTTCTAAAGAAATAAAATAAATTCTTTTGGAAAAAGTGTTAATTTTTGTTGCTGTTGTTCTAGAGAAAAAACTGTCAGAGAATCTTAAATAGGAAAAATGCTATAAAGTAGGAAGCTTTGTATTTCTGGGAAGAGTGTTATTGTGGCACTTATTAGATTCACGACAGAATAGTTGATTCCAGCCCAATGTAGACTTAGTGACAGTAAATTCGTATATTTATTTTAGACCAAAATTAATTCCTTGCAAAGTGACTCTTGTTCTAAGCACTCCACAAGAGCTGCTTTCTCAACAGTCTCCAAAAGTTTGCTAAGTCCTAAATACAGTGGCTTCTTCATAATTCATTTTTTCTTTGCATTTTATTGCTTTGGATTTAAGGACATTACTTCCTGCTGGTTTTACTTTTCTCCATCTCCTTTTCTAGCTGATTTTTAAAATCCATCTCTTAAATCTCGTACTCTCTTAAAAGTCAATGTAAGTTCCCCAAGTTTCTTTTCCTGGACTTGCTCCTATGGTCTTGTTTCAACAATTGCATTTTTTTCCTGTAATTTATAAATGTACAGATCCAACCCTGGTTTTTTACCTGCTACCTGGATGTCTCCACATTGAAATCCTACTAATACCTCAGTCTCTCTTCCTGTTGAAAACTGCACTAATTATTTTAACTATTTTCTTTCAAATCTTTTGCTGGCTCATTCATTAATTTAATTTTTGCTAGAAATCTTAATTTTCTTTTTACAATTTTTATACCCTCCCTATCCCTTGTTATAAAAGTAATTGCCAAAGTTGTCGATTCACTCTCTGTGATGTCTTTCTTTTTCGTTCTCTTTCCATTTTTCCTTTTCTCATTTCTACTACTCTTGTACAGTTTCAGACTGCTGCCTCTTGATCTATTGTAGTAATCTCCTTTCTCCCCTCTCTGTTTTCAGTTTCTTCCTTCTCAAATTCACCCTTTGTTATTATGAAAGTCATTGTGTTAGTTTGGCATTATGCACTCTGGGAAATAAAAGGCTATTTCTAAGGATATTATAGTGGAAGTAACAAATATCATCATCATTTGATAAATAAACTATATTATTCTCTTGTATTTGGATAGTGTTTTATCTTGTTCAAAATGCTTTTATATTCATAATTCATATACATTATTGTAAATATTAAAATATTGTTATTTATTATAATATTTAATCAAGCTTAAAATGGGAAAATATAAATGATCCACTTATAAACCATGTGGGCTACTAATCTGCAAATAGGTCCTTTACAACTTGACTACATATCAATTATGAGTTTTTAAGAGAAAGAGAAAGCAAAAAGAGAAATTAAACAGGAAAGGGAAATGATTCTTGAACCCAAGTCATTCATCTAGGAAATCTTACAGCAAAGAAGGGTGAGCAGCTTGTTCCAACCTAATCTAAAAACTATAAAATGAAATAATCCCATCTGTGGCAACTCCTCTAGGATCCCAACCGAGAGATTACAGAATTAAAGTTTTTAGTTCCAACAGAACTGACTCCAACTAACATAAACAACAAATTATTGAAAAAAAATATAAGGCATTCTCCAACCTGAGTTGTTGGATTCACTTTAGCACCACCATTAGGATAGAATAGAACACCCAGAGTTTTCAGCCTCTTTGCCATCTGCTCAGAATTTTTTCTCATGATTCAGATTCCAGGGAGCAGGCATCTGAATGGCCTGGTTTAAGTCCTAATTCGTAATCTATCTCATAAGCTTCTGTGAAATTATAAGGTATATTTTAAATATATAAAATAATTATGACAAAATTGTGTATGTGTCCATTTCTGTAGGAGATTGAAATTATATGTGAGTATCTTCCACATCAAACTAGGCCAAATTAAACAAGCAAAAAAATAGTGTGAGGAATATTTGGGATGACACAAGATAATAAATATCAAAACTACCCCAGCAAATGTTATCCATTCTCACGATGAGCAAACAAGTAAGAAAGAAACAAAGACAGGGCCAAATTATAAGCAATTTTAAAATTTAGGGTTTCCTCTTGATTTTTAAATTATTTTTGATGAAGTTCAAATATTTTCTTTAGGAATCAAACTAGGATTGATTATTATTAGTCAGGGTTTCTTTTCTTTTCTTTTCTTTTCTTTTCTTTTCTTTTCTTTTCTTTTCTTTTCTTTTCTTTTCTTTTCTTTTCTTTTCTTTTCTTTTCTTTTCTTTTCTTTTCTTTTCTTTTCTTTTCTTTTCTTTTTCTGAGATGTAGTCTTGCTCTTTTGCCCAGGCTGGAGTGCAATGGCGCAATCTCGGCTCACTGCAACCTCTGCCTCCTGGGTTCAAGTGATTCTCCTTGTCTCAGCCTCCTGAATAGCTGGGATTACAAGGCACACACCATCACACCCGGCTAATTTTTGTCATTTTAGTAGAGATGGGGTTTCACCATGTTGTCCAGGCTGGTCTTGAACTCCTGACCTCAAGTGATCTGCCTGCCTTGGCCTCCCAAAGTGCTGGGATTACAGACGTGAGCCACTGCACCTGGCAGGGGTTCTTAATCTTCTGTTGTGCCGTGTGTGTGCCTCTTTGACCATTCTGGTGAAGGCTTTCAAGCCAAACTGAGAGTAAATTTTTAAATCCGAAAAATATAATTCATAGGAAATGAATTGACTTAATTAAATAATTAGTTAAATGATTTTCAAAATATGATATGAAGTTTATGACACATAAATAAGTTTGCTTCTTCAATAACACATTAAATAAGAAAATGTAAGGTAATGATTTCAAAGAAATGACATGTATCAATAACAGTTTGGGATATCTACAACATTGTAGTTGATATAAAGCTATGTTTATTTTCTATTGGCAACAAAGTGGTAGAAATTTTTAATGTCCTTGAGCTAAAAATTTTTTCCTTCCAAATTAATGGACCCACTGAACCACAGTTAAGTCTCTGACCTAGGCTAATTTCAAAGTATGACCCTGTCTGAACATAGAAAAAGTATTTAGATGACTTCTGCTTATTTTATCCTTATGTTTTCACCTGAAAAATTACTTTTATTTAAACATTGATGAGAAAATCATAGACAAAAATAAGGAAGTCATTAACTGCCTTGTATTTTTAAAAAATGCAAGCTACATAGTGGAAAACAAGCAAATACTTAAGAAAACAAACAAATTATTTTTTCTTGAAAATCACTAGAAATTTTATTCTAGTGTTAAAAATATTATTTTTTTCTTTCTGCTGGAAAATTCAGTGAGTTATAGGGGTATATTCTTTTTAACATTTTTGAGATAATATTTTATATCATGAATTATTTGTACAATCAACCTTCATCTTAGGCAAATATAACATCAGTTATATTTAGAATAATGTTTAGTTAGAATATAAAATGCTTTTGTATTCATAATTCATATACATGATTGTAAATATTAAAATATTGTTATTTATTATAATATTTAATCAAGCTTAAAATGGGAAAATATAAATGATCAACTTATAAACCATGTGGGCTACAAATCTGCAAATAGGTCCTTTACAACTTGCCTACATATCAATTATGAGTTTTTAAGAGGTAGAGAAAGCAATTTGTAAAAAATTCTTTTTAACATTTTTGAGATAATATTTTATATCATGAATTATTTGTACAATCAACCTTCATCTTAGGCAAATATAACATCAGTTATATTTAGAATAATGTTCAGTTAGAATAATGTTTACTGTGATGTACAAAATACAAATTATGGCAAAAAGGTGACAGTAGGAGAAAAGCTAGTGTGGAATTTAATATAAGCAGAAAAAGGTAAATTAGTAAATTACTTCTCTAATTTATTGTATTTACCCTTTTTATACAACATTCTCCTAGTAGAACAATATATAATAATATAGTACTTTGGTGAAAAATAACTTTGCTTTATAAAGCACAGCCTGAATTTCTACTTTTATTTTAATCCATTCTTGGAAAAACATGAATAACTTCCTCTTAAGGGAAAGGTTAAATATAATGTTATATGAGATAAGAAACCCAAGACATCCAGAAATCTGATGAGCCTAAGTATCACACCAATGGACTCCTATGCTGTGACCATGCTATGCTTGTAAGAGTGCTCAGGAAATAGTCGGTTGTTGTTGTCTTGGTTTTTTTAACTTGGCCTAGAAGTTGAATATAAGGGAACTAGTCTTGGCAAATTCAGAGGGGGAAGAAAAAAGCCAGTTAAATTTTAAAACTGGAGAATTGAAAATATGTATTTATTATAATATGAAAAATGAAGAACAGATATTCAATGAGGTTTCTTCAGATTTACTGTATTTTCCATATAAATATTGAGAGGCATAACTTTCTTCCCCTCTTGTTCCCACGTGTGAGAATTTGAACAAAAATAATTCCAAGGTGAGACATTCTTCCATGCACCCAAAAAACCTGTCAAACACAATTTAAATACTTTTGAAAATTAAATAAATCAAACTGTCTTACAATGTTAAACATATCTATTAACTTACCCTTTAACTTTTATAAATGGCTTAATGTAATTCTTATACCTCTGTAAATTATCTCTATAATAGGTGTATCATGTAAGTTCATTAATTAAATATAACCTTAACTTGGAAAATGTTTTATAATTTATATTAATTCTTTTGCACACACTTTATGGGTTATGTTAATTATCTGACTCCTAAAATCATTTTATTCATTTTAACATGAAGCTGATGCAGTTCTAAAATCATGTTATTCTTTAAGTCTATCCAGAATTGCTAAGTCTTTTATTTCTTTTACTATACAGTATATGCTAAAATTTATCCAGTTTTTTTTATTTTTTAAATTTTTGCTCCCATGATTTTTTTCTTCTCTGTGAGATTAAAAGTTAAGTTCTAGGGCCTTCTCTGTGCTTTCTGTCTCCCTTCAGGGCACAGCAAAGCTGTTGTTGACTTTCTCTGTAACTCATTAATCCATTGCTACCTTCTTGATAGGCACCACTTGAAGCTAATGCCGATGTGTGTTCTGTGGACTCCTTGGCTTTGCAAAGGCTGATTTTCTGTCACTAATGATTTTAAAGTTTTCATCCTTATCTCCTCCATGTTAATGTGTTGAATCCAGAGTTGTCATTCCTTTTAATTAATCTGATTAACCTTCCTAGGCTATCTAAGTCCCCAGTGTAAGTTTTATGTTTGAAATCAGAGAAGCCCCACTTTCCAGGTTGTTAGTAGAATAAAATTGTTTAGTTATTAAAAAGATTTACCTATTTCTATTATAGAATTTATTTCATTTTACCTTCATGCTTTACCCAACTCTCAGCAGGAATGTTCTTTTCCTTTCATTCAATTCTTATTATCATCTTTAAATTTTAATCATTTCTATGCTATGCATTCTTTTAAAACCCATAGAGACGTGCTATACTCTATGAATTTGCCCTTGAGATGTATTGCTTTTGGTATTATCTGTCATGTACTTCCTGCCCAACTATAATTCAAGTGTCTTGGAGATTGACTAACTTGAGGATTGGCTGACTCCTTCAATCTTTGGTCAAACGTCAGCTACTTAACATAATTTACAATTTAAAATTATTTGTTAACCCCTCCCCCAGCACTTGTCATTGCTACATTCCTGAACCCCTTAGTCTGCTGAATGTTTTACACATTACTTCCATAACATGTTATATAATTTACTTATGTATTATTTTTATTATGTTGTTGTTTCAGCCTAAATTAGGACATAAGCCCCACAAGAGCAGAGATTTTTGTTTATTTTGATCACTAATGTATTCTGTGAATCTAGAGGAGTATCTAATATTTAATTTGCGCTCCAGAAATGGTTACTGAATGAATGAATAGTATCTATTTTCTGCTTTGTATCCCATTTCCATATTCCTTAACATTTAGTGCAGTGTGTTTAAAAAAAAGGTGATCGAAAGTCTTAACTGGGTAGATCTCCAGTCAAAAGAAAGAGCAAAAGAGAGAGAAAGAAAGAAAGGAAAGCAGAGGAAAAGAGAAGAAAGGGGTGGAAAATGGAGGGGAGGGGAGGGGAGGCAAAGGAAGGGAAAAAGGAAAGAAATATAACCACTTTGTTCTCAGTCCTAAAAGTTTAGAATATGTACTTGCTTCTGAAAACTCTTCAGAAAAATTCTCAGGAACTGAGATATTGTCTTCTGTGCTTTTCAGTGCAAAAGAGAGGAAAGAAGGAAGGAAGGAAGGAAGGAAGGAAGGAAGGAAGGAAGGAAGGAAGGAAGGAAGGAAGGAAAGGAAAGGGAAGGGAAGGAAGGAAGGAAGGAAAGAAGGGAGGGAGGGAGGGGAAGGGGGAGGGGAGGGAAGGGGAGGGGAGGGAGGGGAGAGGAGGGGAGGGGAGGGAGAAGGATTAAAGATATGTCTGTTAGGTTTGGCTCTGTGGAATATTGCTTTGTTAGTTTCATATCTCCTTTGTTCGTGGTCATCATCTCCATAATCTTTAGAGTCATTGGAAAGTTATCACAGAAGAGAACAGCAACTTGTAAACTAATATCAGAAGATTCATTCCATTCTGTCTGGCAAACTTAAATTTTGGAAGAAAAACACTTATAAGGAAGGAAAAGAATGTCTGTTTAGCCAGTTGAATCAATAAGACTACTACATTTAGATAATGGTAATGCATGAGGAGTCTTCTATTTTCATTTCATCTTTAGTGCCTTGGCATAGGTATTTTATATTCCACATGTACACACACAAAAAAAAATTGTTCATCAAACAGCTTGACTAGGCACTGAAAAATGAGAAACTAAATGAAACTAGATAAGGGCATAAAAACTTAGTCCATCTCATCTCAGTGAAAGAACTATTGTTCTAGATGAAAAATATGTGAAACATGAAAAATTCAACCTGGATATCACTTGGTAGCATATGGAATTTTAAAACTACAGTGAAGACACTTAAGACACATACACAGAAGCCATAACAAAACCCTATGGTACAAAGAGTTCTATATTGTGTTCTGGGTACCCCACAGGATTTCCCCAAGGGCTATGAAATAATGAGGTCCCAAGAGTATTTGCCTTTCCCTTCTGCAAGTAAGTCTACATAAACCGTGTTTAGTGTTTAGTGCTTTTTAAAGACTTTTCATTGTAAAATATTCTTATTTATCTCCAAAGATTATAATTTGAAAGTTCACCATTAGCTTTGGCTCTCAGGTAACCATTTCTGTAAACCATAAAGGGGCTGTAAACCATAAAGGGGCTGCCAAGAAAGCCAAGAATAAAAAATCAGAATAAGTATTTGCTCGTAGTGAAGGTAGGCACTTTATAGACATTTGTGCATCTTCCTTCTGGACCACTGTAGAAAGTACTTTAAGTAGTTCTTATGAGACACTGGGTCATGATATAAAACATTTTTCCTTTAAAAATGTTATATAAGTATTGGGTGCATATGAGTATCGAGGATTCCATTCTATAATAGAAGTCATAACATCAAACTACCTGGTTAGTTTTGCTAGCTTTCAGTCGCAGTGTGCTCCATTTTACAGGAAGCCTTTAAATTCAATTTATCTGGTAGAGTGATTTCAATTAGCAAGCCAGTCTTATACCCTCTTGAACTAGACTATTGGGTGGAATATTGAGTTCAGTTCTGCCTACACATTCGCTGTCACTCCACAAAATCCCAGCTGTTCAACTCACACCCAACTAGAATGTACAAACAACACTTTTTAAACACATCAACAAGAAGCAATAAAAACATAACCACTTGTTCTCAGTAGTAAAAGTATAGAATATGTACTTGCTTCTGAAAACACTTGGAAATAATTCCCAAGAAATGAGATGCTGCCTTCTGTCCTTTTCAGTGCTAACAGATCAAAGTTCTTGATGGTTTCTTTTATTATTTTTAACTCTCACTGTTGTTAAACCCTCAAAACCTAACCCCCATTTAAATAAAGCTTCTTTTTAAGATTCACAGTTTTCTTACTCATTCAACTGCTGTTCACACCAGATGGCTTTTTTGCTACCATATTTTTAAGACTTTTTTTTCTTATCTCTTCATCCAGCTCCTTCTCCATTCAATGGAATACTCAGTCTGCTACAGTCTGGAGTTGAAGTTTAAAATTCTGAAAATAAATGCATTAAGAATATTTTATAGGCAGTTTTTGTATCTTTATCCAACAAAGTGATTAAGAATTTTCATACTTTTTTTCTTCTTTGCTACTTTGACTCCTTTATCACTTTCATGTGGACATAAAAATCTAGATTTTTAATTATCAGTGGCTAAAAGGATCATTTAAAACTTCATGGTAATCCAAGAAAGAGGAAGAAAAGAATCTCTGCTGGTTTTTTTCCTCTTTTATTTCATCCTGACAATTTTGAAAGGCTTCATGGACAACTCAAGTTTTAATTTTTACAATGCTGTCATTTAAATTTCCTGTGATAATTATACTATCCATAAGTTTTCTTTGCAGAAATAAAAATAAGCAAAGATGATTTACTCATAGTTTACACCATATTTACTGTGTAAATTTATTGATATTTTATCTGACTTTGAATTTCCATATCTGATTTAGGTTTACAGCAGATTTCATTAAACTTTCAAAACCTTAGTGATTTCATGAAATTTGAATTTTGAACAAATCTGGGCTGTTCAAGTGTGATTTATTATGTCAGGGAAAAAAAAGTGTAAAGTCTGGCAGTGTGAGATGAGTTTTGAGTTTGAGTTTTCTGGTTCATTTAAGCCAGAATCTCAGAGAAAACCTCTAGGGACAAGAACCCACAGGAACTGTAGCTGAATTCACTATAAATATTTTAAAGATAAAAATACTTTCTGACCTCTAACTAAAATTCTTTTTTATATGTTAACACTCAAAACATTACTGTCCAAATCATTCATCTTTTTACAGGCTATAATGACAAATTACTATTTGAGTATCTTAAATTTTACCGTAGCATTATTAAGAATGATTCTGCTGCAATCCACAGTGAATTTTGTAATTATTAAACCCATTTTCCACAATATCCATTTCCATATTTATATCAAAGTTCCAGCTTGAAAATCTAAAAACCAATATATCAAAAGAAAGGGAGGTTAAAGGAAAATAATTGTTTTATACTTATTTTTAAAGATATTCAAATATAGGGACTACAACAGTGACATTTTACCTTAGATTTATAATAAATAAAGTTTATTAGTTTCATTTTGCAAATTCTTCATATGTAAAAATAATAGTCTTTATAAAGTTACATCAGTTTCAGTATCAATATGTTAGCTGAGCTGGGAGGTAGCAAACTTTGGCTTAGAAAAAAAAAGCATGCAACACACTGAAGTGCTCCTTAATACTTTTTTTTCTTTAAATCTAAACATCAACTGGGAAAAAGCAGAAAGATTTTTTTTAAAGGAAAAAAATCTAAGACATATAGAATTGTAGAGATGTTTTATCTAATACATGCTTAGAATAAATTATATATTACCTTTTTTTAAATTTTGGTTGTCTTAAATTATGATTAAACAAAAACACTTCAAAAGTAGAAAGTGGTATACTGCCATATATTTTATACTACTATATTTAGTATCAAGTTTGTCCTACTGGAAAATGTCTTCTGTGGTGACTATTGATTTTTCCAAGAAAATTTATTTAAAGAAAGGCAATAGAAGTCATGCTTACTATTTCTTGTTTAAAGGAAATTGTTATTGAAATTATCTGGTATGATTTTTATTTTCAAACTAAAAGAAAATCTAGATTAGAAGGCTTAACCTACATCACTTCCTAGATACTCTATGTAATGTTCTTTGTCATTTATTTGCTCTAAATAACGGGTTCTTTAGTTTAAAAAAAAAGCCTTCAGGTAAAGACATTTATTTTGTCAAGCTGCCGTTATAAAACCTAGATCAAATGCAGTAAACGAGTAGAGGTAAGTGAGCCTCTTTTAAGGTAAATGAAGCTTAAAACAGAATTGAGATTGAATCGACAAATGGCTATGTCAAATTGCTTCATATTTCATGATTGTCAACCAGACCCCTCTGTATGCTCTCTCTGGTCTCTAATGGGCTAGAAGCTCTACTAGTCAAGTTCACAAAAAGTCAAGGATTAATATAAGGATATTCTCAAATTTCAGTGTTTTAATGTCTTCTAGGTACAAAGCATCTTAGAGAATTTTAGCTGCCTGAATATCAGTAGGTAGATATGCAAAAACCAATGAGCATGTCTCCAACTTCTCTTGCAAAGTGTTTGTTTACTTGTATGTGGGAACCAGCCAAAAAGTTAAGTGGTGTCTGAGTATCAGCAGGACTGACACACCAATCTTGTTTCTGGAATCACAGGTTAGAGTTGTAATTAAAAGTTCTGTCGGCCGGGCGCGGTGGCTCACGCCTGTAATCCCAGCACTTTGGGAGGCCGAGGCGGGCGGATCACGAGGTCAGGAGACCGAGACCATCCTGGCTAACATGGTGAAACCCCATCTCTAATAAAAAATACAAAAAATTAGCCAGGCGTGGTGGTGGGCACTTGTAGTCCCAGCTACTCGGGAGGCTGAGGCAGGAGAATGGCGTGAACCCGAGAGGCGAAGCTTGCAGTAAGCGGAGATCACGCCACTGCATTCCAGCCTGGGCGACAGAGCGAGACTCCGTATCAAAAAAAAAAAAAAAAAAAAAAGTTCTGTGAATTAGAATATAACTGTATGTGTAGAACTAAACGGTCAGGACACAGCTAATGAGAATGTGGTTTTGAGAACTAGGTGGAACTGTGAATACCTGCCTGGTAGGGAAGCTTGTTTACCTGGGGAGAACTTAATTACAGTGCATTTAAGGAAAAATAACAGAACCATGAGGGAAAAGAAAGGCTGTTGCTTAATCTTAAAAGGTTTTATTGACAGCAATTATACATTTTGGAGAAATTATCAAAAATTAACATTTGTTTCATACAATAAAAATGCTATCAAGTTCTCCTTGACAATGAGTATTTTGGGACAATTTATATTGCATTTAACAAGGTGGGCCCTTATGGTCTTTTAAATCCTCTGTGATTTGAGACATAAGTAGTCAGGCATGTTTGTCAGATTTTCCATAATCTGACAAATGGATATTTTTGCAAGGATGATTTATTTCCTATTTCTTTATTAATTGTTCTACCTCCCTAATGATTTCTGGGTCATCAGCATTTTCAGGGTATGGCGAATCCGTGCATTATGTGGGATTTGAAGTAGAAAACTAGTCTCTCCCTTGGTGTCTGTAAAATATCTTGAAATAAATCCATTTCACCAGAACTTAAATGAATGTGAAATTTGCTAGATAATTTTGTCAAGGTGGTTATTCCGTTTTACCCACTAGTATTATATATGAAAAAATATTTTAAAATATATTATTTCTCTTTAGATGCATTTCTTGATAATGTGTCATAATTCTTACTCTGTGATTAAGGTTTTTATGAGTAACCAAGGAACTGGTGTTCGAGAGTGGCATAATTTAAATTTTAAGGACATCTTTACAATCAGTCTTTCTTATTTTTATTGTATTTGTTGTCATTGTTGACAATTTGCTCTAGACTACTGAAATTTTATCTTTTAACAATGTCCATTGATTTACAGAGCCACTGCATTGAAACATTTTATGTACCTCTAATTTTTAATACCAGAAATATGATAAATCTGGTATTCTATGTTCCGTGACCCTACATTTTGATTCCAGTTCTTAACCAAGTTTTACTTCTGTTAGTAAGTTTGTGCTCTGTAATTTTTTCATTTTTTCTTTGGTAACATTCTACATTATTTAATATAATTTTGACTTTGAAAATAGCCTCTGGTTTGTCACTTTTATTTAATCTTAAATGCATTCATCTTTTATTTTCTTTCTCTTTCTTTCCTCCCTTTTTTTACTTACTGTTACCACTTAGAAATTGCTCTTTCTGAAGCTTTTTTAAAATTAATAATTTATTTATTTTTTGAACAAATGCACAAGGCACACAATTCAAAATGCTAAAAACGGTATGCAAAAAGGCTGTCACCTCTGGCCATTCAGTTCCACTTGCCAGAAGTTAACATGGTAACCAGTTACAGAGAGAGATGCAGATGGTAGACTCTGTCATACAGAGGTATATAGCAACTAACAGGGAGAGCGTGGGTTGAGAGGGAAATCAATGAAATAAGAAGCAGCAGCAACTAGTGAGAGACTCACAGAAGGGAAGCCTGAGCACCAAATATGGCTGACAATTAGAGTTTCTGCTGGGTCCCCATAACCTGTGTCAGGTTACTGAAAGCAAAGAATAACATTCTAGTTTACCTAAAACCTGAATGTATTACTTCTGAAACAGTTCTTATTCTTCTGTACTTTTTATCTTGATTTAAAACAAAAGAAAACAAAAAAAATCCTTCCACTACCTGAATTGGAGCATGTCTCTAATTTTTGTCACAAGAGCCGTTAACATATGTCACAAGCAAGATATGTATCTTTGCTAAACTTCAAGAGTACCATCTATATCATAGGGAGGTCTCTTGCTCTCTTCCTTCTTCTCTTCTGTAGTAGAAAGTTAATACTGTAATGCAGAGTGAAAAGGATAAGGCCTAAAGTGAAAATATCTGTACTGTTTTAAACATACAATTAGTTGAATTGCAGATAATTTGCCTAACATTATTATGTTTTCTCTGAATAAATATTTTTAAAACTTTTAGTTCTCAAGAGAAAAAAGAAAATATAAAGCATTCAATTTTTATTAAGGAATGAAATATAAAAAGTGTAATGTGCAAAAACATAGATATCAGAATGGATTAAATATGCCAAATATATTTATATCAACAGTAGATTCAAGTGAACATTTAACTTCTAATAATAAGAAAAAGTATTTTATTTTATAGCCAATGAAGAAACAAAAGGAAAAATTAAGAAAGGAAGTGAGGGGAAGCCCATTTTACAACCACTCCATTAACAAATATAAAATCAAAGAGAAAAAAATAAATTAAAAGATAAATTAAACCAACTCTTCGTGTCATTCTTATGACACCCATTGCTCTAGATCATTTCCAGGTCACATGGATCTTAACTATCCATACCACTCCTACTTCTGGGTTATTTCATTCCTTAAAACTGTGTTTCTGGTAGAATCAACAAGGCAAATATCTAGAGATGTGGTCTTCAGGTGCAGAACTTTTGATGTCTTAATTTGTACCTAAAATCATCTCCTGCTCTTAAAGACATTTGTTATTCTCCATGCAAGCTTTGGAACACTGATTATCCCACATCAAGTGATAAAATAAATATATTTTCAAAACAAAGTATGAAGAAATCCAGCCATTCTATGCATCTATAAATCTATTCACAGGAAACATGACTGCTTTAAAGAAAATAAATTATATTAACTTCAAGAAAACGAGACATTTTAACATTTAAAAAGTTTCAGTATCTTATGTATATCTCACATTGCTTCATAAAAATGACTGTATATTTTGTAAAGGGTTCTAATGATGTAGGAAAGTGCCTTGAGAAATACAGTGTTTTATAAAACTCTACATAAACATAAAATACCATTATGTTTATGTTTTGAACTGCTAGTTATTCATATTTCTTAAAAGGGAAATATTAAACATTATAAAAGCTGACATGTTCATACTTGACATGTAGAACCTGCAATCAATTACCAGGCTGTTGACTAAAATGGAATTACAAAAATTTATGAGCATGCTGGTAAAACAGTTGTGATAGATGGATAAAATATTTAATATGTAGCACATAGCATGTAACATCAAATCATATATAATACAATGGTATATAACATTGTATAGTATAATAATGTAAAATATACATGACAACTCTATTACAAAATGCTTTTGCTCTCATTTTTTGCTTTGCTTTTTAATTTAACATGAAAATAGCATGTTATTAATATGTATAATTAATAACATATGTTATTAATATGTGTAATTAATAACATATGTTATTAATATGTATAACTAATAACATATGTTATTAATATGTATAACTAATAACATATGTTATTAATATGTATAACTAATAACATGTTATTAATATGTATAATTAATAACATATGTTATTAATATGTATAATGCTAGCATATCACTATGCCATGACATGAAACTAAATACCCCTCTCCAAAGCATGGCTTTAATTTTATACTTAGAAGACTAGGTTAAGTTGTATCTGGATCTGCATAACAGTTAGTCAATTATCATGTATTTCTGAAGCCTATATCATAGCAAGATTTTTGAATCAAGATTCATAGAGAACTCCTAATAAACACTAGGAAAAATCCAAGTCCTTGAGATGACAACAAACCCACATAGAGAAAACTACCAAACCCAGAAAGTCCGAAAAAGTACTTTAGAGGTACACACTGACCATAAGATCCATAGCATTTCCAATGACTTGGCAGGGCCTGGAATGGTAATGGGAAGAGGAAAGGAAATTGCAGTTGAGGGACTAGAGCAAAGTCACAGAGATGGAAAGAGCAGAAAGTTCAAGGAGTGTTATTAGATGGCATTCCCTGATGTAGAGTGGAAGGTAACTGTTGAAGATCTGGCCAGGAATTAAGAGAACTTGGACCTGCTGTAAGATTGACAGGCTGAGTACACCAGTCTCAGGATTCAAATTTGATTTCTATTGAAACATCATTACCGTTGTTGAGCACGGTATGACTGTAATAAAGTTTTCTGTATTCTGTGCCTTTCTCTTTAATTCGATGTACTCCTGAATCTTGCCTGCAGACACAAACTCACTTCCCTCCAGTCTTTGAGGCAGGTCAGCCTACCCACCCACTCCCATCTGGTGCTGATTGGAAGCCACCTGAGTTACCAAACTTGTCAGTGCCTGTTGTGCCTGGAAGAAGCCGTGGGCTCACTTTGGCCTTTCACTCACAATGCTTCCTAACTCCTAGACAATACCTGCTTTATTAGCTGCCTAATGCCTCAGGTTTACCTAAGACTAGGACATTGCTCCAGACCCATTTTTGTATTAAGTCTTTGCCTCCTTTGAATATTTGACTCCTACTTTTTCTTCACCCCACCTTATTCCAACACATACATACCTGGTGTCCACCTCCTGGCTCGGGTCCTGACACAAAAGGATGGTTTTACCTGAGCAATGATAACTTAACATTATCATCTTTCACTGATTCATCAGTGCTTTTAAGTACCAGGCATGGAACTAGAACCACCCCAGGTACTGACATGTCACACCTGTCTGTTACTTCTGACATAGTGGCCTCTTGGGGCACTGGTCTGTGAACTACTTGGCTCCTCTTATTTGGATTAGTTTCTGCAATCCAATTAATTCTCCCCATTTACAGTGCTTTAATGAGTAATAACTTGGACTCAATCAATACCCAGCCCTGCTCATTCATGTACTGCCATCCTAATATCCATATCTCATTGATGTGTCTTTTCTTACTAGGTCTGAATGATCATATCTTTCAATGTGGCTATTGACCTTGTATTTCTCATAGTAGAATCAGATAGGAGGAATATTATGGGGCCTGGGACTCTAACCACCCCTATGGCCAGACCAAGCTACATGGAAATATTTTGAGGAGACCCTCCCAATGATCAGGTCTCACTCAGGAACATGCCTGGCCTGGGATGGCTCACTGCAGGTCCCAGCCTCTAAGGGAGACAGAAAAATCCTGGGGAGGTTCACCTGATGACTGGGCCCCATGTAGGACCTGGAGCAATGTATTCCAGAGGCCAGCAACAGCTCAGCATGGTTCCCACTGGTGTGGATATGGAAGCAGTTAGTAGAGGTGCAAAACCAGCAGGTAGAAAAGACATGGTGCCCCAGTGATAAGGCAAAAACAAAGAACATTCAGGTGGGGTGGCTGGCAATGTGTCAGATGAGGTATCTAAGAATCCATGGCGACAACAATCAGAAATGAGAGTAGACAGTTGACATTAGGAATAACATCAGCTGGGAGGTAGTCCTTGGCCATTTAGCAGGAATTTGAAGCATGGTGTTCCTAGCCCTCAAGACTAGGGTGAATATAGTGAGAAGGAAAGTTAGAGTAAGAGTAGAACAGGCATACAAGGGAGGTTTTGAGAAAAGTAATTGAAAATGGGCACCAAGGCAGAAGCTCATTTATAAGATATGGGGCACACAGGGGGCATCTGAGGCTCCCAAAGAAGATGGGCATCAGTATTTCAGAAGGGCCTGAATGACAGTAGGCAAGGGGAACTCAGGAGAAGTTGAGCTCCCGCACAGGTTGTGATTAGCACACTGAAGAAGAAGCAGAGCAGGTGTGTCAGAGTGGGGATCCAGTGCGGAAGGATCATGAACTAGAAATTAGGCTGAGTCTGACTTAGACTTCATGAAAATGATGCCCTGCCTATAAAAAACATAAACTGCAACAGAGTTTAGCATGGATATGGGTGGAGGCATATAGGCAACTTTATTGTCGAGCTCTCAAGAGAGAGATTCCAATTACAATGTATTAAATGCTGTTTTATATTTATTTCTTTTAGTTATCCTCCAAGGAGCCCAGATGAAGTAGGTGTTAGCCAATTTTATGGATTAATCTCAGTAAGGATAAGAAATTGCTTAACAGCCAGACAGATACCAGAATAAAGGACAAACACACTGATTTTCTTTTTTTGAGCTTTTGTCCAATGTGCTCTATCAGCATCAACTCAGTTCCAGTGTTTCCTGTGGGTCTCTTGTTTTCTGGGAAGAAGTAGGTCAGATTAGGCAACATTCAATATGAAGCTGTACCTCCTGACTGAGTCTGAAAGCCTCTGTCAGCAAGTTCTGGAGAACCCTGATTAAATGAAACCACCAAGGTGAACTTGTCTTTTGAAAAATGTCAAATTAGGGCAGTGACGATCTTAATGTATAAGGGCTATGCTCCTCTGTGCTGAAGAACTCTGGCAGAGACTTCTTGGTAGTCAACAAGGGTAGGTCGTCATGAGCTTACTCAATGGCAGTTATACACAGAGGGAGTAGGGTCTTTGCATGCAAGGAGTAACAGGACATTCATGTGTATATACATACACACATATATATATGCACACACACATATCATCAGAACATGACCAATGACTTGACTATTATCTTTTAAGATTAGAATTTTTAAAAGAAACTTACACAGAAAGATTCTATCTTGTTGTAGCAAAAAGTAGAGCTGTTCTTTTTTCACAACTTTTTTTTTTTTTTTTTTTTTTTTGATATGAAGTCTTCCTCTCTCTGCCGCCCAGGCTGGAGTGCAGTGGTGTGATCTCAGCTCACTGCAACCTCTGCCTCCCGTTTCAAGTGATTCTCCTGCCTCAGCTTCCAGAGTAGCTGGGATTATAGGCATGCGCCACCATACGTGGCTAATTTTTGTATTTTTAGTAGAGATGGGATTTCACCATGTTAGCCAGGTTGCTCTCCCACCCCTGACCTCAAGTGATCCACCCACCTCTACCTCCCAAAGTGCTGGGATTACAGGCGTGAGCTACCACACCCAGCCTTTCACAACTATTTTCAAATGCCAGGCTGTATCATCCTGTGCTTGGCCCACTTTACCTTACAGCAGGGGACTGTACTTAATAGTGGAGAAACCAAAATTGTTTTGGACTCAGTAAAGTGTTTGTGATTTACTTTGAACATTATTATTTTTGTCTATTAGTCATTAATATAATTTTCCTGAAATACAATATGTGATTTGGAAGGCCTTATTTTAGTCTTCTTGCATATATATTCCTTAAGAGGGGTCTTATTTATTTCAATATATATAGCTAAAGTTCTATATTTTATCTTGCACCCAAATGATAGCAGAACCTTGACTCTTTCCTCAAATATTTCTGAGAATGCTTGGAATACTGGAATACTCTCACTGTCACTCTGCCTTGGTCTCCATGTCTCCTGTCCTCTTTCTGAAAACACAAGGCTCCTTCTGGCCTTGTGTTTTGCAAGGCTACTCTCTCTCTTCTGATCTATAAGCATGAACAGGGTCCTCTCTGAACCCATTAGCAGCTGCTTCTCTTAGAGCTTACGAGCCCTTACCTACTGCTCTTGGCCCCCATTTAACTCAAGGCAGAGAAAGCCAACTCATACAGACCAGGATCACTAGCCCCAGAGGTGCTTGGAACTACCCTTTCTGTAAGCAGGTGGAAATGGGCTTCATGCTTCACTGAGAAGTTGTACACATGATCCTCTTAGAGTTTAGGAGAAGATCAAAATCTCAGTCTTTTTTGAGATTTTCTTTCTCTCTTAGTTAGAGTTTGGAGTGTGTTATTTCCAGAACCATAGTCCTTACTTTGTTTTTGTTTATTTTAGGTGCCTCGATCTATGAATATAATTGGGTAATAAAAAGAATATACTTCCCCAGTAAAGCTACTTTAGTTGCTGAATCCTCAGGAAAAAAAAAGTTATTTTTTAAGGGTTTAATTGCTAGTCATTGTGCAGAACCACAGTAAAGATAACTACATAATCTTACAGAAGTGGCCTTACAGTGGGTTCATTTTCTTTAGAAAGTTCCATTGCCTCTTGCTGTCATTCTTCAAATTCTGAGGGTACTGCTTGATGCTCTCTATCTTCCTCTGATTAACCATTACAACAGTCCAACACCCATTTGTCCTTTTGTGACTTTGGTCACCTCATAAATTGCAGCAATCCCTGTTATTAGAAGGCATCACATCACCTATAATAGGTGAGCTGTATGAATGTCCCTTAGCCACAATGAATCATTTACCTTTGGGGTAATTTCCAATCAGCAACATCATCCTCAATCTATAATCTCTCACTTTTGCTTTATAAAAGCAAATCACCTTCAGTCATTTCTTATACAAAACACTCTTCCTTAAAAGGCACTATTTTGATGTAAATCATATCTGATGGGAATCACAAAGGCATCAACATCCACAGGTTTCCAGATTTTTGAAGCTCCTTTGTAATGAGTGAAAAATTTAGAGTTCTTAAAATAATACATGCAAAAACATAACTTTAATTTCAGTTATTTTTCTATAATCACATTTAATTTTGGTTATGGGATTCCATTCTATTCAAAAAGCAACTCATTGCATGAGAAGTTTTCTTAGTCCAAACAGGATTTTTAGTCAGTGTGCCAATCCTTCTCTTCTCCTTGCAGGTTTGCCAGTGGACTCAGGGAGAAAGACCTAGTCCTGAGTCCTCACCACCTGGCCAGGTTGGCATCAGTTAACAGGAAAAGCATTCACTGATTTTTTATTATATGTATTATTATTCATCATCAACATCAGTTCCACCAGACATTACCTAAACTGTCCATTCCATTCATGGTCAAGTCATTGGCCCATACAAGTACTTCAACATTCAATTATCTTGACCATGAGGCTCTGCTGGCCTTCTCTCAGCTAACTCTAAGCCCTTCTCAAGGAGCATATTATGTGTGTAAAATTGTCACAGCTTGACGGGCTGTTCTTGCCCATTGCTCAGAAAAGCCAATGCACTGAGAACAGCAAGTATTGTAATAAAGAAAGAGTTTAATAATCGCATGGCCACCCGAGTGAAGGATAAGAGGTATTTCTCAAATCTGCCTCCCTAAGAATTTGGAGATTAGGCTTTTTAAGGGTAATTTTGTGAGCAGAAGGCTGAGGAACTGGGGAACTAAAATATTTGGCTGGGGATGAAATCACAGAAATGTCTAAACTGTCTTAGCACAGTTTGAGCCACTTCCCAGGAGGAGGTTTCAGGACAAGGTAGAAGGTTTACCAAAATACTAAATCTGCAAAATACCTCAAGGGCCAATTCTTTAAAGTTTGCAATAGTGACATTATCTATAGGAGTAGTTGGGGAAGTTATAAATCTTGTCACTTCTGGTTATGTGACTCTGGTGCCATAAGCAACTTATAGGAAAGCAAGCAAAGCAATGGCAGGTTATTTTTTAACTATGCTTATTCTTTAGCAGGATTCAAGCTCCTATTATAATTTTAACCTTGTCATGTGAATGTGGCTTCACTCTCCGAACAAGGAGAGGGTTCAATTTCCTTTGCCTCAGAGTTTATGAAGTGAATTCCTCTCATAGCTTTCTTGGCCTTCATACTAGAGTAACCAAAAACAAATTCAGCTTCTGAGATTAGAAGCAAGATGGAGTCACTCATATTAGATTTCTCTCATTACTTATAATTCTCCAAAGGCAGTTTCAAAGTGATTGGTGAGCAGTGTGTCTTGCATGTCTAGACAGATCATAGCCATTGCTTACTTTTTCACATCCTGTGAAACTTACTGTAAGCCTTGTCGTGTCCCAGGGAGGAAGAGACAGGTTCTGCTGGCTTTTAGATCACCAGATTACTAGGCTTGGATGCAAGGCAGAATAAGAAACAGGATTCAAAATTTCTTTTCAAAGACTCCCATCAACATCTAAGTTTGTTGCTTTCATTTGTGATTCCTTTCCTTTAACACCACTCTCTCCAGTCCCTATTTTCATATGTTAAAAGGATTGGCAAGAAAAATCACTGTCAAGTAATCAGATGTTTTTCTATGACTATGCTTTATGGTATAAACTTCATGTATTGAGTCCTACTGAGCTCTGGCTTTTAATATTTAAAGCCATGGTTTTGAAATTAAAAAAAAAAATGCTCTCCAATGATTTATGCCATGAGTTTGAAAAGTCCATTTTGAAACACAAAACACTCAATTTTTGTTTAAAAATCTGTACCTAAGGCAAGGAGTGCCACACTATCTTTCTGGGAGGAAGGGCTTTCATGTTGAAGAGAATCATGGTGGAAAAAAACAGCATAATGTTTCAAAATACATCCCATCATATATGGGCAGGAAAAACGCAATATCGACAAAAAGTGAGAGCTGACACCATGTCGCTTTAGTGCTTGCAGATGAAGACATTACATAAAATTAACATCTATGATCACTATAATTTCTCATTAAAAATTGTTATAAAAACATAAAAAGGTCATAATCTAAAAACAAAGCATAGTTCTCTAAATTGTTAATTCTTTTACAGATAATATGCAGCATTATAAAAAAAGAGAGAGCCACCATATTTTCCTATACATAGTATTTATCTTTGTTCCAGGAGGGAAAAAAATAAATTTTATCATGTGATATCCCAGATTCATGAAGGAATTACTATTTCTACTCAAAAATGCTACCATATTATTATGTAGAGCTTTTTGAATAAGACTTCCTAGAATCCACAATTTAATAATGGAATGAGTTTAGAAAAAAAAAACATAAATTTTGGACCAAAAAATATATCCATTCAAATTATAGTCACTGCCAGTTATTTAAATTTCTGAGCCTCAATTTACTTATTTGAAAACTGGGGAAAGCAGTAACTATACATTTAAGTAATGCTGGTGGTTTAAATGAGGTAAAGTATGAAAAATACCTGGTACATGGTGAGACTTCAGTTAATATTAATTTACATTCAATTTACTCTAGATGACAAACTAAGGAGGAAATATTTATACCATTTTACATAACAAGTGGATATTTCTATCTTGTTCTATTCACTTCCCTTTCTTAAAAAAAAATCAGGTTCAGATCACTGGATCAAATGCTCCTTCTTTTTAGGCAGGCAGGAGATTGCTGCTGATGGCTGACAAAATAAAATGCCAAAGGAGCTGAAAAGATGCATGGGTTAGCTTAGGCTAAGTTCTGCTGTGATGGAAAATGATACCAAAGTCTCAGAGGCTCACAATAACAATCACTTTTGGCTCATGCTACATGCACGTCATGAGTCTGTTTCAGCACTGCTTTGTATTATCTTTGTTCTGAGAATAGACTAGAAGATCATCCCCCATCTGGGGAAATCCTGATCCCTTGGCTGAGGGAAAAATACAGAAGGCAGATTTACATGATGGCTCTTACTGCTTCTGCTTAGATGTGGTATATTTCCCAGTTCATTAGCCAAAGCAAGTTATGTGGCCAAGCTTGATGTCAATGAGTTGGGCAGAAACAATCCTGCAATAGGGAGGGGTTTAACAAATATTTTGAACAATAATGTAATCTACATGGGCTAAAGTAATACGTTTAAAGAAGACAAAATATAGACAATAGAGAATCTGGGAACGATCCATGCTAACTACTCAGCTCTAGTTTATTTGCTTTCACACAGGATTGGCAACCTAGTCACCAAACCTGTTTTTTCAAAGAAGCTGGGAGCTGATGATTGTCGATTCATAGCTCTGAGAGCCAAGCCCACTTCCTGGAAAGTCCTGGCCCCAGAGCTCTAATACCATGTGTAGTATAAGAATTTATATCAGGTCTGAAAGGAATGGACTCCCACTGTTGCTAAATATGCCAAATTTTCGAGACAAGCTCTGAATCTGGAATTTTATATAAAATCTTTGTATTTCAAATGTTATCAATGAATTCAAGTATTTTAAAACAAAGTGCCAGATTAACAAAACATTGTTTCAGGCAAAATCTGGCTCACTGACCACAGTTTCTGAATAATGATGGAGGTGTAGAAAGAGATACCCACACTTTCCTGAATCAGCAGCTTACAAGTGGGAGAAATTTCTATTTCTAACAGGCATAACAAAAGTACCCAAAACTTGTAAAGAGCTACTGCCCATATCTCATCATGCTATTCAAACCTCACAGTAATCCTTTGAGACAGATATTAACAATTATAATTTTACTATTACAAATGAGGATATTGAGGTTCAAAGAAGCAGTGACTTGCTGATGTGAGTGCACCTTATAATTGAAAATGCAGACCACAGGATTCTCAATTCTATCTTCCTTCCATTGTACCTTGCATTCAGTTTAGTTCTACCTACCAGATCCCTAAAATGTGACTTTTAAAGCACTCTATCTTTAACCAGTAACTGGATAAATGTGAAACGCTCCTTATCCATATGAATATACTAACTCTAAGGTAGTATACCTTTTGAAGAAAGAGATCAAAGAATAAGATATCTATATATTGGGTACCTGCTTAACTTACTTTCGGTTTCCTTTTCTATATAAAACCTTTTGGTTTCACAGGTCCTTGATCATTGGTGGCATTCTCATTCACAGTCTGCATCAGAGGCTGTCACGTCATGAGTCGAATGTCCCCTTAACTACTAATATCAGCTCAGGAGATACTTTGCTACAGAAAAGGGAGAAGAGTATTGCCATCCTCTTCACACGTAGTCCCTCTAAATCGTCCTAGAATTTGCCCACTGCCAGTGCATCTTGCTCCCTACACCACTCTGGACAGTGATATCCCTATGGCCACAGAGGAGAGCAAGGTATCCCTAGAAAGCCCCTTCAACATCTGCCTAGTGTCTGTAGTTGCTTACTGTTAACTTACTTTGCCATTTAGCTGAAAACTCAAGTGCCTTAATTCTGCCAACTTTATCTGCCAGGAGTTAACAGTTCAAGTTTCTAAGCCCACAGGCTTCTTCTTATATTTATATTTTTGTAATTAGTAAATATTTCAAACACAGAAAGTAATATAATTGATATCCCTATACCTACCATCCAGCTTTACTAAATTTAACTTTTGCTGCAATTATTTCAGTTTTTAAATATACTCCCTCTAATTGTATTCCTCTGCCCTCTATAAAGTTATAACCTTTTCAGATGTATCTGCAACCCTAAATTTAGTATAGATCATTTTCATAAATATTTATGTGCTTTCATAAATATTTTATATTTTCATAAATATTTTCATGGACATTTCATAGCAAATATCCATAAAAATAAGGTATCATATTGCTTGTTTTATAAAATATTATAAAATAGCTCTACTTTCTGCACTGTGAACTTCTTGATCACTATTTGTTTATTCACCCAAATTAATACCTGTAGCACAAGTTCATTTATTTTAATTACTGTATAGGAGTCAATAGAATGAATATACAAGGATTGCTTAGTCAATATTCTGTTTATAGGCATTTAGGTTTTCTTTTTTACCTTTTATTTTCTTTTAGTTCAATATTTCAAACAAAGTTATAGAAGCAGTTCCTTATGCACATGTGCAAAAATTTTTTTGTGTATATCAATTAGAAGTGGAATTGCTGTGCTATAAATTTTACTAATATTATATATTATTATATATAATATTATACACACACACACACACATATATATATATATGTATGTATGCAGGACATGAATCCTTTAAGAGTCAAAATGCATTGCAGAAGGTCTTCTCAAGTCTCTACTTTATTTTTTCCATGTTACTTATGATTTTGTTTTCTTTTTCTGATAGAGATGTTTCTACTGTTGTCAGCTTTCCCCAACTGTTTCTCTTACATTTTGCATCTCATTTAAGAAATCCTTTTGCTCTGATAAAATAAAGATTTTTTCTCTTATACTTTGTTATATATTTTAATTTTCATATTAGGTCAATAATTCACTGCAATTCAAGTTTGTGTATATTATAAGGATAGATCCAATTTTAGTTTAGCTTGCCTGCCTGCCCTTTCTGTTTTCTTTCTGCTTTCCTTTCTTCTTTATTTTGATAACCAGTTGTCTCATCACTTTTAATTTTGTTGAAGATTTTTGTATCCATGTTCATGAATGACACTGGAACATATTTTCCTTTTTCCCGCTGATATTGTTTTGTTTTTATATCAAGTTTATACTAGAATGATTAGGTGAATCAGTGAGTTTCTTGATTTCTAGTGTCTGCTATGCTTTATGTAAGATTGGTAAAAACTGCCTATCACACCACATGAGTATTATTGGCCAGTTTTGGAGGGAGGATATTTGGAAAGGAACAGTTTTTAACCTGTTACTTCCATTGTCTTAATTGTCATTTGTTATTCAGATTTGTAATCTATTTTCTTGTTAGTAATATTAAAATGTCAATATAGAAATTTATAATAGTATTCTTTAATGATTTATTAAATTGCTTGTCTTTAGTTTTGAGTCTTTCACTTCTAATACTATTTGTGCATTTCCTAGTTTTGTTGATTTCCCATTTAGGAAATGCAGTTTCATAACAAAGTATCTAGTATGTAATTTTTAATTAATCTTGCTTGAAATTTCTTTTACTTATAAACCTGAGAATTCATGTTTCACAAGAATTCTGGGAAACCCTCAATCATAAGCATTTTCAATATTGACTCTTTTCCATTCTATTAATTCTTTCTAGTATTCTTACTAGATATATTTTGGATCCATGGTTCTTAATTTCTCTTTCATATTTTTCATCTTTTTTCATTCGACATCTTCTAGTTTTCTAATTTGGCCATGTCTAATATAATGTTTAAACCATTCTTTTTTTTTTACTTTTATTACTGTAATATAATTTTCACACGTTGTATTTACATATTTTTTAAGATCAACCTGTTCAAATTAACTTGCTTTTTTATGTTTTCAATTTCTTATTCTATATGTGATATAATTAAAGCTACTTATTTTATAGACTTGATTTTATTGCTAAATAGGAAAACCATATGATCATCTCAGGAGATGAAGAAAAAAAATTTTCACAAAATAATTCAACACACACCCAGCATGAAAACCAACCAATAGAACAGTAACCATATTTGTAGAAAACGGCCAATAAAACAGTATTTTCTCAAACTTTAGGACACCTTAAAATACAGCTTATTAATAACATCACATCTCATGAGGAAAGACTGAATACTTCCCCCCAAAATGAAAATAAAGCAAGAATGTCCACTCTTATTACTTATAGTCAGCATTTTATTGAAGGCACTATCTAGTTTTAAAAGCATGGAAAAAGAAATTAAAAGTATGCAGGTTGGAAAGTAAGAAGTAAGATTGTCTGTATACACAAATGATAAAAAAGTTACTAGAACTAATTAATGAGGTTACCAAATCTGTTGAAACCAGATCAATTTTCAAATATCAATTGACAAGCTGATTCTAAGATGTATATGGGAATAGAAAAGATGTAGCTTAACTAAAACAACTATGGAAAAAGAAAAAAAGAAAAACAAAATTGGGGGACATATATTACTTGATTTCAAATTTGACTAAAAAGTCAAAATAGGGTATATTCAGAGAAAATTAGCCGGGCGTGGTGTCGGGCGCCTGTAGTCCCAGCTACTCAGGAGGCTGAGGCAGGAGAATGGCGGGAACCCGGGAGGTGGAGCTTGCAGTGAGCTGAGATCGCGCCACTGCACTCCAGCCTGGGCGAGAGAGCGAGACTCTGTCTCAAAAAAAAAAAAAAAAAAAAATTTGGGTATATTGACAAAATGACAATCATATAGATCGATGAAACAGTATAGAGTCGAGAGACAGATGTACATATATATGGGCCAAGGTAATGTAATAGGGGAAGGGCAGTCTTTTAAACAAATGGCGCTGTAACAGTTACATATCTTTGTTTAAAAAAATAAAAAAAAAACTTGAACCTTACTTCACATCATGTACACTAACTCAAAATAGATCATTGATCTAAGTATGACAGGTAAAACTATAAATTTTACATGAAATCTTGGAGAAATTTTCATACTTTTGCATTAAGCAAAGATGTTCAAAATAAGACCAAAATTACCATGAATTTTAAAATAATATTTGATAACTTGGCTTCATCAAAGTTTTTTGTTTTGTTTTGTTTTGAGATGGAGTTTCACTCTTGTTGCCCAGGCTGGAGTACAATGGCGCAATCTTGGCTCACCACAACCTCTGCCTCCTGGGTTCAAGCTATTCTCCTGCCTCAGCCTTGCAAGTAGCTAGGATTACAGGCGTGCACCTCCAAGCCCGGCTAATTTTGTAGTTTTAGTAGAGACAGGGTTTCTCCGTGTTGGTCAGGCTGGTCTCGAACTCCTGACCTCAGGTGATCCGCCTGCCTTGGCCTCCCAAAGTGCTGGGATTACAGGCATGAGCCACCGCGCCTGGCCTCATCAAAGTTTTAAACTTCTGCTCTTCTGAAAGACACTATCAAGAAAATAAAAAGACAAGACACCTACTGGGAAAAATATTTGGAAAACATATTTCTAATAAAACTTGAACCCAAAATATATAAAGAAAATATAAAAAACACCACTCAAACAGCTTCATTTTACAGGCAAAATCTTTGTAGAGACATTTCACCAAAGAAGAATACAAATGGTAAAACAGCACATAAAAAATTTATCAAGATCATTAGTCATTAGAGAAATTCAACTTAAAATCACAGTGATAAACCACTACTTACGTTTTAGAATGCCTAATTAAAAAAAAAAAAGCTGATTAAGTCCAAATGTTGGAAAGTGAGTGTATCAACTAGAGCTGTCATATACTGCTGATGAAAATGGAAAAAAAAGGAGTTTTTAAAATAAAATTAATTATTCACATATCATATGACACAGAAATTCCTCTCCTGGGTATTCTCCCAAGAGAAATGAAAACATATGTACTCATGAACATATATATATGCACATTCAATATATGTATGTTGTTTACAGTGAGTAGCTTTTGCATATATTTTGCTAAACTTATCCTAAAAAAATCCTTTCATACATTGGTGCTAAAATTTCAATTTTTGTTCATTCCTGGTATTAAGAAGTTCAACTGATATTTGGAAATAGATCTTGGTTTCAACATATACCTACATTCATAGATATATGAATTGTTATAGTGAATATATTAATAGCCAAAACCTTGGAAACAGCCCAAGTGTTCATCAACAAGAAAGTATGTAAACAAACTGTTCTATATCCATAAAATGGAATACTATTGAGCTACTAAAAGGAGACAGTAACAACATGGATGAATCCTAAAAACATCCTGCTGAGGGAATAGAGGAGAAAAAACATTACTCTGTAAATAATAGTCAGTAGTATTCTATGTATATGGAATTCTTTAAAAAGTAAAACTGTAGTAACAAAGTACATCAATGAACGTCTGGGACTATGGGTAGAGTGGGGTGACGAAGATCAACTACAAAAAGATGTAAGGGAAATTGCATGGTGATGATTTTTATATTGATTATGTAGAGTTTAAACCTATGTCAAAACTGTAACAAATGGGTCAATATTATTCCATGTTAATTATATTTTATTAACATGAATTTAAAAACAGAAATAATTTTGTTATACATCTCTATTATGTTGTGCCCTGAGACAAAAAAATCTTAATAAAAAATCTTAAACTGTTTTATATAAGCATATTTTATCAGTAACATCACTCTTGTTATTCTAAGAATTTTGTATGTATACATAGTAGAGAGCATAAAAGCTATTAAGCTGTCCTTGGAAACCAGGACTTTTGGAGTAGATTATGGGAGAAAGAGACATAGATAGGTATGTTTAAGTAAAAACTCTGTAGTGCTAAATTTGAATAAAAAGTATCTGTATGAATGCATGATATTTTGATCTTTAAAGAAAAACAACCCTATCTACTGAAAAACAAGTCCTAAAAGTAAAAACTGATTCAGCTGCAGTGATAAGCCCCCTCCCCAATAATTACATTGTAGTTCTTATGTACCACTTCCCATTAGAATGAATCAGTGTTCCTTGGGAAAATAGCTGACCACTCAGGTCTAGGGTGGCAAATGAACATAGAGCCCAGAATGTCGTATCAGAAAGTAAGGAAACTATTAAAGCCATTAAGAACATGTCAAAAGATACTGAAGCCAATTGAAAAGCCTTCCACACACCAAAAATGGGGCAATTTGACCATTAAAAAAGAATAATAGGCTGGGTGCCATGTCTCACGGCTGTTATCCTGGCACTTGACAAGGCCGAGGTGGGCGGATCACTTGAGGTTAGGAGTTCAAGACCAGACTGGCCAACACGGTGAAACCTTGTCTTTACTAAAAATACAAAAATTAGCTGGGCGTGGTGGCAGGCACCTGTAATCCCAGCTTCTCAGGAGGCTGAGGGAGGAGAATCACTTGAATCCGGGAGGCGGGGGTTACAGTGAGCCGAGATGGCGCCACTGCACTTCAGTCTGGGAGACAGGGCAAGACTCCATCTCAAAAATAATAATAGTCATAATAATAACCTCCAAGATTAAAACCCTTGAAATATGTATATGAGTTTATAATAATACTTGTAAAAATTCATTGTTACTCTTCAAGGAAACCAACTCATTCTTTTTAAAATTGGCAAGTAAAGGGAAATAAACACTTACCTTATTTGGTATCTGAGGATAACCATCAGCAAAACTTACACTGCAGAAAACCCTACAGAACAAATGACCCAGTTTAAAATACTGTTTAAAATATATAAAAAGAAAGAAAAATAGAGGTAGGCTTAGTGTATAGATCAAAATTATAGATGAAAATTTATAGGTAAAAATCTATAGATCAAAAGAGATAAGGTATGTTTCTACTAAATGCAATGAGTGGACTAGTGTCCCAATTTAAACAATTTTTTAAAAATCAGAGAAATTTTTGTATTGATTGGCTAATATTTAAAAGCATGATAATAAAATCGTGACTGTGCATTTGTTTTGAAAGAAAATATTCTTTTAGAAATACATGCTGAAATATGTGCAGATGACATGATACGGTATCTGGAATTTGCTATGAAAAATCTGAAGCATGGGGGATGTAGGTAAGGGTGAAAATGAAAGTTACCCATGAGTTGATAATTATGTAAGCTGAGTGTTTTCTACATGGGGTGTTTTTACTCTATTTTCTCTTATTGTGAATAGATTCAAAATTTTCCACAACAAAAAAGTTTCATAATGTCCCTCTGGGCAAAATCACTTGTGGAAGAAAACAGACAAGACCTAGATAGGAGTGATTAAAGAAACAAAACAAAATAAAACAAAAGCTTGCCTTCTCCCTTTTGATGGTCTTGTTCATGAATAACTTCCCAGTGCTTCTATTATTCTAGTATAGTGAGAAGAGATTGAGTAAGACAAGATAATTAAACTTCAGATAATATAGAGTACCTTTGGTAAAAAGACTGCATGAAAGTTGTATGAACATATTCTGAATGTATCTTCCAGAATGCTTGCAGTTACCCTATGATTAAAGATTTTTGGTTATAATTATGTATTTTAAAAGAAAAATTCTGCCCTAAAGAACATTCACTATAAAATGTAAGCAGACATGGTGATAAATGTTTCTTTTTACAATTTAAACATAATTTGCAAAAAAAAATTAAGGAAGACTTTTTTATCAATGTGATACTATTTATACTGTTTATTAAACAGTTACAATAGGAATATGATTAATTGCATATAATCAAAGTGAATATAAAGTATAGGAATGAGTATTACGAATAACAAATTTGTGTTTGCATTATTCAAATTCAAAGTTGTAACTAAATCTTATCCAAAATATTTGAAATAATCTTCTTTGATTCTAAACACCATTGAATTGAGAAAACCACAGTTATAGCTAAAATTTGACTTACGAACTTTCTTTTTCAAATTACAGAAATATTCTCATCAGCAAGCTGTTGGCTGATGTGACCTTAGCTTTTCAGAAGACATTCCAAAAATAAAACACACTTCAGTGAGTCATGAGAAAAAGTATTTTTCGGGGATACTGCATAGGATTTAAGGAAGTAACCTTTTCCTTTGATGCAGTAAGTTGCTATAATATCTATTTGACTATACAGTAGTCCTTTCTTAGCCATGGTTTTCTTTCCTCTGGTTTCAGTTATCCGTAGTCAACCATGGTTTGAAAATAGGTGGGTATAGTACAGTACAAGATATTTTGAGAGAGAGAGGAAGAGAGAGATCACATTTCTATAAATTTTATTACAGTATATTCTTTTTTTTTTTTTGAGACGGAGTCTCGCTCTGTCGCCCAGGCTGGAGTGCAGTGGCGCGATCTCGGCTCACTGCAAGCTCCGCCTCCCGGGTTCACGCCATTCTCCTGCCTCAGCCTCCCAAGTAGCTGGGACTACAGGCGCCCGCCACTACGCCCGGCTAATTTTTTGTATTTTTAGTAGAGACGGGGTTTCACCTTTTTAGCCGGGATGGTCTCAATCTCCTGACCTCGTGATCCGCCCGCCTCGGCCTCCCAAAGTGCTGGGATTACAGGCGTGAGCCACCGCGCCCGGCCTACAGTATATTCTTATGTTTATTCTATTTTGTTATTGTTAATATTTTACTGTGCCTAATTTATAAATTCAACTTTATCATAGGTATGTATGTATAGGAAAAAATATATAGAAATAATTGGCACTTTCTGTGGTTTTAAGTATTCATTAGGGGTCTCAGAACATATTCCTGGCAGATAATTGGAGGCTACTGTATTCATTGTTAAGACTATGAGGTGCGCACACACAAACACACACATACACAGAGTAGGTTAAATTATGTTAACAGGTCTAGAAAATTAACTATCATTCTAAACTAAAAAGATATTAGACAGGCTGAAGTTATACCTCATTATTACCTGTTACTCCAAAGTTGTTGTTTTGCTCTAACTCGTTTTCCAAATTCACAACATAAACTGCAGGTATTAGAAAACTTTTCATTCTAACTCTTTCAACCAATAATTTTATTGTCAAATTCATCTTCCCAGGAAAATATAACAATAACCTATATTTGAAACTGTGTATATTGGTCCTTAGTTATGATTGTAGCCTTCATAGTTCTGGCCCCAAAAGTAAGGTATTAATGTGCTTTTATATACTGTATACTTTTTAAAAGAATTCCTCACCACCTGTGGGTAACAAGATATTCTTTGAAAATTATTTTTTCATAACTATACTTTTACCTCTTACATTTGGGTTTTAAATATATTTGAATTTCCCTCATATATGTACAAAAAAAGAAACTGAAGTATAAAGATTGAAAAGTTGATCAACATTGGGATTTATAAACAGTGTGACTCTATAGAAAAATGAATAGAATTAACAATTAGAGTTAGTAGGATAGGTTAGCAAAGTTGCTAAAGTTAAACTGAGCAAAAATAATATGGTAGCCCCCTGCCTTCATCATTGGGTGGTACATTCCAAGATTTATCCTGGTTGTCATGTGTGGCAGGGATTCCTTCTTCTTTCTGGCTGAATAATATTTCTTTGTATACCACATTTTCTTTATTCATTCATCTGTTACTGGATATCCCTTCAATTGGCAATGTACATGCACAACTCCAGAGAAGAAACATGCACAAGAGAGGATTTGAGAGGCCTGTGGAGTTTCTGTCTGGGCTGATTGGTGGGGGTTTTCTCCTGTAAAAGACTAGTTCATGAAGACCAGGAAAGGTGGTTTTTTTTACTAATATGCATGTAACAATATAGAGACTTAAGGGAAATGAAGAAACAGGTAAATTATGGCCCAAAGGAACAGATACATCTCCAAAAACTAACACTAATAAAGAGATATATAATTTACCTAAATTATATATAAATAAAATAGCATCTTTATGGCAGATAAATTAAAATATCTTCCATAAAGATGCTCAACAAGGTCAACAGGATACCAAGGTCAGCATAAATAAACTGAGGATTTTAACAGAAATTCTATGAAAATTTACCAAACAGAATTTTGGATCTGAAGAATGCAATAACTGAATTGAAACATTCACTAGAAGATTTCAGCAGCAGACTAGATTAGGTTAAAAAAAAAGTCAGCAAATTTGAAGACAGATCATTGGAAATTACTCAGAGAAGCAAAAAAAAAAAAAAAAAAGAAAAAAAGAATGAATGAAAAGGATTGAAGAAAACATGATGATGAGTTTATGGGACACAATCAATGGGCCAATATACACACATATTATGTGAGTTCCAGAACAAGATAAGCGAAAGAAAGGGCCAAAAACTTATTCAAAAAAATAATAACTGAAAACTTCCCACATCTGGTGAAGGAAATAGATATTCACATCTAGGAAGTTCAACAGATCACAAGTAAGATGAACCCAACTGGTCTACACTGAGACATGTTATTATCAAACTGTAAAAAGGCAGATGAAAAATTCTGAAAACTCCAAGAGAAAAATGACTTGTCACATATTAAGACATCCTCATAAGGCTATTAGTGGATTTCTCAACAAAAGTTGCTTCTCTTTAAAAAAAAGTCTACTATTTTCTGATTATCTTCTTCTGCCTTCTGTTATAGTACATCAATTTTATTTTCTTATTCAGTAAATTATTATTTGGATTTTTTCATCTTGTACTTTTCTGATCTACTTTAATATGCATTTCACATTACATTGTTTATTTCTCTAGTTATTCTTGAATATTTTTAATGACTTCTTCTTCTTACTTCATCACTATATCTACCTTAAACTATCTGAGTACACTTACTATGCTATTTTTAATGTTTTGAACTTTCTTTTCTAATAATTTTGGTTCGTTTAGTAAAAAGTGTCTATATGTTTCTTTCATCCCGTGTGCTTATGTTCCCTTAGTGGTATTGACTATTACACTAGTAATACGTACTAGTGAAATGTTGAATGCTGACCCCTAGAGTCATCATAAAGAAGTATGTCATGATTAGAATTTATATATGGCAAAAACAAAAGTGTTCAATATTACTATTTTTCTGTAAAGATTTTAACATAATCACCTTCTACTGTTTCTTTTATTTTAATTATGTATAATTACTTTGTAGGACTTAAAGTTATTCCGCCATCATTTTTCCTTCATTGAAACATTAAACATAGCTCTGATTTTCTTTTTTAAATAAAGATAATCAGATACTTATTTGAAATTCTTAATTATTTTTTATAATACCTGAAATTTTTTAATTTCCGTAAATGAGACCTCAGGCCTTCAAAATGTCTTTGAATTTGGTGTAAAAAATTTACTTAGAGCACTTGAGATACAAAATAATGAAAGCATACTAATTACATGTTATTGTATTTGGCCAGTAAGAAAGAATGGCTAAGGCAACCAAATGGTTAATCCAAGCATAACCATGCATGTATTACACAATTTTTCTCACCTTCCGTATTGAACGTTGACATCAAGTAATATAAGACTGCTGATCAGAGGAAGTGACCTGAGGGACAAAATAGACTGCAATGTGACTGGAAGAAGAATCTTAGTGTCTGCATCTTTTAGTATCTTTCACTTATGTAGATATTGGGGTAAAAATAAAAATTTGTGTCTTCTTTTCTGATTTCAGATGTCTTTCCACATATGTAGTGGCATTCTGCTACCAGCATGGCTGACCCACAATAGCTGATTTTTAAATCTTTAGGAATTTTGTAATGAAGTTGTTAAAAATCATTTAAAACTATTATTAAAATTAAAGTCATTTTAAAATGCCAGCCAATATTAAAAATTAACTTCTATATACTTACAAATATTAGTTTACTGAATTTTACTATCATCTATGCTCTTGAGGTTATTTGCAACTATTTTCTGAATGGTAGAAATGCCACACAATGATGTGCTGCTGTGCATCTCTTCTCAGTTTCACATTCTGCAGCATCAGAAGCTGGTAGCTTGAAATGAGTCGTAGCGTTAGTATCTATACCTCAGAAATCTGCAAGCACCGCACCTCAGGATTTGATTTATTGTTTTGTAGATAATCTAAATTTAAGAAAATGATAGAGAAAATGCTAATAAGGCAAATTACAAATAAAAGTGTGTAGAGCCTGTAGTGGTTATGTTGTGATTAGCACAAAAAATGAGGAAATATTCTTCTAGTATTCACAAACTATTATCTAACTCAACAAAGGAGTCACTCATGTCGAAGACAAACAAGTGAGGTTTCTACACCTACCACAATTGCTTCACTTTCATCTTATTCATTATCATAAGTGAAAATATCAACCAACAATCAGGTCAGAACTACACTAATTCATGAATTGCAACCATTTTGGCTATAGATACCAGGTTCAGCAAAATTCAACTGAAGAATTATGTGAGAATTAATGGACTATATGAAACTTACAACAGAGTATTGTATATATTGTTATTATTTTTAAATTGTGTGTTATACAACCTTTATATCAGTAAAAGTCATAGTAAACCTGCATATGTATAAATGGATATACATATGTAGATTTTTTAAAAATAGAGCTGGTTTTTAAACACCTGTGAGCACGCCACTACCACTGTGCACGTGGATTAAGTCTCAGATAACTCCAAATATCCATTTAACTTCTCACATCATGGTTCATCCTTTGGTTCATTGTCTCTCTCCCTTTTTCTCTCTCTCCCTCTCTCTCTCTTTTTTTTTTTTTTTTTTTTTTTTAATCACACATCACTAGATGGTGAAGGACATGAGAGTACCCAGGAAGGAAGGCTTATAAAGAATTTGTGATTTTAGTTGATCTCTTACACTTGACAGAGAAAGAAATCTGCACCTCAAATCTTCTTCACTAGGGCTGTATGAAGACTAGCATTTCAGCAAACAGTTGCTGTAGAGATGCAAATCCAGTTGGATTCAGCATGAAGTGTGCAAGTAAAAATACTTGATTCGTGGACTTCCTGATAAGACCTATCTCAAGGCAGCAATAAAGGCTATGTATGACCATTGTCTCAATACTTGCAAAAATAACAGAAACTCAGATTGAGATTGGAGACTTTTCTTGGCCATAGCTAACAGCTCCTAGTATTTTAAATATGATTAAACATAACCACAAATGAAGAGTGTATTATTAAATAAGGTTGCAGGGAACTATTTAAACAAAGACTCTTAACATGGGGGGTAAGTCTGCATGGCAAATTCATGTAGACCTTTTCTGTCTTAGGAGAGGTTATTTTGTTTATTTGTTTGTTTGTTTTTTCTTCAGTCTGAGGATGTTGATTGAAAATTGCTAACAATTTGAAATAGCGAGTAGGTTGAAGTCATGTTTTTGTATTTAGTAACCAGCCCACATATTCCTATTTAAAAACAAGGTTGCAAAAATTAGGGTTTTCACTCCATCTGTTTAAAACTGGTTTTCCTAGTCTGGGAGTTCTTTTTTAATATCATAAAATAAAATATTTCTCACTAAAACATGACAAAAACTTTATTACTAAGAAATCAGAGCTATTCTGTGGAGATTTGGAAAGAAAAAATAATCCAGTTCACTTTAGAACAAATCCTCTCATAGTTACCCATTGTTAGTATTTTGACATTTCTACCTTTTAGAATACAAGTTAGGATTTATTACATGTCATTCAGCAAGAATAAACAAATGAAAAAACCCTGCAGCTAATAAATTCAGCATACCTGTAATGAAAATAAATGCTGGTATTCCATGTTTTTTGCAGATTTACTAGATTTTCCTTAAAAGAATGGATTAAGTATAGATATTCACTGTATACAATATTTTACAATAAGGTTCTTTGAAATAGCAAGCTCCCACTAATGAGCTGAATAAAAGAATAGCTAGGATGGAAGGAATTGTAGTGAGTAGGCCTACATACACATTGTCACTACCAGGAACTAAGGCTCTGTTATCTTGTCTGAAACATACAGCTAGTATATATACATACGTACCCAATGGGGACAAGAGCTTGTGTCACCTAACTTCCCTTCTTTCAGAAAGAATAAAATTATCAGTGGATTGGAAGAGAGGTGGGAGATTTTGTTTCCAAATTCTTTTCTGCATCTGAAAATTTTTAACTCTGACTCTTAAAATTGGATAGCCATACAACATGTCAGAAACATATCCACCGGGCAAAATAAAGTTTACTCACTTACCTAGTGAACATGACTTTATAGAGAGCAACTAAAAAGGTATCCATATGCAGAATCAGAGACATTTGAAATTAAAGGATATGTGGAGACTAGAGAAGAAATGTTTTATTCTAAACTCTGTATGTTAACTATAAACATGGATTGATACTTTTTAAACATAAAATATATCATAATATAAATATCAAAATGAGTGTTGTTCCATTCAATAGCATGGCTCTTGTTATACTATGACACTCACAACCCAATTTTGAAAGTTCTTCCAGAGCCACTTTATGAGCCATCAGTGAAAAGGAGAGTCTCATTATGTTTCAGTCCCAACACATTTTTGATGAAGAATGTATAAGCTCTGCTTTGTTCATACCATGTTCTCTACAGTGGGCTTTAAATGATTTCAGGCTATTTCCTAAACCAAGTCTACTCTCAAAGAGATAAAACACATTCACTGTTAAATGTATTAATGTTATGTTAAATTTTCACAAGCTCTTAAGATAATTATAAAAAGTTGCAAGAAACATGTTTAGACAATGATGGTCATTGAAGTCAGTGCACCACCTGCCAGTAGGTTGATTTTGAGATGAAAACACTACTTGGAAGTTACAGCCTGATATGTTAAAAAATGTATATGGCCATACCACCCTGAACGCATCCAATCTCATCTGATATGTTAAAAAAAATCATGTCACATTTTAGGTGCAGATTTCTTTCTCTGTCAAGTGTTAAGAGATCAACTAAAATCACAAATTCTTTATAAGCCTTCCTTCCTGGGTACTCTCCTGTCCTTCACCATCTAGTGATGTGTGATTAAAGAAAAAAAAAAGAGAGAGAGAGGGAGAGAGAGAAAAAGGGAGAGAGACAATGAACCAAAGGATGAACCATGATGTGAGAAGTTAAATGGATGTTTGGAGTTAATCATGTCAGTTAAATGTGGCATGAGATTTTAAAATAAAATATAGGTGTCCAGAGTTTTTAGGGCTTCTTCTAGATGTCAGCTAAGGAATTTTATTCTTTAGGGACTGTTTATAATTGTACTTTTCAAGTAATACTGAATTCATTTCAATAATCAGCCTTTATCTCATTCATTCATTCATTCACTCAAGTGTCAGGAATACAGCTGTAGAAAAACAGGCGCTTATTCTCCAGTGAAAGAAACTGAAAATAAATACGTGGTGACTAATATAAAGTCAGGGTAAGAAGAGCTATGGGGAAAAATTAAGCAAAAGAAGGATGTGTTAAGGAACGCCAACTTAATCAAGAAAGTCCTCTTTGAGAAGCTGACAAATGAGCATAAATCTAAGTGCAGATAGTGGAAATGTGTTCCTACCAGAAGGAACAATTGCATAGATTCTGAGGACTTTGAAGAATGACAAGGTGCAAATTGAGGCTGAAGAGCAGTGAGCAGGAGGCTGGTGATAAGAGAGATGGACCTTTCCTTAGCATGGAGTTTGGAAAGTAATGAAGGGCACAGTACCTGGAGTCAGATCATTTGGATCTACATGCTAGCTTTATTGAATATTATCTGTATACAATTTACCTAACCTCTCCATGTTTTGGATCCCCACCTGCCAAATGGGGAAAGCAGTAGTAATGTCTCATAGATGTGCCAATTAAATAACATGCATGGCACTTTACATGTTGCATAAAAGATGACATATTAGGTGAAGAAAGAGTAGAGACATGAAGTAGTATCTTTTTTAAAAAAGAACATTGTCTGTTCACATATTAAAATGGGAAACCTTATAAAGATTTAACCTTTTAGTTCTACCTTGTAATTAGGGCTTCCCATGCAGTTATTTCTTTCAACCCTCTCTGCAACAGCTGCCATTTATTTACATTTAGGTTTAGCTGCCTTTCTTTAAAGCAACACTCTTTCTACCCAAGATCATAATAAAAAAGGCAACGTTTAATGATTTTTTCTATAATCACAGAAGTATTAAATGTTCCCTAAAGACATTTTTAACAACCAGAATTATAAATATAAGAAAATAATATACATCATGGCTGTAATCACAGAATACCTTCCAAGATCATTACATATTGGTGAATTGAACTATTTCCAGTGATTTAATATTGTGGTAAATGTTTGATCATATTTTATGGCCACAGTTTGAATCATATTGGTCTGCTCCAAAACTTGTGCTCCTTCTTCACATAAACTTATAGCATAAAATACCCTGGGTATAAGAATGCCAAAGAGCTTTTGAAAAGGGCTTAATAGTCAATGATATCTTCACTTATTGAGAAAGCCCTAATAAATAATAATATAAAACACTTTACTGTAGCATGTAAGTACAATACTATATTAGCTGGATAAAGTTTTATTACAAGATCGTGCTAATGTAAAGCACTCAGCAATCTAGGAAACAGAGATGAAAGAACACATATAATCTATCTTCTGTTTAACAGACAAGAATCCTGAGACTCAGAGAAAATGCTATCTGTTTAAAAGTCACAGAAGACAAAACAGTAAATTTTTAAAATACCAAACCTAATTCAGTGCCTTTTTAGTTTTTGAGAACAAATTTTTATAGAATAAATAACAATCACGTGACTAGACTTCAAAAAAACTTAGAACATTAATTTTTAGGTGGGGTTTTCTTTGTGTGCTGATCTGCAGCCATGAACTACGAGAGCCTTGTTTCACTAAAGGCTATGACCAATCAGAACTTTGAGAAGATTTCTTTTGATAGTAAGTAAGATAATATCATAGAAAAGGACTTGAAGTATGGAAATCCACTATTTTAAACCTATTTTATATAGATAGACATTCTATTTTGAAACTTTTAGAATAAGAAGCACAGCAATGAAGGAAAAGTAAGGAATAATAAAATTTTTAATTTGTTTTAAAAATTACTAAGATTTGTTAAAGGACCTTCCGAAGTGTGGTGTGCACACACACACACACACACACACACACACACAAAGACATGCTCCCAGATGGAAAGATCTATACTGTAAACATATCAGAACAACCCAAATTAATCTATACATTTAACATAATTTTAATCAAAATTAATTCTAAACATACTTCCCATACTTTCCACTTATTTTTAAGTAAAGTTTTAATTTTGAGATAATTGTAGCTTTATGTGCAGCTTTAAGAAATCAGACAGAGACATATATGTACCCTTTATCTAATTCCCCCCATGGGAACAACTTGCAAAACTGTAGTACAATATCACAACCAGGATTTTGACAATCATTTTCCAAGACACTGCTTCTGTCACAATTGCTGACGTACCATTGGCCCAGCAAATAACATGGCTCAATTTAGAATATGGGGCAAGATAATTTACTCCAACATCTTGTTCAAAGAAGCTACAAAGTCCTGGTGAAGGGCATAGCTACAGGGAGAGCTGATGATCTGGGGACATTATGGGATCAGTCCACCATACCAACTGATATAGTTTGGATATTTGTCCCCACCCAAATCTCATGATGAATTGTATTATCTGATGCTGGAGATGGGTCCTGGTGGGAGATGTTTGAATCATGGGGGTGGGTCGCTTATAGATTGGTACTGTCTTCGTGACAGTGAGCTCTCTCAAGATCTGGTCATTTAAAAGTGTGTGGCACTTACCCACTTCTTTGCTCCTGCTTTTGCCATGTGAAATGCCTATTCCCACTTCACTTTCTGCCATGATTGTAAGCTCCCTGAGGCTTCCCCAGAAACAGATGCTTCCTGTACAGCTTGCAGAACCATCAGCCAATTAAGCCTCTTTTTTAAAATAAATTACCCATTCTCAGGTATTTCTTTATAGTAATCCACAATGGCCTAATATACCAACTTATGACATTGCTGTAAGGATGAAATAGTGTACTTCAAAGCCCTTCGTATAATACATTTTACACATTTTGTTACTCTCATATTAGCATGATATTCTCATTATTAGCATGACATTTATAACAAAGCTGTTTTTACTAACCTATAGCTTTAGGACAGAGGTCAGCAAAGTTTGGCCCCTGGGCTACACCTGGCCCACTATCTCTTTTTATATAGCCCGTAAGAATAGGTTTACATTTTTAAACGATTGAAAAAAGAATTAAAATTTAAGGATAATATTTTGTTTCATGTGGAAATTATATAAAATCTAAATTTCAGTGTCCATAAAGTTTCACCGGAACACAGCCATCCTCAGTTTACATATTGTCTAGACTGCTTTTCCACACCAATGGCAGAACTGAGTAGTTGCAAGAAGAGCTATGTGGACTGCATTGCCTAAAATATTTACTATCTGGTCCTTTACAGAGAAAGTTTGCCAACCCCCTGTTTCAGAATATTTATGTGGAGCTCCTTAGGTTTTAAACAGACATTTTTAAAGAAGTCTAGCCTGGTTATTGAGTCACTTCTCTAAGATCCTTCAGTGAATATTTGGAAGGGTTAGGACTGCTATTACATGTGACTTTGACTAGAAATATTGTTAATGTACCTGCTTTGTCAGCTTAATACATACCTTATTTTCCTCCCTCACGGCTCTTTTGTTTTAATATTTCAACTTCACACTAGCTGGCTATCCCTGTACTCCTTGCAGCCCAGGTTTGGAACATTAACTGATATGAGTCTTAGTGGCTAGTTGTTGCCTGCAAAATTTTCCTAAAGAAAAAGTCCACTCCTGGAAGCACGTGTCAATTCTCCTTCCTGTCAGAGGCAACAAAAACTATTAATATAACCCCCAGGCTGGAGTCTATTGGCTCTGACCTAACTATTTAGGTTCAAGCTAGACATAATCCTGCAGAAATAGTGGATAATAACTAGTAAAAGGAATAGGCTGGCACGGAACTCAGATATTCCAACTACAACTGTTAGAATAATACTACATTGGCTAGGCACGGTGGCTCATGCCTGTAATCCCAGCACTTTGGGAGGCCGAGGCGGTGGATCACCTGATTTCAGGAGTTTGAGACCAGCCTGGCCAACATGGTAAAACCCCATCTCTTCTAAAAATAGAAAAATTAGCTGGACATGGTGGCAGGCGCCTGTAATCCCAGCTACCCGGGAGGCTGAGGCAGGAGAATCACTTGAACCCGGGAGGCAGAGGTTGCAGTGAGCTGAGATCATGCTATTGTATTCCAGCCTGGGTGACAAGGGCAAAACTCTGTTTGAAAAAACAAAACAAACAAACAAAAAAGAAAAACAACAACAATAATACTACATTACTCTATATGTGTGGTTCATAAGATGTTTAGCTCACATTTTCAAATCATCTTTATTTTTTAAATTAAATAATTTTTTATCGAAATAAACATGTCAGAATTAAAAATCTACCCTCAAGCATACCATTATGCTTATATATACTACCTTTCAGTTTTGAACTACTTTCAGTTATCAATATATTTAATTTTATGGCTAGTAACTAAACTAGCCTGAGCAATTTTATGTAATTCTTCATAATCAAGTGTAAACATAAGCCTCATTTTTTATCTTTCTTAATGCTAAAATAAATTTCTAGGTATTCAGTACAGTTTGGGATCAAAATACTATTAATTTTGGCCATAGGTACAAGCCACGAGACATGTCCTCTGTCCATCAGATATTTTGTGGCTCAAACAGCAGTTTTCTTAACACTTCTTTGTCTCAGAATTTGCCTTCCCAGTTGAGATGCTCTCTCTTTCTGTCTCAACTGGTGAAATAAAGAATCTACATCCCTGTTGTCTCTTGCAGTAAATACGTCGTCTATGTCTGCTTTTTCCAATCATAAGAAATTGTCAGGAGCCTGAGACCAGCCTGGCCAACAGACCAGCCTGGGGAAGCCCCGTCTCTACTAAAAATGCAAAAATTAGCTGGGTGTGGTGGTGGGTGCCTGTAATCTCAGCTACTTGGGAGCCTGAGGCAGGAGAATCATTTAAACCCAGGGATTCATCCTGAATCAGTTATTTGAACTCTGTACACATCTTTCCCTCTACATGACTAAAAACGAGAGTGATTACAGCCAGGTAGCTACAACTTCCAAAACAGCATCCAATTGGCATTTTACAATCAAATGTAAACACTTTTTCCCTTTACTTTAAATGAAGTAAGAAGAACTTTTCTTCTGCCTAGCAAAGCTCAGTGAACTGCTCTGACAAGTGGCTTGGAAAGTGAAAGCTGAAATTGGCTTCTATGCTTTTTAAATGGTCATCTAAATGATACGTGTTGAAAACTGACAGCAAGTAAGTTGCTAAAATAACAGTATTAAAGTATTCATATACTAAAAAGGACACTATAGATATTTTAGAAAGTGTACATTAACCTATTTCAAGAACATTTTGAGACCGAATTGTTCATTTAATCTGTCATCTTCCTTTGTTTTAAAATCACTCTGAGAGCTGTCTGTTTCAAACTCTCATTATTTTAAGCCATTCTGAGTTTAGACGAATAACTGTATCTGAACCATTCTCCCCTCTTATGCAGCAGAAAGTCAGCTATTTATTCATGAAAAACTAGAAGAGAAAGTGGAAGGGGTTTCAGAGTAGGACTCTTGGAGAGCACTCTGCCAGTGCCAGAGAACAACTTTATTGAGTTAGGTAGAGATGGACTTTGGAGCTGGTGATAAAGTAAAACAGGAGACATTTTCACAAAGAGAACCAACAGGTGTGCTCAGAACTGCAGAGAAAAAAAAAACGTGCATCACAGGGGCAATTTTCTGTGATTCTCAAAAATCTGCTTTTGTTCAGCTGACATTAAACTTCTTCACTTTGTTTTTCAATTCTAAAGATGCCAAGAATTCACTGGCTAAAAATATGAGAGGAAAAACCATGCTACATTTCAAAATTTAGTCACTTTAAGTGCCGTGTAAAGAGTCTTGTACTTGAGGGCAAAGCACACTTTGATCAAAGCACTTGGGTCCTGTTGTGAAGCTTTGAAGAGAAAATGCAACATCCTAAGCGCATAACAATGAAAAAGGGAAAAAGACAGATGGGAAGAGAAGACCAAGAAACTGCTCTCCTTTTGTCATTTTCTCCCTCTTTATCCTTTCATATCTATTGCCCTTAGCATTTTTTTTGTTTGTTTTGTCTGTTTGGGCCCCTTCCCTTTTCCTTTTTTTCCCTGCCCTTCTGAAGGTAATAGCTATTATAAACCTGCTTCACTGTAGGAACTGAGGCTTCTGCTGCATTCTCCTCTTTTTAGAGGAACAAGAAAACGTTTACTGTGTGAAGCATTCAGAACTTACTCTGGTTGTCAACTTCTAAGTTGAGAGCATATTTTACCCTTTCCAACTTTTGAGTTATGTTAACTGCTAAAGAGTAACATGACTTGTGGGCATTAGGAAAACGTCCTCCAAGGTTGAACGGGCACACAATAGCTCAAAGTTATTCTTATAATGAAAAAAATAAGAACTAAATTTCCTTTGAAATCTATTACTGAAAATGCAGGATGAAGATGGAGGTGGGGTACTACTTGCGATTTTTGTTGAGCAACGCACGTTGCAGAAGTCTTTCAAATGTATAACCTGTTTCCCAAAGGACCAGCCATTTCTCCCATTTATATTTTATCAAGGTGTTGCTGGTCAGAGACTGTTTTCAAGTGCCTTCCTGGCAAAGCCAGAGACTAATAGATTAATGGTGGTAATAGCAGCCTCAGTGAAAGAGTTCTAAAAATACAGTACCTTTCAAAATCTCTGCTGATACAAAGGCCGGATGATAACATCTAGATTATTGCTCTAGGAATATTTTCAGCCCAGAGGGCATGCACTGAATAAAACAGGGGCAAGACTATTATGTAATCTACATTTCCCCTTAATAACTCTGGCCCCTGGCCTTGTGGTTTTCACATATCGTTTCAAAGACTTTCCTATTATTTTTAGACAAATATTTTTTCAGACACATGGAAATGTATTATAGAAAGTATAATGGTAATTTTAAACATCTTATAGGTTAAGTTTTTTTTTCTGTGGTTGTGGAGTTGAAGTGACATTGAAGAGGATCATGATATGAATCCAAAGCAAAATTGCAAAATGGCGGTTTGTAGGCCATAACACATCTGTTCTGCTTGAACTGTAATATATTAGAAGAATTTGAGTCAACTTTTAAAATCTATAAATTTCCCATTAAAAAGTCAGGGTGCCCAGCTTCTCCTGAAAACTTGGAAGATCTGGTTGCACTAAGTCTATATTCAGAAACAGCAAAAATCAACCAAAGCTAAGTAGCAGCAGCTGCTAGCAGGCAGCTCTGGCCAATGTTCCCTGGAATCCTTGATACTTATTGCATCCTTACGCAGTCCTTGTGTTATATACCTACTGTCCTCCCACTGCATTCATGCATACAACTTTCCCCGAAGGCTTTTGAGTCTGTGATCCTCATTCCAACCAAACACTAAAATTAGAATGTGTCTTCTCCTAAATATTAATAGACAATAGTGCTAACTTGCTTGCACTTTCTGAGTGTGTGTGTAAACACAGGTTTCTGATGACTCATTGTGCAATTCTGCTGCACAGTGTACTCAGCTTCTCCGCAGGGCCAGTGCCAAAGGACAAACAATAAATAGGCTTGGGTCATTAGCAGATCAATGGAAACAAAAATAGAAGTTCTAAAAAAAATTCTAAAAATAAGCTTATCTAATTTTATTATACATGCATGTTTTGTAGTTTACAGCTTAGCATTGTTTTGTTTCAAATTGTTATGGCATTCCCCACATTCATTTTAGTGCTTCAGGGTCTATAAAAGATTTGTCTGGCTAATTCTGAGCAACTGGCTTTCAAAGCCCCTCTTGAGTCTTGGAGATAATTTTGGGTGTCAGATTTATTTCATACGATATGGAGCAAAGCTATTTTAACATCTGACCATCTCTGCTCACATTATTGGCAAGTCTTTGGCTGTCACCCTGGAAAACTAATTTACTTCCACTTGTTCTTTTCTTTTTTCTTATCTGTCTTGTTTGATGCTCATTCATGTGCAGAAGGGTGGGTTCCCTTCAATATCTACTCTCATCCTTTCAACATCTACTGTTAAACTACCAAGCTGTATATCTTCATAATTTCAGTGACAATATACAATTTTAAGGACATGGTACATACTGGGCAGTCTGCAAGGGTACAGATTATAAGTTTGACAAATATTCAGGGAGGAAAGGTATTTCTAAAGGTTAATGAAGATAAAGAGTTCTTAGGGAGGGCTTGAGTAGAGCATTTGCAGAGGCAATGATGGCTAACAAGTCAGGAGAAAGGAATTCTGAACACAGTAAGAAAAACAAAGGCTTAAAGATAGAGTTTGCCTTGGGTTATTGGGAAAAGTATAAACAGATCTGTTTGGTTGGAGTAAAATTTTACAAAAGAAGAGAGGGACAGAATGTAGTGGACCTTGAATTCCAAGTTTAGAAGTTCAAAGTTTATTCTACATAGATAAGAAATAGCTACAGAAGACTCAGACCACCATCTTATGTGAGCAATTAAGAACTTCTGCCTTATGAAACCACTGTTATAGATGATCACCCATCTTATTTTTCAGTTATTTTAGGGGAAGGAAAACTGTTAATGCCCACTGGATTGAGAAGTTTGGTTTCCAGGGTTTTGCTCAATCATCAAAAATAAGGAATGAGCTTCTGGATCTAGAGATTCTCAGCACTTCACTGTCACATTATTGTTCTATACTTTCTTAAGCTAATACTTGTATCATGCCTACTCTGAGCTAAACAGTTTTAAATACTTTGTCTTAAATTTCAGTTTTTAATCACTCTTGAAATATCTTTTTTCTCCAGGACTAAAATGAACTTTATTTAATTATCACGATAAACCTAGGAGATAGGTACTAATACCGTCTCTATTTTGCAGATGATAAAATTAAAGCATATTTGGAAACTTAGGGCATAGTAGGGTTACAACAACTTTTTAATGATGAGCTTCAGCATGCTACTGCCCCACTTCTCTCCATCATAAAGTCTAACCTTGATTCTTTCATTTGTATAATTCCTTAAATAGTAGCACTAACAAGATAAGAGCAATCATCTATTGAGTGCCTACCTTGTACTTCTCTACTATGTGTTGGTACCAGTATTAGGTGATTCCAAAGATATATTCAATTTTTCTACATCATAGCTGTGTCATCTGGTATTCTGCAACTCTGATTTTCCCCGTCTCTATGACATCTACAGTGTTCTTTCTCTAGTCTTTCTCCAGGATGACAGGGTGTGTATGTAATGTTGATTCCTTTACAGATGCACATTATATATTTGTCATCAAATTCTCACTACTTGTAACCATTCTACTTATCTCTAGTGGTTCTCTTTGGCACTCTATTGAACAATGATTCCAATCTTTAATCCTCCCAGAAGCCCTCGTTTCACCCCTAAATCCTTTCACTTAGAAAATGGCCTTAGAGAAGATGAGCTTCCTGAGCTTCACTCTTCTCACAGTAAAAAATTCTCACCTATCTCTCTCCCTCCTTTGATCCTGTATTAAAAGATGAGGTGTTCCCCTAGAGAGGAAACTAATTGCTCTACTTATACCTCTAGGCCTGTGTCCCTCAATACTTTCGGGACTTTGATCTTCAATGCTTTCATTTTTAAAAATTCTTTTTTCTTTCTCTAGTCCCTACCTCATATTCCCTGGCCTACAAATAAACCCACCTTAGCTTTACTAAACCAAGACTTTCTCTGGGCCCTAACAATAATCTAGCTGCTGTCTCAAGTCTTTCATTCCTTTGTCTTAAGGACTCCCATCCTGACCTTGTCAATATTTTGTATGTTTATTTGACAATATATTGTTGAGGGCCTACTATATGCTAAGAACTATTCCATGGCCTGGAAAATTCACAGTAAACAAAATAAAATTCTTTGTCACTATGGGTATTACATTGTAGAAGGGAGATAAATTTATTAAATAAATAAGAACATATTTTACTGTGGAAATTAAGAGAGCCACCAAGAAAAATAGGGTAGGCAAGAGAAATGGGAAGTAGATGGGGAGGTTATAATTTTAAGAAGATCAGAGAGGGAGGAATCACTGAGAAGGAAATATTTGAATAAAGTTTAGATGAAAATGAGGAAGCAGACTTCATGGATATCTGGGAAGAAAAGAAAGCAAGTGCAGAGGCACTGGGACTGAAGAGTATCTGCTTATTCTAGAAACCACCAGGAGGTCAGTCTGGCCAGAACTGATCAAATGGGGTAAACGTAGTAGTAGGTGATGTCAGATGTGTCCAGTGATGTCTCTTTTTCACTTCTACTGTATCCTTCCCTACCTTGCATTTTTTGAGGATATTAATACTTCTTTATATCAGAGCTATTTATATACATTTCCTACATCCTTATTTGAATTTCATCTTCCTTACAGTAGTATTAATCTTCCTTACAGTAGTATTTATTCACTCACAGACACCACCTTTGTTCTTTTGATACAATAGATGTGCTTGATCAATATTTCTTTAACATAATTAAATTATACAAATGATGACATTAAAAATGAAGCATTTCTTTCAAAGCATATTTAAAATTATTTTAGTTAATTTTTTTCAGATACAGCTGAGTGCTAGCTACATAGTTTATGACAGAAACTATCTAGTTCGTATCCTCCAGTTGTAAATAGAATGATATCTATTAGTCAATTTGGCCATTACCAACTGATATCAATGCTTTCTATCTTAAAGGTTAATGATCCTAGTTCTTTTTACCTTTTATTAAAATTTATGAATTCTGTTTGCTCTTTCAAATCTAAAGAAGTGTCAGATATTCCTGAATTAACCTCAAATTTATAGCTAAGATTTTTTTAAAAAACTAAACAAAAATGGAATCAATTAGATGCTTTATAGTTACACCAATTTGTGTTGTCTTTCTTTACTTTCCAAATCCACAGAGAATAAATGATGTTCTTTGAATGTAAAATCTCTTGAGGCAAAAAAATGGACTGTCACAAGATGTGTTAATAAGTTGTGTTCTTGGGCTTGAGTGAATGCATATTCTAGTGTGCTGTTAAAGAACACCATGAAACCGGAGATAGCCCTTGGCTTTCAGAAATAGAAAGCTCCCCGCTCCAATTGTACTCATTAAAGTTCTCAGTTACACACGTTGTAATAAATAAAGTATTGGTTTAAATGACCAGACCAACCTCTAACTGTAGTTATTGCCTTTTTAAGTATGAGAGGCAATTTTAACATTATTATTTTCTATGTGGACAAGCATTATGCCAAGCCTCTTCCCTCCTACAGGCAGCTGCATTTCAGAGGTGGTGCCATGACTGCCCTGTGGGTGAAGGCAATTAGAGGCAAACAATTTATCAAGAGCTCTGTAAGCTTCTGAAATAAAAAACATGTTACAGAAGCACCAGTTAGTATTTTTTGGTGGAGTTTGAACATCTTTGATTATGTCAAATGGTAGGGTATTAAGAGTAAAAACATTGTTTTACTCTTATCTGAGCTCCTGACTGGGCTCTGCCATTTGCTAACTATGACCTTGTGGGGTTACCTAATGACTGTGACCATCAGTCTTCTCATCTGTAAAATAGGGAAAATAAGGTCCCTCTTATAGAGTTGTTATGAGATTGTAATAAAGCACATAAAGTACATAGTGGGAAGTATATGGAAACTGTTCAAATCATCATTATCAATAACAACACCACCATCATTCATATCATAAGCATGATCATTGACTTACTAAAGTCATTTTTATGGAGATTATAGATTTTCTCCAGTTTTTTACTATTGGAAAAATTATCAGTTTCTTAAGGTTTCTGTAGGTTAAAAGGGGGAACTTTAAGTAAGTCTCCAAGGTTTACTAGGTTGGCTAAGACATCCAAACTGCAACGAAGCACCACGGTCTCCAGCACAGCTCCCTTAGTCCTCCTGTCTTTGTGTAATGGAGCACAAAAGATTGTACATTTAGCAGAGCACTCTGCTGTGACTTGAAAGTGTACCTCTGTGGGCATGCACAGCAGAAGCTCATCTGAAACATCAGGAACTTTGAAATGTGAAGTCTGACTTTTAAATCAAGTACATTTGTGTAGAATGTGTTTTCTTTCTGATATTCTAATTTTATTGAATCATGAATACTCCGGCTGGGAGCATGAGCTGACAGTTGATTTAGGGTGTTTTCACTTAATTTTTAAGTCATTTTTTTGGTCTTTTCCAAATTGGTTCCCAAAACTCATTGATGAGAAAAATATTTTGCTGACTTCATTACCAAGTACCAACTTTCTGCTGGATCCTCTCAGCAAGGATTTAGATGGGTAAAGGCTATCTGAAACTACATGAAATCTGACACTGCTTGAGTTGGGTCTTGCCAGTCATTCATAACATAGAATAGTCCATTTTATCAGCTCAAAGATAATAATAAGTATCATTATTGGACAAATCCATGAAGACCAGCTTAACACATTTGCATAATTTATACTGTAATGAATTTACATCAGAGGAGACACAAAATACCTATATGTAGACATAACTAACAAATGAGAAATAAGGCAAATGACTTGAATCTACCTCACAATTTCAGTGCCTTGAAAAGACAAATGTTATATAATGTTATAGTCTTTTCATAAACTCAGGATTTAGAAATTTTATCTGAGTAGGACCCTAGCAATAATAAAATTGCCATTACACCTTACAGTTGCACAAGGTTGCTACTTTTTAAATACTTTAAAATATACCATTCCATACCTGCTTTCACGTGAACAGATAGTATCTCTAGTTTCTAGATTAAGAAATAAAACTAAAGAATGTTCTTATGGTTCCAATAAAACCCCATGACAGAATATGCAATGTGGTCTACAGGTAAATTCTATACATTATATATCATTTTTAACTATCAGATTAATTTGATGTAAGTTTCCAAGTTGTTATGAAATATATTGCATCCGTTTTTCTTTTATAGTATGACAATGATTTCCACATAGCTGAAGTTTGTAAAAAATGTAAGATAATAGACATGAATTATGATTTACAAAAATGTGCCCAATTCATAATGACAACGATCACTAAAAGTGCTAAAAAACTTAATTCATTTCTTTTAAGTTTTACCCATCTTAATTTTATCAAAGCACAGATTTTCAAAAATATGAGACTCTTGAAATTCCCCTGAATTTCTTCTTCCTTATCTCAAACTACTTCCGATTAAGAAGGCAGGGAAAAAACATTCATGTAGGTTTCTGATGTCTTTGCATACACTGCCTGACCATATAGCCATTTTGCCTTCAATCACTAGATATGCCAAGTGGAGGTCATGGTTTTGGAGACAGATGGCTAACAATCAGGCTCAAAGCAGCAGGGAACCTGGAAAAGGAGATGGAAAGAAATTGGCTTTCCCATTGCCCAGTAGGGTTCTTTTTGTATTGTATCTTCTGAAGCTGGAAAGAGAAATTCTAGCTGGATAAAGCTGTGGATTTTTGAACCACATATTTAAAAATAATAGCTCTTCAAAAAGACAAAAGTTTCTGAATTTTAGCACTTAGTTTCACCTTGAACCAAAGCATAAAACTCATAAAACAGATGCTGTAATTTCTATACAATCAAATGTTGTGTTTCAAGTCAGTTTAAACTCATGGGAAGAAAAAATAATGTTCATAATGTCTTTTCCTAAGATTTCAATAATTGAATTGCTTCTCTAATTGACTTTGTTGTTGTTGTTGTTGAACATATTAAAGTAAGAATAATGATTTGCCATTATTTTGCACCTTTTAATTTTTTAATCTATCAACATTGGCCCACTCTGGAACAGGTACATTTCTCTGGGGGAACTAAAACATAGGAAATATTATGTGATTTACTCAAGGTCAAATATAATTTCAGTGGCTGGGGAGGCATAACAGAATATCTAAAACATATTTCTACTCTGGGAAATATTACCCAATCTCATATGAAAAGTTCACATATAGTTATTTGCTAATATTATAGTTTTCACTGTAACCCTTTAAAATGTGTAGCAGAAATCACAGTATTACTATAAACAAACCTCTTGTACCTTTATTTTTTATGTTAGTAAAAAAAAGTTTTATATTGTTCTTCTGTCTGCTCTTTTCCAAGAAACTCAAATATAATTTTTGAACAGTTGGCAGGTGGATTGCTTGATCAAAGCATCTTCTGTTTCTGCCATTTTGTTGAGATCATATATTGTGTCTCAGAAGTGCTAGAAGATCTAGCTGTATTGTCAGTATTTCAGATGGCTTCTGTTATTCTCCTAGTACTGTGATGACTATGGTATAGGGGATGCCCGTCTAGAAAAAGTCAATGTTAGTTCTCAGTTGAATTGTGAAGTAGTTAAATTTTAAGTTTTATGCTTCTGTATTTTTTAATCAGTTTTAAAATTCCTTCCCCCTTTAAAGAGATTAGCTATCAAGTAGACATCTTATACAATGTTTAACATTCTCCGTGTTTAAGCACATGTGTCATTTGAAATTGGTTTCTTACTGTAATGCAAACATTTATGAAATAATAGACATTTCATACATTCATCAAACCATTTCTTGTTCTAACATTTTTTATTTCTGCTGGTTTTATTATCTAAAGTATACATTCTTAAATCCTTGAAGTCATGGACTCTATCCCTTTGAGGAAATAAAATTAAAAGTTAAGAGTTGAGACATGAGTGTTATTATACCCTGTTATACCATTAAACCTAGAGTTGAATTTGAACCCGGGGTCTAGTTTTTATGGGTCATTAAGTATTTGACCTTAGATATATTGCTTAAGCTCACTGTAATTTAGGTGTCTCAAATACAAAGTAGAGATAATAATGGTAGGCCCTTCATGGGTTTTTTGGGGCATCTAATTAGGTATTGCCTATTGTGTGGCATATCTATTATTAACTATTATGATTTATCTCAAAATACTATACTTATTTAAATATTAAAACTACTCATTCTTTTAAATGTGTATCACATTCAGCATTAAAAATAAATCGTTTATTCAACCCTGGTGATAATCCAGGTCTTTGCGGCCTTCCTGAACTACTGCAGGCTCTTTACACTCTTTACACAAGCATTTATTGTGTTCTTACCAAGATCTAGTGCACTTGGGGAGCCCTATATTTCCAAAGATAAATCAAACACTGTTCCTAAGGAAACATTCAGCCTAATTAGGAAGAAAGAAAATATTCAGAGATTTATAATTCCTATGACCAGAGAGGATGAAGAAAGTTTACCTGGAAGAGGTAAACTTCAAGTGAGAGTTGAGAGGACAAATAGAAACTCACTTGATAAAATCAAGAGTTAGGAGAAGGATCCCCAAGAACAAAGATCAGCTTTTATTAAGGACCAGAGTGCTAAGAGAGAAAGGAGAATTAGAGACGCACTGCTTTAAATGTATGAATAATAATTTAACTGTGAATTTGACTTCTTTTTCTTAAAATATTGGAACACATGTCTTAAATTCTTTCCTATCACGTCTACAGTGCACTATTTGACAGACAATATATCATGGGATAATTGTTGCAATTATTTTTAGATAATTTTTAAGCAATTTAAGTAAATGATGAGTAATAACATTTGAGACACAGTAATTCCATTGACTGTATTAAAGTGATAACGCATTATATTGAAGGTGAGAACCAGTAGTCTCTACCTTATGATATATCTTTTATTTGACAGAACATATTGATATCATACAACTTATTTTACTACTGTGGTTTATCTGTGCATAATATGGTGTAATAGCCTCAGATTTTCAATACTGTAACAGAAAGGAGGGAGCTACCAAATAGAGATCTAGCTTTGTCTGATTTCTAAAGAGAATATTGTTCTTATCACTATCAGTAACAATGATAATACTATACTGAACATTTTTTATCATTCTTGCTGATTATTATTTCTCATTGTTCTTGCTTTACTTTAAAAGGACCGAATATTTTGAAAAAATTTTTTTCTCCATGCATTTCCCTCTAGAAAATTGAAATTGACTGAACTATATAATGCTGATGAGCACCTGAGCACCAACATAGAAAGTTTTTTTTCTTTTTTTTTTTTGAGATGGCGTCTCACTCTGTCACCCAGGCTGGAGTATAGTGGCGTGATCTTGGCTCACTGCAACCTCCGCCTCCCAAGTTCATGCAATTTTCCTGCCTCAACCTCCCAAGTAGCTGGGACTACAGGCATGTACCACCATGCCCTGCTAATTTTTGTATTTTTAGTAGAGATGGGGTTTCACCATGCTGACCAGGTTGGTCTCAAACTCTTGACTTTGTGATCAGCCCACCTTGGCCTCCCGAAGTGCTGGGATGACAGGCGTGAGCCACTGTGCCCAGCCCAACATAGAATTTGTAATTTGCTCTTAAATGTTTATAAAGTTAAACTCTAACCCTTAAGCCTCATTTTAAACTGTCTAGTGACTGACTTTTAGAAGTATTTTAAGGTGTTAAGAGATTACAATTTTGAATACAATGTGTTATATGCCCCACTGCTCCCCAAATAGCCATTTCTGTCATATCTGTTCCCTTCTGTCAACTTCATTATTTTTGTACACTTGGAACTGAAAATAGTAAGTAAAATTATTTTCAAAGGAGAGAAATACTATATAAATGGATTTGAACTGAGATAAATTTTTGACAGTGTCTGTAAGTGTGTAATGAGGGCTTCTAAGATAGAAAATAGATTATGATTTTATATATATTTATACATATATACATATATTTGCTAAATATGATAATTCTTCAGGTAACTCGTCAATGATGCATGATTAGCAAACTTTTTATTATGCATGTTTCACAGTAAAAATATTTCACACTGGATAAACTATAAATGAAAAATAACCACAGAAATGAGAGTATCTTAATTATTTATATCTGACAATATTGAAAATAGCTTTATTTTTCTTGTTCCCAGTGACTTCTTTGGAATCATTATATTTGACAGTGTCCTTAGTAACAATTCATTGACTGTACTATAATAGTTCTGAAGGGGCCAGGGATGCAATGTGATTGTCCTTCCTTATAAACAGCATCTGATTATGTGAAAAACTGTCTGTTTCGTTAGTTATGAAACCAGTGCCCTGGCATATAGGGCAAACACAAGAATAATTCCATCTCTAAAGAACAATCCCAAAGCCTTAAAGAGAGCAACCAATATTTAACTATTTTAATAAGCCAAAACTCTGATTTTTAAAGACACCAAAACAGATTTGTTGTATCATGTTCATCCAGGGGAAAAGAAATCTAAATGAATGAGCAACAATCTTCCAATTTGTTTAAAGCTTTTGACAGACTCAAAAAAGAAACAGATTCTTAAATGTTAAGGAAAAAACTGAGAGCAACAGTTTTTAAACCTCTGACACAATCACTAAGAAACAGATTCTGTTAGCTTCAAAGAAGTTGGAAATGATCTTTATTTTTCAAATATGCTGACAGTCATGAAGTAATGGATTTTTTTAAAAGAAGAGAATCCTTGCAAACATTTACATTTTTTTTCATGTAGAATTCTTGATTGGTTGTCTAGTAGAGCAACGAATGGCAGTCTCATCATATTTAAGTCAGCCCCCTTTCCTTTCCCATACGTACCAAAAAGATACATTTCAAATCATGATCTTTACAGGGTGGAAACTTTCCCACTGAAAGGAAAGCAGAGAAGCTGGCCCAAGCGGATCTCTCTGACTTTCCAGTCACGAGGTCAGTCAGCTTGCAGCATGAACAGGGATTCAGAATAGCATCTCGTGGTTCCACAGCAAAATCATAAATGGATGAAAAGTGCTTGCTTTTGGTCTTTTCCTACAGTGGTACTCAGAATGTCTCTTCTCGTCTCCTCCCTTTGTCTGGGGCTCTGGGGGGTTATGTGCCCCCTCATGCCTAGTAGCCTCAACTTTTGACACATTTCTTATGTCCTGAATGCCTTTATTTATTAATGAGGAGCACTCAAAGTTTTCCTGAAAAGGAAAGGAAATACACGAAGATTTGTCAAGTTTGTGTTTCTTTCCATTGCTTCTGGAATCGTGCTACAGAGGTCGATGCCAACTTGAAATTCTGGTCATAGTCAGAAGGTATCGTAGCTGTTTTTAATGAAAAAAAAAGTAATTTTTCTCTTTTCTTCATTTCCTAGGTCACGTTTCCTAGGTGCTATTTGCTTTCCTTTATTTCCCCATCACTTATTTATTTCAGAAAACAAAGAGTGGAGGGAGAGGGAGGGCATTATCTTAAAGATGTAGAACTTAATGGTTCTTTCCATGATGTTCAAAGGGTGGCCTCCCATTTTCTTTAGAACATTATGAGAAAGAAACTGTGTTCACCAGGAACAGGAAAAGCTGTCCTTTAAGTTATTAGAGGTGATTATTGATGATCCATTTGTCAGTTAGCATTTACTAAGTTAAAAGCAAATAAAAGACATGCTATCAACTTTCAAGCTTATCACAAAGGTAACAAATTTGTAAAAATATAAATATTTGACAAGAAGCTCAATATGAAGTAAAGAACCCATTACTGCACATTCTGCACATGCAACCCAGAACTTAAAGCATAACAACAAAAAAGAACACATTACTAAGTAGTGTAGGCTATAGAGTACTGTACACTTATCCAGTACATTTCTACTGTATCTTTTGGATTAAAATAAATTTATTGGGGAATGAGGATGTAATGAAGTTTAAAACTGCAAGTACACATAATGAAATACTATTCAGCCATTAAAAAAGGAAATCCTGTCACCTGTGCTAACATAGATGAACCTGGAGGACATTCGGTGAAATAAGACAAGCACAGAAAGACAAATACCATGTGATCTCACTTATATGTGGTGGTTACCAGGGATTGCAGTTGGAATAATTGGGGAAATGTTGTTCAAAGGATACAGAATTTCAGTTACATAAGAGGAATAAGTTCAAGAGATCTACTGTACAACATGGTGACTGGAGTTCATAACAATGTATTGTATCCTTGAAAACTGCTAACAGAATAGATTTTAAGTTTTTCACCACAAAAAATGATAAGCATGTGAGGTAATGCATATGTTAATTGTCTCAATTTAGCCATTTATAATATGTATACATATTTCAAATAACATATACATGATAAAGATATATAATTTTTATTTGTCAATTTAATAAAACTGCAAATATGCCTGACCAAAGAAAATATTTTCCCACATAGTAACTATTTCAGAATTAAATCTACTCTGCCACAAAACATAAACTTGAGAAAATAATAACAGGTAAATGAGAGTAATTATAACATAGGGGGTATTTTAAATGCACTAAATATTTTAAGTGCATTTTCTCATTTATCTCCATGGTAGTCCCATGATGTTTATCTTATGGTCTCCATTTTACAGATGAAGAAATTGAGGCTCATTGAGGAGAACTGAAGAGATAAAGTAATTTTTCCTCTAAGTAAATGTAGAACCTAGAAATGAATTACAGGTCTGTTTGATGTGAAGCGGTGCTCTTTCTAATATCCAATTCTTTGAGTTTTGCTCAAACACAGTTGATTCTTAGAGGTCTCTAATTTGTAGCTATTATAAAAGGAATGGAAATTTTATGTGAAATACAAACCTTTTTTTTAAATGGCATATTAATAAGCCTGAAAAAAACTCATGCAATGGAAGTTAAAAAAAAAAAAATAAAGACGGCGATTAAAGTTATCCTACAAAACAAAAAAAATATACATTCACTGACCCAGAGAAAAGAGTCACAGGCAGAGGAATGATTAAAAGGGAAATTTAGTGCTTATAAGTTGTCATGGATTTCAATACACAATCATATATGCTAGGGTACATAACATTTCTAGACAGAGGCATTAATTTAACAGGATAAAACACTTTCTCATTGATATCGGTAGTATTTCATTCATATGTATAAAATCTTATCTTCTTGCAAAAATTAAATGTTTTATGGATTTGAAGTTAAAAACAGGAGAATAGCAGACTCAAGGTTGAGGAGAAGTAATTAGAGAAAAGATGAACTAGAGTCTATGAAATTTAGTCTTCCTGTATCAACTATGTGAATGTTGAATCCAATTTGTATGCGCTCTGAAACTATGAGAGTAGTGGGGCAGCATTAATTTTAGGAATAGCAAAATCTCACACTCAAACTATTGGAAGTCCAATTTGGGAAATTAAATATTCTTATTGTTTTCAGAAATTGAGGCAAATAACATGCAGTTTTTTTTTCTTTTAGATAGAAAGGCAGAAATAAGGAATTAAAACTATAGGAGGAATTAAGATGAGGCAACCGAGGTAAACAGAAGCTAGTTGTCCACTCCTTAAGTCACTTTAGCAATAATCTGATTGTTATTATTATTATTATTTTGGAATATTAATAAATAAAGCACTGACACAGAAAATCATGCAAAACAAATGTTTAGCATTATGAATTGTTATAAGACAGACATTCTTCTATCTCTACCTAGGTTGAGAAGCATGGGCTATCACTTGCCCCAGAAGCCCTTTCCATGCCCTCTGCCAGTCTCAATCCCTTCCTTCCCTTCTCTTTCCTGCCCACAAAATAACAATTACCCTGACTTTAATATTATCAATTAGAATTTCTTTTTGGAGTTCTCATCCCATTTTGTATACTTAGACACCATAGTTTATTTAGCCTTGCCCATTCTTTATCAATTTACAATGTGTTTAAAATTATTTCAATCTACAGGTTGACCCTCGATCCCTTATTTTTCTTATAGTTGATTGGCACAAGTACTCAGGGCTTTTGACCTGTAGAGTTCCCAGTGTGCATTTTGCTGATTGCACACTTTTGGTACAATGCAACATGATTCTCTGTACTCTGTGTTTCCTGCAAGGTGGCAGATGGATTCAGACTGGATCAAACTCAGTTCCACCCCTCTGGCAAAATTATGGGTGGTGGTGTATTCTTTTCTCAGGAGGGATATAATATTACATTACCTCTCTTTTGTGATGTTAACATTCATTGGTGCTCAATACCTAGACCTATACATTTATTGGTGGTTACAAACTTCTAGTATTTATTTTTTATTTATTAATGGAAATAGTTTTATAAAGAGACCCCCTCCATCAGTTTATACAGAAATATTAAATAAATGAAAATAACTAATAGAAAATATTTGATTTCTTTCCATTTATTTACCAGTTTTCAAGATAAAATGATTTCCTGTCATCATCCAAAGACCAGTTAGAGTTTTAAAGTATAATTATGAGTTCATAAATTTAAACATATTTGGAAGGTTTCAATCAGTGCAATTATTATTCTCATTGAAGCTCAAATAGTCCCGCTTTTGGCAGAGGAAGCATTTTTACTTTGGTTCCTGAGTGCTTTTTCATACGATTTGACCAGTTCTTGCTAGCTTCTTCAATAACTGATATGATAAGATTACTTAGACTCATTTATGTTGACCTTGCTCTAAACCTAGAATCAATCTTTTTTTTTTTAAGAAGACCTAGGATCTTTTTATGGAAAAGGCCACAGTTCAAGTGCAAGAGATGTTCATTGCTAGTGCAGTGGTCTTTGTCTCTAGACTTCTTCAATAGACAGCATTAGGAACTACATCTGTAAAAATAAAATACCTCATGTATTTCTACCCAATTCATATCAGGACTCCAGGAATTACTATGGTCATTATTGAAGCTCTTCTTTATTTTCCACAGCAAAAATTCTAGTTTCGAAGGACTCGGGATGATAGAATTACAGTAACCTGAAATTATTTATTTTATACCACATTACACAAGTAATAGATGCAGAATAGCAATACTACTTATCCTATTTCCAACATAATTACTAAAAACATTCATAAAATATTTTTGCATAGTAAATCTCCAGTTCTATCCGCCATTTACATTTTTATAATGTAGATAAATAATACTATATCTACATTATCTAAGTACTTGGATGTCTGATTTCTCCTTTTACTGTCACTAAGCCTTAGTTTTACAAGTAAGCAAAGCCTTAGTTTTACAAGTAAGTTTAATGATCACCTTATCACTTATTTCTACACCTTCGTTAGTCATTTAACTTATCTGAAGCTCCTTGCCTGGTAGATTCCTTAGGAAAAGCTTATGCAAACAATATTTCTTTATTTGAAAGTGGTCTTTCTGAGTTTTTAGGAATAGTTAGGGTTCAGGATTTCTTTTCTAACTACATGCAGCTTCTTTTTTGTTGTTTTCTTGAAGTGATCCAAAATATAAGGTGGTTTGCTTTCCAAGATTTCATGTAGTTGTTCCTTTACCCCACTTTTATATGGACATTCTCTCTCCTTCATCTCTGTTGTCAATATCCAGTTGGATTTGACTCTCCTTCAATAATTTTCCCCTGGTGTGGGGTCCCGGCATGTCAGTTTCAAGAGCTACAGGGCCTAAACCGCTGCTGCCCCTTCTGCTTTGAAGATATATCTGGCTTGGATCTCTTGCTCCACTCACCATTATACCAGGCAAAACCATCCCCAGATTAAACTGCTATTCTCAAGCTGACTTTTGTGCAGTTCAGTGAAAACTTCTAGAACATTTTGGGATTCTCAGGGTCATCAGATGCCCAGTGACTTTCCTCAGCACAGAGACTCAAATATCCATGGGCCTATGGCTGGCAGTGGTTTGTCGTTATAATCTTGCATTTTGGAGTTCACAGAAATATCTTGTCACCCAGCTTTGTTGCAAATGTTGTCTATGGGTTTTTGGTTTTGCTATCCTGTTAATCTGCCCATCTTGATGTTGGGATTTGGGCAAATTTGAAAACTATGTGCTGCTGCAACCATCACCACCCTCCCTAAATCCAATAACTGGTTACTATTGAGTAGAGACATAAAAATATTCTGGTTAACAGCATATAGAAAATTAATATACTTAACATAGATAACCCAACCGATACGTTTCCAACTTGCTTCCTTAGGAAAATCATGATACTTTACTCCTTAAAATATCATTAGTATCCAAAAACCACTGCAAAATAAGAATAGCTAGATTTAGTAAAAATCTTCTCCACTAATTGAGAAAATAATGACTTTAAAAAGTACAGGTTTCTAGGCCTGGTGCAGTGGCTCACGCCTGCAATCCCAGCACTTTCTCACACCTGTAATCACAGCAGGTTGGGAGGCCGAGGCGGGTGGATCACTATGTCAGGAGTTCAAGATCAGCCTGGCCAATATGGTGAAACCCCATCTCTACTAAAAGTACAAAAATTAGCTGGCATGGTGGCAGATGCCTGTGGTCCCAGCTACTCAGGAGGCTGAGACAGGAGAATCGCTTGAACCCAGAAGGCAGAGGTTTCAGTGACCCGAGATCACGCCACTGCACTCCAGCCTGGCCAACAGAGCGAGACTCCGTCTAAAAAAAAAAAAAATACAAGTTTGTTTTAACTCTAAGCTAGCTGGAAGTTGTATTTCAGGCAATCTTCTGGCTGTGAGGAGTGCTTCCCTACCTCCTCTTAGTAGTTTTGCCAAAGGTTTTCCTCTATTCCTGGAAGGAGCATGAACTAATGAGATAACCTCTGATTATGAATCCTCACTCCCAGAGAATGTGACATCAGATTTCTGAGTGAGGGGCTTAAAGAATCATAAGAGCCCAGATTCCTCATGTGAGGATCACACACACACACACACACACACACACACTCTTTCACACATACCCACACGCACCAGCTGGTTCTCTGAGTGTTTAATATTGCAAAGATCTATGAATGCCCACTGCCTGTCTGCCAGAGTAAAATAGAACTATTTAAAGCTGAGCTGTTAGGGTAGAGGAGAACAGTCTGAGTTCGGAGTTAAAGTTTTAATGATCTATTACAGATATCTTTCTCAATGGCATTGGATGCCTTTTTTTCTAGTAGTTGTAAAAGCCCAACCTCCAAACTACAGAAGGATGTTCATTATTTCCCATGTTCTGAAGCATGGGTGAGAGTTCTTTATAATACTTATGCTATGTAAATTACTGAATGATAAGAGATTTAAAACTGGTGGTTAATTATAGTTCTTCAGGAATGTTTTCAGAATGAGAATACATATCATTAAAATATGTAGATACTTGTTAATAGCTATATTTATACTGGTATAATACCTTTCTCTAAGGGACTTTGAAAACACTATCTCATCAATCTTCACAGGCTTTTTTCATTAATTTATTAAATCACTGTACCATTTAAATTTAACAACAATAGAATACTGTTTCTTCTATCCATAATATATTAATTGACTCTTTATTAATCTGTAATCTCCTCTGAGATAGAGGCCAGTCTTCCTTTTTTTCTATATTTGTTAACATGAGGAAAGTTTCATATTTGTGTTCACCTTACATTGACACATTTTTCAGAGATTTGGAAATTATCCTCATTCTTTTCAGTCATTAAGAAATACATACCATCTTATTTTATAAGGTTTGACCACATGTTCACGAGCTCCTGCCTCTTGGCCAACTTTCTTCCCAAGAGAAATATTGCCAGAACCTCCTGAGACATCCAGCCATCAGTGGTTTCTCTCTTCCTTAACTATTCTGATTTGCAACTGGATATATGTGCTAACGTCCTAACTCATTGCACATTGAAAATAACCTTTCACTCTCCTGATGCTGCTTGAACATAGAATAATTCTTCCACATCACCTTATTTATCTTTAATACTTCCCAACTTATGACATTTTCTGATATGTGATTAGAGCTGGTCTGAAAAAAACACAAATGTCATGCTGTAGTTGAAAAACTACTAAATTAAACTTATTCACCACACCCATCTTGAAAATTTAGCTCATTTCTTTCCATTATAACCTCTTATCTTCCAGGCTGTTTCTAGGTATTACAGATGCATGTGTGCTGGATGTGATCATTTTTTTGTGTGTGGTCAATTTACTCAAGAACTGCTTTGTAATGAAGAATCAGAGTTAAGCCAAAGGGCTCAGGGATGTGTTTTTCAATGAGCAATTTTAACAAGTAAAAGACCTCTAACAAATAGTGCATGAAGATAACTATTTAGAGAATCCCTTTCTCCCAAAACATCTTCTTTTTTCCCCATTTATTCAGTATATATATGTGGACTACTCAACATTATTATCTGTGTGGATAAAATCTAAATTTTCCTTTTTACAAATTTACCTTTTTACAAACTAAGCAAAATAAATGACCATGCAGTTTTCCTTTATTTACTTTAGTTTTTTTTGTCTTGATTATTTAGAAGGTGTATCTGGAATCCCAGCATTAACTTCTGTGTCTCTCCCTTTACACTCTCTCTTGCTGGATTACTCTTGGTGTGTTGGCTACCTTATGATGCTTACTTTTATTGGATTTCATTTATTTCGAAGTGGCTTTTAAGATCTCCCATGTGGCCCCAAATTCTTGAACACTAATATTTGTTTTATTTTCCAGTGTTTGAAAATAAAGCACAAATATGAACTTTTCTCAACCCTTATCAGCTCACCTAAAGTACTGCTTTTTTCCTGCATGGTGTTGTGCCATCCTATACTCTAAAATATCAATAGAGGAAAAAAATCCAATTATCTACACTTTTTTCTACCTACTGGGTTGTCAGTAGAAAAATACGGCAGTGAAAGTCTGTTTCTCGCTGTCACACAGACTTTTCAAATTTAGTATACTGTCTTTTTACTGAAGTACTCACACACTTTAACTGACATTCCAGATGCAGAAGTATGTTTGTGTGTGGTGTGTATGAGTGTGCATGTGTGTATATCAAGAAATTTTATTCAGAGAAGTCTGGTATGGATTCTAAGATCCACAATTCATTGTACTCGTGGTGGGTAGGAGATCATCCTGGTGAACATGGTGAAACCCCGTCTCTACTAAAAATACAAAAAGTTAGCCATGTGTGGTGGCGTGTGCCTATTGTCCTAGCTACTTGGGAGGCTGAGGCACAAGAATTGCTTGAACCCAAGAGGTGGATGTTGCAGTGAGCCGAGATCACACTACTCACTGCACTCCAGACTGGGCTACAGAGCCAGACTCTAGCTCCAAAAAAAAAAAAAACTCAATGTTGTTTGCATCAACATTAATTTCCCTTACACAATGCCAATGTCATTGTCTTAATGATAAATAGATGCAGGTTATCATATTTGCAGAACTAAACACAGTTGATCATATGGTACCAATAGATCAGCAGCAGTAGAAATCACAGGAGAAAAATGTAAGCTTTTAATTTAAGCTATCAAGAGACAATTACCAAATCTTAACCTCAGGGACACTGATGTTTGATGTCTTTCTCAAAGGTCAGAATTGTTTCACAATCTTTCAATTGATTGATATCATCATTTAAAAATTAATTAGTAGTAACAGCAATATTTGACTTTAAAATGTGACATAATCTGCCAAATTATGTGCAAGTAGTCTTGGTTTGCTATTCAGTTGTGGGGTGTGTTGAGGAAATGTAGAATCAAGGAACAGTTTTTAGCCTTATTTCAATGGAATTTTAAATTATGCCTCATATACATGTGGAAAATATAACCTCTTAGCCTGTTATTTTCATGAGTAGAGATGATCTAGCCAATCATAATACTCATGAATTTATAATAACAGACTGACCACAGCTATAAAATTGTTATTACAAAAAGTATCTCTTGTTTTTCCTATAATTCATCATTTTAAAGAATTTGCTACTATAAAATTTTTCGTAAGAGAAGTGAGTTAGCAGAAATCACTCTTACCCTACCTGCTGAACAATGTCTCTTTGATCAGTTCTCAAATTGAGTTTATAGGTAAAAATTCACTCAAACAAAAGTCTCCACAGGTTACAAAAAATTTAGCTATTGACCTAGAGCAATAATAAATGGCATATAAAGCCTAAAATATAAATAGGAATGGAGTCCATGAAGTTAAATCGTAACAGTGGTCCTAGAAAAATATATTCAGAACAATTCAGAGGAAACCACCACTCTGTCTTCTCTATGAATTTGGCATATCAACATGCTTTCTATTATAGTTAAGGTGTATAGTCATTTAATCTCAAATGTAATATTTAGAGCTATACCTGTTTGGAGAGATGTCTGTTTAATATTTAGAGAGCTATCTGATTGTTGTTATTGTTGGTTAATTTAGTAGTCAGTCCCTATCATTCATGGATGGAAATAGCCCTACTGAGTAGAGTCTGTGGCCAGGAAGCAGACAAATTCCTCCCTATCTTTATTAACACTGAGAAGTGGAACAAAAGATAATTGGAACTGACCTGATATTTACCTAATAAGAATGCAGGGATCTGACCAAGAAATTCCAGCACATGGGATAGTGCTGAAAATTATATAAGCAATACACTTCCCCTGTAGAAATAAAAAGTAAACTTTTCTGTGCAAGTTTTCTCTCCCTAAATAAAGGTGCTGTTAACATGCCAATTATCTGAGAACATAATGTTGACCAAATTCTACTGTATATTGCTTCCCTTCCTTCTCTTTGTCCTTGTTGGGTTGTATAAAGAAAAGTCCCAGGATGCCAGCAGAAAGCAAAGATTCTTCAGAGAGCCATTGCTTGTAAATAAGATAGTAATGCTTCTCTTACTCATACTCCTTACCCTCTTTACTCTCCTCAAGTATTTTTTAATCTAAAAGGCATATTGAGATGTTTATATATTTCCTCTATAAAACAGAATTTCTAGAAATAATTTAATTGTATACTAAATAGTGCATCTGCAATCCCAGACAAATGAATGATGGGTAAAACCAGCATTTCCTTTACTTGAGTCAATATGGCCCTGAAAGGCACTAAAAACTTTTTTTTAACTTTTATTTTAAGTTCATGGGTACAAGTGCAGGTTTGTTACATAGGTAAATTTGTGTCATGGGGGTTTGTTGTACAGATTATTTCATTACCTAGGTATTAAGCCTAGTACCCATTAGTTATTTTTCCTGATTCTCTTCCTCTTTCCACTTTCCACCCTCTGAAAGGTCAGCGTGTGTTGTTTCCCTCTATGTGTCCAAGTATCCTCATCATTTAGCTCCCACTTATAAGTGAGAATATGTAGTATTTGGTTTTCTGTCCCTGTGTCAGTTTGCTAAGGATAATAGCCTCCAGCTCCATCTATGTCCCTGCAAAGAACATGATCTCATTGTTTTTTTATGGTTGCATATTATTCCATGGTGTATATGTACCACATTTTCTTTATCCAGTCTATCATTGGTGAGCATTTAAATTGATTCCTTGTCTTCGCTATTGTGAATAGTGCTGCAATGAACATCATGCATGTGTCATTAGTATTAATAATAGAATGATTTATCTTCCTTTGGGTATATACCCAGTAATGGGATTGCTAGATTGAATGGCACTTCTGTTATTTGGGCTTCTCTCTTATTAAGTAGAACCACTGGAATGTTAAAAATATATTTTCTGCTGGGAAAGCAAACATAATGCCTAGAACTAAAACTCAATATCTACGATATGCAAAGTTCAGTTAAATCTGTTTATATTAAACATTGAAGAATGTTTAATTTGATTATTTTATTAAATTAAACATTAATTAAATAAAATGTTTTATATTAAAATGTGAGGCCTAAATACATTTTCACAGAAAAAAATAAGCAGATTTAACTAAACCTTGCATATTGTAGTTATTGAGTTATTGTAGGCATTGTGTTTGCTTTTTCAGCAGAAAACATATTTTTAACATTCCTGTGCTACTGAATGAGAGACATCTAAATACCCATAATAATTAAATTTGGCTGGGCAAGGTGGCTCATGCCTGTAATCCCAGCACTTTGGGCGGCCGAGGCAGGTGGATCACCTGAGGTCAAGAGTTTGAAACCAGCCTAGTCAACATGGTGAAACCCCATCTCTACTAAAAATACAAAAAATCAGCCAGGCATGGTGGTGGATGCCTGTAATCCCAGCTACTCAGGAAGCTGAGACAGGAGAACTGCTTGAACTTGGGAGATGTAGGTTGCAGTGAGCCGAGATCGTGCCTTTGCACTCCAGCCTGCAACAAGAGTGAAACTCCATCTCAAATAATAATAATAATAATAATAATAGTAACTAAATGTAATACAATAATGAAATACTGTCTTCAGCCTTTAGTATCATGGGAGTATAATAATAGATACTATTTATTGAAGATGTATGATGTGCCAGAAAGTGACTTGGGCAATTGGGGAACATTATTGCCTTTCTACTTAGATTTACAACTCTGTCAAGGTAGGGGGAAATAAGTGCCTTTAACAGATAAGAAAATTGAGGCTCAAAAGTTACCCAGCAAATAAGCAACAGAAAAAGGATTCATTCCAGATCATTCTGCCTCCATATATTGGCTTTTTGCACTGTAGCAGCTTATAAAACTCTGGGAGACAAGACCATACACCCACCTGTTAAATGACAATTAAACACAGCATGTCATTAAACAGCAGTGCAGACAGCAGAGACCAAAAAAGAAAAAAAAAAAAAAAGAATGGGGGCAGGAGAGGTTATTCTTAAAGAGATAACACAGAACCAGAGAATTATATTAAAAATACCTATACCACAGTGATTTTTATGCATACCTGATTCTAGGAGTCATTCAGTGGCTTGAATCGAGGACAAAGTTCAGTGTGAATTCCAGGTGCAACTCGAAAGCAGATTTCAATGTTATGATTTCTGATTAAACTAAAAGAGACTACTGTGTTTTCATGTGCCAGCCACATGATTACAAATCTGAACCTTTTTGGGTTCCCTATTTGTTGAGGCTATGGAATCTCTGTATGCAGTCTTTAGCGCCCAACTGGGAGTGACACAAGAGAATTCTAGGCATAGTGTACAACTACGCAGTTATGGAAATGTGCCAGTAGAGCTTTATGGGTGAAAAACTGGAATCCATGAATCTGTGTCCTAAAATTAAATTTGACAAAAGGAGGTGAACATATGTTCAGGAATAAATATGACAGGAGACAGTTTGTGTTTTTTCCTGAGGTAGCTATATCTACATGTTTCAAATTCTTAACAGCTAAAGGATGAGTTGAACCAGATTATTTAATAAATCATAACTCCATTGGAAAACTGTAAATTGACTAAATGGAGTGTCTTAAATAGAGTTAGCCCTGTATTCCTCTCATGCAATAAAATAGACTGGTTAAATCTACATGCCTCCTAATTGCATAATGATTTTTAATTTTATTCTCAAAACTTTAATATTGGTCCTACATATTATAAATTATCACTAGTAAATTTGCTTTTTAATTGTTTTACCGTGCAGTGAAATATGCTTTAGTTGAACATTTCTTGATTAAATGCCTGATAACATTAACCTGCATTGTACATACACATAGTTTTTATTTACTAGAAAGGCTTGTGAGCCATTTTACTTAGAAACCCATCTTTTGAATGTACTTTTGTTAGACAAAATCAGTCTAGTGATGTTTGCACAGAAAGAAAAAGCTGATATTTAAATTAATGTACCCTTAATCTTGACCCATGGCTCAGCTGTCAAAATAGTGGGTCTTTACCAGTGGTGTGCTAATAAATATCTAACAAGCAATGTTCTAATGGGCAGGGGGAGTTGTGATTTGTAGCATTTGCCAACTTTCGTGGTGTAAATATTTCCAACATAGCTGATCTCAAGCTACCAAGGTGACATCGCTGAATGTAGAATTGGGAAAAATTGCATAGTCACAGGCCATATTTCCTGTTAAATAATTTTGACTGTACAGATTCATAGGCATACATAACCCAAAGGCATATATAATAATAAAATGTTGTCCAATAATTAGAAAGTAATATTTTTGTATATTTGTTACCTTTTTAGAAAGTATAATCTAATTTTAAAGGTACACAATTTAATTATTAAAAATAGTTATGTTTAGCCACTGTCCTGCAAAAGTCCTGAAAATTCTTTCTTGAGAGCCAGTGTGAACTAGTCTGAACCACTGTAAGCCAGGTCCAGCAGGCCATTGTTACTGAGCACATTTTCTCCATGACTACATGGCAACGCAAATCGTCAAGGTTGTGAATGTGAGGGAGTGAGGCGTGAAGATGGCACCGTGGAGAATATGACCCGAGGCTGACCAAGCAAAATCAATGTCAAGGCTGAGGGTGTTACCAGCCGTATTTTTCCTAATGGGAATTTTTATTACTGAGGAAAGATAGAGGGACACTCGCTTTTTGGTGTGTTGCTGCTTATGATGCCCTTTACAAATCTAGAGAGGGAATCCTGGGGACTGTTAGCAGCCACAACTCCTCTTTGACAGAAATACTTTCTTCTAAAAATAACTGTCCCATACTGAACATGGGCTTTACTGGGGATCTGGAGTATTCAGACGAACAGAAAATTGTTCATCTTCAATGAAGCAGTTGTTGAAACTTCATGTGCAGCAGCTCACATGCCTGGCAGACTGATGACCCTCAAGAACTTTTTTGACCTTGGTAGGTTTGTCTGTGAAACTGGTTCAGGCCTAAAAGGCACAGGCACATTTATAAAAGGAAAGAATATAGAAGAATATACACAATTACAGAAAGGATTAGGGAAACATTTCGAAGGAGACAAGTAGAGATCCACAGTTCTCTTAAGGCATGCAACTTTATTCAGATATTTAGATGAACCCCTGCCAGACTCTCTCTAAAGGCTGAACTAATTTGCATATTTTGTAGACAAACATTTGTAAAACATGATCCACATTGTCTCACTGGGTAACCCTTATGACCAAACCATGACAAACATCTATACCATTACTTGCCAAGTTTGGTAATGTTATCTCTGATAATAAATAGAATATGGTTTGCACTGGCTAGTCTTGGCTGATAAAATTACTTTTATTTGTTTGGGAAATTAGCAAAAACTCAGGATTGGAAACGAATTGGTACATTCACTTCTCTGCTTGGCCGAGAAGTTAACTGCTTTGGATATTTGATTTGCTTTGTTTTGTTTTTAACATCCAGCTAAAAAAGAAAGCAAACATGTTTTTTAATTTGGGCTTTTGAATTGGGAGATTGCTGTTAATGAATTAGAGCTTAACTCCTCAGCTATAAAAGAGAACTATATAGGATGACAGCAAAATCTTAGGAGAAACGTTTTATACCCTTCAGATGGTAATGCCATTGCCCCACCATACACTAAACTTTTCTTAATAGCTGATGAATACACTTTCCCACTTTATTTCTCAATCCCCTTGACCTGGTTGACTTATTCCATTAAAACTATCTTATGGTCCGGACAGTAATATTAGAGAATAACTGTTTCTCGTTTTAGGGTGAGATATCTATTTTATTGTTTTGTCTTCTTTGTTCTCTCTTTCCTGACTGAGTAACAATCAATCATTATTAAGGTTTAGGTAAATTGAGTTTTTTCATGTCCTGTTTAATTTACTTTTCTCTGATTTTTAGTTGTGTATCTTTCTTTCTGTTCTGTAGGCCAGGACCTGACACATTTCTTCCTGAATGACTACCATAGCTTCTCAGATGTATCCCTAACTTCCCACTCTGACTTTTTTTTTTTCTAATACATCTGAAATATTCCTCACACCAGGCACTTCCATCACTGCTGTAAAACGTAATATATCCATTCACTTGTGTGTTCCTTTGCTTCAGTTTTCAGAACTCTACCAAATCTCCCAGCACCACCTCAGGTATACTAAGATTATTTGGAATGGGATTTCATCATAGAGCCATTGCCAATAATCCAAGTGTTTCCTTCCGAGCATGTGTAACAAGTCATCCTCTTGCTAGACAATTCATCGCTAGAATATATTCAGTCGGGATTTTATTGGATATTACCTTGTACTATACCAATGTTCTAATTGTACAGGTTATCTCTTAAGTATAATGCTAAGTTCCCAGAACGTATGGTCTAAAAATATCTTTTTTTTTATTATACTTTAAGTTCAGGGATACATGTCCAGAACGTGCAGGTCTTTTACATAGGTATACATGTGCCATGGTGGTTTGCTGCACCCATCAACCTGTTATCTATGTTAGGTATTTCTCCTAATGCTATCCCTCCCCTAGTTCCCCAGCCCCAACAGGCCCCGGTGTGTGATGTTCCCTTCCCTGTGTCCATGTGTTCTCATTGTTCAACTCCCACTTATGAGTGAGAATATGTGGCGTTTGGTTTTCTGTTCTGTGTTAGTTTGCTGAGAATGATGGTTTCCACCTTTATCCATGTCCCCGCAAAGGACATGAACTCATCCTTTTTTATGGCTCATAGTATTCCATGGTATATATATGCCGCATTTTCTTTATCCAGTCTATCACTGATGGGCGTTTGGGTTGGCTCCAAGTCTTTGCCATTGTGAACAGTGCTGCAGTTAACATACGTGTGCATGTGTCTTTATAGTAGAATGATTTATAATCCTCTGGGGATATACCCAGTAATGGGATTGCTGGGTCAAATGGTATTTCTGGTTCTAGATCCTTGAGGAATCACCCCACTGTCTTCCACAATGGTTGAACTAATTTACACTCCCACCAACAGTGTAAAAGCATTCCTATTTCTCAACATCCTCTCCAGCATCTGTTGTTTCCTGACTTTTTAATGATCACCATTCTAACTGGCATGAGATGGCATCTCATTGTGGTTTTGATTTGCATTTCTCTAATGACCAGTGATGATGAGCTTTTTTTCATGTTTGTTGGCCACATAAATGTCTTCTTTTGAGAAGTGTCTGTTCATACCCTTGGCCCACATTTTGATGGGGTTGTTTGTTTTTTTCTTGTAAATTTGTTTAAGTTCTTTCTAGATTCTGGATATTAGCCCTTTGTCAGATGGGTAGATTGCAAAAATTTTCTCCCTTTCCGTAGGTTGCCTGTTCACTCTGATGATAGTTTGTTTTGCTATACAGAAGGTCTTTAGTTTAATTAGATGTCATTCGTCAATTTTGGCTTTTGTTGCCATTGCTTTTGATGCTTTAGTCATGAAGACTTTGCCCATGCCTGTATCTTGAATGGTATTGCCTATGTTTTCTTCTAGGGTTTTTATGGTTTTAGGTCTTAAGTTTAAGTGTTTAATCCATCTTGAGTTAATTTTTGTATAAGGGGTAAGGAAGGGGTCCAGTTACAGTTTTCTGCATATGGCTAGCCAGTTTTCTCAACACCATTTATTAAATAGGGAATCCTTTCCCCATTGCTTGTTTTTGTCAGGTTTGTCAAAGATCAGATGGTTGTAGATGTGTGGCATTATTTCTGAGGCCTCTGTTCTGTTCCATTGGTCTATATCTCTGTTTTGGTACCAGTACCACGCTGTTTTCGTTACCGTAGCCTTGTAGTACTATAGTTAGAAGTCAGGTAGTGTGATGCCTCCAGATTTGTTCTTTTTGCTTAGGATTGTCTTGGCTATACAGGCTCTTTTTTGGTTCCATATGAAATTTAAAGTATTTTTTTTCTAATTTGTGAAGAAAGTCAATGGTAGCTTGATGGGTATAGCATTGAATTTATAAATTACTTTGGGCATTCAAAAATATCTTTTTATATTGATTGTATTGTGGAATAATTTTCCAGGCACCCAACAAGTACTAAAAATTAATTGTTGATACCAGAAAATGCTATGATTGAATTTGAGAAACATGATGTCTAAATAAATTTAGACACACAGGGAAGGTCTTTCTATTTTAGGAAATCAGACAGTTTCCTAATGTGACCCAATGTCTCTTATTAGAAATGTCTCCACTTTCTTTCACCTTTGTGAATTCAGATATTCTGGAGTAGTTTCCTTGAAAGTTTGAGCTGAAAAGTCATCTAATTTCCCTATCTCAATGCCTTCATTTCAAAAGTAAGGAAATTATAGGTGATTAATCCGAAGCTTATTTTCATCACTAAAATACTGTAACTTTCAAGTAGAAATTTTTCTAAATGAGGAATTTTTAACTCATAGATCTAAATATATTAAGTTAATTTTAAAAATATCTAAACCCTCTCTGAATAGGAAATTCTGTGCTTTGTTACTGAATAAGAGATGTACATTTAAGAAACTGGATATTCTGATTTGCTACACAAAGAGGGATATAAATCTCTATCTACTTAAATATAATGTGTCTCTAAGCAAATAAATAGACATCATCACCTTCTCATGCCCTGCAATAAAGAGTTCTGGTTCATTTAGCAGTAAAAGCATTTCTGTATTATACTTTTTGCTACAATGCTTGAAATTTTTACTCTTGCTTCAGCACTTCCTATTTCAATATCATCTTCTCTACCTATTTTTGATCCATACCCTTCGGAAGAAGAAATAAAAAAATTAGACTATCCTATATTAAGCAAGCCAAATTCAGTGCCAGAACACTATAAAAAGTCTTTCTTGAGTTCAGTTGTATTGATTGAGAAATCATTTATTGTCTGGGTTTTTTCTGGACCAACATTTAGGAAATTATGGTTCTCCATGGTTATATATAAATGTTGTGATATTGACCATTACAAATACAGATAGGTCTCTTTGTACATTTTTAAACTTAGTTTCAAGGTCTATACTTTACAATTTGCTATTTTCTCTTTGATTACAACAGCGATTACTGTGTATTTAAAATTTAAATTACAGAAAGCATAAAGAAAGTAAAATCATGTATAATCCAACTACACAGAATAACCATGGATAACATTTGGTACGACATTCTTTCGGTATTTTATGTTATAATACCTATGTCTTTTGAAAAATAAATAAATGCCACTTTATCAACCTATAGCTGTTGCCACAAATTCTGAAATAAGAGTATCTAAACTATGACTTTGTTGTGTTAGATATGAGTACTATTTTGTTACAAAGTTTCCCAAATTTTTATAGTCTCTCTCTCTCTCTCTCTCTCTCTGTCTCTGTCTCTCAGGACAACTAGACTTATTAATGAATCGGTTCTTACAATTGGTAGAAAGTGGGTGATATCAACAGCAAGGCTTTATGGTTCTAACTTTGAGAGACAGATTTACATTGCTCTTCATATCACATGTATGTGTTATCATTCTGGACTCCCATTTTGGAGAACAGTACCTGGCACCTATGGACATTCAGATACATATTTTTTTCAATGAATGGATGAATTTTGAATTGGAGGGAAAGGAGGTCTGGCTCTTCCATTCTGGCTTCATGAAATTTCTGTGCATTGGAGTAGGTACTGCATTCCAAGATCTGACACATCATTGAACAGAGTCAACAATAGCTTTATGACTTTACCTTTGTGAACTAATCGTGAAAATAAATTCATTTTACCAATCTCTAAAAGGAGGAAATTACTTTTGAAAAAAAACACAGAAAAAATTAATTTCCTGTAGTAGTAGCAAATGACAAGTGTCAAAGAGTTAAGATTTTCAGAAATTTCTTTATCTCTCATGACTTTTGTTTTATAAGGCACTGTCTTCCAAATGCATATAGGAAAGTTAAGTAATAGAAGGATTCCTTTTAAAGTAAAAAAAAAAAAAAAATCACAGACCCCAAGTCTTGACTTGAACTCTCTTTATGTAATTTAAACACGTATACACTTACAACTAGTTGCAAGCTACTGTTATGCTTGTAGCCAACATTTAATTTTAAAATCTAAGTTTAAATTGGCTCCAAACAAACTATAAAACCTGTAACATTCCAATTAGCAACATTAATGGGGTGATTTTTTTTGGTCCAAATTCATCCAACACGAACAGTATGAATATTATACTGACTGCTAAGGCATGAGTTTTTGGGTAGGGCTGAAGGAGAAGTCTGTACATTTTTCTATTTTCTCTTAAATTGATTTAGTTATTGAAATATACATAGAGAACAGTGCATAGTTCATAAGCATATGGCTTTCTGAATTATCACAAATGAACACCTCGTGTAATCATCACCAGAACAAAAAGGAGAATATCACCATAAGCCCTGACATTTCCCTTGTGCCTCAATTCAATCACCACTCTCATCCTTCTTCCTAAAGGTCACCCAGGAATAGTTTGTGTGTGGTATATTTATACTACTGCATTCCGCATCACTACTTGACATACACTGCTTTTTTTTTAACTACAATAAAAGCTTTATTTTTACAGCTCTCTACAGTCCATTACTGGAATACGAATATTTTACACTTAACTATCACTTTATTTATTTTTATTTTGCCTCTCTTGTTTTAATAAATTCATTTTCACAAATTAAAAATTCTCAGAAATGAGCAATAAACTTTCCCATAATCCTAGGCCATAGAGATAATCACCGTATAAAAGACTACTGATGTCTTACTTTCCTTAAGTTTTCTAAAAATTGTTTTTAATGATTAAATAAAAAGGATTTTATATATACAAAACAATATATGTGATATACATTAGCATGATAACCCTCAGTCATGCTCTACTCTGTAACCTGAAGCTAAACTGTACCAATTCCAAAGCCCTATGGGCGTTTTCCTGATCTCATCTCCTATCTCCCCTTCTTTGGAGTATTAGCTCTTTAATTTTTATGGACATTTTATAAAGTAGACACTAGTATTACAGTCACTTAAAAGTGAGTAAAGGAAGGCTTAGAAGATTTAATAACTGACACCCGCACAGCCAATAAGTGAACGAAACCCAAGACCCTGACTCCAGAATCAGACTTCTAATGATATGTATTTACATTTCTATTAGTATAATGGCAGCTTCCCAATAGATTATAAGTTCCAGGAGAGTAGAACACAGATGTGTCTTGTTCACTGCTGTAACCCCTAGTTACTGGAACTGAGTCTATATCTAATAAATAGATGAGTAGATGGACTGGGGCTGATTATTTATTTACATATACATTTTGTAGACATTCAGCTATTGCTACGGGAAAAACAAAAAACATAAAAAGACTTGAGTTTCTCCTGTGTTGTATATGCACATCACATATATCTAACTCCTTTTCTTTCTCCACGAGTCCTATTCACTCATTCTTGCCCAGCAACTGTGTCACCTCTTTCTGCTTTTTCATGTGACTCGGTTTGTATGTTGCTCTTCACCATGTCTTCCCTGCCTTCTCTTCCTCTTCAAGACTTTCAGACTGCTTTGACTCAGGTGAAAATATTGTTAGAGGGAGGGTGGCCCACTACATGATCATACCCACCCTTCCACTCTTCTCTGGGAATAATCATGGTACTGTTCTAGTAAAAATTGCTTCTTTTTCTGCTTTTGTCCTTCAAAGTGAATCAGCACAAAATATTGAGACTGCAATGTTAAATACTGTAAGCCCTTAAAATTGCAGAACATAAATTAGTCACATATTGCCATTCTTTATCTAGAAAGATGCCATATTCTTTATTGATTTAGTTTCTGCAGCAGATTTAAATATGGCGTGTGTTCCACTTTTATAAAACAAAACTTTATTGCCTTAAATTTGTAAATTCCAAAGACATTACAAACTTTAAATACATTTTTAGAAAGGTTCTTCAAAAGCACATTAATTCAAATTCAGAAAGATGTTTCAGAAGGCCAAGTAAAACAGAGAAATGTGGGGTGTAGAAATAAATTAAGCATAATACATTAATTAACACAAAGCTGAACCCTGCCTTGTTTTTCACCCTGAAAGATAGATAATTAAAAACAACACTGTAAAGCATTTTTCATATGACTCTCAGGTTAATGAATGGATAAGAAATAAGATAATGATATAAAGGAAAACTTGAATGTGAAACTCATAACAAAAAAGCAAGATGTGCATACTTTGATGTTGTTATTCTGTATTTAACTCTAAATTGATCCTATATTTCAAACAACTGCTCAGAGCGTTTCAGTAATTAGCACATCAGGGATGCATTAGTATAGAATAATAGTCTTAACTTTAGGAGTTTTTAAAGGTTTAATAATCCCTCTTCCCAAAAGCATAACATGCAAATAATTTAAATTAAAACAATATATCTCAATCATCTACCAATGCACTCTACTCTATTATTAAATACACACAAACATATAAGCCTACTCATGCGAACCTGAAAATATTAGAATATTAAAATTGTTGAACAGTTCTCTGGGATGACTGAAGATATGAATACATGATAGCAACCCTTTCTGCTCTAACTATACAAGCAAGATTGCTGTTCTGAGAAAGTATTTTCTATCAATCTTATTTAGTGGGGTCTCTTCTATTTCCTTACATCTCAGGGACTTATAATCAATTTTGCTAAAAAGAGTCACTCTGTTTCTGAAATCTTACATTCCAGGATAACATGCTGCTCTTTCCAGTTTCACACCTGTGACCTGTTATTTCAAATTTTGCCTCAGCATTAAAGTACATTTCTGAAAGTTCATGTTGGAATATAAATCTCCTGGATTCAAATATCCTGCAAAGGCATTGGTGACAATTGTGTATATTTGAAACTCTTTGGTCAATTTTAGGTATAAATATGTAATCATGATCTTTATTCAATCTCAAGGCAACAGACTTTTCTCACTCTACCTTTGGATAAATATCCTATGTAAGGCAAATATTTTCCCCATTCCCTAAACATGCTCAGTACTTCCTAGGAAAATATGACCAATCACAAGAATTTTGAAAGAGTTCCTGGGCTGTGATCAACAGGAAATTAGGTCACCTGATTCAAACATATGTATCCAAATCTGTTAATCATAAGGGTTAAAGAAGTTTCTTACTCTCATGGACTCTAAAGCAAAATCCACACAGAAAAAGACCCCAGAATATTCGTTTGAGTTTGATATGTTCTCTAATGTTGTCAGTGAAGCCATAATTCTTAGGGTGTCCTCTTTCTCAGATTATTCTGAGATTATTGGTAGACTTTATACAAGGCCCTTCTGTCCAATATGTGTGGAGTCACCATGAGGAGATTTTTATTAGACATAGAATATTTTTATTGTTGATGAAAATCTTTGATCAGCTATCAGTTGTTCCTTTGGTTGGATTTTGAGCTCCATCTAGTTCAGGGATATCATCATTCCTTAGCAATGTTATCAATGCTTCAAACTCAAGTCAACTAAATGTTATAATAAGAGTAGCTATCATGTATTGAGCTTGTACAACATGTCATATTCTCTCCTGGGGAATTTACATATATAGTTTCTTACTCTCACAAGATAAATTTTGTTAAGAAAGTGCCACATTAGGAAAATTCTCAGCCATCATGTGATCTAGAAATAGGCATCTGTCAATATTTCATACATACGCACACAGACACATACACACACGTGTATGTATGTGTACATACATCTACACATATATTAATTAAATGATTACAGTGCTTTATACTTGTTTAACACTTGCATATTTACAAAGATCCTTTTAATTACAGTGTTTTAATTTATCCTCAAAATAACTTGATAACAATCCAATAGAAAAAAATGAGCAGGAAACCTTAAGCTGGCACTTTAAAAAGAGACTATTCAAATGGACAATAAATGAATAGATACTTACTGGGACAAAGCAAATTAAAACCAAAAAGTGATAGAACTACACATCCACTGGGATGGCTAAAATACCAAATATTTGTAAGAATGTGAAGCAACTAAGATTCCCACAAACTACTTGATGTGACTGTAAATTGATAAACCCGGGTTGGAAAGATGTTTGACAGAATCTACTAAGCTAAACACATTTGTACCGTATGACTCAGTAAATTCCACTGAAATGCATAATATGTCTGCCAAAAGAAACTACAAGAGTGTTTATATAAGCATTATTCATAATGACCCTGAATTGGAAACTACATATGCTCATCTAGAGTACAATAGATAAACATGTTGTAGTATACTGTGGAATATTATATGGCAATAAGAATGAACAAACTACAACTCCATGCAGTGGCATTGATGGCTCTCTCAAATGTAATGCTGAATAAAAGAAGCCGGCACAAAAGAGTATCTGAGGGATGGGGTCTTGAATGAGGTATGAAGGATTCTTCTTCAGTGTTGATGGCACTCTGTTTCTTAATTTGGCTGTTGATAAAATAGATATATTCATTTTGTAAAAAATTCACTAGGTTATGTATGACAATTGGCTGACTCCTCTGTGTGATACACTTTAATAAAATGTTTAAAAAAATAATGTGATGACACTGGCAAAATGCGTATGAATCAATGAACGAATTAATGGCCAAACAATAAAACAAACATTTTTGAGGTATATATTCCCAAATCTCTATATTTTCTGCTACTTAATCTGTTCAAAAATTACTAGCACTATGGATTTGCTGTGATTGCTGTCCTTTAAAATAATCATTTTACATTCAGTTAATTAAATTGCTTAAAACAATTACACAAGTTAAGGGATTATTGATATTAATCAGCACAAAATAATAAACTAATTTATTATTATTTTAACTAATTTAAACTAATTCCTTAAAAAATCATTTCTACATTTAAGCTAAGTTAGCAAATTTTTTTCGTAAATGATATCCTTGTAAACTCATAGATATGAGTAATATTTCCCAGGGAAGCATTAAGCATGCAAAACAAGAAAGTGAGTATGATTCTATCACAAAATGGACCCTTATGTGGTAGTACAGAATAGAGAAAGCTTTTCTGTGAAGTTACACTGGGGGACTTCATTTTTATTTCAAATTTTAAAACCATAACTGTAGTAACTATTGGAGCTCTCCAAGGTACTTCTGTTTGCACCATTTAGTTTTGAATTTCTTTAAAAATTGCCTCAAAAGTTCCAGAGGATGTCAACTCTGACAGTTGTGCATCTCCTAGACATTGAAATAGAAATTGAAAGTGCCTTGTTTGCTAGGGAAGGTTCAATTGGTTCTTTCTATTTTGTCCCTTTTCAGATACTGTTTTAATGCAACTGTGTCAATGGAAGTAGAGGAATTGGAATGTTTGGTATTTCTCTTGATTGGTTCCCTAAGTTCTGAATCCCAAATGCTAAAAAGTTTATAATTATTTCAGAAACAAATAAGAACATGAACTATACCTGTTTTACCATAACGTTGCTATCTGTTTAAACCCAACAGAAATTTGGAGGTGCCGTCAATGAGATTTACCAAGAGATTACTTCATAACTTTCATTGTTATCTTTAAAACCTTAACAAACTTTTTTATATACTAACATGCTTTCCTGTAAGTGAAGCAGAGCCTTAGAGGTAAATCTACCTGGCTGCATGGAAGGTAGCCTTTTAGCAGAATCACTATTACAATGTATTCAAGCAAACACTGTGTCTGCTTTTAGGCATTCAAGTTAATTTAAATTTTGAAGAGGAGGTGTTTAGGAAAGGACATGAGAGTTAAATACAGGAAGGTTCAGCACTGCCTTCTTATCAAACCATCTCTGTCCCAGATAGCATATTTCTAATTTTGAAATGCTATTACCTATGTATTTAATATAGTAATTGAATTCCAGCAGTAAACAGACATATAACTTCCTAGAATCTTAAATTATTTGTATACACTATTAATTCTAATATTTTGCATGCCACCTTCATGATTTTTGCCATACAAAATTTTGCTTATTTTTTGAATTTCAGTAAAATAATTAACATGTATAAAATAGTATTTTCATATGTAAATTACAGAAAATACGCAAGTATCCACTACTCAGCTTAAGTAGTCCTCCCTACCTGATGTACTTCTGTGTTTATAATAATTCTCATTTTTTAAAAAGTAATAAGATATCAGTAAACCATATGGTTACATTTGAATGGCTTTGAATTACATATCAGTGGTAATATATTGCATCTTACTTTGTACCTGCATATTTTTCACTCAAATGACTGCTCTAAGATTTACCTTGTATTGATGTGTGTATCAATAGTGTATTCATTTTTATTCCTAAGTGAAATACCTTTGTATGGATACACTACAATTTATCCAATATTCTTTAATATACATTTATTGTTTCTAGTTTTCTTTTTGCTGTTCCAAACAATCCTGTAGGCTTTAATTTTACTAAGTAATTCAAAATTATTTTTCCAAGTAATTGTATCAATTTATTTTCTTCAGGAGTCCATGGGCTTCCTTTAAATCCACATATTATCAATGCTTGATGCTGTTTGGCTTCTTAATTTTGGATCTACTTAATGAATATAAAATGCTAACACATTTGAGCTCTGATTTGCATTTCACTTCCTAATAATTGTGCTGATCATCTCTTAGTATTTTAGTGTATCATATATAATATATCATTTGTTTGTTTTGTTTTTGTTTTTCCATCCATCAGTAGAACCAGAACATAATATATCTTGTTCTATAAAATATCTGCTCGTTTTTCCTATTTTATTAGGCTGTTTATTGTAGTCTTAATTATTTGTTAGTTATTTGCTATAAATACCTTTTTCCAATTTGTAGTTTGTCATTATAAATTTCTTGAGTTGTGTTTTGATGAATAAAAGGTGTGTATTATAAGAATCATATTGATCAATACTTTCTTTCATGATTAATGCTTTTGAAGTCTTCATTAATAAATCTTTCCTTATTGCAAGGTCATAAAGATATTTTCCAAATTATCTTCTAAAACTTTTACAGTTTGCCTTTCATGTGTGATCTTTAATCTACCTAGAATTGATTTTTCAGTGTGCTTTGAAGTATATATAGATGTTTTTCTGAGTAAAATGGTCTGTCTTTTTATGCACTGATCTGCTGTGCCTTTTCTGTTCTATAGCCATTTTTCTTATGTATGGAAATGTTTCTGTAATTTCTGTTTTGTTGAATTGCTCTACTTGTTTATGTCTCTGCTATATCATCTCTTTTAATTATTATAGCCTTGACATGAATATTGATATCTCTTGGATAGATCCCCTAAATTTATTCTTTTTTAAAATCAGTGTTCAAGTCATTCATAGGCTTTTTCATTTCTATAAAAAACTAAGAATAAGCTTTTTAATTTCACAAAGAACACTTGTTAGGGTTTTATTGTACTTACATGGATCTGTGGTTCAATTTAGGAAGAAGTAGCATAATGAAGATATTGACTTTTTCTATTCAGGAATGTGGATATTGTTCCATTTACTCAGATCTTCTTAAATGCCTTTCATTAAAATTTAAAATCTTTTCCCGTAAAGGTTTCACACGTCTCTTATTAGATTATACTTAATTACTCAATAATTCTGCTACTATCATTTTTGCTTCATTCTCTAACACTTTTATCTCTAGTATATATAAATGTGATTGAATTTTATATTAATATGTACTCAGCAAAGATACTAAACTCTTATTAATTCTAAAAATTTATCTTTCCACCTTCCTTGTATATAAATGTGTCATCTGCAAATTCTTCTTTTTCAATTCATGTTCATTTTTCCTTTACCTTACTGTGTAGGCTAGATTATATTTACTAGCAATGATGATTGTGGACATTTTTTCTTGTTTCCAATCTTTAAGATAAAATTTATATTTTATCACTAAAAAATTGTTAAGTACTTATGTAAGTATGTTTTGTTGTTTTGGTTTGGTATTTTGGCAGATAGCATTAAGGAATTTTCTTCATTTTCTAATTTGCTAATTTCCTTTGTAAAAAAATATAAGTAGATGTTAAGTTGTAATGATTTTTAGCTCTATTGAAGATTATCACAAGGTTTTGCTGCTTTAATTTGTTTTGCTGCAGTAACCAAAAATCCAATGTCTTGGTGGCTTCCAACAAAAACACTCATTTATTCCTCATGTTACAGGATTGTTGTATGTCAAATATATATGGATTGAGCTCCAAATTTCTCCCCTTTCCAGGGGCCATACTGAATGAGCAACCCCTAACTGGGACATTGTATTCCCATGGCAGAAAGCAAAAGTGCAAGGGAGAAAACCAAATCATGCAATTGGGCATGGTGTTTTCTATTTCTTCACATTCTATCAGCCAAAGTAAATCACGTAGCCAAATCCCAGACCCTGGGATTAAGAAGCATGACAGGGTAGGGAAAGAATAAATTATTGTGACTAGATAATACAATCTGATATGTGGTGGATTCTACTAATTGATTTCTTAATGTCAAAATAACATTTCTGGGATTAACCTGACTGATAATGTTGTTTCGTCCTTTTCATACATTGCTAGATATGATTTGCTATATTTTACATAAAACCATTTGCTATATTTTATATAAAACCATATATCCATGAGTGATACTGATCTCTATTTTTTCTTTCTACTACTGCCCTTCTCTCCTTTTGGCATCAGTACAATTGTAGTCTAGAAAAAATAAATATTTATATAATCCTTTTGTAGAATACTCTGATAGAATTTGCAAATATTGCAAATATCAGCTATTTTAAAGTTTGGTAGAATTGTAAACATTCTTGGTTGCATGTGGAACTATTATAAAGTATTGATACAACCTTTTAATTATTATCGTCTTTTCCTCCATTTATTCTTAAATCAATTTAGATAAGCTACATTTTACTAGGAATTAGTCCAGTGCATCTAAATTTGCATTTTATTCTCAAAATGTTTGGTTTATTGTCTTGTTATTTAAACTATCACATCAGTAAATTTGAGCTGTTTTTCTTTCTTAATTTTGTTTATTGGTGTGTTCTTTTATTCTTGAAATACTAGAATTTGCCTATTTTATTGTTTTATTTTAAAGAATATTTGGGCTTACTTTTAAATATCATATTTTAATATTCTGTGTAGTAATTCATCATATGCCTGGTAAGGAGAATTTAAGTTAATAAAAATAAAAAACTTAGAACAATGCTCAGCATACAGTAATCGCTATGTGGGTGTCAGCCAATACTATTATTTCTATTTTTTCTGCTCTTCATTTCATTAACATTTGTTATTATTTCATACATTCTTAAGTTTGTTGCTGAGTTTATTCATCTTGTTTAAATAAATAAAAATATTTAGTGTTATTACACTCCCTCTAAATACTACTTTAGCTGTATCCTACACGGTTTTAACTATTTTTGTTATTGGTCGTTTTCAAGTATTTTTAAAGTTTCATTATTGTTTCTTTGAGCCATGAGTTACATTTACAAGTGTGTTTCTAAAATTTTCAAGTATTTGATCATCTTCAAGTTGTTTCTTTACTAATGATTGTTAACAGAATCATTGTGATCAGAAAATATGGTGTACATAAACTCAATCTCTTGAAATTTGCTAAAAGTTACTTTATGCCTATTATTTAGCCACCTTTTGTAAATATTCCATGTAGATATTGGCAATGTTTTGTATGTTTCATTAAATCAAGCTGTTATTTTTGTTTGTCAAATGTTTTGTCTAAATATTTTTGTCTGCTTGAAGGATCAGTACTGTGTAGGAAAATCTCCCACAACGATAATGAATTGATCAATTTTTTTCCTGTGGTTCTGTCAATCTTTGCTTTATGTTTATTGAAGTATATGTTAGTTACACGTCATTAGTTACATGTAATTTTTTCGTTATACTTCAGTAAATTTCTGCTTTATGTTTATTGTGCTATCTCATTACTATATGTATGTTTATAGTTGTTTAAAGTGAATTAAATTTTAATCATATATTTTGAACAATTAATCTCCAGTTTCTCTAGTATCTTTAGATATTGTTTTAGGTCTTAAACCTATATTATTTGTAATAATACAGCTATATCAGCTTTCCTTTGATTCAATTTGCTTGGTCCTTCTTTTTTTATTAGAGCATATTTATTTCTTTTTTTTCTCTTTTTGAAAATTTTTATAGATTTAGGAGCTACAGTTGTGCATGTCATGCAGTTATGTTACATAGATATATTGCATAGTGGTGAAGTTTGGGTTTTTAGTGTACCCACAACCCAAATAGAGAACACTGTACCAAATAGGTAGGTAGTATGTCATCCCTCAGTCCCCTCTCACTATCCCACCTTTTGGAGTTGCCAACGTCTGTTATTTCACTTTGTATGTCCATGTGTACTCATTGGTTACCTCTCACAAATAAGAACATGCAGCTTTTGACTTTGTGTTTCTGAGTCATTTCACTTAGGACTATGTCCTCCAGTTCTATGCATGTTGCTGCAAAAAAAAAAAAACATGATTTCATTTTTTTAATGGCTGAATAGTAATCCATGGTATATATAGTCCACATTTTTCATCCAATTATCCATTGGTGGACACTTAGGTTGATTCCATGATTTTGGTATTGTGAATAGTACTGCAATAAACATATTAGTCTAGGTGTCTTTTTGATAAAATAATTTCTTTCCTTTTGGATAGATATCCAGTAGAAATGATGGTTCTCTTTTTTGTTTTAAGAGATATTTCCATGCTGTTTTCCATAGATGAACTAATTTACATTTCCACCAATAGGGTATAAATGTTCCCTTTTCTCTGCATCCTCACCAATGTCTGTTGTTTTTTGACTTTTTAATAATAACCATTCTGACTGGTATAAGTTGGTATCTCATTGTGGTTTTAACTTGCATTTCTCTGATGATTAATGATGTTGAGCATTTTTTTTCATATGTTTCTTGGCCACTTATATGTCTTCTTTTGAAATTTTTGTATACTCTTTTACTTTAACTTGTATTTTCACTTCTTAGTCTGATAATCTTTTTCTTTAAGTTAAATTTATCATGATTACTGTTTTATTTGTTTTATTTCTTTCACCTTATTTTATGCTTTTGATTTTTTCCACCTTTTTGGAAATTTTTTTCCACCTTTCTTGTGTTTTTTAAATTAGGGTTTTTTTTGGTCTTATTTCATTTTTTTCTACATTAATATTTAGCAAAACTAATCATTACAGGTTATCCTAGGAAATGTAGCCTACATAGCTTATTTGACAAAGTATGAATCTTATCACTGTCTCACCTGCTTCCTTAACAATAACAGGGCAATGGAAATGTAATTACCTCCCAATTTATATCCTATTATTTTCTAGTAATTTAAATCTATTATTTACCTTTGAATTGTTTATACAGTCAATATTTTTCTTTTTTTTTTTTTTTTTTTTTTGACAGAGTTCGCTCTTGTTGCCCAGGCTGGAGTGGAGTGGTATGATCTCAGCCCACTGCAACTCCACCTCCCGGGTTTAAGCGACTCTCTTGCCTCAGACTCCCGAGTAGCTAAGACTACAGGCATGCGCCACCACACCCAGTTAATTTTTGTATTTTTAGTAGAGGTGGGGTTTCGCCTTGTTGGCCAGGCTGGTCTCAAAACTCCTGACCTCAGGTGATCTGCCTGCCTCGGTCTCCCAAAGTGCTGCAATTACAGGCATGAGCTACCATGCCTGACCAACTGGATATCTTTTCTAATAATCCCTTCTTGCATTTGCATTTCAAACATTCTTTTGGGAGTCAATTTTCTTCTTTTGTTTGTTTGTTTGAGACCGAGTTTCGCTCTTGTCGCCCAGGCTGGAGTACAGTGGCGCAATCTCCTGCTCACTACAACCTCCACCTCCTGGGTTCAAGTGATTCTCCTGCCTCAGCCTCCCGAGTAGCTGGGATTACAGGCACGCTCCACCACACCTGGCTAATGTTTGTATTTTTAGTAGAGACAGGGTTTCACCATGTTGGCCAGGCTGCTCTTGAACTCCTGACCTCAGGTTATCCGCCCGCCTCGGCCTCCCAAAGTGCTGGGATTACAGGTGTGAGCCACCGCTCCCGGCCTTCTTTCTTAAGCACATACTTTAGACATTACCTCAGCACTATTGACATTTGGGACGAGACAATTCTTTGGGTGGGGGGCTGTCCTATGCAATACAGGATGTTTAGCAGCATTCCTGACCTCTACTCACTAGATGCTAGTAACTCCAGTTATTATGATCAGAAATGTTCTAGATATTACCAAATATTCTCATATTCTCTGAATGAGCGGTGCAAATATGGGTACCAAAAATTACTCCCATTTGGGAACCACTGCTTTAAAAGTGTCCTTGTTATTAAACTCTGTCTTGTTCTTTTGAGAGCAATAGCAAAATAGAAACCTTTCCGAAGAGTTGTACACCTCCTAGATTTATAATTCTATGTTGAGAGTTGTTTTCTTTCAGCAATTTGAAGATTCATTCCACTGATTTTTGGCTTCTGTTGTTGCTTTTGAAATACTATTATTCCTTTGAAGCTAATATGTCTTATTTAACTTGTCTTTGAAGTCCTGCAGTTTTTCAGTGATGTATCTAAGTTACATCATTTTATTAATGAATGTAAGTCAGTCTACATTTTATTTGCTCTACATTGGATTCATTTTGACTTTTGAGTTTAAACAGTCACATCTTTCAATGCTTTTAGAAAACTCTAAAATATCTTCAAAAATCTAAAAAAATCTAAATAATCCCTTTAATTATTTTCTGCTTATCTTTCTCTATGACCCTTTACTTGATATCCACCTGAACATATAACTTCTCACTCTATCCTCTATAATTCTTAAGCTCTTTCAGATTTTAAATCTTTCTGACCATCAAGGCTGCCTTTTCGTTACATTTCTTATATCTACCCTCTAATTTTTAAAATTACCTTTAGCTGCATTATCTGCTATTGAACACATCTATTAAGTTTTTAATTTCAAGTATTACATTTCTAATTTCCATAAGACTGTTCTTTTCCAAATTTGTCAGCCATTTTAAAGTTTCTAAATCTTTGTATGTACTTACGATGGTTTTTACATTTGTAAGCAAAATAATTATAGTTGTCTCATAGTTTTTGACAGGTCATCCCAATACTTAAAATATTTGAAATTGTAAAGATTCCATCCTTTTTTTCCTACTGCCTTTCATTCATGATACCTTATTCTTGTGTGTGTTTTGTGAGTGTGTGCTCATAGTCAATATAACTTTATCTAGGAGAACATTATGAGCCCTTCTTGGAAGATTTATTTTCTTTTCCAAGGAGAAGTAGTTCCTGCATACGTCAAGCCCTAGGGAAAGCTAGGTGAAACCCTGTATCACTTTTGTTCTGTATTTGGCATTTTACAGATGGCTCAGGTAACTTAATTTGAGTCACAGCTCTACATCAGTGGTGGCTTGTGATTTTTAGTTCTCATGAAAAGTCTTGTCCTTCCTCTACCTGGTAACAAGCTAAAGGAAAAAATATTCACTGTGTACTTCTGTTGAGTGTAGTTTACTGGAAGCATAGTCTCTTGAGGCTCTAAGTTTCAAGTTGTCATATTTTCAAAGTTTGGTAAACTCTAGATTTTATGTCTTGTTATCTACACAGTGAGCAAATGTTCAAATTTAAGCCCACCATAAACATGGATTGGTAGATGACCTCAGGGTAGCTGTCAAGTTCAGATAATAGTTACCTTCCTAGATTCTTCCTTTCCCTTATTTTGGCTTCCTGGTATTTTTCCTACTTTCTTGACATCTCTGCAATAAAATTAAAAATATCATAAAAGAATTCAATAAGAGCTTTTAGTTATTTTGAAGCATGAACATTAATCACAGAGTTTTTCTGATATACTGTTGAAAATGGAAATCAATTTTATATGCTTTTAAAAACTAGCTTATATAAATAAACTGAAGCCTAACAATGTTATCTACTTTAATCATCCAATAAATATTTATTGAATATATACAACATTCTACTCACTGTTTTAAGCATTTAACATATCATGTGACAGAACAGAATTCATGCCTTCAATGAACTTAGTATATTCTAGAGGGAGGAAATAAAACAACAAACACAAAACAAGTACATAAAAAGAGTAGCTTTGGACACCAAAGAGTGCCATAAAGCAAATAAAGCAAGGTGATGTAGTGGAGTTATCTGAGACAAGGGACCTGATTTATCTAGGAATTGGAACCAGTAGATCTGAAGAATTAAAATATTAGTGAAACCTGAATAATGAGCACTAGACACTCATTCAAAGGGGAAGGGTATTCCAAACAGAAGGAATAGCAGTTGCAAAAGTTCTGAGATACATATTAGTTTGAGTGTTTGAGGAAAGAAATATAGCAGTGTAACTAATTATAGAAGATGAAGAGTTGAGTAGAGGAATATATGGTCAGAGGTAAAGGCACAGGAGAAATAAAGTATATAGGCCATGGTGAGGGATTTGGATATTTTAATAAGTTGAATGTGGAACCACTAGAGTGCTTTATACATGGGAGTAGCATGATCTGATTTACACTTCTGGGAAATCCACCTAGCTGATGTATGAAGAATGGATGGAGTCCGGGCATGGTGGCTCACGCCTGTAATTCTATCACTTCAGGAGACTGAGGCAGGAGGATCACTGGAATCCAGGAGTTTGAGAATAGCCTAGGCAAAGTAGTGAGACCCTATCTCTATGAAAAATAAGAAAAATTAGCTGGGCATTGTGGTGTACACCTATAGTCCCAGCTACTCAGGAGGCTGATGTTTGAAGATCGCTTGAGCCCGGGAGGTCGAGGCTGCAGTGGGCCATGATTGTGCCACTGCACTCCAGCCTGGGTGATGGAGTGAGATCATGACTCCAAAAAAAAAAAAAAAAAAGAAAAAGAAAAAAGAATAGACTAGAAGGTATAGTTCTGACGAAAGAGTGGAATGGATAAAGTTTTGAGAGAAAATATGCAAATAAGAAATGATGGTATTCAACAAGAAAGTCAGAGGACATGGCAGTGACTAAAGATCAAAATAAAAGAAAAGATAATTTTTAATGACCAGAGGAACTAAAAGGCCAGGCTTGGGATGGACAGTGGAAATCTCCAAGAACACTGGCAGAGATGTCAGCAGCTTGTTGCTGACATCATCCATAAATGATATAATGTGATCAAGAAGTTAGCAAATGACAATAAAAAGAAGTAAAGGATGGTAAAATTTGATAAGGTGCTTTAAAGGAGTTGTTTTTTAAGGAGGAAAGGGTAGAGACAGGAAGGACCAGTAGTGGACAAATAAAACACTTATTGTAGCTACAGGTCCTAAAGGCACATGAGGTGTGGGAGAAAAAGAAAAGAAAAAGCACCCTAGGTTTTATTTGAACATAGCAGGGGAACAATAGTCTCAGGAGAGATCAAGTTTTCACTAAGAGTATGGAAGTGAAGAAAATCATAGATGAGTTTGAAGATAGAAGGACACGTTCTTTGGATGCAGTGAGAATTCTCAAAAGTATTGTGAAATGGTTTAGGAAGGAAGTTGTGGGGAGGGGCGGGGGGCAGAATTTATTAGGGATTGTATGGAGTATTTGGAATATTTGGAAGATGATAATTAATAAGATGTTAGAGAATCCAAGATGGTTGAGCTTCTAGCGCTGTTGGAAGTGAACAGAAGTGTGAGGCATGATGACATTAGTGCTGAAAATTAGGGAATATAGAAGTGATTGCAAACCAAGGGACAACTGGCCTCCCTATTTGGTTTAAGTTTAGTTGCCTTCTAGAGCACAAGGTAATGGAGGATCTAAACTCCTAAACTCATTCTAAGCAATAATTTTCATGAAAGGATGTCCTTGATGTGGTAATTCTTGTTATTCTCTTAATCTACACTAAAATAAAGAATATAATTATAAAAATGAAAAAAAGTTTTTCTCTATACCCTTGAATCGCTATCAGTGTTATATGTGTACCATGCTGTGCAAAATACTAGTTTTCACATACCTTATCACATTTGTGAATGCTTTGAAGCAGCAAATTTGATGAGACTAAGGAAGAATAAGGAGGCTAGTTAGAGTTGGTGAGGAAAAAATATGCAAAGAAGCGAAGATGACTCCCTGCATAGTTTAATTGAATTTAATTAGACTAAAGAAAATTAATCAGGGCATAGGATCCATGTAGCAAAATACCTGATTATTAAATCATTGGATAATTAGAAGTAGAGAGTGATCAAGATTTTCTTAGTAACAACCCAAGAATGAGTTGCTTATACAAGATAGCAGGTTAGGAATAGTCTCTCTTTTTCTAGTTTGCAACAGTTTTTATTAGTATTTAGAAAATTTTTCTATCATCAGTTTTTTAGAGAGGTATTAGAAAAAGAACTCCATTTATGAAATGACAAATTTAGTTTTTTCTGGTAATTTCACATTTTTGGTGCCAAACATAACTTTTCATCAAAATACATAAAAAATATGTTAGTGAGCTATATTTAAAATCTTGTGTTCTTAGAGTCTATGTAAGTTTTTAAAATCTCAATTATAAACAAGCTCATTCTTATTTGTAGACAATCCAAAATCCTCTACTGTGACTTTGGATTTATTCAATATACCTATAATAAAAATGAGGATTTTGTTTGCTTTTTACACTCAATAGTGGTAAGACAATAAAAGAATACAAATTGCAATTTGACATGACTTGTGTGATAGAAGATTTTTTCAAGATTATTTTAAATCATCTGTGTTCTTACAGAATTTATAAAAAGAAATGAGAAATGAAGTTCAGAATACATATCAAAATTGTGAGCAAAATCCAAAGAATTTTTTTTCACTTTTCATAATGCTTTTATAGGAATAGAAGTACACTTTCAAAGTTAATAATAAATGATTACAAAATGAGTTGAGTATGACTAGTTAAGAAAGAAGTAGAGAAAGACCAAGAGTGATATTCAAAATATTTAACATCTCCACATCTGAACTAGCCATAGCTGGGGCCTGATGTAAACAAGTTTTAGCCCTATAATAGTGATATGTCCTTTGTGAAGGGCTGGGAAGCCAGATCAGCCATAAGAAGAGCACTTGGGGAACTTAATGCTGAATCTTTTCTGTTAAACACTTTGACTGGTAAATACATTTTTTCAATATTTAACAATCAGTATGTATATCTACTGTATACTAACTGAAAACAATATTGCCCATCCCTACCTAATACTTCTATATAAAAGGACATCATATATTGCATATGGAATAACTAATACCTTATACAAACTCCAATTTATTATTGTAATCTACGATATTTCAATTACTTTCTCTGTCTCTCCTTCCTCTTCTCACCAAGTCTCATGAAGCAGTGTAGTGCAGCAAGAACAGGATGCAATTAGAATTAGATTCAGATTCACATCCCAACTTCACTATCAACTAATTGTGTATCAGTGGGCAAATTATTTAACTTCTTTACCATTCAATGTCATCTTCTGTTAAATGAGGCTTGTGAGTTTTAGAGACAAAGAATAAAAGATATCCAGCATAGCACCTGCTGTATGACAGTTATCCAATAAATGGTAACTGTTGCTACTGCTTTGAGAATTGGGAAGAAATTGCTAACACAATTTTTCACCTGGAGTTTTATCCAGGATTAGGCTTTAGGATGTCTAAGAATCCTCTAAAATTAAAAGTGAAAGAGGTTATATGTGCACATATGCACTTCTCTGGAGAAAGGGTCAATAACATTTGTAAAGTTCTTAAAGGGTGTCTTGAATTTAAAACAGTTGGAAAGAAAAAGTGAAGACAAGTTGGCAGAAAGAGGAGGGGGAATGACATGGAAAGAGAAAGAAATGAAGATCAGGGGGAAAGATGGCAACTAAACAGAGGAACCAATGTGGAGAATTTGCAGAGAATGCAGACTATAGCATTGGCATGGTCTTGGAAAGAAAGTTGAGTTGGTAGAAATGAGTAGAGGAGGTCAGCTAAAAATCAGTGAATCCGGACAGAAAATATTGCAGATTTGTCATGGTTTCTGCAGTAAGGCAGTGATTCTTAACAAATTCCTGGGAAGCTATTATATTTTAAATCGCTTCTGTTTCACCTTTCCTTGATACTCAAAACAATTTACATAGCTCAATTTATTGTAATGAGTGTTTTACATTGATATTTCTATCCCATTTTGAGACATCCAAGCCATTTCATCACTGTAATATTATCATATTGTCTGATGCTACTTATTTTCAATACTAATATTAGGGTTTGATGAAGCTTATTCAGAATGCTTTTCCCTACACAGGTTAAATGTTTAGATTTGCATTTCAATTTCTATTCACTCTTGACAGCTGATCATTTTATTATCTTGAAAATTTTCACAGTGGGGCAACAGTTAATGATGGCTTTCTCAAAGAGCAAACTAATCAGCACTACATGAAAAAGGAGAATTTAGTGATAATCAGAATCATGTGTTACTGTAAGAGGAAAGTGAAAAAGAGAAATTCAACTTGAATTTATTGTCATTAGTAAATCATCAAGAATTATCATCAAAATATATCCTCAAATAAAGCTAAATATGAAAAAGAAACAGATGTTGATGAAAACATAACAAGAAAAATTTCTGCAAATGTAAAATTTTTTTCTCAAACACAAGAAGGTAAAATGTGAGTATTGAAATTAATATTACAGGATACAGTGTCTTAAAATGCATATTCAACAGACGTCTGCCATGTGCCTACTCTGTGCCAGGCACAAAACTCATAGCAATCATATTGTCACTTCACAATAATGCAATTACTGATTTTACAGATGAATTACCCATGGCTACACAACCTTAATAACAACTAGGTTTACCACGAACCTATCATGTGCTTACACTTCTCATTGATTGTCTTTCATCCTAATAACCACCATGTAAGAGAAGCCTTACTTTTATATCCCTATTCTCACCTATTAAATAAGGCCAAGATAAATAATTGGCTTATATAGCTGGAAAGGCATCAGAGGAGTAAGAAGAACCCAAGTCTTTTGACCTCAAATTCAGTGCTTTTTATGCTATTTCATATTTATTCATTTACTTATTCTCAGAACAAATATTTATTGTGCACATAATAATTGCCAGGCATTTATTAAAAGCTGTGCACACAATCATGGTGAATAAACATTCTTATTCCTTATTCTAATGGAGTTTATACACTTTTAGGTGAAACCAGTTGTAAACAAGCAAGCAAACAAGGGCTATAAAGAAGAGTACAGTTTACTGAGATCAAAGAAAGGAGGGTGATCACAGAGGACCTCTAAAGGAACTAGCTGTAAAGAGAGAGCTTTTATATGTTCCTGTCAGACAGAAGATGTGCAAAGACTCTGAAATAGCAGACAGACTAGATTTGCTAATTTCTAATGAACACAACAATCAAAGACTTTTTTGGCACACAGGATAAAACTGTGTTTTTACATAGATCATATAAATTGATTGACTAGTATTTCAGGTATCTGTCTGTAATTTGCTTTGCCTAAAACAAGCTTATTTGAAAATAGAAGCATATATATTTCACAAATATATGTGAAATCCACAATAGTGTGTAAGTAGTGTGTTAAATGAATGCATTTTACTGTCATCAATACTACATGGAAAATCAGAATTTTAATGCAATCTAATTTTCTTTTCTTTTCTTTTCTTTTCCTTTTTTTGAGACAGAGTCTCGCCCTGTCACCCAGGCTGGAGTACAGTGACGCGATTGTGGCTCACTGCAACCTCCACCTCCTGGGTTCAAGCGATTCTCCTGCCTCAGCCTCCCGAGTAGCTGGGACAATAGGTGCGCGCCACCATGCCCGGCTAATTTTTGTAGTTTTTAGTAGAGACGGGGTTTCACCATCTTGACCAGGCTGGTCTTGAACTCATGACCTCATGATCCACCCACCTCTGCCTCCCAAAGTGCTGGGATTAGAGGCGTGAGCCACTGCGCCCAGCTTAATTTTCTTTAAAGTTGAAAAAAGCATCATACAACAATAATATGAGAGTTTGGAATTGCTCCCTTATTTAAAAAAACAAAAAATAAAAAATAATTTAAAAAACCCAACATCAGGACCTGTTATAACCTCTGCAGACTCTGAAAAAGAGATGATGCAATAGTTCTTTGGAAACATCTGTCAGTGTCATTGGATTGCTCTTTCTTCTCATTTCCTTTTCTAAATGTGTAGTATCTCCTTCTCAATATTACATGACCTTTATCCCATGAAGTTTATGATATTTTCATTACCTAAAATAGCTTCTTACCGAGACATTTTTTATGTATCAGAATTCACAGATCCCTGTCTATACCACAGACATTGAGCCTCCAAGGTATCAACGATATCAACAACTGACACACCTCATTTGGATATAGGGAAACGTTTAGGGTTTTTACGCCTTACAGACACTTTCATAAATAATCTTCTATTACATACAATGACCTTTCATGTTCATAAATATAAATAACGCTCTCAAAAAATTAAAGATTCCCAACCATATTTATTTTTTTCACTGTATTTTATTAAAGATGCAATACCCCACTTTCTGTTTAACATCTGTTTTATCTTTTATAAACTTTCTTTCTTGCTATGATCTTTCTTCCACACTGAATTCTCTACCTTTCCAAATTCCTGTTGAAAACAGGAATGAACTGTTTTGGTAACCTCCTGAAAATTTGAGGGATAAAAATTGATTTTATTTTTCCTAACAGGTGAAGACCCAAAGAGTTTGCATTGACAGAGCACTTCTCTATTGGCAGGCAGGAGGTAGCAACTGAGCTATAACACTGTACGGTTAGGGCACTGGAATCGTAATATTGTCACATTGAATCTTGCATTGGAATGTATCATTCTTCAAAACATTTTGAAAATAATTTTAATGTGTGGTAGTTTCTTCAAAATAATAATAAATCAAATATTTTAAAAGTTACTGTAAGATAGATTCCTTGTCAAATAAAGGGCTATCTTATTGTACAGAACTTGTTGTTAACAATCACTGGGAAGCGTGGTATAGAGGAGACAATACTGGGGTCTACTGGTATCTAATAAATTAAGTCTTTTTCTCAGTCCCACCTTGAAGTAGCTGTATGATAAACAGATAGTTTAACTTCTCATGGTGTTTATTTCGACATATACCATTTTAAAGGTTGTGTTAGATTTAACACATTGTAATATTTCAAGCAGGTGTTTTTTGTTTGTTTGACAGTGTATAAAAAATAACTGAATTAATTTCTAAACTGAAAAATTAGGAGTTTTTGAACAAATCTAACAGGCAGAAATTCCAGAATGGTATAGTTGAAATCAACAGCAGCATCAACCAATTGAATATAATTAATGTCTACAGAATACTTATTCAACAACAGCAGAATACACATTCTTCTAAAGTTCACATGGGACATTCACCAGAATAGAACACATTCTATGCCATTAAGCATACCTTCACATTTAAAATAAAAGGAATTGTACAATGGATACTCTCAGACCACAAAGAAATTAAACTGGAAATTAATGACAGAAAGATAACTGAAAGATCCTCAAGTACTTGAGGATTAAATAACACATGGGTCAAACAAGAAATTTTAAGAGAAATTAAAAAGACTTTGAACTAAATGGAAATTAAAACAGAATTTGTCATAATGTGTGGGATGCAGAGAATGCAGTACTTAGAGGGAAATGTGTAGCATTGAATGCTTATATTAGAAAAGAAGAAATAAGTAAAATCAATAATCTAATTATCCATTTTAGGAAACCAGAAAAGAAGAGCAAATGAAATCCAAAGTAAGCCTAAGAAAAGATATAACGAAATTAGAGTGGAAATCAATGAAATGAAAATAGGAAATTAATAGAGGAAAACCGATGAAACAAAAAGCTGGTTTTTTAAAGTGAGCAATACAATTGATAACCCTCTAGGCAGGCTAACTACATAAAAACAGAAAACACAAATTATTAATATCAGAAAGGGAAGAGGAGACATCACTACACATTCCTTGGATATTAAAAAGAAAATAATCTTCCAAAAGATAAAATACCTGGCCTAGATGAGTTCAATGGTGAGTTCTACCAGAAATTTAAGGAAGAAATTATAACAATTCTCTATATCTCTTCAAGAAGATAGAAGTAGCAGGGATACCTTCTAATATTCTATGAAGCCATCATTACCCTAATACTAAAACCAGATGAAGATATTACAAGAAAAAAAACTAGAGACCAATATCTTTTATGAATATAGATAAAAAATACTTCAACAGAATATTATCAAATTCAATTCAACAATGTATGAAAAGAATTACATGCCACTATTGGCCAGGCGCAGTGGCTCATGCCTGTAATCCCAGCACTTTGGGAGGTTGAGCTGGGCTGGATCACTTGAGGTCAGGAGTTTGACACAAGCCTGGCCAATACAGTGAAACCTCGTCTCTACTAAAAATACAAAAATTAGCCAGGTGTGGTGGCGCATGCCTGTAATCCCAGGTACTCACGAGGCTGAGGCAGGAGAATTGCTTGAACCTGGGAAGCAAAGGTTGCAGTGAGCCAAGATTGTGCTACTGCACTCCAGCCTGGGTGACAAAGCGAGACTGAGTCTCAAAAAAAAAAAAAAAAGAATTATATGCCACTATCAAGTAGACTATATTCCAGTATGCAATATGCAAGGCTACTTTAACATTTGAAAATCAATTAATGGAATCCATCACATCAACAAGCTAAAAAAGAAAAGTTAAATGATCAAATCAACAGATACAGAGAAAGCATTTGTAAAAATCTATCACTTGCTCATGATAAAAACTCTCACCAAACTAGCAATAGAAGGTAACTTCCTCAACTTGATGAACATCTAAAATTATCTAAAGCTGCCATTATACTTAATTTCAAGAAACTAGTAGTTGTTCCCTCTAAGATTAGAAACAAGGCAAGGGTGTCTCCTCATGTCATTCTTTTTTGGCTTGTACTGGAAATCCTAACTAATGCAACAAGACAAGAAAAGGAAATAAAAGCTTTAAAATTGGGAAGGAAGAAATAAAACTCTCTTTGCAGATGGCATTATTGTCTGTGTAGAGCATTCAAAAGAATTAACTAAAAAATCCTCCTGGAACTAATAAGCAATTATAGTAAGGTTGTAAAATACAAGGCTAATGTACAAAAGTTAATCACTTTCCTATGTACCAAGAATAAATGATTGGAATTTGAAATTTAAAATATAATGCTAATTACATTAACACCACAAAAATGAAATGCTTAGTTATAAATCTAACAAAATATATACAACCTCTACATGAGGAAAACTATAAAACTCTGACAAAAGAAATCAAAGAGGAGCTAAATAAACGAAGAGAAACCCCATGTTCATAGACAGGAAGATTGCCAACTTGATCTGTGAAACCAGCACAATCTCAATCAAAATTCCAGCAAGTTATTTGTTGATATAAATATCAACAAACTAATTCTAAGGTTTATATGGAAAAGTAAAAGACCCAGAACATCATATTCAATATTAAAGGAGAAGACAAAAGTCCTAAGACTGACATTACCCAACTTTAAGACATACTGTAAGGCTATAGTAATCAAGACTGTGATATTGACAAAAGAATAAACAAACAGATCCATGCAATGAAATAGAGAACTCAGAATTAGACCCATGCAAATATAGTCACCTATCCTTTAACAAAGGAGCAAAAACAATATGATGGAGAAAAACATTGTCTTTTTGACAAATGATGCCAGACAAACTGGATGTCCACACAAATAAAAAAATAACAATAATTAAAAAAAAAAGCTGAGCCTGTACCAGTAGATTTGGTGTCTGGTAAGCACCCCCTTCCTGGTTTATAGTTGGCCGTCTTCTTCTTGTGTGCTCCCATGGCAGAAGGAATGAGGGTGCTCTCCAGGGTATCATTTATATAGGCAATAATCTAATTCCTGAGATCCCCACCCTCATCACCTAATCACCTACAAAAATCCCCACACCCTGATGCCATAACATTGGGGGTTATGATTATTTCAACTTATATATTTGTAGGAATGCCACAAACTTCCAGTCTGTAATACCAAAGCCATCTAGAATTTGTTATTTGTTATCTTCTATGAGTTTTATAGTTTGCCTTTTATATTTAGTTCTATGATTCATTTTGAATTAATTACTGTGGAGATCGTAAACCTAAATGAGAATGGAAAATGGTACAGTCACTTTGGAAGACAGTTTGGCAGTTTCTAACATACACTTACATATATCCAGCAATCACACATTTTGGTATATACCCAAATGAGTTGAAAACATATGTCCACACAGAAACCTGTACACAGTTGTTTATAGCATCTTTATTCATAATTGCCAAAACTTGAAGCAGACAAAATATTTTTTATGTAGGTAAACAGATAAATAAACTGTAGTGCATCCATACGATGGAATATTATTCAGCAATAAAAAGCTGAATAAATAAATAGTAATAAAAAGCTTTCAGCCATGAAAAGACATGGTTTAAGAAGGTACTTAAATGCATATTACTAAGTGAAAACGCCTATTTGAAAAGGTTACATACTGTGAGATGACAGCTGTAAAACATTCTGGAAAAGGAAAAACCATGAAGAAAGTCAAACAATCGGTGGTTGCAAAGGGCTCAGGGAAAGGGGGAAGATGAATAGAGTGGAGAACAGAGGTTATTTAGTGCAGTGAAACTATTCTCTATGAAACTATAGCGCTGGATATATTTCATTATAGCTTTTCAAAACTTGTAAAGTGTACATACACCAAGAGTGAACACTAACAGTAAACTATGGACTTTGGATGATGATGGTACATCAATGTAGGTTCATCCATTATAACAAATGTACCAATCTGGTGCAGGTTGTGGATAGTGGAGGAGGCTGTACTTGTGTGTACGTTCTGCTCCATTTTGTTGTGAATCTAAAACTGCTCTAAATAATAAAGTATATTTAAGTGGCAGTTTTGCATAAGAATCCCATTTTCTAGCAGCAATCTGCTAAAGCTGCCTTAGCACCTTTAAAGGAGACATGCTTTCTAAATTGCCATGGTCCCTTCTTAGCCCATTTCTCATTTTTCTTATCTGTAGTCATTTGAATTTGCAATGCTTGAGCTTGCAATAATCAGTATTTCTTTTAAACTAAATCTAGCCAAACAAATCTCTGCATTTTTCCTTTGTATTTTTCTACTCTCCTTTGATGCTCCACAGCAAATATGCCTCAAAATTAATCATTGATGCAATATGCTTATATTGCAAAACTTTGTTTTCTACCATATGACCAAAACTTTGTTTTCTACCATATCATCAAACATGTCAACCAAAATGTAGTGTCCTAATAACATACCCTGGGTGCAGTCTCATAGAAGTGGAAAGGAGAATAGTTACTTTGCTACTTTTATGCTCATCTCTCCTTTCTCATCATTTTCACTAAATCAGCGTAATGACTTTTCATGCTTCCTCATATTCTCTATATGCTTTCGATTTATGATTTATTTTCTTACAAAAAATGATGGATAAGAAAGTTAGGGGAAGTCAAGGAGATAGAGCAACAGAAAACTGAATTTGAGACACATTTCTATACCCTTACTCCTCATGTATTATGTTGTGCATGTGTGTATATATACATACCACTATTTTATGGTCTTTACAGACTTTATGATCTATATAGTCTTTTTATAGAATGTTTAGAAGACTAACATGAAGGTTGTATAGAAACAAGTCAGTGGATTTATTGTTTGTGCTTCTGTTTCTCTAGAAAAACAGGCATCATGTTTTACTTCCAAGACAGTATTTACAACAGACTAGCTATCCACACAGATCTTTCAAATTTCAAAAGAGAACATTTAAAATATGCTTGACTTTCATGTTTTACAAAATTTATATACAGTACAATGGAATCTTTTTGAAGGGCTTGACACATAAAGTAATAATTTTAAGTGATTGTAGATGTACATAGTTGTATCTTTTTAAAATGTATTATATTGTTGTTATTTGTGCCAAATAGTTGATCAGGGAGCTGTTCCTATGAGAGATGTATACTAGAGATGTCATTGTTATTATCATTATTAAAGACAAGTATTTTTGAGAACTATCGATGTATCAGGAACTATGCTACGAATTGATATGCTATCTCAAAATATGACCACAATAATTCGTTTTTTGTTTTTTGTTTTTTGAGACGGAGTCTTGCTCTATCACCAGGCTGGAGTGCAGTGGCACCATCTCGGCTCACTGCAACCTCCGCCTCCCAGGTTCAAGCAATTCTCCTACCTCAGCCTCCGAAGTAGCTGGGACTACAAGCGCGCGCCACCACGCCCAGCTAATTTTTTTTTTTCTTTATTTTTAGTAGAGATGGGGTTTCACCTTGTTGGCCAGGATGGTCTCGATCTCTTGACCTCGTGATCCGCCCACCTCAGTCTCCCAAAGTGCTGGGATTACAGGCGTGAGCCACCACGCCCGGCCAGACCACAATAATTCTATGAGCCAGATATTATTATCCTCATTTTGCAGATGAAGCTTTAGATTGTCCAAGATTTCACCACAAATAAATGGCAGAGCTGGGATTAAAACCTTGATCTGTCTGACTTTGAATCTCGATGCTTTAAAAATATTAAAATTTCATCAATATCTTTAAAAATATTTATTACATTGAAAAGAGGAATAATAAACTTTTTAATTGATCAATTTATTTTTTAATTGATAAAATGCATGTGTGTATAAAATTATATAAATTCATTATGTACATGATGTTTTGAAATACGTATACATTAGGAAATGACTAACTCAAGCTAATTAATGTATGCATTACTTCACATACCTATTTTTTCTTGTGAGAACACAAAATCTACTCTCTTAGCAATTTTCAATAATAAAATAAATTATTATTAACTGTAGTCACCTAATTGTACAGTAGATCTCTTCAATTTATTCCTCCTGTCTAATTGAAATTTTGTCTTTGATCAACATCTCCTAATCCTGCTCCTCCCCTTCCCCTGTTCCTGGTAAACACCATTCTACTCTCTGCTTCTATGAGTTCAGCTTTCTTATATTCCACACATAATTGAGACCATGTAATACTTGTCTTTCTGTGCCTGACTTATTTCATTTAATATAATGTCCTCCAGGCTTATCCATTTGTTGCAAATGACAAGAATTTCCTTCAATTTAAGGCTGAATAGTATTCCATTGTGTATATATACCACATTCTCTTTACCCATTCATCTGTTGATTCCATATCTTGGCTATTGTGAATAATGCTCAGTGACCAAGGGAGTGCAGATATCTGTTTGACATACTGATTTCATTTCTGTTGGATATATATATAGGAGTGAAATTGCTAGATCATATGGTCATTCTACTTTTAGTTGTTTGAAGAACTTCCATACCATTTTTTATAATGGTTGTACCAATCTACATAACCACCAACAGTGTGCAAGGTTTTCCTTTTCTCCCCATTCTTACCAACACTTATTATCTTTCATCTTTTTTATAAAAACCATTTTAATAGGTAGGAGGTGGTATCTCGTGTGGGTTTAATTTGCCTTTCTCTGATGATTAGTGATGTTGGACATTTTTTCATATACCTGTTGGCCATTTCTATGTTTTTTTTTGAGTAATTTCTATTCAGAGCCTCTTCTCATTTTGAAATGATTGGATTATTTATTTACTTGCTATTGAGTTGTTTGAGCTCCTTATATATTTTGAATATTAAACACATATCAAATGTATGGTTTGTAAATATTCTCTCCTATTCCATAGGTCTCTTCACTCTAATGATTGTTTCCTTTGTTATGTATGAGCTTTTTTTTTGGATTTCATCCATTTTTCTATTTTTGCTTTTGTTTGTGTTTTTAGGGTCATTTCAAAAAAAAAAAATCATTGCTCACACTAAGGTCATGGAGCTTTTTTCCTATGTTTTATTCCGGTAGTTCTAGAGTTCCAGATCTTAGAACTAAGTCTTTAATACATTTTGAATTGGTTTTTGTATATGGTGTTGATTTAAGGGTCTAATTTTATTCTTCTGCATGTGGATGGCCAGTTGTACCAAAATAATTTATTGAAGAGACTGTTCTTTCTTCATTGTATGTTTTTGGCACTTTTGTGCCAATTGACCATAAATGTGTGGGTTTATTTCTGGGCTGTCTATTCTGTTCCATTGGTCCATGTATCTGTTTTTAGGTCAGTACCTTGCTATTTCTGTCACTATAGCTTTGCCGTATATTTGGAAGTCAAGTAGTGTGATGCCTTCAACTTTTTTCTTTTTACTCAAGATACCTTCTGCTATTTGGGCTCTTCTGTAGTTCCACACAAATTGTAGGATTTTTTTTCCACTTCTGTGAAAAATGTCATTAGAATTTTGATAGAGATTGCATTGACCCTATATATTTCTATTGATTTATGTCATCTTCAGTTTCTTTCATCAGTGTTTTATAGATTTCAGTGTACAGATCTTTCACCTCCTTGGTTAAATGTATTTATTGAAGCTATTGTAAGTGAGATTGTTTTCTTGATTTCTTTTCTGGATAGTTCATTGTTCATGTATAGAACTGCTACTGATTTTTGTATGTTGATTTTTGTATACTACAACTTTACTGAATTAATTTATTAGTTCTAATAGTTTTTTAGTGAAATCTGAGATCATGTCCTTTGCAAACAAGACAACTTAATTTCATCCATTCCAAGTTGGATGCTTTTTATTTCTTTCTCTTGCCTAATTTATCTGACTAGGACTTCCAGTACCATACTTAATAGAAATGTCAATCAATAATTTCTGTTGAGTTCATCACAGTATCTGTATAAACACAATAAACAACAGGAATATGTAGTTAGGTGGCATAGTTTTACTAGGTTCAACATCATACCTTCTAAATCGAGAGCTTAGTTAGGCTTTTCCCTTAAGCCTCAGTTTCCCCCAAGTGAAATGGAATTATAACTCTGGGTTTCCATGAGGATTAGATGAGAAAAAGTAAGGCCTTTGGCATAAAGTAAGGCCTTACCGCTCAATGGTATCTGCAGCTACGTTAATTCAAAAAATGAAAGAAGGTTTTATCCAGATTCAGATTGCTTGACATCCATCTACCTTCATTCAAACAATCTACAGCTTTTAAATACTTTTAAAAATGTGTATGCTTTATAAAGAAAAGCAGCTTTTTATAAATATTTGTTATGAAAGTGTCAAAATTGGAACTTGTGTTTATAAAGTATCTAAAGTGCACTATTACTGTACAACAGGGGTCCCCAGCCCCCGGGCCATGGACAAGTGACAGTCCGTGGCCTGTTAGGAACTGGACCACACAGCAGGACAGCTAGAGATGAGTGGTAGATGAGCGACCATTACTGCCTGAGCTCTGCATCTGTCAGATCAGTGGTGGCATTAGATTCTCATAGGAGCGTGAAACCTCTTGTGGACTGCACATGTAAGGGATCCAGGTTGTGTGCTCCTCATGAGAGGATCTAACTAATGCCCAATGATCTGAGATGATCTGAGGTGGAACAGTTTCATCCTGAAACAATCCCCCACACTACCCCTCCCCCCACACTCTCCACCACCCCGTCCAAGTCTTTCTAACACTGGTCCCTGGTGGCAAAAAAGGTTGAGGGCTGCTTCTGTATACTTGTTTTTCAAAATATCTCATGTAATCATCATAAAAGTCTTGCTAAATGGTATTATTATCATTCCCATTTTCAGGAAGGTAAGTTAAAGGCTTCAAAAGTTTAGATTTTTCCCAAGAATACACTGCTAATGTGTAGTTTTGAACATACCAGTTTAGATTATTAAGTCTCGGCTCTTTCCCCCATATCACAAACTCAAATTTCACTGCTTTGTAATTTTCCTAATTAAAATGAAAAATAACTATGAAGTTTGTGGGAAACAAAACATTTTTCTTTAATATCCTGTTTTACAAATTTACAGAAGAATAAAACTTTAAAAAGTGGACAAAGATCATGAACAGACTTCTCAAAAGAAGACATATTTGTGGCCAAGAAGAATATGAAAAAAAGCTCAATATCACTGATCATTAGAGAAATGCAAATCAAAACCACAATGAGATACCATCTCACACCAGTCAGAATGACTATTATTAAAAAGCCAAAAAATAGCAGATGCTGGTGAGGATGCAGAGAACAGGGAACACTTCTACCCTGTTGGTGGGAGTGTAAATTAACTCAACCATTGTAGAAAGCAGTATGACAATTCCTCAAAGAGATAAAAGCAGAACTACCACTTGACCCAGCAATCCCATTACTGAGCATATAGCCAGAGGAATATAAATCATTCTACCGTAAACACCCATGCACACAAATGTTCATTGCAGCACTCTTCACAATAGCAAAGACATGGAATCGACACAAATTCCCTTCAATGACAGATTGGATAAAGAAAATGTAGAACATATACACCATGGAATACTATTCAGCCATTAAAAAAAAGATTGTGTATTTTGCAGATGGAGCTGGAGGCTATTATCCTTAGCAAACTAACACAGGAACAGAAAGCCAGGTATCGTATGTTCTCACTTATAAGTGGGAGCTAAATGATGAGAACTCAGGAACACAAAGAAGGGAACAACAGACACTGAGGCCTACTTGGGGGTGGGGTGGGAGGAGGGAGAGGAGTGGAAAAGATAACTATTGGGTATTGGGCTTAATGCCTGGTTGATGAAATAATTTGTACCAGAAACCCCCATGACACAAATTTACCTATGTAGCAAACCTTCACATGTACTGCTGAACCTAAAATAAAAGTTTTATTTTTTAAATCCTGTTTCAAAAATTATGCACTAAGATACTTCTCTCTTACATTTTATAGTATCCATATTTCAGAATTAATCTTGGACATGCATACAGAACATTTTACCAATAAAAAATGGTCAGTATACCTTTGGGCAGTGTTAGTCCTTCATAAGTGTTTCAAAAACTTAGCAGTCCTCCTTTACATGAAAGCATGCATTTTTCAAGACAATAAGTAATTATTCATGTTTTTCAATATGCTATCTCTGAATGCTACTCATGGTGTGATTCTTCTCAGAGTTTTGGAGGGTAGAGTGTGGCTTTAGTTATACGTACCTACCTGCTGACAGAGCCTCAGTGAGTTCACAGGCTCTTCTGTTTATTTACTCAGTCACTTACTGAATATTGGTGGAATGCCTCCTACGTATCAGATATTATATGGGAGAATGAGTACAAAAGCATACACAACCCTTGCTCTGGTAGAGCTGAACGTCTAGTAGGGGAGGCAGACATCAAATAAACAGTCATGCTGATGGGATGAAAATTGGCAACTGAGTTAGTTTCCATGAGGGAGAATTACCCAGTGCTGCGAGAGTACCTGACAGGAGAATTTAACCTTTTCAGGAAGGTCAGAGATGGCTTTGCTGAAGAGGTGACATTTGAACCTAGGCGAGGAATGAATAAGACTTGATCCAATGAAGAGGAAAGGAAAATTTCCCTTCATGGTAGCAGCATATGCCAAAATTTCTTGCTAGCTTCTTTCATACTTTTGTAGATATCATATATTGAAACATAGCCCTCAAGAATATTCCTGAACAACTGGATCCTAAATTATGTAAAAGATTCGCTATAGAATTACAAATGAACTACCAAAATCATAAGTTTTTGGCTCATACATATCTTCACACAAAAAAATCATTTTTAACTATACAATCATAGAAACAATTATGAAGCATTTTTATTGACATATGAGGTAACTTTATTACATTATTTTTGACCATGGAGAAGTGTGGAAAAGCTTTAGCCATGCTGAATTCTCTAAAGACCTTCCAAATTACTACCATGTGCCAGAAATTATTCTAGGCTTAAGTGATTCTAAGAAATATAAGATAATGCCCGTGTGCTGCCAGCCCACAATCAAACTAAAGATCTATAATAGCAATGAGCTAAATAGCATGTAATATGTAAAAGGTCAAACTCTGTAGCTTATTTAAGTGCTGTAAGAACGTAAAGCTGGAAGCAACTGTTTTTCTTCAGTCTTTACTGCATTCCTTTGCTTTACCTAATGGCCCAATATATTAGGAATATATTAACTGTCTTATATGAGTATCACATGCTATCAAATAACCTGGTGTCATTACAATAATGATATATTGTTATTGCTGCTTAGTTGTATATATGAAGGTAAATGTAGCTATGTTTAATTATACTCGGTTACTGACCCAACAAAGAGAGATTGAAGAATTCCTTTTAACTTAGAGTAAATGTTCTGAGTTGAAAATAACCTCTGAAAATTCCACTTTCTCTCTCTCCCTCTCTCTCTCTCTGGTACCAGTATACAATGGCAACAGATCACAGAAGTCTTTCATGCAGAAATGGGAGATCAAGACCCATTTCTATAGGATTTGTTCTCAGGTTCTGCCATTGTCGTATTGAGATCTCATGAGAAATCTCTAAGAGTCAGCACACAGAACAAGAAAACACATGCTGTACTATTATACACAGGCAATGTGACTTATCAGGAGAGAGTTAATATTTAAATAACTTCAAAATAATAAGTAAATATTACAAATTCATTGAATACAAAATAGCACTAGACAGTTGTTATTACAGATCTAAAAGTAAAAATCACTTTCAAATGTTTGGCATACTTTTATTCTCTAACAATTTACCATTTGTGTAGAGTTAAGCTTCTCTCAAAACAAAAAGTCTTGTGACATAATTATTCTGATATAATCTTAAGGAAATCTTCAGCATACAAAAAAAAGGTTTTGGTGCATGTTATTTCAAAATCCATTCATGCATAACAAAGAACATGCTCTTTCTCTGAGGTTTCCTGTTGAATAGATTAGAGGAAGAAAATACTTAGGTGAATTTATTTAATAATTGATAGTGGAAATAGAGTCTTAATGAAATTTCCATCTTCCTGAAACATGAACTCTGTATTTATTACTTCTGTTATTACCTAATACTGATGTATGTTTAATTGTTCATTGTCAAGAATGACATGTGAAACAATGTCCTGCCAAAACCTGGAGAATCATGTCTGAGCATTTTATATGTAGACATAAGTAAGCAAATGTGTAATGAGTGCTTAAAATGGTTATAAGACATCTACTGGAAACTTAAGAGAAGTATCTTCCCCCACCTCACGTCCCACCACCCAGAAAAATTTAGGTAAGCTCTTAAAGAAGGTAGCATTTGAACTGATCTTAAATCAAGAGTGAGCAAAATTTTTTTGGGGGGGTGGTAAAGGTCTAGATAGTAAATATTTAAGACTCTATAGGCCAAGAGACAAAATCATAAAAAAACAGGTGGAAACCTGGATTTGGCTCTGGGCCACAGTTTGTCGACCCCTGACTTAAAAAGTAAGATATGGATTGGAAGGAAAAGAATATTCTAGTCTGAGAAAAAGCATAAGCAAAAGCACAGAGATGTGTATTCATGGAATGCTAACAGGCACATGGAGAAAGTAGAGAGAGAGGAAACTGGAAATGTATTGTAGGCTAGACCATGGAGAGCTTAGCATGATGTGGTTGATATGGTTTGGCTCTGCGTCCCCACCCAAATCTCAGGTGAAATTGTAATATCCATGTGTTGAAGGAAGGACCTGGTGGGAGGTGACTGAATCATGGGGGCGGACTTCCCCTTTCCTGTTCTCATGATAGTGAGTTACTTCTCAGGAGATCTGGTTGTTTGGAAGTGTGTGGCCCTTCCCTCTTTGCTTTCACTCTTTCCTCCCACCATGTGAAGATGTGCTTGCTTCCCCTTTGCCTTCCACCATGATTGTAGGTTTCCTGATGCCTCCCAACCATGCTTCCTGCATAGCCTGCAGAACTGTGAGTCAGTTAAACCTCTTTTCTTCATAAATTACTCAGTCTCAGGTAGTTGTTTATAGCAGTGTGAGAATGGACTACTACAGTGTTAAAGTTTAGTTAATGGAAAAATACTGCAAGTTTATAATAGGTAATTCATTAGTAGCATTTACCAATCACTTCTTATGAACCAATATTATGCAGAATTTGACTCCAGATCCTATATTCTAACTCCTATGATTTACTTATCTTTATGAACATCATTAATTCAATAATTGTTTATTTAGTACCCACCACAGGCAAACTAGGGATATGACAATACATACAACATAGTTCTTATTCCCAAGGTGTTTAGGGTTTTTTGGATCACAAACTACAAAGGGATATGTATTAGTCTGTTATCACACTGCTAATAAAGACATACTCAAGACTGGGTGATTTATAATAGAAAGAGGATTGATTGACTCAGTTCAATGTGGCTGGGGAGGCCTCTCAATCATGGTGGAAGGCAAATGAGGAGCAAAGTCACGTCTTAAATGGTGGCAGGCAAGAGAGCTCGTGTTAGGGAACTTTCATTTATAAAACCATGAGATCTCATGAGACTTATTTACTACCACGAGAACAGTATGGGGGAAACCACCTTCGCGATTCAATTATCTCCACCTGGCCCTGCCCTTGACATGTGGGGCTTATTACAATTCAAGGTGATATTTGGTTGGGGACACAGCCAACCATATTAGGATATAAACATAAAGAATCTGTAAATGTGGCCACACAAATTTAGGGATGACCCCCATAGTTTTTAAACAATTAATCCTACATACTGTGAAAGCCTCATATGTAATAGGGGCTAGCTGCTTTTTACTGTAGCTATTAAGTATAACTATTCCCACAAAACACACTGGAACACATACACACCAACACACAAAAAAACACGTCAGAGCCCTGGTTGAGTTAGTTTAGGAGACTGCGGCAACCCTGGGCAACTGTAAATCTCTTAGCAGTTTGGGCTATGAACTACTTAACTAATTAACATGACACCCATGCCATTAGGTGGACACATAAACTAAGGTTCTCTATCTTTTCTTTTTGGAGCCAGCAACCTCATGGCCCTGGGAAGTCCACATTGAAGCCCCTCTGTATTTATTGGTACTACTGACCGACTTTAGACAAAGTCTGTATGTATTTGTTTTCTATTGCTGGGTAATGAATTACCACAAGGTTATCAGATCAGGTTAAAACAATACACATATATTATCTCATAGTTCTGTAAGTTAGAAGGCTGAATGGACTCAGCTGGGTTTTTTGCTCAAAGTTCACAAGGCTAAAATCAAGATGTTACCCAGCCTGGGCTCTTTCCTGGAGCCTTTGGAGAAGAATCCTTTTCCAAGCTTATTCAGGTTGTTGGCAGCATCTAGTCCCTTGCAATTGTGTATCTGATGTCCCTTTTTCTTTTTTTGCTGTCATCTGAGGGCTGCTGTCTGCTCCTAGAAATCACCCACATTTCTTCTCTTATGGTCCCCTTTGTCTTCAAACTGGAAACAGCTCATCAAGTCCTTCTTAGAGTTTGAATCTCTCTGTTTTCCCTTGCAGCCACCAATTAGAGGACGCTTTCTGCTTTTGAGTGCTCATGTCATAGAATAAGCTCATTGAATAAACTTCTCATCTTAAGGTTAGCTATGCTTAGCTATGCCATGCAACATAACACAATCACAAGAGTGGTATCTCATTATATTTCAGGTTTTGGAGATGACAGCTGACATCTTTGAGGGAAGGGGCCGTTCTGTAGTGTGGAGTGGAAACAAATGGAGAATAGAAAGAGAAAGCAGTAAAAGAATAGGTAGAGAGGACAACATAGGTTATGGGCTCTGAAATGCATAATATACCAGATAAATTCATCTTCCTCTATTACAGTGTGATGGATCACATTGATGTATGAGAAGCAGATGCAACAGTGTTGTATTTTAGTAAGGCCTTACTCTGTCCTACGTGGGCATTCTCAGTTCTAATATATACAGATAAAACATAAATATATTTGCAAATATAAATCGCTTATTGGAACTCTCTTCTTGTTTTTCCTGGCTTGAATCCTCAAAACATGGTATGTTTTGCTGTATACACTGAGTTGACAAAACTAGTTCTTGTATAATTTGACCACATGGATTGTATATCTTTTCAAGCCCCTATAGATTTCACGGTGTTTGGAAACCACTCATTTATGCCTTTGTAGAATTAGATGGGCAAATAACTGTGACTGGCTTATCAACAGGGAAAAGGGTGATTTGTGTAGATCGAGAGATGTGTTACATGAGAAGTTCAAATTCTCTCACTGGACAGCAATGTAAAAACTTTCCCAGGAAAACATACACTCTCTGGGTGTTACCAGAAACTCTCAGTGTGACCTCATTTGGGAAAGAGGACAGAGAGCTGGAGGAAATGGATACTGTTGTACATTCTACCCATGCTCAATGCATAATGAAAAATAATGAATTGACTTATCCTCTTTTGCAAAGGAAGTCAGTCTCTAGGAAAGTAGGGGAGAAATACACATGGTTTATAACCTAAAAAAGTCTAGATAAAGTTTCCCAAGATTTCACAAATCTGAAGAGCAATGTCTTCTTTAATTTTAACGTTTATAGAGATGATATACAGATGATAAGAGTTCAACACATTCTAAATTTGCAAATGACCTCAGATCAGCATGGTACCTCTGTTCCATGGTGAATTTTTTGTTTAAAAATTACATTTTGTAATAGGCCAGGTGTAGTGGCTCATGCCTGTAATCCCAGCACTTTGGAAGGCCAAAGCAGGTGGATCACAAGGTCAAAAGATGGAGATCATCCTGGCCAAGATAGTGAAATTCCGTCTCTACTAAAAGTATAAAAATTAGCTGGGTATGGTGGCACGTGCCTGTAGTCCCAGCTACTCAGGAGGCTGAGGCAAGAGAATCACTTGAACCCGGGAGGCGGAGGTTGCAGTGAGCCAAGATCACGCCACTGCACTCCAGCCTGGTGACAGAGCAAAATTCTGTTAAAAAAAAATGCTTCAATAAATATAAACTCAAATCAAGCAGAGGTGAAACAAAGTAGTGCCATGGGGATTTTTAAAAACATAAATATTCTCAAACATACACTGATTTTGCTAAAACAGAGCAGAAAAGTTGTACTTATTGCAGAGAAACACTAGTTAAATATAAGTAGGCAAAATGGTAATGATTTTTAGAAATTTATATATACACACACACATATATTGACTAAATTTTATTGACAAGATCGTTATTTTCTAAGGTCAAATAACCCTGGTTAAATAGGCATTCTGCATATTTTGCAGTGTTAGTGATTTAATGAAGCAGTGTGTTAAATATAGTCTTCACTTGCTGTAAGGAGGTTTAAAGGTTTTTGGAGAAGATAAACTAAAATAATTAAGGAAAAAAATAGGACCTCTGAGGAAAGCAATTAGTGTCATTTTGTTTGGAAAAGACAAAGCAAAGAGGTTTCTTCCCCCAGGTATGTGACACATTAGTACAAAAAAAGAAGTTTATTCTAAATTGTGACTGCTTAACTAAAAGTTGTTATTAAAATGAATGGCCATTATCTCTTACTAGCGAAGTATTGATAGATAAAATCTTATATTTGTACTTTGGATAAATCCTAATGTTGGTCAGATTTCAAACCACTGAAGTACCGTTTTGGTTATATTCAGGACAGGATGGCTTAGCTTACCATTTTGGACAGAAAGAATTGTAGATATGTTGTGATAGAAACTAAGGGAGCTTTTTCACTGATAAAAATAAATAGATCCAATGTATAACGCTACTGGGTATTTTTCTGGGGTGGGATCATTAGTCACTTTTAACTATTTTACGTGGACAACTTTATTAAAAAAAAAAGAAAAACTTTAATGTACTAAAAAGACACACCACTATCAGTTTCTTCTTATTTAAATCACTTCTTACTTGCTAATTTCCTTTCAGAGAAACAGGTTATTTGTTGATACTGAGTGGGTCATTGTAAATAGCACAGATACAGCGCAGTCTTTTCCTCAAGTCCATTTGTTTTTCTGAATTTGCCCAAAGGACTTCCTTTTACCATGGACAGTTGATGTGGGGGGCGGGGGTAGGAGGGAAAAGCAGGTAAGAAAGAAACATACCACAGAAAAGATAGTTAAGAGGAAAAGAGCAGTATGGTGGTGACTCCAAGCCCATAAACTGAAGAACCACGGTGTTTGCCCACTAAATAACGAGTTAGAACTTTCCATTATAATGTTCCCTTTATCCCCTGAGTGTCAGTCACTATTTTTAAAGGTCCAGACAACTCTTACCTACTAATATATCAGTCTGCTCAATTAATCATTTTTCTTTTTTCTTTTCTTCTTTTTTTTTTTTTTTTTTTTTTTTGAGATAGAGTCTTGCTCTGTCACCAGGCTGGAGTGCAGTGGCATGATCTCGGCTCACTGCAACCTCCACCTCCTGGGTTCAAGCGATTCACCTGCCTCAGCCTCCCAAGTAGCTGGGACTACAGGTGTGCGCCGCCATGCCTGGCTGATTTTTTGTATTTAGTAGAGACGGGGTTTCACCATGTTGGCCAGGATGGTCTTGATCTCCTGACCTTGTGATCCACCAGCCTTGGCCTCCCAAAGTGCTGGGGTTACAGGTGTGAGCCACCTCGCCCGGCGGTTAATCATTTTTCTTTAAACAATTAAATCCACTTTACTTTTTCCATAATGTAAATGCAATTTCATTTCAGCTATAAATTTTCACAAATACTTTTCCTAATATTTATACTTTAATTTACTGTGTAATTAGAGTAAAAAATATTCTGAGAGGTTTTGTTTTCTGTTTTTTGGGTTTTTTTGTTTGTTTTTGCTTTTTTGTTTGTTTGTTTTTGCAAATAGGTTCTGATAAATTCCTCAGTGTGCTAGCTAAAAAAAAAAAATCAATAGTCTGAATGGTCATCACCTGGGGCTGCTCTGAGCCAGTCTGCTGCCCTGCTTGATACAAAAAGTTTGGAAGGTGAACAGCCTTAGCATTATTTGATAAAAATTACCATAAAACACTGGAAGGGCAATTCTTAGAGTCATTAAAATATTTCAAAGGAAGAAATTCTATTAAGTCTGGATTTCTCTAAGTAATAGCTTGGGCTGTGTAGTTTCAAGCTTTAATTGCATAAATATTTCTATTTTATCTCCATTGCACTCCATAAAATATTCTTAAAATTCTCAAACCATATGCATTCTTTCATCTTACATTTCCCCTAGTGCCCATAATTTGACCAGCATGTTATGCCTGGTTAAACTGTTTCAGCTTAAAATTAAATACAGTTGGATATCTGTGGTGTTTTCTTTAGCATTTGTCTGGTTACTTAGTGCTTCCTCCAGCCTCCTGGCTATCCACTCTCCATTCTACAGGAATAGCAAGAACACAGCTGCATGATGATGTGGATTTTGAGTTAGGCAAGTGTCACTGCAGCCCTAAAGCACGTCTGTGGCTTCCAACAGATATGTACAGGTGTTTCTGCTGCCAGGTGTTCTCTTGCTCCTAGGAGCCACCACAGTGTGATATAAATGAAAGACGCTCTATAACAGCAGAAATGGTCCTCCATGAATCATTCAACTATTGACAACAATACATTTCTCCAAGAGCCCACAATGTATGCTATGCCTTTTCCTGTGGAAGTACTGTGATTAGCTAAACTGAGAATCTTTCATTTAAGTAACTCAGAAATATGTGCAATATGCCTCCTGCACATAAGACCTTGTAATAGGGTCATGGTACATACAGAGACAAGATTCAGAGACAAGAATTAACTTAAGGGCTGTACAACTCATATGTTAAATTTTAAGAAAAGCATGTACAAATGCAAATTTAAAATAATAAATATTAAATGGCAAGATAATGATGTAAAGGCAGTGTTTTAGCTCAGTGCCTAACAAATGGGATAATCAATACATATTTATTGTTGTAATTAATATACTAGCTGAGTTGTGATTACAAATTGAGTGCCTTAAGAGTCCAGACAGAAGCCGTCACTGTGAAGTATTTAATTGTGCAAAAATACTAAGGCTTGAGATCCTGAATTTAACCACAGCAAAAACTCTCGTACTCTATACTTATCTATTGGAATTTATTGGGCTGAAGAGTCTTTAGTTTCATTTGAAATATGTCCTCTGAGTGGCCAGATCGTTGTCCTGCTTCTTTATGAACAAACAAAATAAAATAACCATTGGGGCTCCATTGAAACTGAAATGGCTAAGAAAGGCCTTCCAGTTATTAAATATATCTAAATTCCTCAGACTCTATGTTCATATTTTTAAATTAAGCTTTTTATTCTGGGATAATTATAAAAAAAATGCAGTTGTAAGAAATAATGTAGAGAGATCCCATTTCCACCAATGATAACATTTTGCAAAACTAGTTTCCACCAATGATAACATTTTGCAAAACTATACTACAAGATAGCACCCAGAATATTATCATTGATGTAATCAAGATACAAAACATTTCCCTCACAACTAGTTTGCCTGTATAATCACTTCCCAACCCCTTCCTTAATCCCTGACCTCTAGCCTGTTCTTCACTTCTGTAATTCTGTCATTTCAAGAATGTTGTGTAAGAGGAATAATATACTATGCAATCTTTTTTTTTTTTTAAATACAGAGAAGGTCTCACTATGTTGAGGAGGCTGGTCTTGAACTCCTGACCTGATCTCAAGGGCTCCTCCCATCTCAGCCTCCCAAAGTGCTGGGATTATAGGTGTGAGCCATGCCACCTGGCCTAGGAATCACATACAATGTAATCTTTTAGTAGTGGCTTTTTTCAGTCAGCTTAATTTTCTGCATATTAACTCAGGTTTTTGCATATATCAGTAGTTCATTTTATTGTTGAGTAGTATTCCACGATACACATGTACCATAGTTTGTATAACTGTTCATCTGTTGAAGGTAATCTCTGTTATTTATGGGTTTTGGCTATTATAAATAGAGATACCATAAACATTCATGTACAGGTTTTACATGAGCATAAGTTCCAGGACTGTAATTGTTAGGTCATGTGGTAGTTCTGCGTTGAGTTTTTATAGAAATTGTCAAACTGATTTCCATAATGGCTGTATCATTATACCTTCCCATCAGCTATGTCTGAATGATCTAGTTTTTCTAACCCCCACCAGCATTTGGTTTTATCAATATTTTTTAGTTTAGCCATTTTGACAGATGTATGGTGATATCTCATTTTGGTTTTAATTTGTACTTCCCTAATGGCTAATGAGGTGGAACTTTTTTCATGTGATTATTTGCCATCTGAATATAGTTTTCAGTGAAAATCTCTTCATGACTTTTATCTATTTTCTAGTTGGGTTGTTTGTTTCTTTCACTAGTGAGCTTTGAGAGGTCTTTACATATTCTAGATACCAGTCCTTTACTGGGTATGTCATTGCGAATATTTTCTCCCACACTATATCTTGTCCTTTTTGCAGTAAAAAGTTTTGATATTAACAAAATCCAAATTGTCAATTTTTCCTTCCACGTATCATCTTTTGGGTGTCAAGTCTAAGAATTATTGCCTATTCTAGATCCTGAAGATTTTCTTCCATGTTTGGTTCTAAAAGTTTTGTAGATGTACATTTTACATTTAAGCCTGTGATACATTTTGAGTTAGTTTTTGCACAAGGTTTGAGACTTGGGTCAAATTTCATTTTTTTTTAATGTATATGGGATGTCCAATTGCTCCCACTTCATTTGGTGAAAAAGGTATCCTTCTTCCACTGAATCATTTTTATAACTTAAAAAAAATAGGCAGGCATATTTATGTGGGTCTATTTCTAGGTACTGTGTTATATTCCATGGATCTATGCATCTATGCTTCCACTAATAACATGCAATCTTGATTAGGGTAGCTATGTTATAAGTCTTGAAATCATATAGGCTAATTACTTCCATTTTAATCTCTTTCAAATTGCTCTAAAACTATTCTACTTCCTTTGCTTTTCAATATAAAAATTCATGCAATATTGTCTATGTCTACATAAAAAATATTTTGCTGGGATCTTGATAAGAATTGTGTTAAACCGGTATAGCAATTTGGGGAGAATTGAAATAGTTACTATTGAGTCTTCCAATCCATGAACACACTTTGTCACTACATTTATTTAAATATTTGATTTTTTAAAATCAGCATCGTGTAGTTTCTGGCACAGAGGTGCTATACATTTTTGTTAGATTGACACCTAAGTAATCTTGGTAGTGATTGGAAATGGTGTTACATTTTTAATTTTGGCTCATGGTTAGTATATAGAAATATAATGGGGCTTTTGTATATGTCTCCTGTGCCCTTACTGAACTCATTTATTAGTTCAGGAGGGATTTTCGGCAGATTCCTTAGGATTTTTGTGTGCCATCAATCATGTGTACTACAAATAGGAACAGTTTTATTTCATCCTTTCCAATCCGGATGCTTGTGCTTCCTTTTCTTGCCTTATTACACTAGAATTTCTAGCACTGTGTTCAATAAGAGTTGTGAGATTGGACATTTTTACCTTGTTCCTAGTCTTAGGGGGAAGACATTCAATCTTTCAGACTCTCTGATATTGTAATTTTGTCATTATGGTTAGCTTTTATGTCAGCTATTTTAATGCTTTTTTAAATTTCCATAACAGGCCAGGTAAAGACTATACTGAAAAACCTTCTAATGTGCTACTTGTATGCATGAGCTTTGGGGTTAGTCAGGACTAGCTATGATTCCTCACTCGATCCATTTCTAGTAGTGTTACCTTGGGCAAGTTTCTTAAACTCTCTAAGTCTCAGTTTCTTCATCTGCAAAATGGTACAATGCATTCATTCATTCATCCAATAAATGTAAATGTAATATTTTTAAAGAATTGATAATAAAAGTGCCTACCTATCTCACACAACTGTGAGGATTGAATGAGATAATGCTAGTAAAATGATTAGCACAAGGTAATAATTTAAATTTTAGCTATCATCACTGTTAGTGTTAGATAAAATAGTGTCGAATGAAAGATTCTCCTGTAAGAATGTATTTAGTTGTTCTCAACTGGGATGAAAAGAGTGATCTTTCTGCAACACCAAGGGATGTTTGTTAATGTCTGGAGATATTTTTGGTTGCCACGGCTGGTGGTAGGGGGAAGTGTGCTATTAGTATCTAATAGGCAGAGGCCAAGGATTGTGCTAGGCATCCTACAATGCACAAGACAGCATCCCCGATAACAAAGAATTATGAGTAAGGTTCAAATGATAATAGTGCCAAGTTTGGCAAACCTGATTTATATGGATAGATGTCTGTGCGTGAATATGTTAAAAATAGCTTGCAGTTCACCAGTGAATTTCCATTTCCCGTTTAATGCTTGGACTAAACCTACTTTCTCTAGGCCCTCTTATCGATTGGTCTCCCCCAGTTTAGAACTGCCCTTAGTCTGGTATGCTTTCAATTATTTATTAATTTATGCTTAATGATCTGAGTTGGGTCACCAGCCAGAGAGTAAATGTTTGCACACAGAAATTTCATATTCCTTGGAAATAACTAACTCCATTTTTCTAGTACATATTGCTGATAGTCATCAAATACATTTAATCACGCTTCTTTCGACTTTGATTTTTTGATCTTAGATGCTGGTTACTTTTTAAGCTCTTGCTCTTTATTACTATTTCATCAACCGTTCAGAGTTAATGATGTGACATGTTGTTTATCAGTAAGGTTCAGTAACAGTGCTAGAAATTTTCTCTTCTGCTTTCAAAATGCAGAAATTTAATTTGTTGTAACCCTAAGCCATTAATATTTTCTGTTAAAAGTACTCCAAACAGCAATGCATATAAAATGACCTCATATTGATATTCAAATCAACATTTGAAAAACTGACTTAAAAAATCAGTATAAAAAATGCAACTGATGATTAAGTAAAAATCCTTTCCCAAGGGCACCAATATAAGGCAGAATCTAATTTTATGTGCCTCCAGTGACTGTTTTGTCTTCTCGTGAGTTTTGTCATTGACCATAAGCACTTTTATAGCACAATCCTTGGTATTCGAAGGTAAAGCTAGAAATGTCCAAGGAGTACCTCCAGATCACGTTGCAACTATCACCTCAATGTCAAAAACAATCTAGCCAAGAACTTTATCCTCAAGTATTATATTATAGCTAGAGTGTGCTTCCCATTGAACGATAAAATGTGAGGGGTGCATCCTATTTAAAAAATGCTCCTCCATAGGCTTGCCATTGATTCTGAATTCCCTCAATCATGGTAACCCCTTTGAATTAAAATGTCATTTCTCACATGATACTATCAAAAGATAATTCAAACACAAGCACTAAGAGATGTAACACACTACAACTTTTCATCAACTTACATGTAAACCAGCATGTTAATGTCTGGATCTGAAGGAGCTAATAAATCACAACAATCTCTTCTCTGTCTTCCCAAGATCAGATAGAGATCAGCACATCAATTTTCTTTGTTTTGTTTTTTTAATCAAAATTGTATATATTTATGATGTACAACATGATATTTTGATATACGTCTACATCATGGAATGACTAAATCAAGCTAATTATCAAAAGTGTTACCTCATATACTTGTTTTATTGTGAGAACACTTAAAATCTACTCTCAGCATTATTAAGTATACAGTATGTTGTTTCTAACTATTGTCACCATGATGTACGATACAGCTCCTAAACTCATTTCTTCTTTCTAAGTGAAATGTTTTATCCTTTGACTAATATATCAGTTGATAGCATATGAGCTTTCTAATTAGTTAAATGGATTAGAGAACAAGGCTTAGATGTTTGGCCACTTGGAACTATCGGGTATGTTTCTTCCACTAATGCAAGATGATCCAGGGGATAGTCTGCCAAGCAGACACCTACATGGAAAGTTGCAAGGGGAATCACTGCCTTACTCCACAGGCCCTGGCAAAGGAAAGAAGAACAGGTCACATAGGGAAGGATTAAATGATATGGAAAGAGACTAGAAATGTGGAAATTCTCCACATGAAAACAAGAGGATGGAATTCCCCTAACCATTAACATGGAAAATGGCACTATCAACTTTCAGAGATGAGAAAAAGAGGTGCAAGAAGGCACATTTTGATGTAGGCAAAGTCATGGGGGATTGTGAGGAGTAAAGAAGAAAGAAAAATCCAATATTGAATTTTCTTGATTGAGCCTCTAATGAATTCCTTTAAGGGGACTCCTATAAGATTCCATAGTTTGAAAGAATGGTGGGGAGGGTGGTGGCAAGCAGCCAAGTGTCCCTAGATTAAGTGAAGAAACAGATTGAATAACTGCAAAGTGTTGACAGTAAAACTGTAAATGACAAAGCAAGATCTATTACTCAGTAAAATGTATCAGGCTAGCCTTGCAGAGCAACATTCATAACTTGGGCCATTGAAGGAAAATAGAATAAATAGCTTTGTTTTCTACCCTGAAGGGATTTATAGGTTAATCCTGTGATGTTATTTGCTTCCATCCATGTTAATGAAATATATTGCTTCCATTTGTGTGAAAAAATACCTAAAAGCAACAGAATATGATCAGTTTATTAAAATGTGCACTTGTGATGTGACATGAAGTATGTGATGACTATGTCATGTCAATGAACTTTTATGTTCAGTTTTTGGTTTGGAATTAAAATGCTTATGCTTTGAATCATCCAGGCCTGGCAACAAAAAAGAAAATTTTATCTAGACAGTGAAAAAATAAGAGCATAAGAAACTAGCCAAGGCTGATTTTGCATGGATTAGGAAACACGATGAGAGTCCAACAGCTAGCAGGAAGCAGTAATCGACACGACATTGGCTCTCTGGTTGACAGCACTTGGCAACAGATACAATGACTGTCTTACAAACAGAATGATCCAGGTAAATGCTGGGCAACATTCAAAAACAAATCTTTTCTCAGAAGAAGATGAATGTTTTAGATACATATAATAATTTCTTCTTTTCCGTTTCTACCTTTGGCTGAGATTCTAATTTACCCTGATTTGATAGTGCTAATTTTAGGCTGTCTTCATGAAATAATACCACCCCACAAAATCTTGTTGCCAAATGGAAAAAAAATGTGCTAAATAAATACTTCATTTGAACATCAATTTGGAAGGGATACATTTTATGCATAGATACTAAAATACCTGAAACCAAAGTAGGTGTCAAAAAGGAAGCTCTAATGAAATGGACATGGGCTCTTCCAAGAGAGGTAAAGTGAGCTTTTGATGTATTTCGTAAAGTGAGAAAAAGAATTATTCGTAAGAGAGAGCCCACTAAGGAGGCATATTTGATAGCTTTTTCTGGCAGCAAGATGTTTCCAAAAATCCCTCTGGCTTGTGGATGAAAACTCATAGGGAATTTGAGCTTTCTTGTGTGAGAAAACAACAGGGTTTTCAGCAGCTTCTCATAAGTTAAAAATTTCAAATGTTTAATAGCAAAGAACTGCACTCTCGCTGAAAATTTTGTCAGTGGTCATTTTGCACAAGATAAAATGGAGAAACATTCTAAGTCAAGATTTTGTCTTTTTCATTAGGCAACAAAGACAAAGAAGAGGTGAATAGATCACAACCAACATAGTTACTATTCAAAAAGAATTAGCAGGAATTGTGATTCAGATATGTGCATGGCAGCAATTTTAGGCCTGTGTGGGTGGGTGTAAAATCAGCACTGAGATTTGCAAAACTTTAAAGCCAAAAATCTGGACTAAACACATAGATTCTTGAGGCAATAGATAATTCAGAGCACCCCAGATCAATCTGGAATAAGCAATGATTACACATTCTGAAATAGGCAACAGTTCTATAGGGAAAGAGACCAGAAAAAGTATAGTAATATCTTGGGGACCTATTATTATTATAATTATTTATTATTATTCCCAAGAATGGCAACTTCATTTCATTTCTCTGCCACTGGATTTTGAAAAACTTAAGGAGACAAACTGTGTCTTACCTATTTTATATCCCAATGTCTAGCTCATATCCTGGCATACATTAAATATTTGCTGAGAATTGAAATTATAAAGCAACTGCAGATTATGACCTCTGGGTCAGATATGCTAAATCAGCACTGTCCAATAGAAATTTCTGGAATGATAAAACTTTTTTACACTGTCCAATATGGTAACTACTAGCCACATGTATCTATTAAGCAGTTGAAACATGACTGGTATAACAGAAGAACTGCATTATTAATTTTATTTAATTTGAATTAAGTAAAATGTAAAATTAAGAATTAAGTAGCCACATGTTAGACAGTGTGGTGCTATATTTTACAAAAGAATAAAGAGAACGGAAGGTGTTGGTTTTCTGACTATTTTAATATTTTTTGACTATTGTCTAGCTACCCTCCCAATTTGTCATCTTTCATCAAGAAACCCAAAGTAAAGAAAAATAGTCTTATATTTCAAGTTAGTGAACAGTGACAGGTCTTTTTCTTATTGACTTTCATTGACTTTCTTTTGCTTCCTATTCCCTCCTATAATCTTTGACTCTGTCTATAGCCAAGCATAATGGAAGAATACTAAGCACACAGACCTGCTGGACTTGCACTGGAACCGCGGAGACATTCCTTAAGGCCCTGGGTCTCAGTCCCCTCATCGGTGACATAGAGATTACAATGCTCACCTGATAGGTTGGCAGGAGGATTAATGGCAATATTCTTAGTTCCTGCTGCAACACTTACACATAAAAGGCAGTAAATTGTAGCTGATACTACTGTAGTTGTTGCTAGGATAAGATAATATGCTAATTGCTGTGAAGATATTGAAAGATATAGTTAAGTACCAATATTTTTTCTGCCCTTTGTCAATATGTCCCTTGTCAATACGTCATCCTAGCTGCTGATATAAAGACGGCATGCCCTTCTACCAGGACCTGCGTGCTTTCAAGGTCTCTGTGTTACCTATACAAAGAAAGAGAACCCTGTGTTACCTATATTTTCATAATCCTAGCACAGAGACTGGTATTTAATAGTATTTAATAGTGCTTTAAAATGATTATTGAATTTAAATGATATAAAAATATAGTATTTACTGCTGCTGCTAAAGGAAAACAATGTCCTTATAGTACACAGCGATGAGTAACAGCTATGAGTAGAAGATATGATGAACAGAAAACATCCCATTAACTATAGTAACATTAATTTCCCACACAACTCATTCGTTACACACACAGATAAATACATATTCTAGGAAAATGTTTAACAATAAATGGTAAGGATCTATGTAAAGAAAATTGTCAAACTTATATAAGTTATTCAATATGTACAAAGATTTCAGTTAATGCAAAGGCATGCCTTAGTCCTGGATGAAAAAATTCAATGCTGGAGAGAAGGGTAATTATTTTGAATGGCCTGTGGAGAATTTCTAGGAAATTTTTGAAAAATAAGAATAAAAAGATTGCCCTATCAAGTATTAAAGCAAATTACAAAGCTGAAATGAGTAAACAAATGTAATGTAGGTACGAGAATAGACACATAATATGTGGAATAAAATGGATGCATTCAAAATGGCCCCTAGTAAAATAAGTTAACATAGAAAAAGGGTCACCTGCAAAAAATCAGTTTACCATTTCTATTTGGGCTGTATTCCAAAAATAAATTCTAGATGGATTAAGGGTTTATATAAAATGACACCAAGAAATAAGATGAAAATATTATCTGATGGGTGTAGGGAAAGCATACTAAACTTTAAAGAAAGTAAATAACATAGATAACAACTAACAGTTATACATCTACACAATCTTTCAGTGTTTTATCATCATTAACGTATGAACAAAATTAAATTATACACCATAAACTGTGAAAAAAGATTTCATAAGCACAAAGAAAGGGAAATTCCTAGAGTACTGCAGTTAGGAATTCTTTACCTTGGTTTAAATGGTGGCTGAGGCACATGTAACTATACAACCTTAGCCTGATTATTTCGGCCAAGTTTATTTTTCTTATCTTTAAAAGGAAAATTTGAAATAATATATACCTTACAGGTTTAACAAGACAAATGTGAAAATGTATAAAACCCCCGTGTGTTACCTAAAACATAGTAAATTAATAAATGATACGATAGGCTAAAAACAAAAAGGAGTTAAGATCCTAGTTATATAGCTTTATGAATTGTAAATATTAATATTAATTTCTTTTTGATCTGAAACTTGCAAATACTTTTCCAAGGCAGTTACTTTCTGTGACCTTTATTTCTCTTGTATTTTGGAAAAGTCTTTCATTTTTATTTAGCCAAATCTACCAAATTTTTTCCTCCCACTTCTGGGTCTTGCATTTTATTTAGAAAGTCTTTCCCTCCTTTACAACTTTCTCCATCTGATTATAAAAACATTCTCCTGTATTTTTATCTAATATTTGAATTTTCAATTCATATAAAATTTATTTGTTAGTACAGAGCACTATATATGATCTAATTTTGTTTCATTTTAGATGGTTAGCTGATTGTCACAAGACCATTTAATAGTCTATCCCTTCTTCAGGTTTTTAAATAAAGCTTATTCAACATATATTTATATGTATTTATAGGTCTTTTTCTGGAATCAATTCTTTTCCATTGATCGATTATGGAATCCTCAGCCAACCTCCCTGTTATAATTACAATAGATTAATATTTTGATCTCTTTTTAGACACCGTTCTTTATTGAAAGTTTCTTTCTAATATTGAATATTTTCTTTTTCATAATGAATTGTAAAATCAACTTATCAGGTTCTATAAATATAATGTTGAGAGTTTGATAAAAAATATTTTCAGTTTATAGATTATTTCAAGGGAAATTGATATCCTATGAAACTGAGATTTTTAAATCCTAAAATTTGATATACTTCTATAATTATTGAGTTATTTTCAGCACCACACAATCAGTTAAACTTGCAGCTTTCTCCATCTAGGCATACACCTTCCTTTATAATTTCATTCTCAAGTATTTTATGCTGTGTTGTTGTTGCTATTACCAATGATACTATTTTTCCATTAAATTTTCTAATTGGGTATTCCTGCTTTACGGAAAAGCTGTTGAATTTGTTAAACTTACCATCTTGCTGAATCATTTTATGTCTTTCAGTAGTTTTCAGTTGATTAATGTGGATTTGCCTATTATATAACCTTATCTCCAAATACGGGCAGCTTTTTTCCTTCCTCTCCAACATTTATACATTCATTTTTTTATCTTCCTTTTTCTATAAATGAATAAGACCTACATATGATGTTCTCTAGTAGTTTTTTCCCTTACATTTGGTAGCAGGACTGTTTCTAATATTTAACCATTAGGAATGATTCTTTTCGGCGTGGGTTTCTGGTAGATAATCTTCATTAAATTTTTGGAGTTAATTCATAACACTTTAAAACAGAATTTCTTGCCGAGCTTTAATATTTCTTGTGTCAAACTACATTTACATTCTTCTTAATCCTCTGTTAGTTTCTCTACTCTCCCTGACTTCAAATTCTTCCTTCTCAATAAGCTATCAATTTCTTTCTGTGATTCATTATCATCTGGTGTTGTTTCTCACAGTTACTTTTTAATTTTTTTCTATGATGTTTCAGATACTTTTTGAGTGTTATAACTATATTTACCAACTCAGATAAAATGGAATAAACTTACATTATTCTATGATTTTAGCAATAACCTTTTTCTTCACAGATTTTTCTGTAATTCAATATTTTAAACAAAATCTTATAAGTTAAAATTAAGAAATAATAGTGTATGAATTTATTTCAACTTTACTCTTAAGAGTTAAATACAGAATCTGTCCATTGATAAGAAACAGTTCAGATACATTTTTTTCCTCCAAATTTTTACCATGTCTTAACCACCCCTGTTACACACAATCATCACAGGGAGATCTGCTCTAATCAAAAAATACCCAGAGACACAGGGAAAAAATGCAATTTGCCTCAATGTACAGAAACAAAAATGTAAAATGTAAATGTAAAGAGTCAGTAATAGAGTGGTATTCCCAGTAGGGGTACAGGGCAAGCATCTCATCTGGTGAAAGTGCAGCAGAACCCTGTTACAACACAGTAAGTGGCAGCCTACAAAATTCAATTGCCTAAAATGCAGTTATTGCAGATAAATGAAATACCAGGACAAACCTGCTCAGCTTGCAAGCCTGGTGTTCTTGAAATCCAGCTATGAAATCTCACTCTGCCCAGGTCCAGCTGCAGTTGACACTAACCTAGTAGTGGTCTTTCACTCTGGGTTTAATATGAATGGTGGTGGTTCTAGGGCCTGTGACAGATAGGGAACCTCAGAACCACAGCAGCCATGCCAGGACTCTCCCAGCTACCTGGAACCTGATCGGGGAGATTAGACTGGCAGAACACCAAGACAGAGTTGCTTATATGTTCCCAACTTTTACCCTCTCCCATTAAGATTAAAACTTTAGCCCACCTCCATCCTTAATGGGAGACCTTATTTTTTAAAGGTTATTTTCTCACGGGTGCTATTTTCCCTGGCTGACCCAACCTTTAGACCTGCTTAGAGTATATTTAATGCACTACATTAATATTGCTAATCTGTGTTTAATCACTGCTTTTACTTTGAACAACATCTATTAATATTCTCAAAAAGGATACTTGGTACTCAGTGTTTTTATTGTCTAATTTTAAACCACTGCCTGAAACAACTATCTTTTTAGGAAGAAAGAAATCCTAATTGCTAAAGCCAGTGTCTTCACCTGTAGCTGTAATGACATTACATTTTTTTCACTTTTCTTGCGTCTTTTTTTTCCATGTCTTTTTTTAATGTTAGTTTTTATTCCTCTTCTTCCCGCATCTATTGGTTGTAGATGTTCCTGAAGGTCTTGTCCTTAGTGTACTTCTCCCATCTAACTCCATATCTTTTCCTAGATAATCTCATCTAGCTTCATATTTTCATGTCATAACAATGGGTGTAATTCCCAGAATTGCATTTTGAACCTTTATGCTCCTCTAAGCTCTAGATCCACAGATCCTATGGCTATTGTTTATCTATTTGTAGGACTTTGTGGAGAATTCAAATTCAATATTTGCAAAACTTAACTCAGTTTTACATATATCTGAGTTTTTAATCACCTTGAGTTATTTTCATGCCTATGGGATGACCTTTCCAGGCCCTAAGTCTTGTAGTTTCTTGATTGCCTTAATTCCATGGAGCTTCATATCCATTTCATTTAGGTAAGTTATTCCATGATCAATATTCGGATGTTGTCATCACCTGGACATTTTCTGCCTCTGAAAACTGAAATATAAATTACTTATTTCAGTCAGTAAAATCAACTCAATCCAAATTTCTTCATTTATGTCCAATTATAATGTAATCTTTTGGGGGTAAATCTAAATTCTAGTATTGTTATATCTGTCACTATTAGTAATTCAATGTTCTGTCTCTAAAGATTCACTTCAAACAGTGTTGTGATGGTAAACATTTGATAATCAGCTCACAGAAGAGAAAACCCCTGATCTATAGCATTTGCTCATTTCTGGAGTGTAAATACTCATACCATGGCCAATTTCAAGCTACTAACATGACGTCACTGAATGTGGTATTGGGAAAAACTCTGCACTATTGGCTTTGGAGAGCTTGTGTGAGCAAAGGTGACTCCAGCACCATCACCATTCATATTAAACCCAGAGTAAAAGACCACTACTAGGTTAGTGTCAACTGCTGCTGGACCTGGGCAGAGTGAGGTTTCTTAGCTGAACTTGAAGAACACTAGGCTGGCAAGCTGAGCCAGTTTGTCCTGGTATTTTATTTATCTCCAACAATTGTATTTTAGCCCACTTCATTGCATCTACACTTCCTTTTCCTCTATATCCTGCCTCATGACAGATTCTAAACCCCATCAGGCCCTACATTTACATTTCCTCTGACAGCGATGGTGGGGGAAGAAATGGCAATGGGAATGGTGGGGGAAGTAATGGCCAGGAAAGGAAGCTGCTGGCTCTGTTACGCAATTCTCTGAGTTTCAACTAAAATGCCTCAATCATAGTCTGCTATGCCAGTGATCCAATGGAAGCATAACTACTTGGGACCACTCACCACGGCCATACATGAGGGTATTTCCCTTATTCAGCAGCCCACTAGTGAGGTAAGAAAGTCAGCGTTGGCCTGTGTGGGAGACTTCTATTTCCACCACATCACCACACAGTTCCTGGCTTTACAGAAAACTTGTGTGTATGTGGTGATGGTGTGGGTGGGGGTGGCATTGATTGATTCTGGCCTTGTCCCAATCCTCTATGCTATACTGCCATATTCCTACTGCCCTTATGCCTTGCCCCAAGAGTGATGATAATCCTATGTGTTCTGTCATTCATGAACTTGAGGTCCAAAATGTATACTGGTCCTCATGTTCAGAAAAAACTACAATCTGCTGTGAGAGATGAGTCTCTCTAGCAATAAAGTGGCACACATACACCGTGGAATACTAGCCAGCCATTAAAAATATAAACAAGATCTTGTACTTTGCAGGGACATAGGTGAAGCTGGAGGCCATTATCCTTAGCAAACTGACACAGCAACAACAACAAAAAAAACAAATACTGCATGTTCTTACGTATAAGTGGGAGCTAAATGATGAGACCACATGGGCACATAGAGGGGAACAACACACACGGGGGCCTATTGAAGGACAGAAAATGGGATGAAGGAGAGGATCAGGAAAAATAATTAATGGTTACTAGGCTTAATACCTGCGTGATGAAATAGTCTGTACTACAAACCCTGATGACACAAGTTTACCTATGTAACAAACCCGCTTATGTACCCCTGAGTAAAAGTTAAAAAAGAAAAGATTTCTCAAGGAGAGAAGATGAGCATTCCTCACCCCACATAGAGAGACAGTGTGGAAAGGATGGGGTAAGGCATCAGAAACTAAGGCATCACAAAACCTCTTTGGCCTGAAGACCTTTGCTTGTGTCTGGTTAATACTAATTTCTTCCTGGAGCAAGGAGAGGATGAAATTTCCTTGTTCTATGGATCAGTAAATCTAATTTCCTTTTTCCATGTGTTCATTTTAGGGCATATTTCAAAGTAGGAGAAGAATTATCTTTCTCCAGTACCATGCTATTTTAAAAACCTTCATTTACAATGCAATTTATGCCAGTTGAAAGAAAACAATGTATTTTCCTCTTAATACCAATACTCTCATGAAAAGATTCTATCTAGATAAATAGATACACACATATTCCTCTACTATACTTCCAAGTGTTCTTGGTTTTGTAAAAACTATAATTCGTCATTCTTTATTTTTATTCAATTTTATGTTTTCAGTAGGGGCAACAAAGACAAAACTTTCTTAAATTTTATAGTCAATAATTCTGTCCTTCTTCTGACTAGCAACTTCTAGGTGCACACTCAGCACAGGTCACTGCAATACTATTAGGCTAAAGGAAAAATAAAGATATAGTTTCCTTCTTAAAGATTTTAATCACTAGAAAAATTTGAATGTTGACTATGTCAATCATTCAATTAGGCAAGTCTGTCCTGGCAATCAATGTAGTGACAGATGTCATGGCCAGATTACTCCAGGGTCCAAGCCAACCACTGAGCCACCACAAGTTCCTGAGTGATTCCAAGTCAAATGTATTAAAGTTTTCATTGTATAAGTCATGAAATATGAAAATCAATCATAGTCTCATAGCCTTCAGTTTTTACTTCATTCAAGAATATTTAGCCATGGATTTTAAATAATTCCTATTGACTGTGAACTATGTGTTATCTTAGTATTTATTATGCATAAGCAAATTAAAATTTTCAGTTACCTCTAATGTTTTGCCTGAATGCATGTTTAGGAACATATTTTATTTAAGAAAATACATATTAATTTTGCTTCAGTGTCCATGGATTCAATTTTTTCATATATTTAACTATGGCATTGATAAGTTAATGTTCACCTGGGTCAGAGATGCTATTTTCACAATCTCAACCTCTTTGTTATTCCAGTTATAATACAGACAGATGGGGAATTCAGTGGCCAATCACAGACTTCTCCAATAGCTGCTGCTATCTGAATCTGGAAGCCCTAAGTAAATCTAGCATGCAGTGCACTCTTGATGTTCTTAGATGCAGGAGACATTGAATTCCCCAGTGCTGAATGCCTCTAGCAAAATGTGAGAGGATACACTTCAGTTTCCCCACAGATGTAATCCACATGGCAGAAAAGCCTATCTTAAGACTACAAGGGAATTCACTCACTAATTAACAAATAGTTTTATTGGAGTGCATTCTATAAGCATGATCTTACAAATTGCCACGATGTAGAAACTCAGTGACAACATGTTTTTAAAATTCTTATCTTTGATTGGTACCACAGTGTAAGAAAGACAACTCACTCCTGGGGTTTTGGAGAAATAATTCAGCAGAATAATTGAAGTTCCATCAGCTTAGTTACCCTCTATTTCCTATAATGATAATCGTCCTTTTAACTAATTACCTTTAATGTATACACCTTGTGGTTATACAGGCTCAGTTATTAATTTTCATGCTTTAAAAACCCTGTGTTACCTAGGTATTTAATAATTCTCCCATAATGAATATAGTTGATCTTCTCTATGCAGTGATAGCACCTATTCCTAATGCCAATGCTGCTAGCCTACAATTCGGATAAATTGGCTCAGATTTTATGACTGAATTTGTTTTGTTACAGCGTCCAATACTCATCAAACTTTTTAAAAATTACCATATATCAGACATGGCAGTCATTTATTTTTGCAGGTAAAATAAACTTTGTATCTTCAATCACAGGAAATAAATCAGTGTACTTCATGACTTTCAGAATTCCAGTTTTCTCTCATGTTAAACTTCCTCTTTTCTACCAAGTAGCAGTATCTTCCATTTTCAAAAATTTGTTTTATGATTATTTCTAGTATTGGATTTATTTTATGAGATTTTCAACATGACTTAAAATGGTTATAAGATGTTGTGTTTACATAAGGCCTTCATCATCCAAATATGCCAGCTTTCAGTAGGTATTCTGTGTCTAAATATTTATTGTCTTAATTAACAAATCGCCTGTTTGCTGACATTTTTCTCAGTTGTTTTTCCTACAGTTAGTGTTTTGTATTTGAGAGTGCAACTGAAACTGCATACCATAAAAATAGTACATATTTATTGAAAATTGAGCTAAACAATTACATATTAATATAAATAAAATTTCCCCACATCTACAGTACTCCACGATCTATAGTAACTATAGCCAAAGTTGAACCATAATTTAACTAGCTGCCCCTAAGTCCTAGCTCTGTGGCAATATCACATTGAGGTGAATTCCATTTGATGGACATAATTATGTAATTTTTTTTACATTTTCAAATACGTACTAGGATTCCCAAAGCAAGACTTCTTAGAAGTCTCTTTCCCCCAGGTGACCAAAGACTCTCTTCTGTCACCTCACACACATCTCAATCTATATCTTTTCATTTCACTCCTCCCGTAATTTTCTTAATTATTTCCTGTTATTATAGCTTCTACCTTTCCAATGTAAATTATACAATGTAATCCCCAACGCTGCGGCTCTTTCTACCCATTATCCTACCTGCATAACAAATACTAGAAAGCTAGGCAACAAAACCCTGTGAGGTGAGGTGGAGTTGTGAAGACTCTTATATTGATATTTTTCTTTGTGCTTACCCAATTCTATTTTTAAATCTTGCAATAACTACAAAGCATCCTTTTCTTTAAAATGGGGTCTTGCTGCCTGGGCCCTGATGCTGCCTAAAGCAGCTGTACCCCTAAAATGCTTCCTCCCCTGCTAGTCTGTTCACCCCCTACTAGCTCCTACTTACCTCAAGTAAGAAAATAATAACAGGAAACATGTGTTGAAGACTGATCACATACTGGGTAAAGTCCTAAGTGCTTTGCCTGCATTAACTCAATATTCACAATAACTCTGTGAGGCCAGGGCTTTCCTTTTCCTTCTTTTATAGATTAAAAAGTAGAAGCCCCAAGGGGTTAAGTATATTGCCCCAGCTCATAGGATGGTGTAAGTAACAGAGCCATGATTTGAACTTAGAGATTTAGAGTTAAGAGTGCACTTTGACTTGGCATGGTGGCTCATGCCTGTAACCCCAGCACTTTGGGAAGCCGAGGCAGGTGGATAACTTGAGGTCGGGAGTTCGGGACCAACCTGACCAACATGGAAATACCCCATCTCTACTAAAAATACCAAATTAGCCAGGTGTGTTGGTGCATGCCTGTAATCCCAGCTACTCAGGAGGCTGAGGCAGGAGAATTCCTTGAACCTCGGAGGTGGAGGTGGAGGTGAGCCTAGATCATAGCATTGCCCTCCTGCTTGGGCAACAAGAGCGAAACTCCATCTCAAAAAAAAAAAAAAAAAAAAAAAAACCAAGAGTGCACGTTTAACCACCATGCTCCTTGAAACCACCTGAAACTCCCTTTGGTGGCGTAATATGAATCATTGCTCAGCTGCCAATGGAATTAGAGGTTAGAGGTTAGGAGACAGCTTTATATATTGGTAAAGGAGATAACTGGGCTATCATGTAAGGAGTTACTAAAAATGATTAAAGTTTCTCATTCTGGAAAGATGTATATGATAGCAGCCCATAAAATCGCAGATGATATAGCTAAAATGAGTAAGGACGTGTCTATTACATTTTGGAATACTAATTTGAATAGAACTTTGGAAATTTACATAGGTGAGAGTGTATAATAAAAGAAGGGCATTGTCTGGTGGTTAATGACAGCAGACCAGGTTTACACCATGCATTTCTAGGCACTATTGTTTGCCATTTTTCAGATGGGAAAAGGATTTCAATGGGTTAAGAATTCAAATCTTAGCTTTTCTGATCAGCCCTTCCTCCTAATCCATGTTATACAGTAGTATCCTCTTATCCATAGGGGATACAATCCAAGACTTTTAGTGGATGCATGAAACTGTGGATAGGCCTGAACACCATCTATACTGTTTTTCCCCTTCCTCTTGTGATGATATGTGATGATAAAATGGTTACCCATGAGATGAAGTGAGGTGAATGATGTAGGCATTGTGACTTAGTGTTAGGCTACTATTGTTCTGAAGATAGGTTAGGAGGATGATCACCTGCTTCAGGTGATCCTGGGTCATTGAGTCATGATGATATTGCTGGTTGACTGTCAGGAGCAGACCATGTCCCTGACTAATGGAGGAGGTGGGCAGGCAGTGTATAGAGTTTGTATACACTGGACAAAAGGATGACTCACATTTGGGGCAAGACAGAGCAGGATGGCATGAGATATTGTCTTGCTAACCAGAATGGTGTACAGTTTAAAACGTTTTAATTGATTATTTCTGATTCTTTCCATTTAACATTTTCAGAGTGCGGTTAACTGCAGGTAATAAACTGAGGAAAACAAAACTGCAAATAAGGCAGGGGGACTACTGTACTACCTCTCAAACACTCCTCAAATTATTGAGTCAAAAGATAATGATATTAGCTAAGATATATCATGTGTACCAGGCGCATTCACTGCTCAAAGAATTTTACAAAGGTTAGCTCATTTCATATTCATCACAGGTACGTAAGGTAGTATTGTTCCCATTTTACAGGGAACTGAGATATAGAAAGGTTACGTAACTTGTACAAGGTGACATAATTCATTCACATAGGTGGGCTTTGAACTCAAGCAGCATAGCCCTAGAATCCATGCTCTAAATCTCTGCACTAAAACACCTTAAGAGGAACTTTAATTACATCGGTGTTTTTCAGTGTGTGTCCATGATATTAATAGACCCCATATAAAAAGCAGTTCTACAGTCAAATGAGTTTATTTTTGTTGAATTATAAAATTCTTTTATAAGAAAATGTGTAATATAAATCTTAGCCAAAGTATAAATTATTACTGTTAGGTGAAACCATATGAAATTACTAATACTAAGCCACTTTACACTTACAAAAATGACAACAAAAGGCAAGTTACAATATGTAGTATCTCTAGGCAAACAGTTTTTTGAAATATAAACATTTTAGAAATGCTTAAAGCTGTTAGTGACTGACAAATATTTGCTTCTAAGGAAACCCAGAGGTACAGGAAGAAGATATCTTCAACTTTTCTAGATTAATGTTATGGAAAATCACCAGGCCCTAGTAGAATCACTGCTTTTGAAAAACAGAATTCAGATAATCCATAAAATTCTCAAAACCACCTTGTGACTGTTTTTGAGCATAAAATCTGTCTAAATTCTACCCATCTCAACCATGAATAATGTAGGAATGTTTCTGAAATAAAAATTTACTTCCTTTTTTCTATCTTTGGGCTAATTAGGTTCATAGAATAGAAATATGAAATATTTCATACTGCCTCTTTGTTTTACAGAATAGAAATCTGTAGAAAAACAACCACAAAAATTCATGAAACAGGATGCATGAGAGGCAAAGCCAATACTCATAGCACAAATTTCATGACAGTACCTCTTATTTATTTCCTAGTCACATCCCCTAATAGTTTTTTATTCTTCGGACATTTGTAATCAGGACTTTTTATTCTAAGGAGATTTACTACCAGGTTTTACGACCAGTTGCAACTGGCCTCTTAGTGGCACATACATAAATATAAATTAGAAAATTTATCATTGCATTTCACGACTCTAGGTATTAAGAGACACAAGTTTGGACCTAGAAGAAAATTCAGAGATCAATTCATTCTTTCACCCCATCCCCAATAAAGGACAAAATTGAAACCAAGGGAAGTACTGCCAAGTATCCTTTGGCATGTGGCTACTTAACTATAACTATTCTGTGTTAAGAGGAAACTAATTTAAATCCATTTGACCACTGCCAGCCTTGAAGGACCTATTTAGTGATACTTGCTATTTACTTCTAATAAAAAAAGAACAAAATAGTTATGTTAGACCCAAAGAAACCATTCTGTTCTGTACATCCCATTGTGATCAGGTGGCTAATATCCTTTTCCTTTTCCCTCACTGCTCGCAAAAGCGAAGCCTCCATATCATCATATGAAGGGATGGTACTGACCCAGTTTTGATACTCTCTCCCATGATGTTTTATGTGAATGCCGAGCTGATCATTTTCATCAGCAAGGCACAGCTCCTCTGGGCAGCACACACAGAAGTATTGTATATTTGATAACTATGCATAAGAATGGCAGTTAATTCTTTAGGAGTTTAATTTAAGCCTTTCTGCAGTTTCTAAAAGTAAGTAGGAGAATGAATAGAACAGAATGTTCTCATTTTGCAGAAATAGAATAGCAAACTATATATCAAGAGAGAAATTAGACTGAATATTCTTTAAAAAGACACATGAGAAGTGGCAAAAGGAAACTACCCTTTAATAGAAATTTTATCTTTTGTTATTTTGGTTAATTTTCTCATAAAAGAAATATTTGTACTACACATGCAACTAATGATGATACAGAGAATCATGCAAACAGATCATTAACAAATGTAAATAAATAAACCTGTTTCAATTTTGCTAAAACAAAAGTCAATGGTTACTTTGTATAGTGAACAATTTTCCATGTAAAACAAGGTGTTATATAAAAAGTTCAGCCTCTGGAGAAATATAACCAGCCAATAACACTTAATCTTTTTGCTTTTTCTATACATATACACACTGGCACAGAGTAAGTACTGAATATATACTTACTGAATTTATTTAAAGCCTGTGACTTAAATATATATGCACATAATAATTCTACGTGGTTTTATTCACCCACTCAGCAAGTGGTACATAATCAATTGTCAAGAAAAATGGATGAAGCGTAAATTATTTTCAAAACCCCAGAGAAGTACTTATAGGATTACAATATCTGTTAAAAGGTTCCAGCCCTCTTTCTCTTCCCCATGTTGGAACACAGGGAGTGACAATGTTGAGTGTGGCAGAGAAAAGGAGTGTTCTCAGTTGAGAAGCAAGTCATTGTGTTGTGGCTCCTCATTTGCCGGCAGGGGCATGTCTTCAGTAATTCCCATGCCATAGGTCACTCTTACATATTCTCTCTCTTAAAAAAAAAAAAAAAAAAAAAAAAAGATGATGATACCCAGATTGTGAAGCAGAGGAAAAACAAACAAAAAAAAATCACAAAATAAAATTAAAGAATTGCCTTATAGAAGCCACAATGTTTAAAATTAGTAATATCCTGTGTATAGACAACTAAGAAAATTGCTTAACCAAATGAATATATACACACACCATAAGAAGGTGTGAAATGAAAGAGAGAATGGGACAAGGTAATTTGATGGAGGCATTTGGAAGTCAGGGAAAGAGGTTTGGGTTATTTATGTTTACAGTGACCATATGTCCCGATTTACTGGGGCAGTCCCAGCTTATGCCTTTCATCCCAGCATAATAACAGAATTCCTGTTTCTCAAATGTGTCCCAGTTCGGATAATCTGTCATACTTATGCTAGGTATTAGAGATTTCCTGCATTATTGAGCAAAGGAATTATGTGACAGAGGATCTGTAATAGGAAGATTATTCTATGATTTCTTGGCACCTAAAAAAAGATGCAAGAAAAATTGTAAGGAGGCTTTGCCATTTCTATCTACCTGAACTGACTGTTATTTGGTGATCAGAAGACAAATAATGAGGAGAATCTGTGAGACCCCATAAAAAAGATAATTGGCAGAATTTAAAAATGATTTACAATAAAATATGATGGATGAAAGATTTCAAAACTATGTAGATCTAAGTTGTAAATTTGAGGGGCTTGGGGAAATGACATTGTCAATAACAGGGATGAAATGTTGGAAGAAGACTTTTAAAGAGACCATGATCTAAAATATTGCTTTCAGGGGTCAAAAAAGGCAATCTAATGAAGTTATGACATGCTCCAATGCCCAAGAAATAAAGGTCTAAAGAAACAGAAAATACACTGTTGGAATCACCAGCATATAGGTGATTTTGCATGGTTCTTACAATTTCTGGGCCAAGATGACATTTGAATCTCTAAAAGGGACCTTTGAGATCATGGGGTTCAACACCTTAACTATAGAATTTTATATACATACATATATATATGAAAAATTTCTCTCTATATTAAGAGATTTTCCTCTCTCTATATATATTTTAATATATAAAATAAAAGGATACATAACAAAAATATCTATCTCTCTCTCTATATATATATCTATATTTCTCTACCCATTGGTAGATTTTTTATTATCCTTTTTTTATAGATTTTTTATAGAGAGAATATATATACACATATTCTCTCTCTCAAACATATATATGTATATACTGTGTATAGTGGGTCTGAGAACAGCACAGGTCTCTTATTCCCAGTATGTTGGACTTAGCTCTTCATTATAATTTAGCTGCTTCCTTAGAACAGGTTGTAAAATCTCAAAAGCTTAAAGGTCAATAAGTATTATACTTAATCTAAATATTTATGCAAATACCTTATGTCCTTTTAAAAATAAGGTATACAAATAAATAAAAGTTGATTAATAAATAATAAATTAGATTGTCAAGCTTTCTGTTTTGGAGCAAGGTCTTGTAGAAGAAGATGCGTTTAATCACTATGGAGCAACCTGCAGGATCTGGAGATTAATTTGCAATTGTCAACAAGGTATTTAGTTTTCAGCAAACACTTAAGAGAACAGATAATTTTTTTCACCATTGATAGATATATATATTGGCTTATTTATAAAAAGGGTCTCTTTGGGAGAAAGATATAATTTTCTTCTGTTTTGTTTTCAGGTTGTGCTGTCACAGAGGAAATCATTACTAGATTAGCTGTCATCTGACATTGATTTTGGAAGATTTTCTAGAGGGAGAGAGACTAGGAAAGGGATTTGGCTTTTTTCTTTTTTTTTTTTAACAATTGAGTGTCCTGGACCAAGGGGCCAATTCTTATTGTTCCATACTTGGGGAGAATTATAAAAGATGTAACTACATCTTAAAGAACTTTTCAGTATTACCCTAGGTCTTTTGCCCTGACTGGCCACTGAATATACCCAATTAATAAAATTTTGATATTTTCTGATCTTGTACTCACCTCTCTTAGTATCTATTCAAGCCTTTTTTATTTTGGGGGACACATCTTAAAGTGAATTGTATCATATTTCTTAAGGTGTGTTACTTTTTCTTAGTTAGTAACCATGCATTTCCACGGTTAGTGGCTGAATAGCCTAGCACAGCTCTGACACACAATTGATGAAAAGTAATTCAATGAATGAATAAATGAATGGATAGGCAGATGAGTTGAACGTTCAGTGGAAACTGTCCAAGATAATAATTTTCTTCAGGGCACCAACTTTTTTACTTCACCTCTTTGTCTCTGAGTCTAGAGGAGTAATTTGCCCAAGCCAAAATTTTAACAAGTATTTGCTAAAAGAATCAATCAAACAAGCATGAATAAATATGCAAATGATCCATAGCAACACTGCTTAGTCTAATGTTTCCTAATCTAGCTAATTTATTCTTCTGCATCCCCATTTAATTAATCGTTATGATGGCATGTCTTAAAATTAGTTCATTGTGTCGGACAGTTTTCCACACCTTCTCTAGTGTATATCGAAAATCAGAGACATTTATTAAGCTAATTCATTTATTTTGAGGGAAGATTCACTTGATCCATCAATTTATTTACATCCACAACAATAAACATAAATTTGTAGAGATCACAAGTAATGAAAAATAAGACACAAAAATGTTTTAACCAAATACGGCAGTTTATAAAATATTAAAGTTTCAAATGTATAATAGTTTATTTCATTTTGCCAAAGTAAAATTGGATATAGTTTTATTTTCAAATCAGTACTTGGGGTTTTTTTTAAACTAGTGATTTCTGTGTATTCATTTAAATTAAAGTTCTATGTAAGCACGTATGTGTGTCCTCTTAAATGGTCTTTAAGATGCAGATTTTCTAATAATTAGCTCATTTAATGATACTTTAGGATCCATGTTGTAAAATTCAGTATCAAGGATTACCAGAATAATTTGATTTTATCTTTCCTAACCATAATAATACTGTCTGAAAGTATTATTTCATGGTATTTCTCATTTACAAAATAAAGAGGCCTGAGACTAAATAAGAAGAGAAAGGGATAGATAAAACTCTTCAAGCTGCAATAATCTATGATGTCATGACCTTATAGTCATTTTACTATTATTATGCAGTATTTATTTAGAAAACCTAATCGGTCTTTTGTTTCTTCATTTCTCTGCTTGAGAGGATAAATTAATAATATACATCTCTTTACTAAAGCTAGGTTTAACTGGAAATATTATTATTCATTTCTTCTGTAATTTTGTATTAATTATAAAAATAAACATAAATGTTAAAAAGCTCCCTAAATTTTAAGTTTATGTTTATCAGGGTAAAAAAAAATCCCCAAAATCATAAGTATTCATTTCTATGATTTATGGAAGAGCTTTAAAGAGAGACAAGAAATTAGAAAAAAATATTCTAAATGGCACATCATTTTAATGACGGCAGAAGATTATTCCCCCTATTTAGAAATTTGATTTCATAGTCATTATTACAGGTTTTATTTAGATCCAATTCACGAAATTACAAAATATTTTGATTTTTTTTGTACATTAGTAACCAGTTTAATCCCTTAGAAACGTTACACTAATATCGGTTGCCAGACAATTTTTCTCCAAACAATTTCTGTGTTGAGATAAGCAACCATGGTCTCCAGAATCCTAACTCATGCTCAGCTTTATATATATAACTGTTTTTGTGTTTTTCTGTGTCACCCATTATTCCTCTAATGTCTGACCCAATCCAATCTCTCTTGGAGACACGTTGCTTTGCTTTTCTAAATTCTATTTTTTTTTTGTTTTGTTTTTTGAGATGGAATCTCGCTCTGTCGCCCAGGCTGGAGTGCAGTGGCGCAATCTCAGCTCACTGCAAGCTCCGCCTCCCGGGTTCAGGCCATTCTCCTGCCTCAGCCTCCTGAGTAGCTGGGACTACAGGCGCCCGCCACCACGCCCGGCTAATTTTTTGTATTTTTAGTAGAGACGGGGTTTCATCGTGTTAGTCAGGATGGTCTCGATCTCCTGACCTCGTGATCTGCCCACCTCGGCCTCCCAAAGTGCTGGGATTACAGGCGTGAGCCACCACGCCCAGCCTGCTTTTCTAAATTCTTGCAGCCAACTGATAACCTGCCCAAGATCTTCATCTCAGCTGTGCTTCTTCATAACTTTGGCTACTCTAATCACGTTGTTAAATGACTTACTGTATCTCAGATCCACCAGTCCCCTCCCCAACCTTAAATTTTACTTTTCTAGGTCTATGACATGATTTGATGTATGTAGACTCTGAGCCATCTACACTTGATGTATGCAGAGCCTGAGAGAGAGAGAGAGAACGATTATGCACAAACTAAAAGACACACTGTAGGCATAAATGGGATGACTGAAGGCTCCTCTTTAAAATCAATTTCTCTACTTTCAAGCAAGAAAGTAAGTGGCATTTTGGAGAAAAAAATAGGGTACATCTTTAAGTAGAAATAAATTTTCTTTGTAATATAAATTGTACAAATGCTTTCTATCATTATACATTTTCCCCATGTCACAGAGAAATCCCAGGATGGAAGCAAACTCTAATGACTTTTATAGAATTTCCATTTCTCTGCTACTTGTTTTTCATCCTGCTACCCAACCCAAGTTTCAACGTGGTGTAAAGAAGTTTAGGATGAGACCAGTGACAAATTTTATAAAAGGACAAAGAGTGTAGGACAGTTGACGGTGCAGGAAAACTGGAAGGGAATTTAAACACCATACAATCTGACCCACTCACTCTACAGATGAGGAACAAAGACCCAGAAAGTTAAAAGTGATACTTGGCCAAAGACGAACAACTAGTTAGTGACACACAAGGATAAAAGTCTAAGTTTTCTAAAGTTCAGTTTACTTCTCCACACCACCCCCAACGTGGCACATTAATCGTGTGATTTATTTTTCTTTAACTTAAAAGATTTAGTATTCCCAAGTCTCATCTCCCCAAAACCCAGTGTCCAGATGAGGAAAGCTATGTCATCCACTGCATTTTCAACCTTTATAAACATTACAATGTAAGGGTCATAGGTTTATTTAATACATATGAATTAGATGGAGTTGAAGTTCACTCTTTTATCCCGTGAGTCATAAACTGAACTTTGGAAATGGAGATCAGACTAATGAGAAAAACAAAATCTGGACTGATGGGTCATGCCTGTCATAACCTGTACACAATCAGAATCTTTGGTATTTTAAAATAAGTGTGCTTGATTTCCACTCCAGCAACACTTTCGATTTGAAGGCAGTTTACAAAACCATAGTGTAGAAACTCATCTCAGCAATTTTCCTATCTCTAATTTAGTAACTTCTAATTTAGTGAGAAATAGGACATCATTTTGTTAATTACTTGAAAAGTAACTTACAAGCAATCCAGGAGAAAAGTTGTACTTCTCTTGCCAGTGTATTTAGAGAATGGATCATTAGTACATTTCTGCATGTGCATTCATAATTATAATTACATTCATAAACACTGTCCCAGAGCTAGGACATTTTGCTGATCACAATTAAAAAAAATAGAGTGAAACAACAGGAGAGTTTCATAACCTCATTGTTTTACCACCTTAACAATAAATAAAAATGACTCTAAATTACTCTGCATTGAAAGAATGTTGCATAAATGATAAGTAATTATAATTAAAAGTAACAATAGATAATACTTTCTATTTGTATACTGTGTAATATGATTCTTAAGACAAGTGTATGACTTGCATTTCTACCTACCATTTGAGAACCCTAATAAATTTTTTAAGCCTCAGGAGAATCTTACAAAGAATGCACAAGCCACCCTGACCCCTGAGGCAAATCTTAGCTAGATTTAAGTTGTTAATTGAATCCCTTGACCAATATATTTTTAATGTCTTGTCCTTTATGTAAATAGTCAACAGAAAACAGTAATTGCCTATTTATTTACAATGGACATATTTGTAGACAATGTTTGAAGTGCTAAATAAGCAAATGAAAAACATACAGTAGTTACTCTTGGTTTACAATGTGGGAGGCACAGCAGTTTTCTATGCTTATTAGAATCTACATGTGAAATCTTCCGTGATTGGCTACAGGCTCCCTGCACACTGATGCCTAGAAAACACTTCGTGCAGAGGTAGTACTCAGGGCAAGGTGTTCGAGTGAATGAAAACCACAAGTGATATACCTATGCTAGCTTGAAATATTAAAAGCACACAATTTGAAGTTCTGTGGAGTGAGAACCCAAATTCTTCAAGTATGTTAGAGAATGGCAGATCTGAACGATGTCTTACATTTAAACCGTATTGCTATAATTCTAAGCTCTCAATTTATGAAATACTTTATGAATTTATCTTTTTCTTTTTAAATAATGAAATATTTTAAACATGCAAAAATGATATAATGAATATAATGAACACACTTGAACTTTCTACTCAGCTGAAGAAATATAAGAGTACAAATATAGTTCAGTAGCCCTATCCAATAGTATTTTCTTCCCTTCTTACCACCTAGAAAAAGTAACTATCCTAAATTTTGTGCTTTTCCTTCCTGTCATGTTTTATACTTCACTACAAATATATATATAATATGTAGTATATAATATATAAATATATATAAATATATATACATTCCTCAGGAAAGCATAGCATCAAAATTCTATCATATGACATGTATTCTGAAAATCGATTTTTCTATCCTATTATGTTTTTAATATTTATCCACTTTGATAAATCTGATGTAGTTTTAATTTATTCATTCATATCACTAAATATTATTGGATGTATGAATATTCCACATTTTACTTAGCTGTTTTATGGCTGAGAGACATTTAGCTAGTTTGTTTTGTTTCATTTTGTTTACAGTAACAAACGGTGCTACTCTGATGATTCTGGTACATTTCTCCTTATGCATGTGTTTAAGACTTTCCATACAGCAATGCTACTCAAAGTGTGGTTTGTGGACAAGTGTAAATCTCTCAATGGTTAGTTATCTATGATGAAGTAAGTACAACCACCAAGAGTAAGCATGTGAAAACTTTTATAGCAATTTGGCATTGCTACAACATCCATGTATGTGATTTTTTATTTTGCAAAATTATGGTTTTGTAGTAGATTAGGCACTTTAAAAGGTTTTTATAACCATAGATAGCTTAAGATGTACTGCTCTAGTTTACATACTTTGGAAAAGAATTGCTTTGTCACAGGTATGTACAAGTTAATCTTTAAGTTATTGCCAATTATTCTTCAAAATAGTTGTGTTGACTTAGACTCCCACTAGAAGTGGGTAAGAGGCTCAGTTTCTTTGTACTCTGTTTATTTGGCTTTCTCTGTTTATATTAAAAAAAAAAAAACTTTCTCTTTGGGGAAGGATTATTTAAGTTTCTACTTCATTTTTCCTTTCTAGTAGAATTTAAACACTGTTTCTGTCCTGTTAGAGATAACCCTTCAAAAATGTAGCATGCATATTTGTCTACGATTACCCTTTCCCTTCTTACGTGTTATTTTTATCCAGTATATTTCTCCAATCCCATTTTTTGCCCTTCGAGTGAATAGTTATTATTGTTTTATACCATCCATGATTGTCTCGGATTATCTAAATTTTAATCAGATGGGTTTTTTGTTTGTTTGTTTGTTTTGCCCCAATACCTTTTGAGCAATACCTTTAGAGAAAAAAAAAGTTTGAAATATAGGAAAGAACAGTGTATTTTTGAAAGAGTCATAATTTTAAAAAGGAGTTTTAGAAACAAAAAATAATGACAATTAAAGTGTAAATTTTGATGAAAAGCTTAAATAACAGGCTGCAACAACAGGCTTCGGGGATAATTTTATTCTTAGTAACTAAGATATTTTTTGTGGGTTAGAATTTTTTCATTTGCCTGAGGATTTGTTAAAGCAAATTCTTAGTGTTGTTTTGATTAAAATATATATTCTTCCTTTGAATAAAATTCTATGTGACAATATTTTCTTTTCACAGATTGAAGAATTGTTCTACTGTCTCCTGACTTCTATTGATGCTATCAATATGTTGATAGTCACTCTAATTATAGTCTTTTGGAGAAAATCTACCTTTCTTTCAGGCTGCTATTGAAATATTCTTTTTGTACTTAGTGTTCTGCAGTCTCAGTATGATATGATACCTCTGACTGTGGATTCCTTTGTATTTACTTGATTGAAATGTATTAGCCTCCCTCAATCTGAGTATCCTTGCTTTTCCATTCTGAAAGGCATATGTGGTTGTTTTCTCTCTACTTTCTGTCATTATATAGAATATTTTTTACCAGAAGCCCAAGTAAATACATATTAAATCTTCTTATTCTACCCTCTAAGTTCCTTAAACTGTCATATTTTTCATTTTGTATCTCTGTACTAAATTCAGGATAATTCTTTCAAAACATATTAGTAATTTATTAGTGATCCTTTCAGCTGGAGACTGTTGCAGCCTGTAAGTTAAGGTTTCCAGTGGATTTTCCATTTTAATTATTATTTTTATTTCTATAAATGCTTTTTACTTCAAAAAAATTGTTCTTTTCTGTGTTTCAATCTATTTTTCTCTAAATGTTTCAAATGTATGTATGTATATTATATACTCAGTCACTAAATTATATAGTATTCATGTGGATCTAATTTTAGTTAATCACTTTGCTGATTCTTCTCCATATATTTTTTAATTATGGACTTTGAGTTTATGATTAGAAGGGTCTTATCTCTGGAAATCCTAAGATGTGTCATTTCCTTTTGCCAGATGTTCCTGTATAGTATCAATCAATATCAATTACTTATGATAATTTACTATTTGGGGTCTCCTAGACCACCTAGAGAGTTCAAATTTGAACTTTAAACCTATATGAATATAGGCTAATCCTTTGTAAGCATTAAAAATGTGTAATTTTTAGAGGAGATGTTTTCTCTGACTCAAGCTCAGGTCAAGATAGATGAGTTTACTTGTTTTTTCAAGTCCACCTTTCACCAAGGATCTAATCCTTTAGGGATTCTGACTTTGTGTGGTACCTGCTGATATAAACTTACATAACCATTAATATTCAATCCTCTTAGTTGCCAAGATTGGCAAACTCTTGCAAAGGTGCCATGATGCCTACATCACCTTTCCTTCTGTATTTTAGTGCATTTTTCATATTGATTCCTGATCATTTCTCATCCATTTTTGGAACTCACTTCTGAGTCTAAAATTAATGTTTGCTATATTGTGTCTGATGTTTCTAGGTCTTTTGCATTCATAGGGCTTTTCACATTATTTGATATACCATAATGCTGAAAATAGAAGTGAAATTCTATCCTTTATATTGGTCATACGCTGTGTGATCCGGACTATTCCAAACATCTGTCCTTCCTGCAATGACTTTCTCCATTTTCCTAAGTCCAATCCATAAATTAAGACAACTCAATTTCTGCCTCTTTTGAAGAATCCCTTGACTATCCCACCCTAAACTGGACTGTCATATGGGGTAAGAGTCAGATATCAGTTTAGCAGTAATATCTAGATTTCTACTCAGTTGCTGGTGTCTCAGGGGAGAAAATGGGTGCTACTCTTCCTCAGTGTATATAGCTGGTACATTGTGAGGTAAAATTGCAGGTTTAACTCACAACATGCTCAAATATGCAAAAACAAAAAATAAAAACTCTTTTTACTCTTGTTATTAATGTCGTCTCTTCCCATAGCCTCATGGGCTTCTCAGTTTTAGAACAGTAACTTAACACCTAATCCATTCAGTTCTTTTTTAGATCTGTTGCTTCAATTAATCCCTCTAAGTAATGTTCACTCTGTGTAGTAAAACAACATCTCTTAATATTTTATATTTCTTAGCTCATTATCATATTCAAAATTCTTCCTTAAAATGGCATCTGAGTATCGGAGAGCAGAGTGTATCTCACACAAACTTGTACCAGAAGGCAAAAGTCAAAGTCTAGAGGTGTGGTGCTATGTGGCTACTTATGTCACGGAATAAGATCTCTTGTTCACCTCATTCCTGCTTGTCCTGCTAGAACTCTTCGATAATGAATAAGGCCTGTGTAATTCAAGATCTTGTTTCTTTTGACTTTGGCTAGGGAATACTATGTCATTGCCATAATCAGCATTTGCTCCTCTGCCTGGTGGTCCACACCAATGCCACCCAGCAGGCCCCACGGTGGGCCCCCTGGCTCTCACATTTGCACCCATGCCAAGTGTGTCTGAAAATGGTTTGGAAAACTTAAACCACATGACATGCCTGAGAACTGCCTGAAGTTTTCTGTGCCTATAAATTTACTCTCATATGCTGTACCTTTAATTGGTGAGGGACAGTGTGGCTTTTTCTCAGTGTCCCTACGGGGAGCAGGATCTGAGTCCTTCTGTCCTCATTAACCTAACACATCTTTCCATTTTGTCCAACAGTTGTGTTTTCTCTGAACCTGGCTTTCACATTTATTGTCTTACAGAACAGTCCTTTTTGGGATATCATTTAATACCTTCTATGACAAATCCTAATTTCTCCACATTCTTCTCTCCCTACCGTGGGGAAAGTAGGGTAAATGTCCAGTACTTAGAGAGGTGAAAAAGAAAACACATTACTAATTTTCAGAATATTAACCCAGTTATAATTTCAGTACCTTAGCAGAGATGAGATAAATGAAGATAAAAATAGCTAAATCATCAGTCCTATGCCTATCCTCCTATTAAGTAGATTATGATTTTGCTTACATAATATTGGGAGAAAACCAGGGCTAGGAAATTGGAAAATATTTTAATAAATTCTGTGTCATATGTAAGTTAATAAAATTACAGAATCTTTGTCTTCAGAAATACACATACAAATACAATGTTCTAACCACTTTTATTTTCTGGCTCAATGGCAGAATAGCCCTAGCATGTAGTGAATTGAAATGATATTCCTAAATCCTAGGCCTTGGGAGAACAGCAGTTAATAGTAGCTGTTTCTTGAAGATGGTGTGGAAAGCTATACCTAGGTGGAAGAAAAAAAAATCCTCATTTAGCTGTTCTCTAAAGGAACTGTGGTACATCAAATTAAAATGTAAATGAGTCCCCAGGTGTTCAGGTGAGGCTTGCCTGCCCATTCTCCATAACCTCTCAGGTTATATTGCTATAATGTACTTTTTCAAAAAGTTAAGAACAATGCCCCAATATGATGTTGAATGAATATACCACATTCTCTTGACCTTATTTCCAACTTTGGGTAATGTGTGACTGTGTCTCTTTTCCAGCTCATTCTGAGGTTCAATTTAACCCAGCTGTGTTATGTAAAAGTGCTAGTGAGAGAAAGAGACACACAGTAAGTGTCATCTTCCCCAAGCTCCCTATTCTCCTAAAGGTAGCTTAGAATCTGAACCCTCCTAGAGACGGCCCAGTTTGGGCCTAAATTAGACTTAATTTAGATTTGGATTCAGACTCTTCCTGACGATAATCTGCTGGCAGGTTTGTCCCAGGACCAGACCCGTCCCCAGAGTGTTATGCACTGTTAGACCCTTTTCCTGCCCCTCCACCCATTCAAATTGTTGACTATTCAGGAGTCGCTATTATTCGTGTCTCAGTCTCTTTTGGGAGCCTCTCCACTCCCCAGTTTCCCCTCCCTTTCTTCTACTTTCTGCCAACTCTCCCTTCAAAAAGGAGGAAAAACCAGTAAGAAGTTTGCCTTAACTTCATTTATGCTCTCTTAGCACTTTCTCCCTTAACTAACTCATCTTGCCTCTGGGCCAAAATACCTAAAATGCCTTCACAGTGAAATCTAAAAGCAATATCAATAAAAAGGTTAGACTAAATGATCTCTGAGGGCCCTCCTGGACATGAGTTCTGTGACTTCATATAAGGACAACAACGCAAGGGAAAAATCCAATACAGTCCCTTAAAAAATCCTGTAAGTATTGAAAATCCGTATGTATGAAATGCTGAGTGGGGACAGGCTCCAAAAAAAGAAAAAAAGAAAAATGCATTCTCTAGTCTCAACAACCCTATTACCTCATTATGAAGTATAGAAGAACTCCATGCAAGAAAAGTTAAATAATACTTGAGAAATCCATTTTTTCATTTATGATAAAGGAACTGTTAGTCTTGTGGGGCTTTACTTATAGATGAAGTAAACAATTACAAAGGGACACATGGGGAACGTAGAGGATACTTTGGGTTTGTGTAGGAAAAGCACCCAACCACATCCCATAGGAGAAGGCAGAAATGTCTGTTTTGAAAATGTGATGTCTCAGCAAAACCTTGAAAACTGCGTGAAGAGTGTGTGTGTGTTGGGGGGCTGGCGGTGTCTGTGTGTTGTACTTGTTTGGTAGAGCCATTATCAAATTGAATCAAAGGGGAATAATGGTCTGTTATTATAAGTGTTATTCAAAGGGAATAGCACTTGTAATGGTCCAGAAGTTGGTGAAACAGCACCTCCTTTTCAGGCAACTAATAGTACTTCAGTCTGGCTGGAAAGCAACTAAGTAGCAATATAAAACCATACAGTAATGTACAGTTCAAGTGATGCCATAGAAAATAAGTGAATTGCCAGGTGTATGAGGTAGACAGAATGCTGTGGCTTCATTAGTTAAATAACAAGTTACTAGAAATGAGTTACACTAACACATGTGGAGAGGATAGGATGACAAGCTATTCCTAGTACAGTTAACAATGTGATTAAAGGCAGAGTTGGAAGAATGCATGGAACCTTCAGCGGATGTTAGGTGGGACCATTTGACAAAAGTCAGGATATGAAAAGAGATTCACTGGACAAAATTTGCCACCTCCAAACATACCTTTCTCCTAATGCTAAATAAAAAGAAAAATTTTGATAACTCCACAAAGTGATCCCCACTTGCCCACCAGAAGGGAGAGGAAATTATACTAACTTAGAAAATCAGAGAAATGGCTTCTGAGTACAGAACTGCGCCCACATTATGCCCAGCTATGGTCCAGATGAGAAATGCCCAGGTTACACCCCAGAGTTTTGTATGGTTCTGTGTTTATAGTATGAGCTAAACCTACTAAAGAAAATTTTGTTTGGAGTTAAAAGTACTGAATTACGTTGCTGATAGCTAATCATACTATCAAACCCTCCCACAGAGTCTCTCTCTGGTCTGGGCCATACCAGTATCCGACTGGCTGAACTATTTGTTGTTGTGCCCTGTGTGTGGATATGGTGAACACATAGGAGTCAGGTTTTATATTTAGAACATGACTCCTTTGTAAACATACTTTGTAAACATACAAAGTCCAAGTACACCCGCAACTACTACATTTGGGAACTAGCATAATAGAATGAAACTGTCTAGGAAATATAAATTTGGAACGTTTATTAGGTCTAGAAACATCTAAAAGAATAAGTCAGATTTTGTAAATTAAGAAAACTCATAAGGCAGCGATGTTCATATTTTTGTAATTCTTTAACTATATTTGTATCTTCAAGCTAGCTGAATTTGTTAGATTTGGAGGGGCCCAAAGTATAACTTATTTTGGTAAAATCTAGTACTTTAAAATTGTATATTTTTATGTAAAGATATATAAAATATAGAATATTAGCTATAATTTACATTCAGAAAATAATTTGTATAACTTATAATGTGCTTGGAATTTTCATTCAACTTAAGTATGCAATTGTTATTGAAATATTAACTGTTAATAAAGATTATTTTACATAGCTTTAATGATTACTTGTTAATTTCTCTGTGATACAAATGAAACACTAGGTAATAATTCACAATTTTTTTCAAAACATGTTCTTAATATTTCAAAATTTAACAACTATGCAATCAATAAGCCATTTTTCTCAATTTTCAAAAACCCTATTTTCCTAATTATAACATGAATGTCCATTGGCAAATAAAGATATGAAAAAAATTAAATTTTTAGTCCCACCACCAACAAATAATCACTATTCATAGTTTCATAAATTCATTTCTAGACTTTCTTTTTTTTTTTTGAGACTGAGTCTCACCCTGTCGTCCAGGCTGGAGTGCAGTGGGACAATCTTGGCTCACTGCAACTTCCACCTGCTGGGTTCAAGCAATTCTCCTGCCTCAGCCTCCCAAGTAGCCAAGACTACAGGTGCGCAGCACCATGCTCGGCTATTTTTTTTTTTTTTTTTTTTTGTATTTTTAGTAGAGACGGGGTTTCACCATATTGGCCAGGCTGGTCTCGAACTCCTGACCTCGTGATCTGCCCTCCTCGGCCTCCCAGAGTGCTGGGATTACAGACATGAGCCACTGCACCTGGCCTCTAGTCTTATTTTTAATCTTTCTCCATTTTAAAAATTAGTGTTATAATATATACATGTTTTTATATGGACATTATTTTGAACATTAGTCCAAGTCAATATGTATGCTCAAAAAACAATTTTAGTGATAATATAACATTCCCAACTATAAACATAATAATTTAGTTGCTTTTTGAATGCTATAAAATTTAAGCTGTTTCTCGCTTTTATCTTAATAAAGATAGCATTTTGATGGCTATCTTTGTTTATATATTTTGTTTAAGATGCTGATTATTTCAATGACATAGATTTCTAGAACTATTGAATCAAAATATATAACTTTAAAAATGATCTTGTCACATTTCTTCTCAAGATATTTTGTTTGCTTGCTTTGGAACCAAGTTAGACTAAAGTTTATAAGGCTGAACACTGTTTATCTTGCTCATCCTGGTAGGCAGAAAATAGTCATCTGCTCAAATTCTCATTTATATGATACATAGCGAGGTGGAAGGATTTTCACATTTATAAGCCATTTGTATTGCTTCTATTAACTATCCCTTATTTTACTGTCTTTCCAATTAATTGAATAGAACTTAGGATTTAAAACAGCGAGTTGAATAAAATAATTTAAGAAACAATGACAGTAAATGTCACCTTATAACTGAATGAATACTTAAAAATTAATCAACTTTTCATTTACTGCTGGTTAAATCAATGATGATTTTAATTAACACAATAAATTCAGGGTTTTTTGGTTTAAGTTTGGCTTTGACTTCTGAATTCCTAAACCAGCCTTCTCACTGAAAATTTGTACATTGTCACAGTTTTCTTTCACTTACTTATACTCTTTGTTTCTCCTGGGCTACAGACTCAAATATATTACTCAGTAGCAGACAAAAATTCTGGAAAAAAAATTCATGGGCCACAGAAATGAATTCTTAACAATAGAATTTAAGGGGAGATTTATTTATACACAAAGGAATTATCTTCCACTATGTAATCAGCCACTGCTTATAAAATCTATCCAAACAATAAATATTTTTGTTAAAATTAAAATAAATATATGTATATGTATATTTGGAGTTTACTAGACGGTATGCAATACATCCCCCTAATATACTAACATAAAAATACAAAAAGTCTTGGCATATTGGAGTAAATATTAAATAATTATTCTGAATCTTATTTGTATTAAGCCATAGGTGGAAACTCAGTCTTTTTAACTTGTAAAAGTTGTGGAAAATTTATTTCTGACTTTGTCATGGGTCTATTTCAATGCTAAGAAAAGCAAATTATCAAGCTCAATAATAGAGACAGTGCAAGCTTTCAAGGGGAAAGGGTGAATACTGTAAAATGAAACTTTAAGCAACTGGAATATCTTCTTATATTAGAATATTTTCCATCAGCGAAATGATAGTTGTGGAATTCACACTGAAGCAGAATTTTAGTACTCACATCTATCACCTTCCAGGCATCTAGAAATCAAAACAAGAAAAGTCTTTCAAAAGAATGGAGGTTTTACTTTTTCCTAGCAATTTGAAAAATAAAAATGCATTCAGTATTCCTTTCCCAAAAGTTTTAGTTGTGATTCTCTAGGTGTCTGTTTATTGCTGGCCACTGGACCATTATAAAAGTCTGATAGCTGCTAAAACAAGAATCCTAATCAGATTTAACAAACCTTCTCTGAAATGGTTTATCTTGTCAAAGCTACAGAGGAAGCTAAATTGAAAAGCAAAATTAATCTTCCTTTCTAAAGGTGAACTCTAGCCTAACATGTAGTCTGTGACAGTAATTAATGCTGTTTTAGCTTTCTTTCCATGCTCAGCCCAAGAAACCTAGTAGTAATTTAGGTATGTGGAAAACCTGTGTTGAACTTCATTCATTTCCACTACAGGATGAAGAAAGATTGGCATGTCTGCACACTTTCAATCTGTCTTAAAGAAGCTTCTAAAACACATTTCCTCTTCACAGTTCTCATTTCAGGTTAATGTAAGAGTAGATATTTTTCTGTTTTCCAGTGGGGAGAAAAATGATTGTCTATCACCTCAATAATTTATAATCTCATTGACGAGATTTTTAGGACTCATTTATGAAATAATTAATAAGCATTTGAAGTTATTTTCCCTAATGTACTATTAATGTTGAATACAAGTAGATGAAATACAATATTTTTAGCTATTTAACAGTACTCACTTTTGTATACTAAAAAATCCAGTTTTTAATATTTCTTTCTTCTTTTGAACATAGACTTTTCTTGCTTTGCAGGTCAATGGAATTGTTCTTTTCCTCCTTTCTAGGGCAAGAAAAATGTCAGCTAAGGCCTTAGTATGAAAAAAGGGAGCAGGGGATGGATATGAAAAATTTAGAAAAATTTAAATCAAAAACGATAAATAGAGTTGAAGTAAGACAACACTGAGGAAGAGGAAGACCTCCAGATTAGCTCTTCTGTTTCTGTTAATCAATAGGTGTCTAAGGACACTTGCATCAAGATAGGAAATACAGAAAGGAGGGCGAGATTTAGAGGGGAAAACAAAGAGCTCAGTTGGGGTATATTGCCTATAAAGTATATGTGGAATGGGAAATCTGATATGCAAATCGTAGCTTAAGAATGAAATCAGAGCTTAAGAAATGGATCTGGTAATCCTTAACACCTAGGAGGTCATTGAAACCGTGGGATTGGGTGGGAATACCTAAGTAGAATGGCAATAGTCTATAAATCTATGCCAGTTTTCCAAATGGAAAATTATTAAATTTTTTTTAATTTTAGAACTCCTCAACAATCCATTATTGAACCGTATTGAAAATCTGGCCAAATAATAAAAGCACAAAGAGTAGAATTTCTAGAATATTCATATCTACTTCTTACTACCTTCTTTTTCATCACCAAAGCAACTTAACCATGTGTAAGCAACAATTTTATTCCTTAAAGAAATAATGAAGCCAACAGCCATAATTAGGGATAATGTGTAATTTTTTCCTAAATCAATTTAATTTCAGATAGAATTCCTAGTATAAAACAGAACTTTCTCTAGCTAAGTTAGTAAACTCTCTTTTTGAATGTGTTTGCTGGTAACATATTTTTATGTCAATCAAAGAGCAATTAAAACACCATGTTTCCTTAGTAATTGAAGTTGCAGTACATTACAGATTGAGATTTTATTTTTAAGGTGTATATTTAAACACAATTAGGTATTTGTCTACCATCTATAACAAATGAAAACAATACTGCAAATATTTTATATGTTTTTAAATGTAATACTAGTAAAGTTTATTAAGGTATAGTAAGCTAGCCTTTGAATTTTGGAGCTAAATCTTTCCATTCTTGGAGGAGAATACACTGAGGACAGTGTTCAAGCACATATCACATATAAAATGGAAAAAAAAAGTAGTTTAAAGTAGATAGGATGTTTTCTGAAAGCTGATAGTTTACTTATTTCTTGTTTCTTTTCCTTTTATGTCCAGTTCTTTGGGCTATGCTTCTTTCTGGGCTCAAGTGATCCTCCCATCTCAGCCTCCTGAGTAGCTGGGATAAGAGGTGTGTGCCACCATACCCAGCTTTTACTTGTTTTTTAGAAACTGTTCTGTTATATTTCTTGAAGAAAGCAAGAATAATATTCTCACAACCACTTTTTGCACCTTTCAATAAAATTTTGAAAATATACAACAGAAATGCTTTGCCATATAATAAAAGTATAGTATTTATATGGAACCAAAAACAATCTTTCAAAACTCAGCAAATTTAAGAACAAATGAGAATGAGGGAACAACATTAATACCCTCACAGAAAACAGATTTTTTAAATTAAAAATAAATTATAAAAACCACCATATTTTATTTTATTGGGTCATAATTTATCTTCTTGCAATCTATATATCTCAAGGTCTAATTATAATCTGGCATACATGTTGTACCAGCAATATCTATAGTTCACTTTATTTATATTTTTGAGTCCTAGAACTCAGGATAAATGAAAACTAGTGACCCTACACCTCAAAAATCAAAGAATTGTTGCCAAAACTCAATCTCCAACTCGTAATCTTCACCTGTTTGGTTCTGAAAGTATCTCCTCAGTATGATGCTGGACTAGTCCAACCCTGTGTAGTCCCTGCTGTGATTCCAAACTAAACTCAATGTTATTCTGCAGAAACATTACCAAAAAAAAAAAAAAGTCCTCCAGCTCAACCTCCTCCTCCTCCTCACCCTCCTCCTCCTCCTCCTCCTCACATTTTTACGTCTTAATTCTGAAAGACTGACTCAATCCCTTTGTCTTATGACATTTTGTAATATCTAGAATGGCTTTTGATATTTTCAGCTTTTACCTTTACTGCTTATTTCCCCTTTACTGGCCTCTGTTTATTCATTGATACAAAACCACAGTTCAATATAATATGAAATGATCATAGGAGTTATAAAAACTTCAGAAAAAAATGGATAACTAGTATTGGAATATTATAGATAAAGTCGTTAGGGAGGTTCTTTTGAAAAACAGAGTGTTAGCAGAGACCTGAATAAAGTGAAGCAGTGATTCCAGTGAAGGTCTAGGCAGAGGAAACAGATGTGCAAAGGCCCTGTGATGGCAGCGATGGACTTGGTGTATTTAGGAACAGAGAGGTGGCTCAATTTCAGTGAGTGAGAAAAAGAGAAGAAAACAAAGTTTAAAAAGTAGCAGAGGCCAAATTAGTTAAGGTTTTGTAGGCTGTGGAGAGAACTTAATATTTAGCACCTTCCTCAGATCTCTAACCTTGGTGGAATTTCAAACATGGTTTGGATTTTCCCATCAGCCACCATGCCTCAGACTTTCTTGGATGAACTTGTTAAACAACCTTCCAGTTCATCTAGGCCCTGAAGCTGTATACCTTCTGCCTCTCATCTGTTGTGGTTTGGCTCTCACTCGGGAGACACCTATTGCAAATTTCTTTCTAGGCCCCCAACTCACCTCTAACCAAACTTACTGGATCTTTTCCCTCACCCATTTGAAAGTATGTAGTAAAACAGAATGAAATTGCATTTTATTACAAAATATCCTAATAGATTCTCCTATGTGGGTCCTCTCCAACTCTGACTCCACCCCCCTCCTCTGCAAGGACCCTAATATCCAAAAGGACATTTCAACTTCCAGTTCCTCTCCCAGTGAGACTTATAGCATTCAAATTCTTATGTCTGGTTTATAACATTTTGTAATAATTTCTTTTTATCTCACAACTAAACTACTTTCACTTTTATTCTTAAAATTGACATTAATCCATTTGTCAGAGAACATGAATGGAAATGCTACAAACCGTTCATCCTTTATAATGTTAATAAGGTACATGTCATGAAAAGGTTATTAGGAAAAATTAAGTGCAGTCCATGTTTAACATATGAAAGGGAGCATCTGAACTCACGTGTTTACAATATTTAATGTAACTTTCTAAGATAAAGCATTCCAGAGTTCTTAACTTTGATCAGCTATGCCTGAGTACATCGTTTAGTACACAGATAATTGTATGGATTATTAACCTTCAAAGAAGACAAGTTACAATTAACTTTACCATTGATAGTCCAAGCAAAATGTTAAAGAGATTAATTTTATAGTTTGTTAGGGAACATGACATTTAACTACAGATTGAATAATGGCAAGATCATTAAAGGTTATTTGTGTCCTGATTTAGAAGTTCCATGTAAGAAATGTTAAAAACACCAAAGTAAGCAAAAAAAAAAAAAAAAAAAAAAAAAAAGCACAAGAAGTACTTTTTTAAAATTTGGGAAGTCAGAACAGATACAATATATTCAGATGATTATTGGCAAATGAATTTGGAGCCAAATGCCCAGAACCTTGACTGGTGAATTTAAAGCTTCATCTTAAGTGAAGGAACTTTCAGTCTGCTGATAGTATTTGCCCCTGTTATCTATAAACCACTGACCACCCGTAGGCCTCAGACTTTCATAAACTGGAGCATCGTGAACCATACATTAACCAATCACATTCTTCTCCAACTAGCTAGGGGAACAAAACTTCAGCTAGGTATTGTTCTCTCAAGAGTATTGATATGAACAATATGAGTTACCCTTTTTTCCCCTTTCCTTTTGGCTAAGTTCTTATTGAATCTTAGAGCAAAAAAGAACTTTAAAAATAATATAGTACAAGGATAATAAATAACATATTTTACCCTGTTCTTTTCTCCCCATGGGAGACATCACTACTCCATGGAATGTCCTTTCCCATGAAGCATAGAATGCATCTCAAAATTTCTAGTAGAGCATTTAAGGCATCCACTTCCAATCAACTGGTACTCCAGGTAAAAACTACCTGCCATACCTGATCTAGGCAAATTTCCATTTTACAGTTAACAAAACAGGGACCCAGAACTACTTGCAACTGGGTTAGAGACACAGCCTGTAACCCTGAAATGGAGTTTGTCTGTATTGGAAGTGTTAATTCATGCAACAAGTAAAACTTCCATCTTATTTGCCCCATATTCCAAGTTTCTGAACTGAAACATGTATGTAGATCTGTTTAATACAGAGCTGACTTTGAAAGGCTCGCTTCTTTAGCATTTCTACTGTGCACAAAATATTAGAGCATTTAGGGGCTTGTCACTGAAACCAATTCTTTTCATACCAACAAGATAAAATGTTCCTAAATACTGGGAGACTTGCTGCTGTTTAGAAAATCATAACACCTGTAAAACTGGCAGAGACAAAATTGTCCACCCCCAAATTATCTGGTTTTTTCATGAGTGAATGAATGTCAAAGTGGGGTGCCGTAATTTGTGAAGTACCCTAAAGGAAGATGCTGGACCTATTGGTGATCACCTTCCTGGAGCTGCTTGGTCTCATTTAATTGAATGAGCTCCCTATTTATTTTCCTCTAAGCCCCAGTGTAGAGAATAAGGCAATCACCAGAAGGTAAAAATAACATAGTGTACACCTTTTGCCCCTAAGCTCATAACAGGTGGTGTTCTGCAGAGATTAGTCCTGGGTGCATTTAACATCTCTGTATGTGATTGATTACAAGCTAGAGAGAGTGGTCATTAAGTTTGCCAAGTACATCACATCATCAGGATGGGTGAGCACCTTGAAAGACAGGACTAGAATTAAAAATGACCTTAACTGCTTGAAAAATGATTACAAACAAATGAAATTGAGTTCCCTACAATCAACTATGCAGCAAAATACTAAATAGACCTCCAACTGCACAAATTCAAGTTTGAAATGGATGAATTGAGCCCAGTGCTGGTTGTTACCTAGTGAATTGTAATCTGTACTTTGGTTGACATGGCTTCACTGATTAGAAAGTTAGCATAATTGTGTATTGTACAATTAAGAAAAGTAGAGTAATTTGGACTTTATAAAATGTACAATGTAATTTTTGTGAAACATAGTATATAATTTTGTTAATAAACCAATGAAAAAGTAGATTAATCATTAAGTAATATTTCCAAAGTAAGTTATGAGATACATAAATTAGAAATAATGAAAACCGTAAAAAAAAAAGAGACCACATGTAGATAGAAATAATAAATAATTACAAGAGTAGGAAATATAAAAAGTTAGGAAGCATTAATAAAACAATTTGGAAATTTTGGAATACAAAGCTTTTCACTGTCAAAAGGAATGAAAATAATATATATTAAATAGTATCATAGAGAATTTAGGTCACAAATAAAAACAAATGCTCTTGAATGCTATAAATTCTAATTTGATTTCACAACATTATTTCATAGAGGAAAGGTTACACTGTTAACTTACAGCTTTGCCTGGATCCAACAGTGCAGAAGACCCAGAATAATGTCATCTTGTAGGGGGAAATACTTATGTGGAGTTTAAATTCCCACTCTGAAGAAAGGCTAATTTCTGAGAATTGTTTGATTACATGAGCTTTCTTTTTCTTTTTCTTTTTTTCTTTTTATTATTTATTTATTTATTTTTTGAGACAGAGTCTCGCTCTGTTGCCCAGGCTAGAGTGCAGTGACATGATCTTGGCTCACTGCAACCTCCACTTCCTGGGTTCAAGTGATTTCCAGCTAATTTTTGTATTTTTAGTAGAGACAGGGTTTCACCATGTTGGCCAGGCTGGTCTTGAACTCCTGACCTCAAGTGATCCACCCGCCTTGGCCTCCCAAAGTGCTAAGATTACAGGCATGAGCCACTGCGCCCAGCCTTCACATAAGCTTTCAAAGCAATCAATTACAAATTTACTGTTTCAACTATTATGAAATTATAATATTTTCTCAAACTCTCCCTCAAAACTCATAAAATCTAGAATCTTTAATATTATTAGTTCATATAGAACACCACAAAGAATGTGTGACATTCCTTTATAATGCTTATATTCCATAAAATCTTCCTTCTGTAAAGCAATAAAAACTTGGGTGAAACCTTTTATACTATATATGAAACTTTAATGCTAGAAAGAACTTTTGACCTAATCTCAGTAAACAATTTCATTTGGCATATTCAATGTAACAATGGCTTTTATAGTTATAAATACAGGAGTGATGGTTACACAGTACTCAGCAGTGTGCAGTAACATTTTTAATTGACCAAATTACTCAGTATTGGGTCTTTTAAATTAGTTTAAGTGCACATAAAATACATATCCCACATGCTAGTTTATAGATGCTGCTATGATTTTAAAATACTGCTTTTCTTAAATACCTAGAAGGGATTTTTTTTGGCCACATATAACACTAAAATAATTTTTAGTGACTTTTTGTGAATGTAGATATTTATCATTTGTATCACTTTTCCATCAAATTAGTCTCTGTATAATTGAAGGGGTTTTTCTCACTTGTGTTCTTACTTTCCTGAAAAGGTCTCTTTTTTGCAAGATTTCACTCCGTTACTATAGTCTAGCTTACTTACAAAAGAAAAACTAGATGGTAACATCCACATTAACTTCATAGGCATTGAAAATCAATTATTCAAAGTCTCTTCAGAACCCACCTAGAGTTTGAACACCTTAACTTGTGTGTAAAGTGTTGGCTTCGGCAGCTTCTCCTTTAAAATGAGAGAAATTTTTCTATCTCTGTTATCAGCTATCTCTAAGGTGGGGAAAAAACGGAAATAAACAAGAGTATAAATGCAGGTAAAGGGGAAGCAAAATGACAAGAGATTGGCCAGGAATACTGGGATTTAGGGGTAGAAAGATTCTCTGGGAAATAGTGTACAAACAGAACTCAAATTTAGATTTCATAATTTACATACTTGATTCAGTACATATTCAAAAATACTCCATGTTTCAATTTGTAGAAAAAAATTAAGTTTTCAAAATGTTGTTTTAAATTTCATTCTTATTTTTAGTTGACAATAATTGCATATACTTATGGGATACAATGAAATGTTCCAGTGCATGTATACATTGTGGAATGAGAAAATCAGGTCAATGAACTTATTCATCACCTTACATACTTTTCATTTCTTTGCAGTGAGAACATTTAAAATCCATTCTTTTAGCAACTTTGAAATACACAGTACATTGTTATTAATTATAGTCACCTTGCTGTGCAATAGATCACCAGAATTTATTCCTCCTAACTGAAACTTTGCACCCTTTGGCCAACATTCTCCACCAACGCTGCCATTTACACCTTCATACCTCCCCAGCCTCTGATAAGCACCATTCTACTCTCTACTTCTATAAGTTTGAATTTTTAGATTCCACATATAAGTGAGACCATGTGATATTTGTCTTTCTTGCCTGGCTTATTTCCTTTAGCATAATGTTCTTTAAGTTCATCCATGTTGTCACAAATGACAGAATTTTGTTTCTGTTTAGGGCTGAACAGTATTTCATTGTGTGTATATACCACGTTTTTAATCAATTGATCATCGAGCATTTAGGTTGTTTCCTTATCTTAGCTGTTGTAAATAATGCTGCCATGAACATGGGAGGAGAGATATCTCTACGGTATATCGATTTCAATTCATTTGGATGTATCACCCAAAAGTGGGACTGCTGGATGACGTGGTAATTCTATTATTTCCTTATGAATTTCCACACTGTTTTCTAAAATGGATGTACTAATTTACATTCTGACCAACAGTGTACAAGGCTCGGACTTTTGTCCACATCCTCACAAACGCTTATTTTACATCTTTTTAAATAACCATTTCAAAAAGTGTGAAGTGATATATCTTTGAGATTTTATTTTGTATTTCCCTGATAGTAGTGTTAAGCATGTTTTGATATTCCTGTTGGCCACTTGTATGTGTTCTTTTGAGTAATGTTTATTCAGGTTCTCTGCCTGGTTATAATTGGGTTATTTGTTTTCTTGCTGTTGAGTTGTTTGAGTTCCTTGTATATTTTGGATACTAACCCCTTACCAGATGGACAGTTTGCAAATATTTTCTCCCATTCCATAGATCATCTCTTCACTCTATTGATTGTTTCCTTTGCTGTGCATAGGCTTTGTAGCTGGATGTAATCTCATTTGTCTATTTTTGCTTTTGTTGTCTGTGTTTTTGGGGTCTTATGTAAGAGATTATTGATCAGATCAAAGTCATTTAGATTTTCCCCTATGTTTTCTTCTAGAAGTTTATAGCTTCTGGCCTTACACTTAAGGCTTTAATTCATTTTGGGTGATTCTTGTGTAAGAGGTGACATAGTGGTCCAATTTCATTATTGTGCATGTAGAGAGCCAGTTTTTCCAACAACATTTACTAAAGAGACTGTCCTTTCTGCCTTGTGTGTTCTTGGCACCTTTGTCAAAAAAATCAATTGACCATAGCTACATAAGTTTATTTCTGGGCTCTCTGTCTTATTCCATTAGTTGATTTGTCTGTTGTTTTGCCAATACCATGCTGCTTTAATTGCTATAACTTGGTAATATGTTTTGAAATCAGGTAGTACAATGCCTTCAGTTTGTCCTTTTGCTCTAGATTTGCTGTGGCTATCTGGGTCTTTTGTAGTTCCACATAGAATTCTCTGTCTGTGAAGTTTTGAATGAAGTCTGTCATTGGAGTTTTGATAGGGGTTGCATTGAATCTATAGATCCGTTTGGATAAGATGGACATTTTAACAATATTAATTCTTCTAATCAAAGGACACAGAATTTCTTTCCTCTTATTTTGTCATCTTCAATTTCTTTCATCAATTTATTTTTATAGTTTTCAGTATACAGATATTTAACCTGGTTAGTTAACCTTACCACTTAGTATTTTATTTTTTATGCTATTATAAATGTGATTGTTTTCTTAATTACTTTTTAGAAGTTCACTGTTAATGTATAAAAATGCTATTGATTTATTGATTTTGTAACCCGTGATTTTACTCAATTTATTTCGCTGTTCTAACATTTCTTGGTGGAGTATTTAGGGTTTTCTATATACAAGATCATAACATTGGCAAACAGAGATAATATCACTTTTTCCTTTTCTGTTTGGATGCCTTGTATTTCTTTTTCTTGACTAATTGCTCAGGCTAGGACTTCCAGCACAATGTGAATAGAAGTGGTGAGTGAATATCCTTGCCTTGTTCCTGATCTTAGGGGAAAAGTTTTCAACTTTTCACCACTGAGTATGATGTCAACTGTAGGCTTGTCATATATGGCCTGTATTGTGTTGAGAAACTTTCCTCCTATACCTATTTTGTTGAGAGATTTTATCATGAAGTGATGTTGAATTTTGTTCAATGCTTTTTCTGCATTTATTATGATGTTCATATTGTTTTTGTCCTTCATTTTGTTAATATGATGAATCATATTGATATGGTTTGGCTGTGTTCCCACCTGAAATCTCATATTGAACTGTAATCCCCATAATCCTCACTTGTCAATGGTGGGATCAGGTGGAGGTACTTGTATTATGGGGGCAGTTTACCCCATGCTGTTCTTGTGATAGTGAGTGAGTCTCACAAGATCTGATGGTTTTACAAGCATTTCTGGAATTTCCCCCTGCTTGCACTTACTCCATTCTGGCACCCTGTGAAAAAGGTGCTTGCTTCTCCTTTGCCTTCTGCCATGATTGTAAGTTTCCTGAGGCCTCCCCACCAAGTAACTTCTTTCATTATGAATCAAATAAACCTCTCTCGTTTAGAAATTACCCAGTCAATTGATTATATGAGTCAATAAAACTTCTTTCCTTTAGAAATTAGCCAGTCTTGGGTGTGAGAATGGGCTAATACACACATTCATTGATTTACATATGTTCAACCATCCTTGCATCCCTGGGATAAATCCCACTTGATCATGGTGAATGATCTTTTTACTATATTGTTGAATATGGTTTGCTAGTGTAATTGTCTCTTGGTATCTGTGGGGGATTGGTTCTGGAATCCCTCATGGATACCAAAGTCCACAGATACTCAAGTTTCTTATATAAAATGGTGTAACATCTGCATATAACCTATATATATCCTCCAGTATACTTTAAATCATCTCTAGATTAATTTCAATGTAAATACTATGTAAATTGTTGTTATATTGTATTGTTCAGGGAATAAGGACGAGAAAAGTCTGTACATGTTCAATATAGACACAGCACAGCCATCCTTCTTTTCTCAATTTATTTATAATATACAGTTTACTTAATCTATGGATGTGGAACCAACAGATATGAAGGGCTAACTGTGTTTTTTATGACTGTTATATCTTTATTCATCAGAGATATTGGCCTATATTTTTCTTTCCCTCTAGTATTCTCAACTAGCTGTGTTATTACAGTAATGCTGGCCTGGTAAAATTAATTTGGAAGTAGTCTCTGTTTTAAACTTTTCTAAATGTAAATTTAGGTTAGCTATAATCTCTTTTCCTTGCCCTCAACTCAAAGCCCCTTCCCACAAGAAACTTTCCTTGGGTTGGGGATGGGGAGAGTAGGAAATGAGAGAGAGAGAAAGAGACTGACAAAGACTAAAAGTAGTTAAAGCAATTGTATGAAGCCAGTGGTTCCAAAGGAAGGAATACTTACTGGTTATAAACTAGCATGTCTGTGAGGTAAACTAGAATGTTCTTTTAAAGACGCTTGAAAGGATATGCCCTCACCTTCCCCAAATTCTGAAATTTGGGGCCTTCATCAAAATTTCAAGTTTAATTTGGAAGGTCTAATTTGAAACTATGCTATGAAACCAAAGAAAAGTGTTCCCAGATGAATGAAGACCTGGTCCCAAAAGGTCATGGAAGATAGCACTCCCTGCACAAAGTGATGTTACTAATGCCATCCTTTATACAAAGGATTAGCCAGTCAACTGCAAGACAGGAAAGATAACACTAGAATGAGAATATGCAACATTTGAATGAAAGTGAGAAATATGAGTCCAAAAATGCTTCAATGAGTATTTCCTTTGAGTCCCATGTCAGTCCTCAAAAAGTTTCAAAATTTTTTCAGCAGTATGGATTAGGGATACTCAAGCTGTAGAAACCAAAATGGTAAGGAAATCATCTTCATTTTCATTTAGAAATGAGTTTTGCAAAATACAAAATGTCAAATAGGTTCATGGCTGTATTATTTTTGTGATTAATTATCAAGACTGAAGATTTGACCTGAAAGCAGGAAAAAAAACATGAATAAAACATATTATCACATATGAGAAGTGGCGATTCTTATTGCTGCCTACACTATTCCAGCTTCAATAACCAAAGAACAATATTGAAGGTGGCATTTCAGAATGACATACAGTGTCTTTTCTGGAAGGAAAGAAAAATGTTGCTACCTACAAATGTTAAATTGGGTCACATTTTTGCTAAGATTTGACAAGGACTAGACTAAGATTGACTCTGCTTATTGTGAGCATTTGGAAGTGTTTAATATCCCTACTCTTCAAGAGAGCCATCACTTTTCAATAATACAGAACACCTGTCACTTCTGTCTGCCTATATTATTATCCCCACTATACAGAGGAGGAAAAGTGGAACTATTTGATTGAAGCAAAGCAAATTCTTAAACATAACTTCCACTACTTATGCCAGAGATCAGAAAATTAAGGCCCATGGGCCATATTCAGCCCACAGGCCTGCCCCTTGTTTTTTATATACCCTCGAACTAAGAATGTTATTAATATTTTGAAAGAGTTGCCAAAAATATGATTATGAAGTGATAGAGACCTTGTGTGGCTCATAAGTCCTAAAACATTTTTATTTTTTGGCCCTTGGCAGAGATATAAATGATATAGTTCCTTTAAAATATAACTTAGATGATTGATTATGAGTAAACTAAATGATTTAAATAAAAATAGAATGTATCTATCTGAACCTAGAAAATAGAAATAGGCTGCAGATACTCATTCATTTACAAAGTGCTGTGATACACTTCTGATGTAGATTAGTGGATGTCAAAACTACATCAATATTTTGATAACAAGAACAAATACACATTTCTATTTGTAAACGTGGCCAGCTCAACAGAAACTAAGTTGATAAGGCCAATCTTCGCCAGTATAGTTAATAAATAGGAGTCATAAATAAAAACTATATATTTATTTTAACATCATTATGCTAACCCAGATATATGAATAAAGTAGTGCTAAATTCTCTGGTAAGTAAACAAAGGCTCTGAGGGTCCCTGGAGGGAGAGATAGTAAGCATTAGCTGCAGCCAATTTTTTCAGCTTGCATTTTGGCTTCTTTGAGCCAGATCACCTAAGTCCTGACACCTGTTCATGCTGCTAAATTTCTATGCCTGCCCATAGCCTATAGCCAAGAGTCCATTTTCTCAAAGTGCTTCAGGTTTTGTGGTTAAAAGAGTCATGTGGAAGCCCTCATAAAATAAGTGTGCCCCTTGCTTTTCCATCCTCCCCCATACACGTCTGGGAACTATATTTACTAGGCTGGACCCTTCAGTACTTAAGGATATCTCTCTGACTCTGGTGGCCTCCACCCCTTTCCTTGGCGATATATTAAATACTTACAACCATATCAGCCTCCTTGCCTTAATATAACTCTGATGCTGGTTGCAGATTGTGGGTGAAACCTTTATCTATCAGGAGACTAGGAATAGATCAGGAAACTCAGCACAACTCTGAATTAAGTAACCTTTAAGCTGTGGGAGACTTGAATCACCCCACCAACCTAGTACACTATTCTTAACTTTCTTTGCCTATATTTTTGTTAAATTGAAAAAGATAAGACTGCCTCCCCTTCTCGCTTTTCCGGTCAATTTAGTAGAAGGGAAAATAAAAGAGGATTGAATTTCCATCCATTCTGCATGAGACTTTCGTGATTACTTCAACATTTAAAGTCTAAAAATTTTTCTCAGAAAGTTACTAACTGGACATATATAACAAGCTGCCTGAAAGCACCAGAGCTAGGAATGTAATCTCCGAGAGGAAGAAAAGGAAGTGCTAACAGGAAGAACCGGTGTATTGACTCTTGAGTAGAAAAATACGTCAATAATGAGGATTAAATTTTAAAAACACAGAAAAAAATTATTTGCTACTTCTAAAATAAGAACATATTTCAATTATTATTTTAATTTTAATAACAAATATTCTATAGACTTTTTGTGGCAGTCAAATATGTACAGCTACCCATTTTTGACATAGTAACATGATGAAACTTAGGACCTATGTCACCCCATGACTCACTGAGAGTTAAAGTTACTCATTTAGCTACTTACGAGCCACTGCATGCAAATTAATTGCACCACTATGAAGGTACTTGCTATTTATCTTATCCCTTGCATGGGGTCTGTTTTTTTGTGAGTGTGTGTTTGTGTCCTCCACAAAATATGTCGCTGTTTAATTCTAGGGGATAAAAGCTGGAATTCTGGAATAGGAATAGTTAGAAGTGACTCTAGCTTGTTTTTTTTTATAAAAATAAATAATCATTGAGCTCTTTTATATGCTTGTAATATGCTGGGCACAGTTATAAGCGCTGAGGAGAAAAATGTGAAGGAGAGTCTGTGCACTGTTGAAATCACATTCTATTGTGATAAGACACAAAAAATAAAGAAAAATAAAAGAAATGCATAAAAATAAAAGAAATGTGGTATAGATAATAAATTGGGTGATGTATAAGTAAGATAATCTTGTTGAGAAAGGTGAAGTGGTTGCTCAAGGAAGATTTCTCTGGGAAGAGGGTTTAGCTGAGCCTTACAGGTGGAGAGGGAGACAGCCAACGAAGAGCTCGGGAAATGCAGTCAGAAAGGAAGAACCAGCAAATCCCCAAGGGCATTGGGGGTGAGTATATCCCAGGAACAGAAAATTTATTATAGCTGAAACACTGAGTGGTAGGAGATGATGTCAAATGGTAGGCAAGGGCCAGGCCATGGTGCTTATATGGACAAGAGTTTGAATTTTATTCTTAGTATATTGGGAAGCCCTTGGAGGACATTAATGACATGCTCTAATTTACATATTTAAAAATTACTCTAACAGATGTGCGTGGAAATAGGTTAAAAGAAAGGAAGAGGAGAAGTGGAGACTATTACAGTCACCCAGGCTACAGATGGTACTCACTAGGGTAATGGAGGAGAAATGGAGATCAGTGGCTGGGCTTGTTACATATTTCAGAGCTCTAATTTAGAAGACTTCCTGCTGATAGATTGGACCAGGGACTTTGTGCTGATAATTTGGGAAAATAATAAACAATAACTCTAAAGTATTTGTCTTGAGCATGAGGAAGACTAGAGAATATGGCTTTTCATTTATTTCCCTTTGCTATTATTCTGGGTCTAGGTCCCCTGTGATATGCTCTGTGTCACCTTCCAGTCCAGGTCAAGTTAGGTATGATCCATCAAGATGCCCATCACTTTAATCTCATTCCTTTGTTAGAGCTAAAATGTGAATCTCAATGACCCTTTCTGTTTTTGTCTCCAATTGCAGTTTTTAAAATACTTGCTCTAGCTCTTTCCTGTTTGCAGTGATTTCACTTGCTCAAGCTTCAGGAGGTGCGGCTCTCCTCCCACTCAGATGCACTCGGATAAATGCCTAGTTCAAGGTGTCTTCTTTCCTGCCCTGCTGTGGTTGGGAACTTTCTAAAACTCTGATTTAGGTGGGACAAAACTATTTTCAGGTGTATTTCTACATAAAAGGCTCTAAAAACCAATTATTTTCCAGCTTCTGTATTCTAAAATTGTATATATCCTTTCCCTCTTCTGCCCCCGACTTGCACCCAGAGTTACTCACTTAGAGCTCAACTAGCATTTTGTCCCTTAACAAACACTTTCTGAATTGAATTAAAATAATCTAATTTTCCATATACCATGCATGGTTTTCTTTTTTGTGGATTTTATTTTCATAAGTTCATTCCTCAATATGTCGGTTCTTACCTTAATATACTGACTTTAACAAGAACATAACTGTTTAAGGGAACATACGTACCCATGGATATTCCACACCTAAATAATACAGTTAGTAGCAGACATAGTACTTTCAAAATCATCATTACTTGTCACTTTTTGTATTAGAAGCCACCCAAGTATAAAATCTGAAAATTTGGTGTCTTCTTATGTTAAATTCATGGTTTTATTTTGAAACTCATTTTACCAGTAGACTCCTTCCTCAGATAGAATCCTATGTGGGATTCCAATCCCTGGTACATGAAATGCATGATGAAGCTGCTCTGCTGGGGGAGTGGAGGAGCTACCCTTTCAACCCCTTCTGTGCATCCTATGATTATGCTTGAGATATTTATCCATGTGAGAGTTTGTGCTCTACAAAATGCACTTGAAAACCTCAGTGTTAAAAAATTATTCAATTTCTGTTTCTTTAAAACATCTGGTTTGGGAACTCTTTTATTTGTTCTACTTTTATGACTATAATTCACTAATCCTGATAATGAGACACACACACACACAAACACAAACACACCTCTCATTCCTAGGATCATGGCAATGCATCTAAGCTACAAAGAAGAATGTTCATTTCTCTGCCTCTTGTTAAACATTGAAGAGACTGCCTTCTACAGAAGTGGGGTTTTGTTCAGTAAATAGTGAGGACAGCTTTCTAGACCTTTCTCAGCGCTCTCCCGATTCACACGGTTTATGGCCTGCACTGGGAGTCGTTCGGTCTACAAAGCCCCAGAGTGCCATGGCCACATTGCCACTCTGCATTTGGAATTCTAGTTGCATTTCTTCTACATCAGCCTTGTGAGGTAAAGGTGGGCATGAAATATTTAGCACAGAGTCAAAAATGAAGAATTTAGACCACATTTTGGGAGCCACCTTAACTACCCAGATTATCTACTCATGAAAATGTGGTTGGGATTAGGCAGGGTGTCAGGGCTCCTGGTTAGCCAGGCTGTGCTCCTTGAGGATAGTAACCCAGTCCTAGGATCGCACCCACCATTGGAGGGAGAGGAAAGAGGGTAGGTGGGTTAATGACAATACCATTATTGGATTTTGTTAAAGGACACAAAATTACAGCTAGATAGGAGGAACACCTTCTAATGTTCTATACCACTGCAGGATGAGTGTAGTTAACAATGATGTATTATATAGTTTCAAATAGCTAGAAGGAGGATATCACACGTTCCCAACATGAAGAAGTGGTAGATGTTGAGATGACAGATAATTACTCTGATCTGATTAGTATACATTATATTTATCAAAACATCACTATGTACCCCATAAATATGTACAATTATGTGTCATTAAAAATAAAATTTTAAACTATACAAAATACTTTAAAATGAATCTAGAATATAACAAGTAAAGACTGAATTAAGAGGGACAAATTTGATTTCAACAAGAGGTTCATAAATTGATTACACACATCTCCACTTGACAAACACCCAAGTTTTGTTTTTGAGGGGGTATAAGGAAAAGACCATAGTAATAGTAACATAGTAATATATTAATCAGTTAATAGTAAAAAATTAATAAACATTTACATCTGCTTTACATTATGTTTAATAGTGAAGCTACTAGAATCTGTATCAAACAGAACTTATTACATGAAGATAACATAAAAATTGAATTTTTTTTTCAGAAAAATAACCAAAGAAAGATTTGTGCTGTTTCTTAATCTTTTCCCTAACTTTTCTTCTAATATCATTTTGTGGGTAACACTCAGAGGTGTGAAGGTCAGTAGTGGCGTCATCATTGTCCTTGCCTCTTTTCTCATGGTAGGTTGTGGCAGTGCTTTAGTTGTCTACATTCCATGGTCTTTCAACAGCTAGTTCAGTGCAGGAGCGATGGGAGGAAGGAGGCATGGGATTGCCAATGCCACTAGTATTCCTATTCAATAGCATGGCTGGCTTTCATTTCTTGGCAGCAATTAGAGATATAAGGCTGTTTCCTGGGAAATGCGTTGTTTGGTATAAGCAGTAGAACTTGTAGGTATGTCGGCTGTTAGCTTGTATTCTTATATATACTGACTCATTATGTGTTCTTAGGGTGTGAGAAAACAGAGAGCTAAATGAATTTGGCTTCTTGTGGATACAAAGGCAAAGCAAATGAAAGTTGACACACATTGTGGTAAGAAGTAAATGTTTGACTATTCCATAGATAGAACCATTTACTACAAGGCAAAAAGGGAGATGCTTTTTTTTGTTGCTTTTTACCATTGCACACACTAGTGTCTTTTCTCGAAAAAAATGGGAAAAGGAAACTATATAAACCAAAATAGACTCATAAAACACAGAGAGGGTTGGGATGACACAATGTGCTTGCGTGTGTGTGTGTAACTAAATATAAACGTGTTTTTTCTGCTGCTTCTGCTATCTTATATTTTTTTAAAAAAATTCTAAATGCTATAAGGACAGAGGCTTCACAATAAAATTGATACTAACAACAATCTCAGCAATTTCTGCAACATGAACTCTGTATTAGTTCTTCCACAGCAAGCTGTGAGAGCTCTAGGAAGTTATTGTGAGTTGATGTCATAGAGACTGGAGGAAGAAAATCTATGCTCTAAAGGAAACCTCATTGCACTGTATTCTAAAAGTTTTGTTTGCGTCCAATATTCCCATGACAATTTCCCAGAAAAATAATATCTGAACCTTATAATACCTACCCAAATAAAAGATGTAGTCAATGTGTTTGATGAAATCTACACAAGTTTTCCTAATGGGACTGGCAGGTCATTCATAAATATGAAGTAAATGGCATAATAAACAAGCAGAAAATTAAATTCATAAATTACAGGCAAAAACATTAAGCTATACCATGACAGAATTCATGTATATGAATTCATTTAATACTAACTAAGTTTTGCTTACAAGTAACATTTAATCAGTAGAATTAGTGATGGAAAAACAAGCAGCTATTTCTTCTGTAGGAAAAAATATATGTGTGCAGTGTATAAATCAGGGCTTAAATTGGACATGGAGTCTTGACTAAATTTTGGTCATGACGATGATAGAAGCATGCAAAAAAGGTATAGTATGGCTAACTTTACATGTAAAGTTGACATAAATATTTCTTATTTTCATTTTTAAATTTTAATGGGTTTTATGGCATGGTGAAAATTATTTATACTAAGAAATTCATATATTTTGCACTATTTCTAATTTTATAATAAACTTACAACTTTTAATTTGTGTTGATTCTAAATTCAACATTGTATTTCTAGGAGAAAAAAGCAAAAAAAAAAAAAAGGAAAGAAACCGTTATCATTATATCAGTTATTTACTGCATCAGTTAATCAGGCATTTCAAACTTTCTCAAATTTAGTGGCTTAAAACAAAAACCATTTATTTGCTCATGATTCTGCAATTTGGGCTCTGATCAGCTGGGTAACCCTGGCTGGACTCACCTGGCATCACTCCCAGGGTTGCAGTCATCAGATTTTGAGGGGAGATGGGCTGTCTAAGATGGCTCCACTAATAGATTTGAGGGCTCACCTGGGATGGCTGGGATGGCCAGGGAGCCTGGGCCTTTCTCCCCACGTGGTTCATTGTCCTAAGGTTTTTCAGAGTCTGGTGCTCTCAACGTTCCAAAGGGCAAAATAGAAGCTATAAGGAAGGCCTTTTGAGGTCTCATCTCAAAAGTTGCACAGTGTCACTTCCTGCACATTCTATTAGTCAAAGCAAGATGCAAGATCAGCCCAGATTCAAGGAGAGTGGGATTAGAGACTCCAGCCCTTGAGGGTAAAGCAGTGATGTCACATTGAAAATGGGCCTATAATGTGCATATAAAGATGGAAGAATTTATGGCCACATTTAATAATCTGTCACAATCAGCAAACTAAAAGGATATTACTTTGATGAACTGATAGTAATCTAATCATAACTATATGGGAAGAAAATCAGAAAATTTAATTTTTTTAAAAGGAAAATTTTATTATGTGAAAATACATTTCAGGGTTTGATAAACGCTTTAAGGTATTGTGAGATTCTGGACAAATCATTCTGTGGCTTTATGAGTTCACACATTTATTGCATTTCTGTATAATATATATGATTTATTCATTTTAAATAAATATAGATAAGACTTGTCAACATGATCAACTCCAACACTATTCTTATTTGCCTTAATATTAATCTAATAGTGCTCCTGAAAATTCTTACTCTCAGCTTGGGTCAATGAAATATGACATATAAAACTGGGAATTATTTCATTTTTTATTCAAGTCTGTCTTTTTAAAAATTAATGCTTTATACTGTTGTGTCTATTTATACTAGATAGAAACTATCATTTGGTTATATAAGATATTTTAGAAATGCTTTATCAATCATTATCAGAAGATTAATTTAAATTTTATTTCCTTTCAAAATCTCTGTATTATTAGAATAAAAATCTATACATGATTAGATGTATCCCAGTTTGGAAAGATTAGGTCTTTAGATATACTACATTTTTAAAACTTGCACATGTTCCATTTTATTACATTTTATTGAACAGACACAAGTATTCAACTGTTGCTTTCTGCAAATAAATTTGCTAGTTGTGGGGCAGAAGAAGTGAGACTGGAAGAGACACAAAGATGAATAAAAAGATCCTGGCAGAAAAAGTTTACAACTGCAGCAGAAAGATCTAAGCACACAAAAAATGCAAAGATGATAGGAAAACAGAAATCAAGAAACGTATGGGTTTCAGAGTAGTCCTATTTACGTTTCCAAATTAACCACTTTTAAATCCCCTGGTTGAGGAGAACAAGGTGAGAGGGGAAACATCAAGGAGAGAGCCCACACCCAGCAGTTCCATCCACATCATCTGGGAACTCGGAACCCAGGCCGGCTGCAGGAGCCTATTCTCTACTCTTGCCCAGAAGTGAAGTGTTGATTAGTATTCAGTTACACTCTGACAGCACATCTTTTTACAAAGCATTTTCATAAACACCCATATTCTCAGTAAGTCCTACAAAACTTGGTGAGACAGGTAGAGCTCTTGCTTTACAGACTAAAAAAAAAAAAAAAAAGCTGGGGATTGAATCAGGGAAAGTGACTTGCCCAGAGCTAAAAAAAAAAAAAAAATTAAAAGGAGAATGAATTAGGACAAAACTTAGGCCTCATGCTCATCCCATGACTTCTTTCTTTCTACATGGAGTAAGTTTAAGTTAGAAGCATAATTAGTGGGGAAAAGCATAATCTTGCAACAGCAGTGCCTCTGAGCTCTAATGCTGTGTAAACTTGAGATCTAGATTCCCCAGTTGTAATAGGTTCCCAGTGATGTGATGTATGTAAAGACTAAAGGGTGAGTTCTCCCTGGCATAGCTTCTCAAATACTTCCACCCCAACCTTCCATAGCTTTAGGATTTATACCTCACCGTCAATGTTCCCTGTTTTGTAACAAGATTCTTTTGATATTTCAAGAGCTAAACCACTTTAGGTTGTACCTGGGGTCCACCTTCTTGGCTCCCAAGTTTGAGATATTATCCCAATTTGAGATATTGGTACATTTCTCAGACTAATATCTGAGGTTCTTGAAAGTTCAAGGACATATTCTTGGGGATTAGATAATGCTCTATAATAATTATTTAACCATATTGAAACTGCGAATAAAAATAAAATGGAAATGGACATAAGATATAGATGATGTTTCCCTCCCATGAGAATTTCACAAGTTTGGGTGTGTGAAAGGATGTAAAACAAAATGTAAATTACATCATCAAACAGCATATGGTATTAGAGGCCTATACACCTGTATCCACAGTTCTAAATGCAATAAGTAGTTTTAAAATGCAGTAAGCATGTATTTAAGTAAGAGCAATTCCACATGCAGTAAGTAACTATAAATGCAAGGTGTGACCTGTATGGACATAAAATTATTTACAGCTTTTATCTATATATTTTACTATGAACATGTATACATTCATATATTTTGATGCATAGATATCAATGTGCTTGATTATTGGGTACTGCCCTTTCTAAAATCTGAAAGCCTTTCAAATCTGAAATAGATCTTGCCCCAATGTTTTTAGAAGATATGTATAGACCCATATAGGTGTGATTACTACAAAATAATCTGCATCAGTGGCCAGTGCCCTGTTTGCTCTTTTAAGGACAGCTTTATGAAGACATTAGTGCCCTATTCTTACTGCTGGTGTTTTTTCCAGCCAGGTAACACCAATCATAATATTAAATACTGTTACTCATTTCCATTGTGTGGTTTTTGTTGTATTAAATTTGTAAATGCATTAGGATTATAAATCTGTTAGGAACTGTGAACATTTGAAATTAATTCTGAATTTTGTCTTTTCACATATTTTACATACTTTTACAGTAAAATTATTATAGGTCAGCACTGGAAGAATTTGGAGTTTTTTTCCTTGCTTGTTTAAAAATAGATGTATTAGTCGTATTTAAGAAACTTTCTTTACCATTATACTTAATAACTGAAACAAGGATAACAATGTGATAGTTTAGTGAATTTCAACTTGTTTAAGCTTTGTTATATTGACAAAATAACCCTGGAGAAAATGTAATTATATAGTAAAAGATGACTGTGATATCCTGCTGTGTATCAGGAAGAACAATTTTTACTACTTGTACATGCTCTGAAAGTATGTCTAAATTTTCCTCTTTATGGAAAGCATGATGAAAATCTCAGTCTCCTTACTATTGGAAATCTGTATCTTCTCTTGCTACTAACCATCTGCTCACCTACCTGAAGTATCTGTAGATTCTGATAAATAAAAATTTCCCTAAATATATCATAACCAATTACAGTTTACAGCTATTAGTCAGGCAGACTTGTTTAAATAGTGGGGGGTTTTTAAAGCTTCAAAAATACAACCAGGGATGCAATTTTGAAATTTAGCATTTACCACAGAAGTTGCCTCCATTGTTTATGCTAAAAGTAGATTTAAAATGTCTCACTCTCACTAAGCAACTAAAATATAACGTTTAAAATGCTACTCAGCGTGGGAAGATTTATGAGCAAGCAATTATATCAAACTCTCATTTGTTTCTGATTTTACTTTCTAGATACAGGTGTCCTCTAATATCCAAATCAATGATCATAGAAAAATCAGGTTTAATCTCCTTATCTGGGTAGGAAAGTGAGGTTGGAGAGGTTTCCTAGGTTGTGGAAGATCACACAGCTAATTAGTGTCAGAGTCAGTTCTCTTCCTCCCAGTCCAATTGTTTGAACAGTTTTGTTGTCACTTGAAATGCTGTGTTGTAGATCTAAAGATAATGTGACCTTATCTGCCCCAAAGTTTGCAAATCAATCGTCTCACAGTGCCAAGGCAAATAGGGCAAGCCCAGGGACAAACAGCATGACTCAGCCAGGCCCCCTTCAGCAGGGCTGGCTTCAAAGCTGAGTCATGAAAAATTAGATTGCAGAGTCAAAGCGCTGTATGTTCCCGGCCTTGTCCTACAACTAAAAGGGCAGAAAGTCTCAACCGAGTCATGGAATAGGAGAGTTTCTGTAAGGAAACTTTCTGCCAGTTCTAAAGTGGTTATTTTGTGTTTTATCGCTGCTACTCCTTACTACTAAAGGGTTAAATGCTAGAATATCACTCCATATAAAAGAGTATGGGATAATGTCTCCTGGGTTTATTTATATCTTAATGAAGGACTCCAGAAAACCCTCTTCAATCCTAAGAAAGAATAGCCGGTTGTGATTAATGTTTTTGGGCAGCAAATCTCAGCTTAACATCACCCAAAACCAAACTAGGTGGACAGCTAAGTCCAAATGGAGTCTTACATCCTATTCCAGCAGGGGTAATCTTGACCTTTTAGAATCACCTCTCTTTAAATCTCAGACTGCACGGGGAAGTATTGTTCAGCCATGCTTATCCAGCCCTGTCTAAATCGCACTTCAGTTTATCCAGCCTATTTTGCTTTGCAAGCTGGCTTGTGCTTGGAGATCTCCCCAGGTCTTCCTGCAGACACTGAGCTTATCATCTTCAAATGAGAAGTTTGAGGGGGAGTGCAACTCAGCAGTTTATCCTTTTAACATGAGTATCTCATCACTACTTTTTCTTTCTTTGGGTGGGTGGGTCCCTTTGTAGCAACAAGATTTCAGGCATCTTTCTGGATTATTGCAGTTTTCTTAACTGTAAATCAAACCAATTTTCAATAAAGTAAGATATATGACATTGTCATTTTACTCCTGGCATTTGATATCACATTTTTCCCAATAAGTGCAAATATTACCCAATGAAATAGATATTAATTTTCAGTCAGTCTAGTGACCTAACAGGATAACATTATATAAAAACGTTTGCATCTTGGGTAAGAAAATCTGCATTTAAATACACTTTTAAAAAAAATCTTAAAAGAATTGCAGTTAAACAAGGTAATTTTCCATGGTTAGAAAGGACAAGCAGGTGATATAACCTCCAATGCCTCTTTTTATAATAAGGTAATAAGCTCTCACCTCCAAACGAATGTGCCCCAAATACCTTGGTAACGGATATAATAAAACAATGACTCTATTCTTGCTCAGCTGTTATAGTAGTGATTGTTGTATTGTTTAGCCATTCATATATTTCATGCAGTTCTGAAAATAGCTATCCATTGTTGTTTGATTTATTAAATTTTGTTCCATCACTTACGGATACAAAAGTGCAATTATTAGCAAAGTAAGTTGTGCAGTATGCAATGCTAGTTTTTAAAATTTGGGTCTATCTGCCTATTGGTTTCAGTCTGTCACGAATAAAGAAAGCAACCACTATTATTTGAAATCAAAATGGAAATTCTTCTGCTCAGAAATCAGGGAGATATCCAGGGATCTATCAAATTTCAGTTGCGTGAAGCCTGCCACCATTACCCACTATGGCCACTTCCATTCTTCAAAACTTTGGAAAATCGTGTTGCTGTATAGCCTCTCTCTGAGTTTTAATTACGGCAAAGCAATGCCAATAAATACTTCATTGACCATCCTTGTGTGCAGCTAATATATTTTTTAAATTCTACCACATTTCAAAATGTTTTGTTCATTTCACTCCTTTCTCTATATCACCCAGACCTCTTGACATCTGGGGACTATTTCTATCTAGGAATTATGAAGGTTTCTCTCTACATGTTCCTCAGTTCCCACAGGGTTGCTCTCCTTGAGTTTGTGCCCTCTATTTCCTACCCCAAACCAAGTACTCTTCTCAACCTCCCTGACTCTGCTCTGCTAAAAGAGGTTCTCCAGTGACATCTGTTAGGGTGGGATTGTTTGATCTGTTCTTCTCTCCAGTCCTCTTTCTTTTAACCCAAATAATTAATTGCTCATCCAGGACACATGATATTCAGAGGGAACCTCCTTTCTACAACAACCCATGAAGATCTTGTCATTTTAAAATGTTGGATTGAGTTGCATCAAACAAAATTGAAGTGAATTAAATTGACTTGAATGCCACAGAATGGACTAAGTATTACAAAATTGAGTGGAATAGGGTAATTTTGTGCTGTGTCCCTCCTCTTTGAAGCCTCCCCTGTTCATATTCTTATAGTGAGCCCAATGTTTATTTCTTGAGGTGATAATTTCTTCCATGTTTTGGCTTTTATTTACACACTTTTACTTACAAAATGAATCATAAAATATATCTTCCTGAAGGATATGTACTGGCTCTCATTCATTTCTTGTTATTTTGTAGGCACTCAGAAAAATCTTTTTTCCTTTGGTCTGGGAACCAACTTACATCATTTGTAAGTGATGGACGTGTGCTGTGAACCATAAATAATGTAAACAAGTTAGCACTGCCAGAGGACAAGGGTTCAGTTAGAAAGACCTTCCTGACTGTGAGCTATGATGCCTTTAGCACAAGCTCAAAAAGGTCATAGAGTTGCATTCTCTGCATATTTTCCAGAGAACAGCCTGGAGTACATGTGACCTGATCTATAGTCAAGCCCATTTTGAATGAAGGTAGAGAACTACTATAGGAACTAGCAACAGCTATTCAGGAGGGTGTCACCATTATTTTTTCCAATCCAAGAAAACAAGTTATACTTCTCCATTAAAGGTCATTTAAAAATAATTAGCAGAGTATTTCCGAAAAGAGAAATCATTGCTTCTACGTAACTCTTCATCCCCACAGTTCCAGTTGTCAGCCTTTCTGAGAAAAAAAAAAGTGTTTTCTATCTTTGATTACTCTATCTACTCTGTGCCTGTCTTCGCTAGGGTTCATCATTAAACCAACTGCTTCTGTTGCCATTATAAGAAATGTAGACTTTCGGAAAGGCTTGTTACATTTCAGAAGTGCCCACCCTGTTCAATAAATGGTACTTTTCATCTGTCCCCTTTTGCTGCAGGGGCAGTTTATCTGCCAATATCCCTGGAATTGCTCCCTGTTTCACTGCACCAAGGATGAGAGGCCCTACAGGTTTTTGTCCTGAAACCCGTATGTCAAACACTAGGGAGGTTAACGAGTCTCCAACCTACTCACTGAAACTGAGGAAAACAGAAGTTTCATATTGACATAGCCGAGGATCAAGAAGGACATTACCTCCTTGGAAAAGTGATTACAGTGGCTCTTTCCATACACTTCCATCAGCCAAGATGTGCTGCATCTCCCTCTACAGGAACCAAAGCTGAATAAGCCTGCATCTTACTGACGTTCCTTTTCTATTTCCCGGGAGAGACTAAAAAGTGGCTCAGCCTACAAGGGAGCCAAGGGACCACTTTAGCATGACCCTGATTCTTGAGGAGAGACGAGCTTCATATGCAGGTGCAGTGAAGTCTCCCTTCTGGCCCCATTCTCTGCTCAGTCGATACAAGTAAGAGATGCCTTGGCTTGCTGCTCAAATTATTTATATGACTCAAGGATCCACAGAGCCCTCATAAGCCTCATAAATGAGCTCAGAAAAAAAACTGACACATTTTTCTTCATGCTAAGCCTGAATTTCACTAACACATAGGATTATTTTATGATCCAATCAGTCCAAGTGTAGGCGTTTCAGTAGATGCGTAGACATAACATACAATTGATTTCCTTGCCACAGATTAAAAAAAAAAACTCATAAATCTGAATGAAAACTAATTTTTGATTTTAGTAGAACTGAAAATAATAATAATAATATTGGTAACAATGATTACAATTTGGTAGGATTTTCCTCATAAGATGTTCATTTTCCCAATGATAGCAAAGGATGCTTATCAAGGGAAATAGGTCCCACTTCTACACTCAGGAATTACTTTTCTCCTTTGCATTTGTAAATGGATATACCCAAAACTTCAGTTCCTATGCCACGAATAAGCATGATCTCTCCAAGTGCCACCTTCCAGTTAGCCCAGGGCGAAACACTAAAGTGGACAAAGTACTCCAGTTTTCTGTTTTTCTTTTTCACTGTCATCTAAGCTTCAGCCCTGGCTTCCTAAGTTTCCAGTGTCATGCTCTACCCTCATCTGCCCTGCTTGAGCACTGAACTGACCTTCATAGAACAGTGAGCCCAAAGCTTAGGGTCAGAAGCCTTGGCCGTGTCACTAGCTGGTTTGTCATGCTTTAGATGTGTCACCGGTTTCTCTCTATGGAGTGGAAATAATATCTACTTTACCAGGACATGATAAGGACTGACATTATATATGTGGAAACATGTTTGAAAGCCGTAAAGCACAAAATAAATATAAATATTTAAACACCCTGAAATAACTTATGCTAAATGCCTGGTTCAATAGATATGAATTTGCTAAAAAATTATTTTTCATAAATGTTACTTTCATTTCCCCCTCTTTGGTATTGTCTCAGCTAGCGTTGAAGGACCCACTGTCTCTCTCACATTAGAAACAATTTCTGTGTAAAACATCCCAAATCACTAAGGGCACATTTGACTCATGTATGCATTGTAGCCTAGGGGCTTGTCTCCATAGTCCTTGGAATCCAATACTAGTGGAAGGATCATGGATTTTGGAATTAGGCATACTCAGAATTACATCTCAGCTCAGTCACTTAGAAATTCTATGACCTTGGGCAGGTAACTTAATCTCCTTAGGCTCCGTTTCTTCAACTATAAAACGGAAATAGCAATGCCTATGTAGAAGGAGCCTGACACTAGTAAATATAAATATATAAAATAGTTTTCATTCATTTAATTTGGAACTTGTGGAAAATTCTATCAAACAATAGTCTTGTAAATAAAACTGTGCTTAGTGTGGAGTAAGCAAGTTCACTCTATGGAGAAAAAAATAAATGAAGTGATTTTATGTTGACGTAGTCTTTTGAAGTTTGTGAAGTACTCTCCCTTGAATCTTCCTCATCTAGGTTGGTATGACTCTGTGAGGAAAGGAACAGGTTGTATTCTCTCAGTTATGCAGAAGTAACTGAAATTAGATTATGTGCCTTGGCTAAAGTTGCAGAAGAAAATCATAGGAATGGGGAAGCTAAGTCTGGTGCTAAGAGCCTCAAATTAAATAATTTTGTTCCAAGATCTTCCATTATTTTCTCAATTAAAGGCCAGTTTCTGTAACGAGTTTCCAAATCTCTCTGGGTTCCTCAATAGATGATTTCCTTGATTTTTTCCCCTACCTATGAATAGATAGATAGATAGATGGATAGATAGATAGATAGATAGATAGATAGATAGATAGATAGATAGATAGGATGGATAGATGATAGACAGATAGATAGATAGATAGATAGATAGATAGATAGATAGACAGATAGATCTATCTGTTAATGCTTTGATGTGGCCTTAAGTGAGGGAGAGTAAAGAGAGAAATTTCAGGGAAAGCTGGGTGTGTTGACTCATGCCTGTAATCCCAGCACTTTCAGAGGCCAATGCAGGAGGATTACTTGAGGCCAGAAGTTCAGGAACAGCCTGAACAACAGAGCAAGACCCAATTTCTACAAAAAAAAAATTTTTTAATTATCTGGGCATGGTGGTGTGCACCTATAGTCCCAGCTACTCAGAAGATTGAGGCAAGAGGATGGATCACTTGAGCCCAAGAGTTCAAGCCTGCAGTGAGCTATGATCACTCCACTGTACTCCAGCCCGGGCAACAGAGCAAGATCCTGTCTCCAATAAATAAATAAATAAATAAAGAAGAAAAAGAATAGAAATTGCAGGAAGAGTTTATAATAAAGTACCCTAGTTGAAAGAGTTTCTGTTCTTCATAGTTCTACCAGATCTAATTAAAAACTTACCTTTCCTTTCTTTCTGTCACCTCTCTTCTCCTCACTTCTTTCTTTTATTACAAGACCCTTGGTCATCATTAGAGTCTTTGCTAGCTCTAAAAGTGTATGTTTTACCACTTGTTTTCGTTGTACCCTCTTGTAAACAGGAAAAAAAAACCCCAAAAAACCCAAAACACTAGAAATATTTTTGTGGTTGAGGTGGACTCTTTTGAGGGGGAAAAGTGTGAGAAACATAGAGGAAAAATAGATTTAAATGAGAGCAAATGTTAAGATTAGGTAAAAAGGAAGGAGTACTAATTTCATTAGCTGTCTCAAGTTTTCTGCCTTAAAAGAAAACATTCCATTAAGGAATAGGTCCAATTCCAAGTATTTCTCCAACTTTTTAAATCTTGGCATAGTAGAATTGGGAGACATTTCATCTCCTTCCTTCTCACTATCCCCAAAACTCTGATTTTACAGATGAGAAAATGAAAGCTAGAAAGGTGATATGACCGGCAAAGTTGCAGAGAAGTTAAGAGAGCTGCAATTATTCTTGTCTTTTGAATCACGACTTTCTAATTTTTAGCCTCAAATAGTGTCAAAGAAAAAAAGTTTAACAAACCAAATGTTAGTAAAATCACAGTTAGAAAATTTATGAGAGGATTTGAATTCTTCACATCAATTAAAAATAAATACAAGTTACTTGGTATGCAGCCATGATCTTGCTTTATGCAAAGATTAGATGTTGCTATTAAAAAAATGCACTTTTGCCAAATTCAGACCTCTTCAATACTCATGGGTTCACTTCTAAATCAAACCCAAATTATGTGGTTCTCAAAGTTGTATATGGAAAAACCCCATTTTCTTCAAGTGAGTCAGCTGTCTGAAAGATTGTTTATAATGTTTCCAGGACTGAAATAATAAACTGTTTGGTTTAATTTTACAGCTACATGGCAAACTGCGAAATTAAATTGCAAAATGTCTCTGTGAGCTAATTTTAAATTTTTAAAACTAATCTACAACTGACATAAACATAATCCCCTTAGTTCCAAGGCAATTATAGTTTTTCTGGTTAATTCACAAATAGATGCTGTTGTTTTGAAAAGGCAATGCAGTTACATGCAGAAGAACTGAGCAGATAATAGTGGCCAGAACCTGAAATTTTATGTTCCGTGGGAAAGTCAGTCTCTAGGGTTATCAAGTGCAGCTGTTGGTGCTGGTAGAAATATAACATAGTAGGATATAACATTCAGGAAACATGGGGGTAAACAAGAGCCAGCTAGCCAGGACAGCATTTGAAATTGGGAGATCCAATAGAAGTTAAGGGGGTGACTCAACTGGCAGCATAGCAGAGTGTCAGGAATTGCGGCAGGCAGGTGGGAAGGGAGCCCCATGCAAATCTGTATACAGGTAACAGAGTCCCAGACTTTAGAAAGAGGCAGACTAAAGTCCCCTGTGAAAGAATATTCTAGAGGATCAAGTTCCAAGGCTGGGATTCAGACAAGAAAGCCAGAGTAGGGTAAATGCGGGAAGAGAACCATGATTGAGGAATAAGGCAGAAGGCCAATTATTCTACTTGATCTACAAGGTCAGGGTCAAACTAGCAGCAGATGTGATTTGATCCTGTGTCCCCAAATAGAAGGCTTTACACGCTCTCAACCCTCCCATGCATGGTCAAATTCCCAGTTCTAGATCCCGGCTCAGCCTGCCTGCCAAGTGACTTAGCTAGAGAAGAGGGGGTTGGGGCTGTGCAGAGGCAAGACCTGGTATGAATTCTTTAATTTTTCCACAATTACTGAAACATTGAAGGAGTAAAAGCCTCACATGCCCAACACTTCCACTAGCATTTGATACCATATGCCAAGGATAGCTCATACAATATTTAGTATTCTCATCTACCTGAGCATTTAGCATTCCACCTGAAATACATGTGATCGTAAGAAGCAACAATAGTTAATGTTTGACTTTTGTTACACAACCTGATAATACTGTGTAGAGGAAAGAATGTGCAACTGAATCTCCAAAGGCAACCTTTGTGTCATGGGCCTGCTGGGACTGACTGTGGCTTCTCTGCCACCACCCAGCTTTGCTCTTGTCATGTGTAGTCTGGCACGATGAGCTCACAGGCTCCTTTCACCTCCAGCTTTCTAAATTTTTATTCCAAACTCCAAGGGATGAACACTACTAAAGAACCCATGGATTGTTCTTCTAGAAAGTGCCAGTGGCATTCATAACATTGAATACTTACATGAAAACCCAAAAACTCTTGGCTCTAAGCAGTTTCAGAAAGTAATTACAGTCTATTAATTAAATAGCTTACATTTCAAGTGCACTTATGCAACTGTATTAAGAGACCATAATAAACAACTATTACCATTCTATTGAGCCAACTAACAGGTATATAATTGAGTTTTTGTTCTTCTCTTTTTTTTTTTACAAAGAAGAGAAAATTAATACTTTAAAAAATACTAAAGTTTGAAAGAGACTATTAAAGCCCTAAAATAATGAGTTGAGACAGGCTTGTCTGTCAACTTGAAGAATGGCTAATGAAAAGTCAGAATGTACAGCCCAAGCTCTCCCAAGCCGTCACATTTGCATTGTATTAAACATTTATGTTTATTAATCTTCAGTGCACAGTATGTACTTTGCAGTGTCCAGTGACAAATATAAACATCCAAGCCTTAGAGATGCAAAATACACCTATGTTGTATAAATTTGTTCAATGGATATTCAGTGAATTATGTGATTTTAGATCATTAAATACTAATATTTAACACAAATTTCAAACTCTAAAAAATTACCTACTTAAAAGATTTGATGATAATTTGGATAAATTAAGAATTATGATTCAAAATTTGTTTATTCTGTTCTTTTTATAACATATTCGTGATTTTTATAGCAACCCGTCCTCACAGGCATTTTTTTTCCTGGTAACTATATGCCACAATGTCCTTGCATAGGTATTAAACTGTGATTCAAATATCTCTGCATTTTCCTTAAAAAGTTGAAAATTAGAAGCTCCCTGCCAGTTGAATGTATAATAATATTTTGTAAAGCAGTCAAGTATACCATATTGAACATAACAACATGTTGGATAAATTTTCCAAAGCAGTACCTAGAATAATTTTGTTAAATTATTGTTAAATAATTTCTTAATTTAGATGTATGCAACATAAACACACACACAAAAAAGGTGGCCGAAATACTTTTGCCTACCTGGTGGACTAAAGAAAATAATAATGTTCTCTACAGGTATATTAAAATAATACATATCTTATGAATCTGCTAAATATGTAATTAATAAACTCTTTGTAAATTTCCAAGCAATGGAATTGCATAGCTTGCTATTTTCTAAGGTATGTCAGCTTAAATCTTTATGCCTGATCTTCGTTTATTTTAATTATGCTATTAGTATTACTTTTATTACATCAAACTTTTTATTCATTTTTGTATATCTTTCATCAGGAAATGTTTAATAGTTTCTCTTCTTCAGCCCTTGAGTGGTTAGACACTGTCATATTAAAGAATGAGCTACTATTCTTACCCTTGATGTTCTCACACTCAGTCATGGCTTGATTTTGTAATTCCTCCATCTCTTATCATAATTTCCCTTTTGACTTTTCTACACATGATCCTATTTACATTTTTAAGTTAATTTGCATAAAGTTTTTCCTGCACATTTCACAACATTTCTTGAGGAATTCATTTCAGGGTATATTGAGATCAAGTATAAAAATTATTAGGCCATATTTGTAATTTCATGACCTTTTTTTTTAAGTGTGTTATTATTATACTTTAAGTTTAAGGGTACATGAGCACAATGTGCAGGTTAGTTACATATGTATACATGTGCCATGCTGGTGCACTGCACCCACTAACTCGTCATCTAGCATTAGGTATATCTCCCAATGCTATCCCTCCGCCCTTCTCCCACCCCACAACAGTCCCCAGAGTGTGATGTTCCCATTCCGGTGTCCATGTGTTCTCAGTGTTCAATTCCCACCTATGAGTGAGAATATGCGGTGTTTGGTTTTTTGTTCTTGTGGTAGTTTACTGAGAATGATGATTTCCAATTTCATCCATGTCCCTACAAAGGACGTGAACTCATCATTTTTTATGGCTGCATAGTATTCCATGGTGTATATGTGCCACATTTTCTTAATCCAGTCTATCATTGTTGGACATTTGGGTTGGTTCCAAGTCTTTGCTATTGTGAATAATGCCGCAATAAACATACATGTGCATGTGTCTTTATAGCAGCATGATTTATAGTCCTTTGGGTATATACCCAGTAATGGGATGGCTGGGTCAAATGGTATTTCTGGTTCTAGATCCCTGAGGAATCGCCACACTGACTTCCACAATGGTTGAACTAGTTTACAGTCCCACCAACAGTGTAAAAGTGTTCCTATTTCTCCACATCCTCTCCAGCACCTGTTGTTTCCTGACTTTTTAATGATCGCCATTCTAAATGGTGTGAGATGGTATCTCATTGTGGTTTTGATTTGCATTTCTCTGATGGCCAGTGATGATGAGCATTTTTTCATGTGTTTTTTGGCTGCATAAATGTCTTCCTTTGAGAAGTGTCTGTTCATGTCCTTCACCCACTTTTTGATGGGGTTGTTTATTTTTTTCTTGTAAATTTGTTGGAGCTCATTATAGATTCTGGATATTAGCCCTTTGTCAGATGAGTAGGTTGCGAAAATTTTCTCCCATTTTGTAGGTTGCCTGTTCACCCTGATGGTAGTTTCTTTTGCTGTGCAGAAGCTCTTTACTTTAATTAGATCCCATTTGTCAATTTTGTCTTTTGTTGCCATTGCTTTTGGTGTTTTAGACATGAAGTCCTTGCCCATGCGTATGTCCTGAATGGTAATGCCTAGGTTTTCTTCTAGGGTTTTTATGATTTTAGGTCTAACGTTTAAGTCTTTAATCTATCTTGAATTGATTTTTGTATAAGGTGTAAGGAAGGGATCCAGTTTCAGCTTTCTACATATGGCTAGCCAGTTTTCCCAGCACCATGTATTAAATAGGGAATCCTTTCCCCATTGCTTGTTTTTCTCAGGTTTGTCAAAGATCAGATAGTTGTAGATAAGTGGCGTTATTTCTGAGGGCTCTGTTCTGTTCCATTGATCTATATCTCTGTTTTGGTACCAGTACCATGCTGTTTTGGTTACTGTAGCCTTGTAGTATAGTTTGAAGTCAGGTAGGGTGATGCCTCCAGCTTTGTTCTTTTGGCTTAGGATTGACTTGGCGATGCAGGCTCTTTTTTGGTTCCATATGAACTTTAAAGTAGTTTTTTCCAATTCTGTGAAGAAAGTCATTGGTAGCTTGATGGGGATGGCATTGAATCTGTAAATTACCTTGGGCAGTATGGCCATTTTCATGATATTGATTCTTCCTACCCATGAGCATGGAATGTTCTTCCATTTGTTTGTATCCTCTTTTATTTCATTGAGCAGTGGTTTGTAGTTCTCCTTGAAGAGGTCCTTCACATCCCTTGTAAGTTGGATTCCCAGGTATTTAATTCTCTTTGAAGCAATTGTGAATGGGAGTCCACTCATGATTTGGCTCTCTGTTTGTCTGTTGTTGGTGTATAAGAATGCTTGTGATTTTTGTACATTGATTTTGTATCGTGAGACTTTCTGAAGTTGCTTATCAGCTTTAGGAGATTTTGGGCTGAGACAATGGGGTTTTCTAGATATACAATCATGTCATCTGCAAACAGGGACAATTTGACTTCCTCTTTTCCTAATTGAATACCATTTATTTCCTTCTCCTGCCTAATTGCCCTGGCCAGAACTTCCAACACTATGTTGAATAGGAGTGATGAGAGAGGGCATCCCTGTCTTGTGCCAGTTTTCAAAGGGAATGCTTCCAGTTTTTGCCCATTCAGTATGATATTGGCTGTGGGTTTGTCATAGATACCTCTTATTATTTTGAAATACGGCCCATCAATACCTAATTTATTGAGAGTTTTTAGCATGAAGAGTTGTTGAATTTTGTCAAAGGCCTTTTCTGCATCTATTGAGATAATCATGTGGTTTTTATCTTTGGTTCTGTTTATATGCTGGATTACATTTATTGATTTGCATATATTGAACCAGCCTTGCATCCCAGGGATGAAAGAGCTCCTGAAGGAAGCACTAAACATGGAAAGGAACAACCGATACCAGCCGCTGCAAAATCATGCCAAAATGTAAAGACCATCAAGACTAGGAAGAAACTGCATCAACTAACGAGCAAAATAACCAGCTAACATCATAATGACAGGATCAAATTCACACATAACAATATTAACTTTAAATATAAGTGGACTAAATGCTCCAATTAAAAGACACAGACTGGCAAATTGGATAAAGAGTCAAGACCCATCAGTGTGCTGTATTCAGGAAACCCATCTCATGTGCAGAGACACACATAGGCTCAAAATAAAAGGATGGAGGAAGATCTACCAAGCAAATGGAAAACAAAAAAAGGCAAGGGTTGCAATCCTAGTCTCTGATAAAACAGACTTTAAACCAACAAAGATCAAAAGAAACAAAGAAGGCCATTACATAATGGTAAAGGGATCAATTCAACAAGAAGAGCTAACTATCCTAAATATATATGCACCCAATACAGGAGCACCTAGATTCATAAAGCAAGTCCTGAGAGACCTACAAAGAGACTTAGACTCCCACACATTAATAATGGGAGACTTTAAGACCCCACTATCAACATTAGACAGATCAACGAGACAGAAAGTCAACAAGGTTACCCAGGAATTGAACTCAGCTCTGCACCAAGCAGACCTAATAGACATCTACAGAACTCTCCACCCCAAATCAACAGAATATACATTTTTTTCAGCACCACACCACACCTATTCCAAAATTGACCACATACTTGGAAGTAAAGCTCTCCTCAGCAAATGTAAAAGAACAGAAATTATAACAAACTATCTCTCAGACCACAGTGCAATGAAACTAGAACTCAGGATTAAGAATCTCACTCAAAACCACTCAACTACATGGACACTGAACAACCTGCTCCTGAATGACTACTGGGTACATAACGAAATGAAGGCAGAAATAAAGATGTTCTTTGAAACCAACGAGAGCAAAGACAGAACATACCAGAATCTATGGGATGCATTCAAAGCAATGTGCAGAGGGAAATTTATAGCACTAAATGCCCACAAGAGAAAGCAGGAAAGATCCAAAATTGACACCCTAACATCACAATTAAAAGAACTAGAAAAGCAAGAGCAAACACATTCAAAAGCTAGCAGAAGGCAAGAAATAACTAAAATCAGAGCAGAACTGAAGGAAATAGAGACACAAAAAACCCTTCAAAAAATTAATGAATCCAGGAGCTGGTTTTTTGAAAGGATCAACAAAATTGATAGACCGCTAGCAAGACTAATAAAGAAAAAAAGAGAGAAGAATCAAATAGACGCAATAAAAAATGATAAAGAGGATATCACCACCGATCCCACAGAAATACAAACTACCATCAGAGAATACTACAAACACCTCTATGCAAATAAACTAGAAAATCTAGAAGAAATGGATAAATTCCTCCACACATACACTCTCCCAAGACTAAACCAGGAAGAAGTTGAATCTCTGAATAGACCAATAACAGGAGCTGAAATTGTGGCAATAATCAATAGCTTACCAACCAAAAAGAGTCCAGGACCAGATGGATTCACAGCCGAATTCTACCAGAGGTGCAAGGAGGAACTGGTACCATTCCTTCTGAAACTATTCCAATCAATAGAAAAAGAGGGAATCCTCCCTAACTCATTTTATGAGACCAGCATCATCCTGATACCAAAGCCGGGCAGAGACACAACCAAAAAAGAGAATTTTAGACCAATATCCCAATATCCTTGATGAACATTGATGCAAAAATCCTCAATAAAATACTGGCAAACCGAATCCAGCAGCACATCAAAAGGCTTATCCACCATGACCATTTTTTACAGAATGCAAAGTCATAGCATCTTTTAAAATTATTTATGTCATACATTTATGTTATACATGCAATATCTGAGAAAAAATATGAAGTTACTATATAAAGCTTAAAAAGTTTGCATTCTTTTTGCTAGACCTCTAGCTAGACTTCTTTCTTTTATATATTTCTTATATATATTTTGTATTTCCTCTTTGTTTCTACTCCAACAGCTTTAACTTCATCCTTTGATTCATAAATACCATTGGCTGCTGGTCATGCAATTCAACAAGAAATGTTTAACAAAGAAAAAAATGTGTATTAATATGTCACTCAACTTTACCTCATTTTAATATTTGTATATTTAATCAACTGGAAATAAAAATTGTACAAATTACAGTCACACATTGCTTAATTATGAGGATATTTTCTGAGAAATGTGTCATTAGGTGATTTCATCCAAATGCAAATATTGCAGAGTATACTTACACAAATCTAGAAGGTACAGCCTACTATACACCTAAGCTGTATGGTGTCGCTCTTACATTACAAACCTGTACAGCATGTTACTCTACTGATATGGTTTGGCTTTATGTCTGTACCCAAATCTCATCTTGAATTGTAATCCCATAATCTCTATGTGTCAAGGGAGGGACCCTGGGGGAGCTAATTGAATCATGGGGGTGGTTCCCCCCATGTTGTTCTCGTGATAGTGAGTGAGTCACACAGGATCTGATGGCTTTATGAGAGTCTGGCATTTTCTCTGCTTGCATTCATTCCTTCTTCTGCTGCCATGTGAAGAAGGACATGTTTGCTCCACTTTCCACCATGATTGTTAAGTTTCCTGAGGCCATGCTGAACTGTGAGTCAATTAAAACTTTTTAATTTATAAATTACCCAGGCTCAGGTATGTCTTTATTAGCAACGTGAGAATGGACTAATACATCTTCTGCATACTGTATGTAATTGTAAAACAATGGTAAGTATTTGTCTATCTAAACATAGAAAATGTGCAGTAAAAATATGGTATTATAATCTTATGGGACCACCATCCTATATATAGTCTTTCATTGATGGAAACATTGTTATGTGGTGTATTTAACACCTTTAAGGTCTTAAAATAAATTACTCATTGTTTCATACATACATTTGTATTATCCAAATTATTCTTGTTATTTGAAAATTATTTATTGAGCACTTACTGTGTGCCAGGCACTATTCTAGCCAGTGAATAAAACAGGGGAAAAGTACTCTTATAAAGCCTGCAGTCTAGAAAAGAAAGATAAACAATACAAATCAATATACAAAACATATAAGGTATATGCTTTTATATCATTTCCTGCCATAATCACTTGGATGCTCTACTGAAGCCATACTTGCTTTTTTACTGTGGGGGGAAAAATGCAAATTGAAAATGACTTGCCACCCATGAAGCACACTTCCTAGCAAGGGTACAGAAAATCAACATGTATGATAGTGGTAACATCCGCTATTCTCACTTTTACTCAACTCCAACCCCCAATTTCGTATGAGTGTTTACCTTGTTAGCCTCACCAAATGGCTTTTGGACTGTTATTTTCTGAAAGGAAGGCAGGAAGAAAAGAGAGTAAAAAAGAGGGATCTCTTTTGTTCTTAATGCTTTGTAAATTTTGATTTTTTATTAGAGGGTCATTTAGAAGATAGAGTATAAAGAGTTATGTTGGAATATCATATCTACTAAAGTGATCATTTTATAATTATCATCTTCTTTCTGCTAAATAATGACCATATTCATATTTATTCCAATATTGTCTTTGGAGAAAACTCAACAATGATATCTTCTTACTTTTTCAGTTGTCTTATTTTCTTGTATGTGTTGAGTTCATGCCATATACAGGTATACTAACAGGCCTGCCTTTCTTCAGTGAAAAATTGCACTGTTGTCATGTATTAATAGACTTTATCCTTTGAATACATGAATCCTTCCATCCCACCCAGCTGATCAAATCCTACTATTTTTTTAAGACTAGGCTCGACTGACAATCACCCATCCAGGTGGAATGGTTTCACTTTTCCTTTGGATACTCCTGTGTTCAGTATATAATTTTCTCATAGCTGCTGATACAAAAATCTGATATTTAGCTATTTACAAATCTTGATCTCTACCTGACCATAACCTTTGCTAATCAGAATGTCAGAATGGAAGCCCTACAATGGCAATTACTCTGTCTTGTCTTTGTAGCTTCAAGCAAAAACTACCTGGTCTTTACTGGGTACTTAATAAATGTGGTCTTTATTAGGTACTTAATAAGTGTTTTCTGATTAAATGAATAATGAATCAATGAATAAATGTTGTCTACATGAGATGGTAAATTGACTATCTTTTATTTTTCCCTCTTGCACTTAATGATCATATTTTCAAGACAACTCACTTGATTTAAGCAGGTAGTTTGTGATTGCAGGATAGACCACATGGAACTGAGTCTGTGAGCTCAGTCTCATTCTAACATTGTTATAAATAAATGAGCTGTACATGGTTACAAAGCATTTATTGAACACTTGCGAGTCCCAAAATATTATGCTATCCCCAAATAATATTGGATTGAAAAGCGACCATGCTTTACACAAAAACAGATTTTATAAAAGATGTTAAGCCCAGGTAAGTGTCTTGGCTATGAGGCTGGTAAACTCCATGAATGATGATGGAAAGGAGAAGCACAGAATAATAAACAACAGATGCTTTTTTTTGAGGAGGAGGAAAGGGTTGGTGCTGGTAGATTCCCCAAAAGGCAGCGGCCTCTTAGGTGAATATCTTTTGAAAACTTTCAGTCCCCCACTATGAGCATTAAAGTGGCAGGTCATGGTTCCCAGATAGATGAAAGGAACTTGTAAGATATCTTAAAACATAAAATAATATGTTCATATTTATTAAGTATTTAGCATACAAAGTACCTTATAGCTATTATACTCTTTATCTTCACAGAAAACCCCTTTGTCATCATTGTGTTTTATGGATGAAAAAACAAAAGGTCAGTAATTTGTCCAAGGTCACATACTTCAAAGTAAAGTTAATATTTGAATGCAAGCACACTTATACCAAGTTGTTAGTACATTCCTAGCCACTAACTTGCTCTCAAAATATATCAGGAAAATTTTTCAGATGGTGAAACTTTATAAATAAAGTTTATAAATAGTTTATAAATCAATAAACCGTATAAATAATCTTGGGAGACCAAGAGCTGACATCAGACTCACAATGTCCTTGTATGTATTTAACGATGGAAACAAGTCTTCATTTTATAGCATCAGGATAACTAAGCACCATTCAACAAGTGACTATTTAATGGGACATTTTGAGATCTTTCATACAGAAAAATAATGCTGACTTTTTCTTTCCATCTTATTTTACCATTCAGTAAAAACTGTCATCCTTTGGTACTTCTTATCTAGATATTTTTGTATGCCCCTAATTTGCCCAATATTTATGTGTAAAATATATGTTCCAGTAAGAGTATATACTAAATAATTAGAATTTATTTAAATAGATTATGTTATCTAACTTACGTAAATGGAGATTTTCCTAGGACTAGTTACGTTTTTTTTCCTCAAGCAAAATACTGTATTTGCATTGTTGCTAAACAAGTGATGATCAGGAAATAAATATTTTATGTTAATCAAGTCTAAATGTTGTGTAAAAAATACCTATATGGGGAAGAAAAAGGCATACCATGGCAACTGAAGAAGGTTGAAAATAATTACTCCTTCCTAGGGACAATATTCAGACTCAGTAGCAGGCATTTTGCCAGCCCAGCAGATAGACATATTGAAGCCCCTACTTGTTGGTATGAAATATTAATAGTGAGGGCATGAGTCCAACCTGAAAACATAAAAACAAATTACTTTGGAGGTTAAGGGGATATACCATTACTAATCCATCTCTGAGCTGAATTAGCCTTTAAATATAAAAATGGCTCCCAATAACATGTCTAGCCCAACATTAGAGTTATTTTTAACCAAGTGGGGTTTTGGAGAGACTATAAAAAATTATGATTTTCCAAGTTCATGAAATGTGAAATAAGCAGTTTGATGCAGAAGAAGATATAGTGACACGAATATGCTAAAAGTGAACAGAATGCGGATCTAGCCTTTAATGAACTTTAGAGGTAGAACCATGTAGTAATTTTACAGATGCAAAAATATTATGTTGTACCTCCTTAATCCTAAACCAATAATCCTTCTCATCCTTGATGTTACAAAGAATTAGTGGTCAAGGTCATGCATAAAATGTTCTGCAATGTGGGAAAATAATAAGGGAAAATAACCTGTATAAATGTCTCTAAATTTACCACAGAGAGTCTTCCCAAGGTTTTCCAAGAAAGAAAAGCAGAACAGATCAATTATATAAGCAATTTTACGGGTTAGTGAAGTATCTTTCACCTCTCTGGACCCCAATTTCCTCAGGGGGATGTGGCTTGCTTTACGTTGACAGAGGTAAGAAGATTCATTGAGAAGAATTCTGCAAATGTAACATTCCCTTTCAAGGTCTACGCTAACGCTTTTAACTGGGACTCAGCGACCTGTGAAATCTCTGCCTGGTTTCTTAACCTTTGTCAAGTCATTTAAACTCTGGGTCATATCTATAAATCAGACAGAAGAAATACAGGTCCTAACCGTGCTATCCAGGGATTCTAGCAGGAGATTTTTTTAATAATAAATATTAATGGAGGGGTGGAAATAGAGATGGAAAAACAGGATCAAAGGAGCAACATATTCAGTGACTTAAAAAAATAATTATATGTGGTAAGAAGTTTTCTAAAGTAAACTGTATGTGGGGAGAAGCATACAGAAAAAAATGAAATACATATATTTTAAGGTTTGAAAGAAAATAATTTTGAGTTGTACCAGTTTATTGCTATTAAAGAATGAATGACCAATGAAGACATTATTGTAGATAACAACTTTTTAAGCCCCTGAGAAGAAGAGCTGTGAGTTTTATTGGGAAAATATATTTCTTAAATAACGCCACAATAAATCATTGCTGTACACACCAGGTGCAAGGAAATGCTAAGAAGAAAGAGAAAGAACTAGAAATTAATGTTCTTTGTAAGATGACAGATTGTCAGATTTAGATGCTGTCTATACCTAAAAGGAGACAATGCCATGAAGTCACTTCTTAATATCTAGTAGGATTTCATTTTAGAACTAATTACATGCTTTCACCCAACAGCCAACATGCTGTGTTAGTTTTCTTAGTTTACACTTTGTAAATTTTGAGCTCAGTTTTCACTTCTATTTTTAAAGATTAGTAGGTAAGTAGTCATATTTGTCAATTCAAGGTCACAACACAAGAAATTGAATATTTGCAAAGGCATTCTTTATCTGATAGGCTTGCACCCTTTCACTCTAGATTATTATAAGCTAGAAAAAGAATAATCACTTTGTGTTCTAAGCCATGCAAGCAAAACCACCACTGAGAAGGATGTGTGTGCCTCTGTGTGTGTATGTGTATGTAAATTCCTATATTGTGTTAATCAAGAAATACAATACAAGGTAAAGTAATTAAAATGTAACTGCTTGCTTATCTTAAAACCCTTATCAGTTGCTGCTTACTAAATGGTACGATCTATGTGTCTAGTGCTCTTGTATAAGCCATTATATGATTTCATGCTGCAAACCCCCAACAAGGGAGTTAGAATTAATTGAGTAGTCAGATGAAGAAAGCAGATTTCCTCAGTTAGTAGATGGCAGAGCTCAAACTCAAGCCCTTGGCCATTGTCCTTGCCTGGGAGGTACTTATCACTGCACATTTAAACTCAGTGAATGTGCCATCTTTCACTTAGTGGCAGTGCTTAAATTACAAGTGTCAAAAATAATTACCCTATGAAAAGTGACCCTGTGTTTCTGAGTCAGCTAAGAGATGGTTTGAAGAAAGACCAATATCCTACCCTCATCCTCGAACTATGGCAAAAGTGATAGGTTCTCCATCAGAGCAAGCATTCTTCTTTCCTGTAACTGCCACTTTCACACTGGGCTATGGGACGCAAGTGTGGCACCCAATACAAAAGATGGATTCTAGAAGGAAAGAGTTTATGCTAGATCATTTAAACCACACCTTTCTAAAAGCCCAGGAATAGCAAGATGGGCAAGACAAAGAAAGTAACAGACATTGAAGAGCTGGTTTGCAAGATTCCATCGCTTTATTGACTGGCAAGCTGCTTCTCTTTGGTGGAAGCCACCCTTCTCCTACCTCCTGTCAACACCCTCAGCTTCCTCAAAGCCCAGGTCCAAGTGAGCAGGACCCAGTGAGAGGCAAGTTCACCTCCCATGCTCAGTCGTCTGAGCTAAGGACCGAGTACTTTTACCTGAGCGGTCAACAGCAAGAATATCTACTCTCTTATACTTTACTTTTGCTACAGCATCTTGGACTCACCCCAAAGCCACGGTGCAACTAGTTCAGAACAGGACACAGGATGCCCAACCTCCATATTAGGGATCTGCACAGTGTTCACAGTGGCATATACACAGACAGAAGGAGCCGTCAAGCCCACATCCTTACAACTAAAGCCTGTCTCAATTACCTAACTTTTAAATTATGTATGAACACCATTTTAATAAAAATCATTCATATTATACATCAACCATCAATTTTTATTAAAAAGTGATGTGAAATTTGTATCTTGCAAAACAAAGGGAAAGTTTACTTTTTTTAAAATTATACTTTAAGTTCTGGGGTACATATGCAGAACATGCAGGTTTGTTACATAGGTATACATGTGCCATGGTGGTTTGCTGCACCCATCAACCCGTCATCTTCATTAGGTATTTCTCCTAATGCTATCCGTCCCCTAGCCCCCGACCACCCAACAGGCCCCGGTGTGTGATGATCCCCTCCCTGTGTCCATGTGTTCTCATTGATCGACTCCCACTCATGAGCGAGAACATGTGGTGTTTGGTTTTCTGTTCTTGTGTTAGTTTGCTGACAAGGATGGTTTCCAGTGTCATCCATGTCCCTGCAAAGGACACAAACTCATCCTTTTTATGGCTGCATAGTATTCCATGGTGTATATATGCCACATTTTCTTTATTCGGTCTATCACTGATGGGCATTTGGGTTGGTTCCAAGTCTTTGCTACTGTGAACAATGCTGCAGTAAACATACGTGTGCATGTGTCTTTATAGTAGAATGCCATCGGAAAGTGGGCAAAGGATATGAACAGACACTTCTCAAAAGAAGACATTTATGCAACCAACGAACATATGAAAAAAAGCTCATCATCACTGGTCATTAGAGAAATCCAAATCAAAACCACAATAGATACCATCTCATGCCAGCTAGAATGGCAATCATTAAAAAGTCAGGAAACAAGAGATGCTGGAGAGGATGTGGAGAAATAGGAATGCTTTTACACTGTTGGTGGGAGTGTGAATTAGTTCAACCATTGTGGAAGACAGTGTGGCGATTCCTCAAGAATCTAGAACTAGAAATACCATTTGACCCAGCAATCCCATTCCTGGGTATATACCCAAAGGATTATAAATTATTCTACTAGAAAGTTTACATTTTCACTTAAAAAACTGGTTTAAAGAAAATGAAATGTCGATTCTTTTCAGCAACAACAGCAACTACGACTGCTTCATAGCAAAAGCAACAGCCACAGCAAAATAGATAAAGAAAGAAAAGAGTTTAAAGGAAAAAAAGGAGCATATGCATCATGAATGTTCAATATAAATTAGATACATAATTATGATCTTGATAGAATATAAACAAAAATTTCAGATTTCAGAGAAATCTACTGAGCAAAATTTTTCATACTATAAAATCCAACAGTCAGTAAAAACAACATTTCCAGATAGTAAAAAAAAAAAAAGGTTATTTCATTTCTGTATTTTCAATATGAAGCTGTCTAACTACTATAGTTCCATATAAGAATAATTCCATTTTGACATCAGACACCCTTGTGGACACTAACATACTGGGAAAATGGCCTTCATACTTTGTTATTTCAAGAAGAGTGAATTATGGAAGAAGCCATTGGCTAAAGAGTCACCTTTTAAAGAATTTGATTGCAACCCCATTAATTTTCTGTAACTCTGCAATACTTTTAAATCACAAGTATTTGTAGTAATAAAACTATATTTATTTTGAATATACAGTTCATGAAAGCACATCAGTTTATGAAAGCACATCAGTTTGATCTGGTGCTCCTTCAATTTCAGCATCTGAAGAATGATAGAGACATTAAAACTATAGGTTCTAAAAATTATCTAATTCATTTTCATACTTGACTGGCATCACTCATTCAAAGACATAAAACTTTTAACCTTGACTATTGCACATAGCCTTTTACACACAAAATAGACACAGAATTGGGCATGATACATTATCTTCTGTCCCTCTGTTCCCTTTTTAACCCTGGATGCCAGCCACCCACCTACTTGCTCTGATGTCCAGCTGTCCCCAGCCTAGCTAAGTGGGCTCTTCCCTGTCAGCCACAGACTTTCCTCTCCTCTGAAATGTCCTTGAGTCTAGGATGGTGTGATACTTTTGCTCCTGTTCCGATGTTACAGTTAGAAGTTAGCCACTTGCCAGGAGGTAAGAAGAGCTTTTTAGCACAGACATCTCTAAGTCCAGAGCCTTACATTCAGGAAAAAAATTTGAAACGGCAGAAAAATGCTTCAGAAATATAACTTCCAGACACAGAGGAAAAACTTGTTTCCTCGGTTAATAAATTTTGTGGCAATGCAATTTGACATTTACTTCATTGAATTCTGGGAACATGATGTTCTGGCTAGTTGCCACGCAAGAATTATTCTTGCAGTTGGCATCCTCTCTACTTTTCGAAGTTTATCACCAAAGAGAGACAGCTTCATCACAGACAAACATATAGGTCAAGTTTATATGTCAGCAAATAAATATTTTGGAAAACTAATACGAATGCCCACTGTGGTTGTTAGTTTCTAAAAATGAGAACATGTTCTACCCCGTTTTGTTACCCAGTAAATTTTTGTGATACAGCTATACATTGTAAACTGTGCTCACATAATTCAGAACTCCATCTATTAAATATTTGTGACAAACATACTTCAGGCACACAGCCACCTCCTCTCTCTTTCCAGTGTTCACATAGATACAACTATAGCTCAGGTATATAGTTCATCCAGACACATTTTTGTGGACCACCTTACCCCATCAATGTGAGATATCATTTCACTGGTCTCAGCTCTTTTCTTGTTACATTCTATATTCACATCTTCAGCTTAAGTTGTGAAGAGGTTACAATGAAGTGTGATAAGGGTAATGATCAAAAGAACCAATTAGGGAACTTGGAGATAATATAAAATGATCATGGGTGTCTTGTTTGCATGTTTTGAAGTCATAGAAATGGTAAACTAAGGAAGCCCTTGCTTTTAAGCTTTCTAAAATAAAACTGTTTTGCAAATAATAATATTGGTACTAGGATTAATAGTAGACCTTGAGGTCATTTGAGGCAGTTTCTGGCATAATTTAACACCTTTATCACTAATCTTGCTGTTACTGATCGCAGCTGACTCTCACACTGTTTTTTCTCTGCATGATTTATTAGAATTCTTTGATAAGAGCTCTTTGAACCTGGCCTTGTAATTAAGAGTTCTTTAGAAATTATCTATTATTCTGGAGTATAGTTTCTCAAACTCTCTGGCCTCAGATTCTACATCTGTTAATTGAAGAATCTGAATTTGATGAATTCTGCCTAAAAACACTGTAGCAATTTTTATCATTTACATTGAAAAATAAAAACTAGATCTAACTTACTCCATACTCTTTCAACTGCACCATATTGTTTTTTGTTTTTTGTTTTTTTGCTTTTTTTTTTTTTTTTTTTTTTGAGGCAGAGTCTTGCTCTGTTGCCCAGGCTGGACTGCAGTGACGCAATCTTGGCTCACTGCAAGCTCCACCTCCCGGGTTCACGCCATTCTCCTGCCTCAGCCTCCCGAGTAGCTGGGACTACAGGCGCCTGCCACAACGCCCGGCTAATTTTTTGCATTTTTAGTAGAGACAGGATTTCACCGTGGATGGTCTCGATATCCTGACCTCGTGATCAGCCCACCTCGGCCTCCCAAAGTGCTGGATTACAGGCGTGACCATATTGTCTTTTTAATGTAATAATAATAGTAATAATGCCAAAGAAGGAGTATGAAATAACTCCTATCAAACACCCTCTTTGATTGTATTATACTGTCTCATTTAATATTCCCAACAATTAAACATGGTGAGCACCATTATTACCATCACCATGTTACTTCTTTTCCAGGTTAAAAGGTCATGTAACTTACCCCAAATCACATATCTAGCTTCCATTCCTACATACTGCAGGTTCTCATTTTTTCTTCATTTCTTCTTAAAACAGTTTCGGCAAAAAAAAAAAAAAAAAAAAAAGCCATTGAGAAAATGCAAAAGAAAGAGCCTGGCCGGGCACGGTGGCTCACGCCTGTAATCCCAGCACTTTGGGAGGCCGAGGCGGATGGATCACAAGGTCAGGAGATCGAGACCATCCTGGCTAAGATGGTGAAACCCCGTCTCTACCAAAAATACAAAAAATTAGCTGGGCATGGTGGCGGGCACCTGTAGTCCCAGCTACTCAGGAGGCTGAGGCAGGAGAATGGCGTGAACCCAGGAGGCAGAGCTTGAAGTGAGCCGAGATCGTGCCACTGTACTCCAGCCTGGCCAGAGCGAGACTCCGTCTCAAAAAAAGAAAAAAAAAAAAGAGGCTTGAGGACACAAAACCCACATTTTAATCTTCGTTACTATCTATCTGACTGTATGGATGTCACATAACTGACTTATTCCTTAGTTTTCTGACCTATAAGATGTTTTATGTAAGCTCAAAGCAGGTAATATATGGAAAAGGGCTTTAGAAATTGCACGGTACACAGATGTATTACATTACCACACTTATATAGAAAGGATTATCTTCCCTCTTTTATTAACTTTGAAGATTAACAGAAATTATCAGCAAACTTGTCGTATAATTACACTAGCAATTTCTCTCTGTGGATTCACTCTTTTACTGCTTACCTTTATCTTTATTCTGCATACCTCTGTTCTTTAATCAGCAACTATCAAATAAAAGAGTAACCGAGACAGAAAAATAGACTTTCAGAAGTGTAAAGTAGCGTATTCCGCATTGTTTATAATAATCACTATCACTTGGGGAGATATCACCTGTGGCGACCAGGTCATCTCTTCCCAAGTGATAGTGATTATTATATTCATAATATTCATAAATTTAGCCTTTCCCTGTTAATGACATCATATATTGTTTTCATCAAATATGTTTTGCAAAGACTAGGGGAAAGTTGCTTTTTAATCAGCTGCAGCCAGTTGCATTTTCCAAAGACAGCTGCAACAATATCTCCCACCATCTCCCATCTTTTGCCACTGCTCCATCAAGAAGGGAAATCTGTTTCTCTGTGTCCTTGAATATGAGTGGACCCTGTGGACTCATTGACCAATAGAATATGGAAGAAGTGATGCTGTGCTGGTTGTAAGCTTCAACCTTAATTGGCCCAATAGCTTATGCTTCCTGCCTCTTGGAAAGTTTGCAATTGAACGCCCATTTTTGGATGCTTCTTCTAGAAACTTAGGCATCATTCTCTGAAAAGCTCAAGCCACTTGGAGAAGGCACAAGTAAACATTCCAGTTCATATTGCTGGCTGATACCCCCATCATCAGCCAGCTATGGCAGCCAGCCATATGAGTGCACCGTCTTGAATTTCCGAAGTCAGCCTTCAGATGACAGCAGCCAAAACCAAAATCTAATTGCAACAACATGGAGGAATCTAAGCTGGAACCACCCAGCTCAGAATTTACCTATGGAGCCATGTGAGATAATCACAAATTGTTGCTTTGAGCCACTAAGTGTTGAGGTGGTTTGTTACACAGCAACAGACAACCAGAACACCAACTGATCTGCTGCAAGACTTTTCCAAATGTAATTGTCTTTCATTCCTTCCTGTGAATCCATTAATAAAATTTGACTGAGACCAGCATAATTTTTAAACTAAATCCTTTAGTAGTTTCCTCATAGTAATGCTGTGTGGTTTTAAAATTCTATAAAGTAGTTTTAAAATGTAGACATATTTCCATTTGTTTTTGCAATTTACTGTGGAAGTCCATTCTTCAGAAAAGATGAAATCTATATGTGAAGACAAAAAAGATTGTTTTACTCACCTATTTGTGTGAGGATTTTGAGATTAAATTTGAATTTATGTTAAAAAGGAATGGATTTTAAAGACTCAGTAAGATGGATTTTCAAATGTCCATTCTCCTACATTTTAAATAATCATGTCAGATACATTGCAGCCAGTTGTCTGTGACTGGTTTCCTCTTTTGGGGAATCTTTTTGTCCCCAAATGAAGTATACATTTCCTCTTTTTCATAATTATAAAAGTAATACATACTAGGTATTAAAAATCCTAGCATAAACTATGATCAAAGTAGAGGTAAGAGTCCTCTAAATAGTCACATCTCAGCTAGTGTTCAATAACCAGGTGTCACTGGCAAGTTATTTCATCTCTCTGTAATTTGGTTTCATGTATAATACCTACACAATGAAGATAATAATAATAGTTTATAAGATTGCTGTGGAATTACATAAAATAGTAAATACAAAGCACTTAGAACAGAGCCTGGAATATAGTAGGTATTCAACAAACATTAGTTTTAATTAATAACAGTTTGATGTGTGTGTTTCCTTCCAGATTCTATTCTAAGCATGCATAATTATATATATATGTGTGTGTGTCATATATATTTAACAAAAAATATAATTTTAAATGCTCAGTTTTCAACTCAATTTTTGAACTATTCACTATATAATATGGACATGGTTTTATAATGATATATAGAAATATGTGTCATTAGTTTTTGTAATCACATCATGTTCTAATTTATTAATAATATTTGTGAAGAATACGCAGCGTTCTATTTTATTTTTTAAACACTTTGAGCTAGTATAAAACACTGAAATTAACATCTTTATTTACAAAATAAGCAGAAAAACAGGAAAAATGATCCTGTTAAAATATAAAAAGACTTTTACTCAAGTAGATCAGAATATTTTATCATTATATGACAAGTAGTTTACTGATTCTAAATCTTTATAGACACTAAAAGGCTGCTAATCTACATACAAATAACAAATACTGATGAAACTAATAAAAAAGACCATGAGAACCAGAAAAACCTAGGGTCTAAGAATCCCATATTATCAGCTCTCTTAAACAACTTAGTTCAAAAAAACTCTTGAGTGTCTACATTAATACTAAGCTTGTCACAAACAGAACTTTTATTTTTTATGACAGGTAAAATTCTAATTAAAAAGTAAATACTAAATTCCAAATATGCACACATATCTGAAGACAGATTTTGCATAAAGGATATCAAATCTTAGGTTCTAAGAAACTGACTGAAACTGAGGTATACTGGCACATGAAAATTGAAATGACCTAAAGGATGAAATAAAATGTCAAAGAGAGCAGAAACTTGTTTAATCAGTGTAAGTCTGGTAAATTTCGCACAACTAGACAAACTTGCCTGTCTTGTCTCTTATCTTCAATCCCTTTAGGCAGAATCTTTGAACACTAATAGTGGTAGAGAGGTTTGTCTTGATGGGGGAGAGGAAGGACGGATTTACTTCCGAGAGTTTCCTTAGCCCCTGGTCTTAATTTGCCCTCCAAATAAATATATCATCCTTGCAAAAATATCAAGCTTTCTATGAAAAGACAAATCTGAAGTGTGCTAGCCACCACCTTTCAGCCAGCTGGACATATCTATGCTCATCCATTTGGCAATTCTGGAGCCTCCACAATTGCTAGATGTTTTGGACATTTTTGCACAACATATCTTTTTACATGAAGTTGTTTATACATATAGATGTGTTAACAGAAGCTTTTGATTTGTCAGTGTCATCATATAAGTTCTTATCTTTCTAGAAGTGTTACAAAGACTCATAAATGAAAGCTATTCCATGTGGTAGGCTGAATAATGGCCCTGGAAAAAGGTTCATGCCCTAAACCTCAGAACCTGTGAATACGTTACCTTACATAGCAAAATGGACTCTGAAGATCCAGTTAAGTTAAGGATCCTGAGATGGGGAGATTGTACTGATTTATACATATGGGCCCAGTGTAATCATAGGGTCGTTATGAAAGGGAGGTAGGAGGGCACAGTCAATGAAGGATATGTGACCCAGAAGAAGAGGGAGGGAAGGAGATGTGATGACAGAAGCAGGGCTCATAGTCAGAGAGACAGATTTAAAGATGCTACATTGCTTGCTTGAAGGTGGAGGAAGGGACAATGAACCAAAAACTGCAGGTGGCCTCTAGAAAGCTAGAAAAGGCAAGGAAATGAATTCACTCTTCGGGCCTCCAGAAGGAATGTAGCCCTGCCAATCCATTTGGTTTTCTAACCTTCAAGTTTTAAACACGCCAGGCTTTAAACTAGTTAATAATAATAATAATAATAAAAGGACAACATTTTTTGGGGCAAATTTTCACCTTTATTACTTAAAAAAAAAGGCTATGATGGAGTTTGTGGTTTATATTTTCCAGAATGATACAGCTTTATCTATTCTATTTGCAGAGTAGAAAAGGTGTTCTCTTTGGTCAGGCTTATTCTTAAGAAGTAAAAAGGAGGAGATGAGTCAAACATGCCCAATATGTTGTCTTGATTTTACCAAACAAGTAATTCACAGTTTCTCACCAGAGGCATGGGCAGATGATATTTGTGAGATGATGAATGGGCCTCAACTAACAGTTATGATTCATTAAAGAGCCACAGGGGTCATTTTCTTTGTTCCCTGTAAACATTAGCTTAACATGCTACTGTTGCATGAGCAACTAAATTGATCCAGGCATGGGAGGAAATGTCAGAAAAGTGAAAGAAGAAACATTTCTCAAATAACTAGATTCTAAGATTGTTACCAACAGACCTTCTATTTAGTCATTTTATTGTTTATAACTCAATATTCAATTCTTTAAATAAAGGACATATTTATAAAATGTACTACCTAAGAATGTTTGACCTGTTGACCATTTTAGTTGCTCATGTGGGGACCTTGTCTGTTACTTATGTATTTCCTGATGTCTGGTTAAGAAGGATAACCATTCACATTATCTTTTGAGACAATTAACCATATTTTCCGCAAACCTTTTGTTTCTAGTTAGTTTCCAACACCCTTCCTGACAATGCTCAGACATTTTTTTCTTTTCTTTTCTTTTCTTTTCTTTTTTTGAGACAGTCTCGCTCTGTTGCCCAGGATGGACCGCAGTGGCGCAATCTTGGCTCGCTGCAAGCTCCACCTCCCGGGTTCACGCCATTTTCCTGCCTCAGCCTCCCGAGTAGCTGGGACTACAGGCGCCCGCCACCACACCCCGCTAATTTTTTGTATTTTTAGTAGAGACGGGGTTTCACCATGTTAGCCAGGATGGTCTCCATCTCCTGACCTTGTGATCTGCCCGCCTCAGCCTTCCAAAGTACTGGGATGACATTTATTTTTTGTCTTCTGAACAGCAGCATGTTATGCTAATGTCTACAGGGAATGATGAAAGTGCCCCCTGTGGCTCTTTAGTGAATCATAACGGCTGGTTGAGACCTGTGCATCATCTCACAAATATCAGCTGTATTACTTCCTTAAATGTCTTGCTTAGTGCCTCTACTGAAACATCTACCAGTTCATACAGTCAACATAACTCAATTTCCGTACACTGTACTTCCCACAGATCAAACTTTCACTATATGCACAAACTTCCTATAATTTTACCATTCAATTGCCTGGACTTTTGTAAAATGTCAGATAAGAAAAATTCCAGAAGTAGCTTTTGCTGTGTGTTACTCTCCTATTGCTGAATGATAAAATACCACAAATTAGCAGCTTTAAACAACGCCATTTACCAGTCATAGTACTGTAGGTCAGAAGTCGGGCTGGGTGTGACTGGGTTTTCCTCTCAGGGTGTTACAAGGCTGAAATCAAGTTGTGACTGTAGCAGGGGTTCTCATCTGGACTCGGGTCCTCTTCCAAACTCACTGGTTAATGGCAGAATCCATTTTCCATGGTCATAAGACTGTGTCCCCACTTTCCTCCTGGCTGTTTATTCATCACTGCTTTCGGCTCCCAGGGGCTTCCCTTCTCATCAGCTGTTCAAACGTGGATATTTGCTTTCTTCCAGGCCAGCAGGAACACCTTTGACTTCCTCTTCTGTGACCAGCAAGAGAAAAATCTCTGCTTTTAAAAGTCTCCTGTGATTCTAGTAAGCACACCTGGATAATCTCCCTTTCTTAAAGTAAACTGAGCCATATAACATAAACTAATTGTGGGAGTCTAAGTCTTTCATTTCCACAGCACTGGAATTATTCAGAATCTGTATGACAGAGGAATGAAATCTTGGGGACCATCTTAGAATTTTGCCTGGCAAATACTGTTAGTGATTGCTAGCCAGAGATGCCCGATTTTCCTGTCTTTTTTTGTTCTTATTTTTCATTTGGCTCCTTATCTTTGTAAAACTCTATCCAATTGAGCTGTCACTCAATATTTAAAGCCTTCTAAAAACTCTGATAAATATCTGTTAAAATTTTTCAAAAAGTCTAAAAAACTGGTAAAATAAACAGAGTACTAAGAACCAGATATATTTGGGCAAGTGTCAGAATTTCACTTACTAGCTATTAGAGCAGAGCCAGTAAGCAAGGTAGTTATGGAGACTTCTTAGTCTGTTTCCACTGTAAAATTGGGACAATGATTGCTACCCTCTAGAACATCATCATTGTCTAATGAGTGTATTAACATTCTTACCACAATGGTAGGGCCAGAGTGGTCAACTAACAATTTCTGTCCTTTGTTTTATTTCTATTTTCTTTCCATTTTGGTTCTGCTTGGTTTGTATTTAAATGCAAAAGTCTCCAATAGAGGAGTCAGACCAGATTTTGCCTTACAGAAAAATGTTACATTTCCACCAATACATTATTCTCAATGGGCTTTAGAATCCTCACAATTTATCACCAATACCAGCAGCTTGCCTGGAATTGAAGTGCTATTATAATCTTTTCTCTCTTAAATGCTTATTATGGGAATCAAATGGACCCACACATGGATCATTAAAATAATAAGTTACATACTTGGGGCACCCACACTATACCTTGAGTACTTTAAGTATTGATTATGGGAGGTGATTTATTTGTAATATTTTTGTCCAATACGTGCAATACATTCTGCTTATATAGCTTGGTTCTAAAACTCTCCCATATCTAGTAGAATAATTTTTAGCTGAATTTCCTCTTTTTCCCTTAGTATATTCTCAGTGATGTGATCATATTTGTTCTCTAGTTCACCTTCTCTGTTTTTTTTAATCTTCAAGTAATTTCTAATTTTAATTAATGACTTAGAAATTCAAGTGCCCCTCAAATTATTCTTGGCTTTGTTTTTACTTTACAGCTGAACTTCAACTCTTGCTAGGTTTTCCAATTCTCTTTCACAATTTATTCATTTTGAAAAAAAGAAAAAACCCTAAATTACTGCTTGTTTTTTCATTCATGAATATAGTTTTGTCACTTAATTGTGCAAGATTTGTGGGCAAGTTATTTTCTTGTAAACACATTGTGGTGCTTTTAAATGACTTTGAGGGTTCCCCTGGAATGTTGAGTAATGTTTTCAAAAATGTTTTAAGCCCATTCTGTCAGTTTTTGCTGTTTCTTTGTTTTACTTTCTGTCATTAAGAACTCGCCTTCTGATGAATACCTTTTAGTTCCCCTCACTTTCACTAAAATGTTGAATTTGATCTTGGCAAATTACCCTTAATTTGTCATTCTTTTGACCACCACACAGAACTAAGTCTATTATATTTTATCCTCCTTGAAGTTCTAAGGGAATTTAATCTTGGAAAGTCATTTATCTTCTCCAAATATCTGACACCAACATTTTTGTCCTGATTAAAATTTCTGCCAATCTGTATAGAGAAAAATGTAGTGCCTTATTATTATTATTATTATTATTATTATTATCTAGCCTAGTTTTGTTATTTTTGCTTTGTCTACCATATTCAGCTCATTTTCATTATCATAGTATTTTGCCACATTTTTATTCTTTAAATACGGAATGCCTGCTTACCAAAATTCCATTTACTTTCTTTGTCTGGCAAATAATTTTATCCTGTATCACTCAGGATTCAAACATTTTGAAACGCTCAAATTTGGTAATTTGAGGGGAGGTAATGACAGAACTATTCACAAGAACTCAGACAGTGTTTAAGAGAAACACTTAAATGAATGGTGCAGTGGCCCAGGGCTACTCACAGTATAGAGCCACCAGGGGCAAGCAGCAGAATGAATGACTATGCTGGAACCCTGAGACAGCTATATGCTGAGGGTTGACAGTATCTACAAACCTCAGTGAAAGATGAAACCAACCACTGCAACCCCATAAGATTTGAATCTGGGGAATAAATACTCCAACATGGCTCTCCTTCCTCTCCAGTTTTTTGGTGGAAATCCCCACTGCTTGAAACCCAACAAGAAGCCAGGAAAATAAGGAAATCCGTGTAGCACCTTCTCTCTATTCTGAGGAGGAAGAGAAGGATAGACAGTGAACATAGAAGGGCAAACTGAGGAAATGCAGCAGACATATATTACCATTTATACCACCATTTCAATTCTTTCCTAGAGAGGTCGTGGCTTGGGAGTTGCATATCCCAAATATTTGTGCTTGTTCAATTATTTTCCCTTAAGTTAGGCTCCAAAATAAATACCATTCGATGTCTCTATATTTTGCCAAGCATTCCACACCGCTATGGCCTCTGAAATTAGTTTGAAAATATCTATGCATTCCCCATTAAGATGCAACTTGATTTCACCTCTCTGGGAAGCCTTCCATATACTCCACGCAGAGACTCTGAATATTTGTTGTTTCTTAGGTGGAGTTCTGAGAAGCAGCAGCGTCTAAAATATCAATGAAACAAATTCAGTCTCTTCCTGTCAACTGAAATTTGGGTACATGGCCTTCTTAACTATGTTTTCCTAGTGATGTTACAAGATGACAAAATATTAGCTCAGTCCTTGTTCTTATAAGCATTGATGCTACAATATTATCTGTTTTATTAATCTCTAGCAAACTATAACAACAGTAAGGAAAATGAATCTAGGAAATTAATTCTTATCTTATTAAGTTTTAATCTCTTTCTTTTCAAATGTAATACATGATAGGTCAGCTTTGCTAATGGTTTTATACTGTCTGTTATAATCTTACCAGTGTGTTCATTCTATTTTTTTCAGTTCTTCTGTACGATTTGAGGGATTATAAAAAGTCTCCACTGACATCAAAAAGTCTCTCCCAGTGGCTTACCATAGTGCCTGAAATTTCCATCTTCAGAGAAACTTTTCTGATATAGGACTTTATCTCAGAAAGTGTTTATTAAGTGGACTTAGCTTACCTAAGAGAGGTAACATGTTGACACATTCAATGATCAGCTTCAAAGTCATCAGGCAAAAAGAAGGAACCATTGGTGTTTTGATGAAAGTTCCTGTTTAGAGAAGCTAACGGCTTAACCTTCAGCTGATGGAATTAACCCCAGCTTTTATATCCAACATATTTCTAGTTATGGGTAAAGCCAGAGGAGCATAGAGATTGCCTGTAAAAAATTCTAAAGCTGGAGCTGAGATTTAGTCTCTTATCTGAAAATTAAGCCTCATGCATCTCTGAAGTCAGGAAGTGCTTAAGCAAGACCCTTGGATAAATGTATGTACTGGTAAATTTTCATAAGGGATAAGACTCGGTAAAAGTTCAGAACTAGAGGCAAGGTCTAGGGAGGTAACTGTAGCTACAGGATAATAGGACCATAAATAAGGAGAATAGGGTAGACAGTCAGATGTTCAAAAGGGAAATGGTTATACCACAAGCACATTTTCCCCACTCCCCAGTTAATCAATATTGGGCCCTATCTTTCAGTACATAACTTATTGGCTACAGAACTCAAACGTACTCTTTGATATTTTCTTTATGATAATGATAACTCATACTTTTTCAGTATACAAGGCAATGTTTTATGCTTTTTACAGATACTGCTTATTTAATCATCACAGTAACTCCATAAAGTGGGTAACACTATCATATCCATTTTACACATAGGGAAATTAAGGTGTCAGAGCAGTTAAGTAACTTATTCCAAAATGAAACAATGGGAAGTAGCAGACCCAGGAATTAACTCCTGGCAATTAAAGCAGGCTTTAAGCTTAACCTCTACATTACACAGCCTCTCATGGACCCAGGGAACAAATAACCTATCACTCAGATAAATGTGTGCTGCTGGGTGAACAAATCACATCATCCTCATCCTTCATCCTTCTCTGTGGTCTCAATGTAGAAATGGACAATAGCAGTCATTACCCTGTTACTTTGAAAAGGTACTAAGCAAGGTCCTGAAGCCTAATATGTGTAAGACAAAAAAGCAACAGTAAATGTAGCCTAGGGAAATTTGAAATGAAACATCTCTCCCTCCTGCAACCACCTTTGGAAGAACACACCTGGGGCAAGAAGAGCCACTGCAAAGCAATCCCTGCCATCAGGTATCTGCTGCAGTTTCCTGCCTCTGGCAGCCTTAGGGAGCAGGGAACATCTGTAGCAGCTACCTGCTGCAAGGCCTTGTGTCCAAGCCTGGGAGAAGGGTGTTCCCCACTAAAGCTGGACAATGCTAAACATGACACTGCCAACTGGAATAAAAAGCCCTATTCTCACTAATTTTCCAGGATATCGTTTCTACCCATTTATTCTTCTGTAAAAATAGTATAGGCATAAAAGAATAAAAATAAAAATCCCAAGTTAAAATAGTCCAACAGAATATGAACTTTTGTGAGAAGAGGAGAGGGCTAAAATACCTAGGGAAAAAAATACCTTTACTTTCACCTTTTTCTGCTTCTATATCATCACTCTTGTGCCTGACATACCTAAAGAGCCTAATCTTTACCCCACTAAGGTCTCTGTATCTATTGCAGGGGACTCTTACAAGAGGTCTGAGCTACCTTCAATAATTTGTTTGTTGTCTTAAAACACGCCTTTTCCTGTGTTGGCTGCAGTAGAGAATCCTGAAGATACTTGCAGAAGTTGAACCCTGGGACAATATAGAGCTTTGTGTGACATCACCTATTAATAGGTGTAAATGAAGGCCTCCCTCTGTTATACAAAGACCTTTGCATGCATTAGACCACCTAGGTCAGAATCCTGATTCTCCTACAGACTAGCCATGTGACTTGGGGGAAATTACTTATTTTTTTCATGTCTCAAGTTCCACTTCTATAAAATGGGGATATTTAGTGGATGTACTTCCTTAGGGTTCTTTTGAGGATTACATAAGACAAAGAATGTCAAGAACACAGCATAATAACTGGCATAGAGCAATTGTTTAATAAAAGTTAGCTATTATCAAAATCAGATGTACTGGGCATGGGAGCAATAAAATTAGTCGTCTTGAGAAAGGGCCACACACCACTCACGTTGCCCTGGAGTCAGTGTTTCCACATTGCTCATGCTCTCCTTCAGCCTCAGATGCCTCTCCTCCTAATTTCTACCTATCACAATCATGTCAGGCCCAGCTTGAAACTATGATTCTGATATGGTTAGGCTTTGAATTGTAATCCCAGAGAGAGACCTGGTGGGAAGAGATTGGATTATGTGGGTGGTTTGCCCCCTGCTCCCCATGCTGGTCTCATGAGACTAAGTGAATTCTCACAAGATCTGATGGTTTTATAAATGGTAGTTTTCCTCCGCTGACACACGCGCTGTCTCACCTGCCGCCATGTAACACGTGCCTGCTTCCCCTTCCACCAAGATTGTAAGTTTCCTGAGGCCTCCCCAACCATGCAGAACTGTGAGTCAATGAAACCTCCTTTGTTTATGAATTACCCAGTCTCAGATAGTATCTTTATAGCAGGGTGAGAATGGACTAATACAGCTTCCCTCACAAAACCTTTTATATGCCTGAGCGGCATTACTTGTCCTCTCTTCAGACACTCCATCACACCCCCAGGAGTGGACTCTTTTTTTTTTAAATAAAAGATCCCTGTTTTTAGTCATGTTTGTAACTCTTACAATTTTCTGGTATAGTACTTTTTACACAGTAGTACCTAACCCATTCTTGTTAAATTTTATTAATCTACAATTTATTTTATTCATTCTAAGCTATGAATTAGGCTCACATTGTTTGTAACTCCCTGCTCCAAAGCTATAAACATAGAGCACAATGTATGGTTCCTTTCGACAGTCATACGGACATCATGGGCACACCAGGCATGTCACCATTCACAGCCTCAGTTAGAAATGACATCCACACGGGGTGGCTGTCCCCAGGATTCTCACTGCGGCTTGACCTTCACAATCGTGTGCACTTACTATGGCAGTATGCAGATTTGCTCATATTCTGAGTAAGCTCAGTCAGTTCAGTGTTGTGTTAAAGCAATTTGACCGAACAAATGGCAGTTTAGTGGGTGGGCCTGCTGTAAATACATTTGAGGTGTGATAACATAAATATGTCTGGTGAAAAATAAAATTGGACCAAATGACTAAATATTTGCTTGGGCATTAAAAAAAAAGAATTAAAAATTGTCACAAATGTGCCCAAACTTCCTGATCATAAATGTAGACTTGGTTTGCCTGGAGATTGAGTGCAGCACCGCAAATCGGCCTCAGCTTATTTTAACACTCATATTTCCCAATACACTAATTCAATCCACAAAGCTCCAAAATTAAGTAGGAACCAGAGCTGAGAAGTGGGTAAGCACCATAGGACATCTTAAGAGACTGCCTCTGATTTATGCGTCAGAAAATGTGTGAGAGTTCTTCCTGATTTAAATCACCAAATAATTTGTCCACTGTTAATCAAATATAAAACAGAGCTGAACTTTATTTTCTCAATAACCAAATTTATAAGTATGAAAAGACCCTAACACCTGAGGATAAATGTTAAGAGAGAATGTGTCAATGAAAATGGGTGGTAGTCAACAATTAATTAGAAATTCACATATATCCATATTTTGAAAAGGAAGGGGAACAACTCCTGAGGAAACACAGTCAAAAATATTTCCTTGGATATGTCAGAGTTATCTCATAAAATTTCTTGTGCAGAATATTAATAGAGTATTGAATTAGGTCTTTTATGTTATAAAACCTGATCTCTGTCAAGCAGTATGAATTGGTCCTGGGATGTGAAAAACTCTATCATATTTTATTTAGCAATAATCTTTTAACTTAGAACAAGCTTATGAGGAAATCATTGCTTCAAGATATGTAATCAAATATGACAATACTATTTTAACTAGATTCCTGAGATCTCAGACCAGAGCCAATATCAAGCAAATATATCAAATAGGTGACAGTGGCCTTTGGCATTCCCTTTCCTCTCATGGCCCAGCACTTTGTTCCCTGCAGTTCCTCCCTCTCCTTAGGTGACCTGGGTGACCTTTGATATTTACTTTCCTCCCTCTCAGAAGGGTGTCTTTGAAATAGGGAGGGAGCAGGACACAACTCAGTGTTTCCCAGTGACATTCCAAGGAGCTAGATGTTATCGCAGACTTCTCTAAAATAGGACTTCAGAGTCAAATAAACTTAGAAAATGCTGCATTGGACAAAGTATATTTACTTGTTTTTGCAAAATTTCTCAAAACCTCTATAACACTAATATGAGCTGAGCATCTCCTAGAGAAGGACATTTCCTAAATTGGGTTAATTACGGCAAGCCCTTTCCAGTAATATCTGTTAACATCTCACTCTTCGGGTAACACTAATGCAAGGGAAAGATGAATGCAGGACAGGTCTCAGTTCAAAGCTTGCTTCTGCTACTTAGTTGAGAAAATTCTCTGAGATAAGGTTTTCTCCTGAGAAACATGTGGCACATGGAAGACATTCAGAAAACAGTAGCCATGATTTAATTATATGGTTGTTAATAATTGTAGTAATAATAATATGTAGCGATCCAGGGAGCAAAGTATTCTTAAACACTTTAATTCCCTTATTTTTAAAAAGTCCTAAGCCAATGAAAGGGAGGGTAGAAGGAAAACGGTCATGAGCCAATGTAGGACTGAATAGATTAAAATGAAATGTGGGGCTGGAGACAGGCTGGACAAATAGATGGTGTCTTGCTGCCTCCCAGTTGGCAGGAGAAGGGAATTATGCCTAAGTTAGGAGTGCAGTGGGGTGGAAATGGACAAGGCTGCAAGAAAGAAGTGGGAAGAGCTGTAATTATCAAGCCATTGCTTATAAAACATAAAAAATATCTTAGAATACACCTGATTTAAAAGTCATGGAATTCAGAGTCTTGGCTTAATGAAGGAATTGGAACCCAAGCATTCTGTCCCAAAACAGAAAGGGCACAAAGTGTCCCAAGACCAAGGGACGGGAGGGACAACATGCATGGCTCACTTTACTACTGCCTAATGGGGATGATAATGGTACTATTGCCATTTTTGTGAGGATCTAAATCATATTAAAGCATGTATAGCCCTCATAACAGTGGCTGGCACACAATAAATGTTAGCTGTTGGCATTACCTTTTTTTCTAAAATGTGCTTTCAAATGCTAATCCTGGTACCTAGCCCAGTCCAGAAATAAAGATTGTTTCACACATTTCTACTGCATACCAAATTCCATGGACTATGGAGCTTGCTGAAAGAAGCTAAGTTCTGTCATATACATTACCCGGAGCACAGTGTGCTTTTTAAAGGCAGTGGGACAATCCACAGGGATAAAATAAATACAAGAAATAAACCAAGGGCCTCATCACTGCAAAGGTGAAAAGGAGGCATATTTTACCTATTACATGATAAAAGGGCCTTCCCCCTACTATGTCCTCACTCCCATTCAAAAATCTACTTGATGTACCTTCTCATCTGGACAAGAGAATTAATCTGATGAGTTCATCTCAAGCTCCTTAAGGGCTGAGTGACTCAACTGCATCATTGAATATTTGGAGAAAGTTTACTCACTTTTTTAAATTGAGAAATTGATTTTTATCATTCAAGTTGATAATACTAACACTCACTTATTGCTAACATCTTTTATGCCAGGCTCCTTGCTAACTACTTTACGTGTATTATCTGATTTGACCTTCCCCACAGTATTAAATAGGATACTCTCTCTCCTCCCTTCCTTATTTTATAGATGAGGAATCTGAGTCTTGGAAAGACTAAGTAATTTGTCCAAAGTCATTCATTCACTAAATAATAGTAGAGCCAAGTCTGTCCAATTCTAGGGGCTACACAGAGCTGCACATCCAAGAAATTTACTACTCAATATCACTGCCTTCCCCTTCTCTGAGTGTTTAAAATTGTTTTAAATAAGAAGTAATTGAAAATAAATTATTCACACTGTTGGCATCTCAGTCATTGTCAATACTGCCACACAGCAGAACATGAATATGACAACCAGGTTTGTGTTAATTAGATTAGTTCTTCATTTTTAAATGACAGGTAAATATATATAATCTCTCTTGGAAATTCTGAAAGGGTCATCCTAGTCCCATATTACCCCATCAACTACATCAACCACCTAACAATCTAAATACATTCACTATTGTTGTAATTTAATCATGTTGGTGATTGTATTTGTGTGTGTGTGTGTGTGTGCGTATGTGTGTGTGAGAGAGAGATTATGTTAAGGATGTTTCTTTAGACCTAATGTATTATCAGATACACTGCCAACTTTTTGCCAGCTCAGTTTTTTGTTTATAATGCTTCTATATACATTATTTTATTTGTTCATAAAACTTCCTCCTTTTTGTTTTCAGTAGGCTCCTTTAGTCTTAACCATGTGACTGGTAAAATGAGAGAAACGGGCAAGTATTCTACTGAAGGCCACAAGCCTCCCACATGCAAGTGGGACCCAATCCATCAGGCTAAACAGACTATACATGGCCATTCAGACTGTCTATCCCATTTATTTTTGTTAATATGATTTTGCATAAGAGTTATAGAAATCATTAAAAAGTCAGGAAACAACAGGTGCTGGAGAGGATGTGGAGAAATAGGAACAATTTTACACTGTTAGTGGGACTGTGAACTAGTTCAACCATTGTGGAAGACAGTGTGGCGATTCCTCTGGGATCTAGAACTAGAAATACCATTTGACCCAGCCATCCCATTACTGGGTATATACCCAAAGGACTATAAGTCATGCTGCTATAAAGACACATGCACACGTATGTTTATTGCGGCACTATTCACAATAGCAAAGACTTGGAACCAACCCAAATGTCCAACAATGACAGACCGGATTAAGGAAATGTGGCACATATACACCATGGAATATTGTGCAGCCATAAAAAATGATGAGTCCATGTCCTTTGTAGGGACATGGATGAAATTGGAAATCATCATTCTCAGTAAACTATCGCAAGGACAAAAAGCCAAACGCTGCATGTTCTCACTCATAGATGGGAATTGAACAGTGAGAACACATGGACACAGGAAGGGGAACATCACACTCCGGGGACTGTTGTGGGGTGGGGGGAGGGGGGAGGGATAGCATTAGGAGATATACCTAATGCTAAATGACGAGTTAATGGGTGCAGCACACCAGCATGGCACATGAATACATATGTAACTAACCTGCACATTGTGCACATGTACCCTAAAACTTAAAGTATAATAATAATAATAATAAAAAGAAGCTCATCAAAGAAAAAAAAAGAATCACAGCCACTAACAATTTAAATAAAGTTATAAAACCTAAGTAAATAGTAAAAAAAAAAAGAGAGATATAGAATAGTCTTTCTAAATGTGCTTTTGTCTCTTCAGTCAAATAAATAGACCCTATATCTTTTAAATTTATTTCTCTTCTTTAAGACATCACTAATACTAACACAGCCCATGTCTGTGTGCTCTGGACACCAAAATACAATTTCATACTTAAAACAATTTGCTATATCCCCAACTCCAAAAGACTGAATTTCAAGAACATAGAAGACCATCAAGATATGACCTCCTATCACTCAAGTCCTCCTTTTGAAATACCTCTTCTCTTAGCCTGCAACACACCACAGCCTTTTTTTCTTCAATTTTTATTTTAAGTTCAGGGGTACATGTGCAGAATGTGCAGGTTTGTTACACAGGTAAATGTGTGCCATGGTGGTTTGCTGCAGAGATCATTCTGTCTCCTAGGTATTAATCCCAGCATTCATTAGCTATTCTGCCTGATGTTCCCTTTCCCCGATCCCCCGCCTCTTACAGGCCTCAGTATGTGTTGTTCCCCCACATGTATCTATGTGTTCTCATCATTCTGCTCCCATTTATAAATGAGAACATGCAGTGTTTGGTTTTCTGTTCCTGCATTACTTTGCTGAGGATAATGGCTTCCAACTCTATTCATGTCCCTGAAAAAGACCTGATCTCATTCCTTTTTGGCTGCATAATATTCCATGGTGTATCTGTACCACATTTTCTTGATCCAGTCTATCACTGATGGGCATTTAGGCTGATTCCACATCTTTGCTATTGAACGCACCACAATCTTGATTATCTTTCTACCTCACCATCTGCTCCTACCCAATCTCTGCTAGTTCTTTATCTTCCCTTCTTTGATTCTATGGTGCCTCCAGACTCAGGTCACATAGTTTTCCAACTATATTGATTCCCTGTGTGACCTCATCCAGTCCTTATACGTAATCCATTCTCTAATTGTTCCCAAATTTGTATCCTAGCTTGGGCCAATCCCTGAACTTAACTTCAGTCTCCTGGATCCAACTACCTTCTCAACATCTCCACTTAGATATCTAATAAACAATTGCAAAGTCAACATGCTGAAAACATGTGGATTTACACAATCCCAAAAGCCACCTTCTTCCACAGTCTTCCCCATTTTAATAAATGGTTCTGCTACCAAATTTGTTGTCAACTTGGACACCTCTCATTATCTTATGTCCCATCCAATGTATCAGCAAATCCTATACGCTCTACCTCAAAACATCCCAAACAGACCCCTCATTACCACCTGCAACAACAACACCCTGGGCCAAACTGCCATCTTGGCTTACCAAGAGTATTGCAGTATTTTCCCAACTGGTCTCCCTCCTTCCATCCTGGCCTCCTCTATAAGCTATTCATCACACACACATGTGAAGGAAAGTTTTAAGTCAAATCATGCTAACCCCTGGATAAAACTCTCCAGTGCCTTCCTGTCTAACACAGTGAAAAGCTTCAGATCCATTCTTTGGCCTTCTTCCCAGTGGCTTCTGGCTTCTCCCTTGACCTTGCCTACTCTCCCCACCTTGCCCTGTCCCACAACAACCATACACAGCCCTAGTTACATTGGCTTCTATGCTATTCCTCAAAGACATAAGATGCCCTGTGAACACAAACCACACACAGTACAATAAAACGCCTTTAAAGCAGTTCAAAAGGAGGAGTCCCATCATCTTATTGTAAAATGCAACTAGGTATACGCCACCAACTTATAAAATAAAGTATACTTTTCATAATTATTCAGATTACCTTGAGTTTGCTTGCTCTATGGCTGCAGTCAAAAATCACATACTCTAAAAATTTTATTAAAATTAGCACTGTTCCTCCTAAACAGTCTTTTCCACTTTGGAAATGTTTTCACTCAGGGGAGAAAATGTGGATATGAACTGTAGTCTAGCAATATTAGTATATTTGCATGTATAATTTTATAAATAATAGCTAATATTATTGTAAATAATCTGCTTCTTAACAAACATTATTAATTTCATTTGAATACAAGATTCATTTAACAAGGTCTGAAATTTTTTTAGATTTGTTTAGAAGTCTTATTTCCACATTATTAGATGTCTATTTTTTTTTCTTCATTGCTTGGTTAGTGTTTGCTGGGTTAGGTTTCCATTGCTCTTGCTCCCAATGTTGCATTCAAGAGAAATACTTAGGAGCACAGAGTGATGACTTCTTAGGGCAATGTCACTTGACCAAAGTAGTATCTTGACAGAACTTAGTTGGAGTTTGTAGAATTATCCAAGCTAAAATATTTCTGTTCTATAAAATATATTCTATTCTTCTCTTCCTCTAAATTCCATGTATCTCCTTTCATTGTCTGCCTTCCGGGAGGCTATGCAAGATTGATGGAGATATTAAATCCCCAAACTAAAAGAGAAAAGTATGTGAATGTGAGTTTTCAGTTGACTTGAGAGGAAATATATTGCTTAATAGAAATGTACAGGAAACAATGATAGTGGGCAATAAATCCCAGATTAATTACATTTATTTAATATGCTTTAGAGCCAATGCAGATAGCTGAACTTTTATATAAAGCACTATAATTTTATGATTTTTAGTACTATGATTTTTAGTAATTCAGTAAATTACTAAATCAGAAAATTTACTGATTTAGACAGTAAATTTTCAAACACTTGTATTAGAAAACATGATTTTGCCCCTTATTACCAAAAGCAAAACTGCTCTATTACAAGCCTATTAGATCTCTATCCCCACATATTTTATTTCTTGATTTCTCAAACACTTTTTATGTTTTTTTATAGTCAACAGTACACCCCAAGTGTTGGAAAATTTGAAACTGCTTAAATAGCAAATGTGCGAATTCACAATGATATTCTAAATGATCCAGGAAATGTCATTTTAAATGGTAAAATCAATATGTATTTTGGTTCATTAGGAAAGTACATAATGACTATTTCTAGCATCTCCTCAGACTCTGTTTAACCAGTGTGTGCTGTGATGCCTGGCCTGAAGCACTTCTATTTTTAGTTCTAATAGAACAGTCTTAAATTGCTTATTTTCTGTTTACTAAAGTCATCCCGTTTGTTACCATGGAAACTATGACAAGTGCTCCAGCTAACTATTTTATTAAATGAATTGGAGACATAGCTGAAGAAGCTGAAGACTGAAGGTGCAGCTTGCCATTCCTAAGGCATATTTTCCAACATCTGTAAAACCATTGCCACATTTATAGATAATATGAAATTAGTTATAAATAAAGTTATCCACATTTCAAATTTGGGAAGCTGTCCACATTTGTATTATAACTAGCACATCTGAATTATAAGGAGCACATAGGCATTCCTAACTTACAAAAAGTCTTTCTAAAAGTATATCTGTCGATCAATTCCTTGGAAATTAGAACATATTTACCCATAGAAACAATTTTATAAATAATTGTTAGATCTCCAGGCCTACCCTCAAAATCCCTCCCCTATGAAGTCCTCGATCTGTGGCGGTCTCCATAATAGCTTTTGTTCTCAGCTCTAGCAGCAGGAGCCAAGATGCAGGATAAGAAGAAAGGAAAGAGTTTTCTTATGCTGACTTTATTAGAGCTTACATAGGTCACCATTTGGGATACTTGCATCTACTGGCCTTTGCAGATGTTAGGGCTCCCAAAAAGATCCTTCAGCTGTTTGCCCGGCCCCTGTCTCCAGCCTCCAGGGGTCCTGGCACTTGCTCACATTTCCGTCTGATGTTTCATGCCAGACTAATCTTGCTCTCAACCTCCCCCCGCCTCTGCATTGAATCATCATTCTCCTCAAGATTCAAGGTGGTCTCAGCTAGTTGTGAAAAAAAGCAGTCGAAATGGACACATTTCCTAAATCAGGGGGGTCCGATCTTTTGGTTTCCCTGGGCCACATTGGAAGAATTGTCTTGGGCCACACATAAAATACACTAATGCTAACGATAGCTGATGAGCTAAAAAAATAATAATAAGTAAATAAAATATGCTCAATGTTTTAAGAAAGTTTACAAATTTGTGTTGGGCCACATTCAAAGCCATCCTGGGCCACATGTAGCCCACAGGCCACGGGGTTGGACAAGCTTGTAAATGATTAAGAACACCTTCTGAAGTTTTGGCATTTTAAAAATACTTTATTTGTAACTTAAATAGCTGGAACAGAAACAAATTTCAAGCCTGTGAAATTTCCATTACCTTGACTAAAGAGCATATTCAGAGGGTAAAAGTGTGAGGAAACTGCTTTGAGGGAATTCTAGAAGTCAGCTGCAAGGAGTCAGTCAGCAGTCAGTTGATTTAAAAGAAGTCTACTTTTCAAGTGTATGCTCTGAATCTTGGACCTGTGGGTTTCTGTTGGAAGACGGATGGTAGTGGTTGATTGCAAACTGAGTCATACCTTTGTTTATTTCATTTCCACAGAATTCTAATGAAATATAGCTTACTAGCCCTGTAATTTTGCTTTTAGAAGAATATCGTCTTGAAGAGTACCATCTCATGAAGAAGATTACTAACACAATAATATAGACAAAACTTTGTTCTTATTTTCTAACAGAATAAAAACCAAACAAAACCATTGTAATTTGGACGTTGTGAATTTTGCACAGAAAAGAAAAGAATTACTGTAACATATATAAGATAGAGTCAATAATTTACCATTTTATGTCCAATAAATTAAAAGAGAAAAAGCACATAAGTTGCTTATTTTTAAAATCAAGATGACATGAGTTGCCTTCATTTTTTATACAGCTATATTTTATAGAGATTCAGATTTAATCAAAATTTATAAGAAAATGGTAAGAATTATTTCTAGAAAGTTAAAGAATATATCTTTTTAAAAATTAACTATTATAGGGATGGGTGTGAAAGCAAATAGAATTTGATATTTCTGTTTTTCCACAATGCAGTAACTGAATTTATTTGTAACGTTTTTCTGGAAAGACATATGTATTTTAAATGAATATGGTATGCAATAAAATATGAAGTAAAAAAGATCAAATTATTTTTTAATATCAGTGATCATTTAAGATACAAATTTCCTTAAGAGTATATTTCAATTTTAATGTTACTTGATAGTTCAGAATGAAGGCATATTTTTAACTAACATTCATTTTTAATCTCCTTAGGGTCCACTTTTATTTGTAACACTCACATAATTCCAGTGAAAAACCAAGAGGGCGTGGCTATGATGTTCATCATTAATTTTGAATATGTGACGGATAATGAAAACGCTGCCACCCCAGAGAGGGTAAACCCAATATTACCAATCAAAACTGTAAACCGTAAGTAAAAGGCAATGTGTACTCAATGCTCTTGATAATTCTGCTACTGTAGTCACTTTAATACAGTCTTCATTTCAATTCAGTTCTCAAAATATCTTTATATTTGAAGTAAAATAATTTGACATGAGTAAGCCATTAGCTCATGTTACCTTTTGGTACCTTCCAAAATTTGTTGGCTGCTCTGAAAGCCATTTAACTTGGATATAATATAATGTATTTAACCAGTCCCCTGACACCTGATGGACATTTAGGTTGTTTTCAAACTTTGTCTGTTACAAATAATGCCAGAGTAAATTCTGCTTATGTATTTTCATATGTATATTATTGGACAAATGTATCTTCAGGGTCCTTTAAGTGGGATTCCTGGGTCAAGGGTGATGCATATATAATCTTTTCAGATACTGTCAAATTCTCCTCCACATGCTTTGAACCATTTTACACTACCACCAGCCATGAATTAGCCCTTTTCCCCAAAACTATGCCAACAAAGCGTGTCAGAATCCGTTTTCTCAACTATTGTCATTATCATAAGTGAGAAGTAGTACCTCAATTAGTTTTAGTTTATATTTATTCTATGAGTAAGGTCCATATATTTAAGCACAAAGGACATTTCTTTATCAACTATCCATTTCTTTTATACATATTGGTTGTTTTTTCTCTATCTTGTCAATTTATAATGTAAGCTGCAAATAGCTTACCTAGAAAATAATGCGTCTTTTATCTTTTTCATAATTTTTGTTATTTAAAGGGTTTTTTGGTAATGTGTCTAAATTTATAACCCTTTCCTTTATTGCATCTGAATTTTTGAGACATAATTAGAAAAGCTTTCACCACTCCAAGGTTCTAAATAAATCACTTCCTTTCCCCGGAACTTGTATGATTTCATTTTTTAGGATCTCTGATGCATTGTAAGCTTATTTTGGTGTATAGTGCAGAGTATACAGTTAATTTATCTTGTTCTCAATGGCTCACTCATTGTTCTAACATTATTTATTAAAAAGTCTATCTTTTCGCCAGTAATTTAAGATGCCACCTTTATTACACACTAAACTTCCATATGTGCTTGAATCTATTCCTGGATTTTCTATTCTGTTCTGTTGATCTATCTATCGCTCAGAATCATACAGTTTATATATACAATAAATAACTAATATACCATGATCCCTTATTATTCGATATTAATTTTCAGAAGGTTGAGGTTATTTTTTGATTAATTTTCCATGTGAACTTTAGAAGCAAATTTTCTAGAGCTACAAAAAATTATTTAATATTTTTATTGGATTCACATTAATTGTATAAGTTAACTTGAAGATAATTGATGTCTCTATAATGGTGTAATTCTATTCAAAAATATAGTATGCATTTTTATTTTCTAAGTCTAATTTTCGTGTCTTTCAGGAATGTCTTAAAATTTTCCTCACTTGTTTACTTTGCTCCTTGGCATGTAACTTTTGTTGTTGCTGCTATTATAAATGGAACTTTTTTCCCATTATATTTTCTTATAAAAGTAACTTTTCTTTCTGAATACATTAATTTTACATCCAACTATCTTAGTGAATTCTTAGTTTACAGTGACTTATACATTGACTTTTATTAATTTTTCAAATATTCTATCACATAAAATAAAAATTGTTTTATATTTCCTTTCCAATCTTGTACATCTCATAGTTTTCTCTTGTCAAAATGTGCTGGCTATTACCTCCAAGGTATCATTAAAAAGAAATCAACAGTGAACACTACGCCCTGGCTCTGATTGTTGTGCGAGTGCCTTTAATTCAAACATTCCCCATTAATTGAAATAATGACATGTGAGTTGAGTTGTATGTGCTTTATTATTCTAAGAAAGTTTCCATTGACTTAAATTTTTTAATAATGGGTGCTGAAATTTGTAAAATGCCTTTTTTAGCCTCTGTGGAAATGAGTGTATTATTCTTTTCCTTTTTTAAAAATATATTTTATAAATGAAGTTATTAATATGAACCATTCTTGCATCCTTGGAAGAAGACACATTTGGACATGATATGTTTCATTTTGTAATATGTTGTTGGGTTCTCTTAACGCATATTAATTTTGCAATTTGCATCAATATCCAATAGGGAGATTGATCTATAATTTTTGCCTGCATATGTGCAATTTTCTAAGGTGTTGGTATCAATATTATAATTCCTTCAAAAAATAATTGAGAGTTTCTTCTCCTTTTTGTATGCTATTGAAGCATTTAAATAGTTTGAGGATTATCTAGACTTTAAAAGTTAGGTGTGATTCCCCTGTAAAGTCATCGAGGTACTTATTTGTGGTAATTGTTTGTGAAGTAGCTCCTTGACAAATTTATTTTTCTTCTTTAATAATGGTCTACTCAAATTATCAATCTTAACTAGTTTCAGTTTTGCTAGACATTATTTCCCTAGAAATTATTTCATGTAAATATTTAAATTTTGTTTTAATAGAATTATGCAAGGTAGTATTTTATGATTTTTTAAAAAAATCCTCAGTTCCTATAGTTTTTTCTTGAAATTTCTCATTTCTTTTATTATTGTTTTCTCCATTTAAAATTGTTGATTAATCAGTAGCTTTTTTCCCAAAGACTTAACTTTTTATTGGTTTATTAATTCTATTAGTTTTCAAACTCACAAAATTTTGCTTTTATATGCTTAATTCAGTTTTTATCAGCTTACTTTGTTGCCTCTTTTTCATTGCATCGATTTATTTTCATTCTTTCAGTTTTTTGGTATATGATTTTAAGGCTATATATTTTTATCTAAGCACTGTGTAAGCTATACCCCATGAATTTAGAAATGTAATATTATTTTTCCTAGAAAATATGCAACTTTTGTTTTCCTAGTTTTTAACTTGAGTTGTTTAATATAGTTTTTAGTTTTCCAGTAGGAAAGGTATTTTTAAAGTATTATTTTTTGTTAAAAACTTCTGGTTTTATTGTCTTACAGTCATAAAATGCTGTTTGTATTATTTCTCTTTTTGTAATTGTCTAAAATTTGCCCGTGGTTTATTATTTGATCAATTTTCATGAGTATGTCATGTGAATATGAAAAAAAAGTGATATTACAGAATATCAAGCTACAAAAGTTGATATCTACTTTTAAAACTCTGCCTTATTATTATGCTGTCTTCTATATCCTTACTTATTTCCTGTCCTCCAGATATGTCTTGGATTTAAGAAAGTGTATTAAAGTCTTCTACTGTTAGAATATTTCTTGGTATTTTTCATTCTCTCTCTTGCAATTTCTGTTTTATGAATATTGCTTCTCTTGTTTATTTCATAGATATTCATATTTCATAGGTAGCCATATATTTTGTTATTAGTATAAATTAGCATTTAGCATTACAAAGTATCTCATTTTTGTTTACTAATTTTCCCCCTAAATTCTACTGTATCTTAAATCATGACACTTGAGTCTTTTCTTTTTTCCATTTTCTTTCTGTATTTTAAAGTCATCTTTTAGTCATTTGCCTTTGTTTTGGTTGTGTCTTTTTTATACAGTGTGCTGTTTTTATGCAATGTGAAGCTTTTCTTTATTGCTTATAAGAAAATGATACTTCTACGTTAATTGATTATAACTGCAATAGGTATTTACATTTATTGACGCAACTGATGTGTTTGTTTTCTTGATACTAACATATTCTAGGTTAAATATACTTTCTTGAAGTACTTCATTATGTTATCTTTTCTTTGCCCTTTTAAAAACTGGTTTTTGTTGTTGTTTTATTCTGGTTTCGGGGTTTTTTTGGTATTTGGGAAAATTTATATTTTTTTCCAACAGTTATCTTTATAAGAAAATGTTATATACTCTCCTTAACTCTTTCCTCTTTTCCTCAGTCAGTGTATTTTGGTTCCCTATTTTGAGCAAAAATAAAATTATTACGGCAAAAACCTCAATTATTTTGCACCAACCTAATAGCTTATAATCCTTTTCTTCTGCTTCCCACCATGCAGTTTTCGTCAACAATATTCTATTTCTTAAGGCTCATCTTTGTGCTCCTGAGTATCTTTAGTCTCCTGCCATTCAGTGTGTCAGTTTAAAATAACATCACTTGACTCTCATCTGTTACCAGTAAGGTACTCAGTGAGCTTATCTATTTTCTTCTCCTCTCCCTCCCATTTTGTTGGGATATGGTATTTCTAGCTTGTCAAGTAGATAATGTGTATATACTTCTTACTTTTCTTTTGGCCTCAAATTTCTAGTGAAATGTATGCATGACTGTCTTTTTGTCAGAGATTCCCCAAACACAGCTTCTTAGGTGAAGTATATCCCCTTTGGGAAACGTGTGTGGGTAAAATATTTTCAGAGTTCTCTCGTGTTTAACATGTTTTTATATCACTTTGACATTTGAAGGACAGCCTAGGTAGATATGACATAGTATTTGGTCCATATTCTATGCCTTGTGACTCTGGTCAATATTGTTTCATTCTTTTCTTACATCAACTGTTGCCGACAAGTAGTCTGACGTCAACCTGCTTGACTATCCATTGTAAGTGACTCTGGTATCTGGGGTCTTGTGCACTTTTTAAGCCCCTTCTATTGTCTCTCCAGGAACTGGTGCTCATGTTACAGACCTGCTCTTGAGATTTCTTACTCAGTGAGAGGCCCTCTTCTGCTGAAGGTGAACTCTGTTTAATAAGTGTCCCAACACTCCAGGGAGACTTCTGTACTCCTCTTTTCTTCATTTAGTTTCACCTTGACTCTCTGTTGCAGTGTGCTTTTCTGAGCCAATTATGCTTGTATTAGCAAATTCCCCATCTACATGTAAATAAAAGTCTGTAAGTTGTCTTTCTCTAGTTACTGCATAAGCATGGTTTACGGGTACTTTTATTTGACTCCTCCTTTATTAAATCTCCAAGGTTTATATAGGGGTCCATGAGGATTTGGTAATTTAGATATCTGTCATTATCTATGGGAAGCTGGAAGCCTTATCACAAAACTTTAATATTTGAGAAAGGAAATTGTTATACTGTGTATAAATTCAGATAGAAAAATATGCGTATAATGAAAAACATGGTCCCAAAAGCCTATTTTGTAAACCTAAGTATAATACCAAATCAAACATACCTCAGCTGATAATTTTTCTTAATAGCAATTTTTCCTTAGGTATGTCTAAATGACAGTACAATATTCTTTTAAAGCAATATTGACACAAATACATTAATGTAATATGATTCTAATATGTTAAATGTTTTTCCCTGAACAATATTATACTTGGAGAAAACTCTATCAGAATTACTAATTCATCAATCTTCCAGGTGACATATTTAGAAAAAAAAATTGAGCTACCATAAAAAACTTCTTACCCCAAAGTCTTGATCCCAAAGTTGATGACTGTTTTGATTTTCTTATACTTTCCACTAACAAATGCAATCATTAATGAATGATTCCTGAGAGTACACTTCTAATGTCAACCTCTATTTGTCATGAATACCAATAAGGTAATTTGTTTGGATGGTGGATACCTAGTTTAGTTTCTTCACTGTCTTCTCAAATTCTCATATTTTCCCACGGAATAGTTGTCTTTCATGGTCCATCAAATTGGATGGAAGTGAAAAAGGGAGGGTATATCAGCAGCATGGCAGAGAAGGGGACTTTTAAAAAAGATAATGTGTCCGTTTAAAACTGAAATGTAAATGGAGAATTGAAACCTTGGTTTCCTAAATGGAAGATAGTCTTTACAGTAGCCTCCAGGATATAATACACAATTTATGCAACTTTATATTGTGATTAAAATAAAGTCCTATGTACAAGTTACAACAAATGCAGTAGAGATTCTGCTTCTTATTTTATGAACATAAGTTGTTTCCCTATGCTTTAGCTGTCACTCATACAGGGAAGCGTTGGACAGAGTAAAAATATGCAGATAAAATTATTTCCAGAGCATTACAAAGGCCCATTATTTACCACCTGTATATCGGTTTTGATTACACCCTTCTGTCATTATATGACCTAGATTTCCTCTTACTTGGTGTCAGTTTTTGAGGAATGGATTGTTAAATCAAGCAGAAAAGTTAAAGAAAGACAAATTATGCTTGATACCTTCTGATACTACTCAATTTCGACTTCATATTTTTTCTCATCTTTGGCAAACCCCTGCTGATTTTTTTTCTTTGAAGTATAATGTTCCTACCAGTGTAAAATAATGATACTGGCTATTTCAAACATTGTTGTTCCAGTGATAGCCACTTAAAAAAAATAAAGAATAAAAAATTCTGATGCACCTCTTTTAGCAGACACATCTTAACCTTCAAAATTGTGATATTATTGCTTCAAAACCTACATTGTAACTACCAGCTTTTGTATCACTTGAAATGATCTGAAATAAAAATATGGTTACAAAGAAGTATACAATGGTATTCACAAAGGCGAATTTTAAACTGACATTTCCCTTTAACCAATGCTTACTCTCTCACTAAAGTGTTTGTAATTGTGTGTGTGTGTGTGTGTGTGCGCGCACGCTCGCGCACACTAGCGTGTCTCAGAGTGGTAGGATTTCAGTGACAGTAATAAGAAAAAGGTTGTTGTGTGTTTGGGAAGATGTTACTTTCTGAAAATTTAAATACCTCTATTGAAATAGAGACAAAATAAAGGAAAAGATGTGACATGACTACACAAGAAGCATAGCTTCAAACAAAGGGAGGTATTAAATTACAAAGATTAAGTAAAAGAAAAGGAGGGAAATACACAGTAGAAAATATGGATTATAAAAAGGCATTATGATACATTGGGCTCCATACATTCTGAAAACTTAGAGACTTCTTTTATATAGAATTAAGTGGTGGATCATTTCTCAGTACAAATACCTAGTTTCAGAGCCAGGAACTCTACACAAGAAAAGTGAGCAGCTTTCTCTCAGAAGACCTAATTTTTCATAAACTTATTCTCTGTAGAAGACCTGGAACTAGCCACAATTAGATGACTTATGTCCCCTGAAATGAAGCAAATACAGAAGAAAGTGTTATTTTGATAAATCTTACTATCAAATTTTGATAAGTACTGAATAAATGAGCCAATTAATTGCTACATAATAGATATAAACACAAAATAAAAGATGAAATTGAACACTTTCTCACTGAAGTCTTCTGTAAAAAGTTTGCAGTCTAAAAAATGGAAATAATACGGAGTGAAAGAGAAAATTGTGCATTCCCTACCAAGCATAAGGGGCCACATTTAAAGGAGCCAATAGTAATGGAAAAGTGTGTTCTCTTCTTTTCAGCTGTAATACTTGATGATGTAGAATATATGTGAAAAATGGAGGAGAAACAAATTATGCATTCTTGTTTACGTGATTAATGCCCGAGTTTACTGTCATCGAGTATAAGAGGTTTTCACTTTTACTGTTTTAAATAAATTATTTTTGTTTCATTTTAAATTATTGAAAACTATATTTGAATTTCATATGTCTTCTATAGCATGAATCTAGTATCATACTCTGATTCACACACAGATACATGCACACTTTTGAATTCTCTAAACATTTCTTGAAGGGATTGGGGGAACCTAAATTAAACAAAAATTGGTACTTAAATTGGATTCCCTTCTTTTACATTCCATGTCACCGCATTCCCTTGAGTCTTTCCACCTCTGTAACAGCTATTTCAGTACCATTTGTTGTTCCTCTTACTCTACTCTTAAAAGCTGTTTGTTTCTCCCCTGGGAGCTGCTTTTAATATTCATTCCTTCCTAGTCATCTCTATATACGCTGCTTAGGCAAACTCATTGTTTACTTACAGCGTAAAGACCCTCTCAAAAATCAGTATCTCCAGCTCATATCTTTCTTTAGGCTTACTTACAACCTCATATATCCCACTAGACATCTCCTTTAGAAGATTTTAGTATTTCTGGGCGATTTAGCATTTCAAGCTAAGAACTGCCTTTCCATCTTCAGCTACCATCCATTTCATCCCACCAAAAACTCTTCCTTTTCATACATTATGAATAGTCATTATCCAAAGCTCCCAAGCCAGAACCTCGGCATGATACTAAACTTCTCCTTCTCTCTAATCCTCTATTCTCCCAACCAAAGGCTAGCCAAGTCTATGAAACACATCTCTTAACTATCTCTCTCATATAGCCCACTATAATTGTCCTATTCAGACCCTCAACACATCTTTCTTGGACTGATATAATAGTCTCACAATTAGTATTCCTGCTTTAAGCTTCTTTTCTTCAGGATTACATGTTATATTGCCGTACATCACATCATAATAGTCCACTGTCTATATCTTTTACAATGGTCCTCTATTGCCTAAAATATAAGACTCCAAAGCCCTATGCATGGATAATACAATCCGCCTATCATGATATAGCTTCTGATACTTCTTCAGCCTAATTTCCCATCACATCCCATATTTTAGTGCGGGTTCCTTGAAGCTACCATTCACTTTATTCCACCTAATTTGTATCATGTGGTGTCCCCTCTACTAAAATGCTTTTCTTCTTCTAGCATACCTATTCCAAAGGACTCTTCATCTGTGGAGCATTCTTAACTCACCCACATGGGTCCTGTGAGATCATAATACCTCATACCTTTCTCTACTACCACGTTGGTCACATCTGTTTGCTTAGTAAACAAGTAACATGAATGAAGAAGGCCAGGAGTAAAAATATAGAGAGAAGTGAAGACTGGAAAACTGGAGAACATCTTTATCTTATTTGAAGTGGCCCATAACCCTTCAGCTCTACTTCATGGCAGGGACATTTTATTTTCTTCCATATAGACCTAATATTTTGCAAATAGTAAGTATCTAATACATGTTCGTAGAAGACATAAAAAGTTATTTTTTTCCTTTAATAATTAAGCTACTTTTTTCCTACTGAATGGGCATTACTCAGATTGCCTGCCAATGGTTCTTCAAGTGTGAGACCATCAGCATCACCTTGCAATGTGTTTGAAGTGCAAGTTCTTGGGCCCTACACCAGAACAACTGATTCGGAAACACAGAAATTCACCAAGCTGTGTTTTAACAAACACTTCAGGTCATTCTGATGCCCAAGAAGGTATGAAAACCATGGTCTAGGTTAATGAATGTTTAGCTAGAACTATAAAAATAAATTTTAAGTGAAAATAAATGTAAGAAATAACCTAAAATTTCTGAAGTATCTTATAGTAATTTTTAAAGTGTACTTTTTCATTTAATCTTATTAAGGATTAAAGGATATCCATTATCTTTGAAAAGATTAAAATTACACTTTCCAAATCAAAGAGGATTTTACTTTTACGCTTACTAAAATTTTGAATTTTTCTAAAAGCTTCAACTGAAGCTAAGCCTAACCACACAAAATATAGTTGATAATTTAGACAATTATCTAGCTAATTTAAACCATTAAAATTTTATTCATATGCTTTGGACTCAATACTCTAGATAATTGACACATAAAATACACATTTGCCTCAATAGCTACATTACTTCCTCAAATTTGTATCTCAGTTTTTAGACCTCAAGCTAAGGAACAAAGAAATTTTCCATAGAGCTGGTTTATAAGAGGGCTTTTACAGTGTTTTTACTATTCTCCACTGGAGCTGAAAGTCATTCTTTATTTTGAAGATGAAGAGCTGCAATAGTAATATAGTTTCCCATTCAGTAAGCATTACTATAGAAACAATCTCTTTTTCAGATTAATTTAGTTAAAGGTTTTATACTGTAACTAATGTTTACTATTCTCATGTATTTGGAAGTTTCCTCTTTTTAAAGATTAAATTTGACATAGAAAAAGGAAACATGGCATGGTTGCAAAAAAGAAATCTGAGGAAAATTTACTCAGAGTTGCAAAAAATTTTATGTCATGTGCCTCTCCCACCCCCCAGGATTTGAACATCGTATCTATTTCTAAGATCAAGAAAATTGCCAGTAGTTGAAAATGTTGCGGGAAGTCAGGGACCCCGAACGGAGGGACCGGCTGAAGCCATGGCAGAAGAACGTGGATTGTGAAGATTTCATGGACATTTATTAGTTCCTCAAATTAATACTTTTATAATTTCTTACGCCTGTCTTTACTGCAATCTCTGAACATAAATTGTGAAGATTTCATGGACACTTATCACTTCCCCAATCAATATCCTTGTGATTTCCTATGCCTGTCTTTACTTTAATCTCTTAATCCCATCATCTTCATAAGCTGAGGAGGATGTATGTCCGCTTAGGACGCTGTGATGATTGTGTTAACTGCACAAATTGTTTGTAGAGCATGTGTGTTTGAACAATATGAAATCTGGGTACCTTGAAGAAAGAACAGGATAACAACAATGTTCAGGGAACAAGAGAGATAACCTTAAACTCTGACCGCCGGTGAGCCAGGCGGAACAGAGCCATATTTCTCTTCTTTCAAAAGCAAATGGGAGAAATATCACTGAATTCTTTTTCTCAGCAAGGAACATCCCTGAGAAACAGAATGCATCCCTGAGTGTAGGCCTCTGAAATGGCTGCTTCGGGGGGGCGGCGTCTTTTATGGTCGAAGCTGTAGGGATGAAATAAGCCCCAGTCTCCCGTAGCGCTCCCAGGCTTATTAGGACGAGGAAATTCCCGTCTAATAAATTTTGGTCAGACCAGTTGTCTGCTCTCAAACCCTGTCTCCTGATAAGATGTTATCAATGACAATGAGTGCCCGAAACTTCACTAGCAATTTTAATTTCACCTCGGTCCTGTGGTCCTGTGATCTTGCCCTGCCTCCATTTGCCTTGTGATATCTTATTACCTTGTGAAGCATGTGATCTCTGTGACCCACACCCTATTCGTACACTCCCTGCCCTTCTGAAAATCACTAATAAAAACTTGCTGGTTTTACAGCTCAGGGGGCATCACGGAACCTGCCAACATGTGATGTCTCCCCTGGACACCCAGCTTTAAAATTTCTCTTTTGTACTCTGTCCCTTTATTTCTCAGACTGGCCGACACTTAGGGAAAATAGAAAAGAATCTATGTGAAATATTGGGGGTGAATTTCACCCGATATCTGGCTGAATTTCCCCCGATAGAGTAAAATACATTATTTATTCATTAACATGGATGTTAATGAATGCCCAAATTGGTATAACCACACCAGAGAGCCCCCATGTGAGTATCATTTGGAAGATTGTGTTACCTAGCAACACCCAATCAGGGACAGTCCCTATTCATACATACATACAGCATTTGGGTAATTGGTGTCTGTACCATTTGTGTTTGGAACAGTCCATCAAGAGAGTGTCTGTTTATGTGATGACTACATGATCATCCATGCTCAATTTTGGTTAAGATGTTATCACTTTCACAGGACTTGAATGGACTTTTTAATTTGACATTTACAAAATGAAGAAATCTATCAAAAAGAAAGTATGGGTATTGCATGCATTGATTTATTAAGCTGTTATTTTAAGCACATAGAAACTTAATTAGGTGTATATTATGCTGCTGTGTTTGCTTTCATTCCCAATCCCCTCTCACTGAGAGATTTTAACCCTAAGAGGCTGAAATCAGTCCACCATCTTGTCCTGTCTTCTGCCCTATCTCCCTTATCCAAATTCATGTTTCTGGCTTCTTTGCTCTTGTGATGACCCAGCCAGATCACAAGCAGTGTCCCTCAGATATTGTCAACATTTGCAAACATGTTTACGGGAATGCTGTTTTGCTGCTGCAGCTCCTGTAATTGTTCTCAAGCCTTGCTACAGCACTGACTTCCTCCAACCTCCACTTCCTGCCTTTAACTCATAACTTACAGATTCCAATTTGGTCCTATCCTCACTGCTTACTATAAGATCTTGCTTTTTCTTTGGTATCTAATACCCTAGGAAATGTCACAGGATTCTTAGTCTTTCATGGCATTACCGATCGGATCTGCTCCTTTAAAGAACCTCATATCTAGCTTCAAGTTTACTAGGTCAGTGGACTCCCTGGTGATCTTTTGTTATCACTGACACCAGGCCTGCGCTGGCTACAGTGGCCCATTTGTCACCCACTAATCAGGGTAGCCACTTGGCTAAAACTGAGTTCACATTGAATGATAATCTTTCCCGGTCTAGCTGCTATCTACATCATTCTTTGACAATATTCTGAGTTGTTCTACCAGCTCATAGGCAACGTCATATACCTTCCTACATATGTAGGAGTAGGAGTAGGAGAGACTCATGTCCTTGCAGGATCCCTCTATGAAAATTTTCTTCCTAAAAAGAAAAGGCAGCTATGTTAGTCATTATCTCTGTTTATCCCACCACATTTTTCTTCTCTCTCTGATTCAGGAGTAAAAGTCGTGTTTCTCTGCAAATCCAGGGTTATGTGGTTGGAGAAAATTCTCACACTGATTTTAAGGCTTCAAATTTAATGTCGGGCTTGTAAGTACTCTGACATTAGAAGGATACACAGATACCAATTCACACATCCTTATTTTGTGTGATAATAGCTGATTGTAGGCTTAATTCAGATCATAATTTTTCAGGCCAAAAGATGGCTATATTTCTCTCTCTGTACTGGACACTGTGGCCCTAAGCCCAGACATCTTCCTTAGGGCTGAGACAGCCCAGCTGCTGGAAATACCAGCTGTTCCAGGTACACTGCTGCCCCTCCCTGGAAATTGTAGTTTAAGGCAGGAAACTACCTTATCCAGCATTATGGCCTTTGCCGTGGTGTGGCTATAACCAGTGACTCGTAGATACAGGGATGCAAAGGCCAGGTACCCTGGCTTCAATTTGGCAGAATTCTGAAGGGGCTATCCCTGCATTTGAGCTCCAGGAGGACTGGCCGATGCTTCAGCTCCATTTGAAAATCAGTTTAACTTCCTCTTCTTAATCCTGTCTTTTTAATAGCCATAACCCATGAGAGTACTCCCTCAATAAGCCTTTTCACAATCTACTTTCAGGAATCCAATCTAAGATACCCTCCCACCACCCCAACCCTTTGTGAGGGGACAGATCTCTGCTTATGACCTTTACAACAAACCTTACTTTACTCCCCATACAGATCCTCTCCTATTTCATCATGGTGTCTAATTTGCTTGACTACTTGAACTTAAGTTTCCCTCTACTTTTCAGTCCATAATTCAACCTAGCAGAACCAAGCAGGAATAAAACTGCTTCTAATTATATTTAATTGGGTTTTTGCAGTAAAAATATGACATAATCAAGGTTCTAAGAATTTATAGAAATGATGAAAAATTGAGTGAAGGAGATGATTGGAAATTTGCAGTTGTATTGTGAGAAAAATCAATGATTGAAAGTAGATGGATAATTTTGCAGAGATTTTTTGTTTTTCCACAAGAAAATGATTGTTTCTAATATCCCTATATGTAGTCTTAAGTTAGAAGAATTGGTTGAAGTCAAAAGTGGGTGTCATAGTTTTCTTCCAAACTGTAATAGATGAGAATCAATTCACACAGGAAAGAAGTAGGGAGAGAGAGAGAGAGAGAGAAAGAGGGAGAGAATATAGTAGCAGCAGATGGATGAGGTCTTCTCAAACTGGAAAAGTTTAGTAAAGCCAATTTTTGAAGCCCCATTACCATAGGAAATAGGTTATAAATGTAGTTGTTATCATTGTAATTTTATGAGAAATGTGACTAGCACATATATGTAAGCAAATAAATTGAAAACTAAAAGGAATATCAAGAATCAACTAATCTTAGGGGATCTTAGGGGAGGTCAATGTTGAAGGGCTTTGGTGGGAGAAGGGTGAGTTAGTTATTCAACTTCTGAAATCATAAGCAAAATTGTGTGTATGCATTTATCTATATTTATTTCAAAGAGAAATCAGGATTTTCATTAGATTCTCATGTAGATATTTATGACCCAAGAAAACACCAAACCTTGGGTAAAACTAAAATTAATCACGGAAACTGCTGTTTTGTGCTAACCTGACGTGAATTTTCTGCATGAATTTGGCAAAATATTTAACATTTTTGCATGTATAGATTAAAGTGATAATTATAGACTTTTCACAGAGAAAGATGATGGGACTATCTATGTTTTCTTGGTTAAGAACCAAAAAGTTGTTAGTTACATATGCCAGGATTGATGAAGATGCAGCCTCTAAATTTATATTCAGCATCTTCACAAAAATGACATGTCCTGAGAAAGACATTATAGTAGTAGTTAATTATAACTACTATAATTATATTCATGCATATTAACAACTATATGCCTTCTTAGATGAAAAGGATGTGTTTAAACAAAATTATAATCATGTAAGCAGTTTACCAGTACTTGTAATTCTTTCTGGAAATGTGTAAAAGTATGTGCAAAACTTTATTCTGTTTCTCTTATTTCACATTTATTGAGCATTATAGTAAATAGGTTAAATAGTATCTATTTTAATTATTCAAGTTAGAAATCAAATATAATAAAATCTGAAGACTTAACTTACAAGGATGATTTTCAGTGTTAAGATCCATAACAGGATTACACTCATCTATGTTTTATATTTCATGCCTGAAAGTGCTAACATTGAGCAAAATTCTCAATGTGCATTCTTTCCGGATGAACTGCAGTTAGACAACTAAATCTGTAATGCAATATAACATGGTCCTATTAACCTAGTGATGCAGAAAAGACCATCTGTACCACACTGGATATGACTAAACTATAGGAATAAACTAAATGCCTATGTGGTAATTAATTTAAGAAAGCCAGTGAATTGTTTTTTAAAGGAGGAGTGTAAAGTAAATGATGAAAAATTAATAAAAGTAGTCATTGACTTTCAATGCATCGTAATAAGCTTGCAGAATTGATTTGTAAACTGCTTTAAAACTCAATTTCATGTGCATTAAAGACTAATCAAATGACTTCGATGCAGTTCACTGATTTTCAACTTGGCAATTACTTGAGCATATAAAAGTTATTAGTAGAGATATGTAAGAATGCTTGCAAAACAGTTGTCACGATGCACTGTTACTTAATCTTATTTGCGCAGATTGGTTACTCTTATCTTTGTCTTATTAATCCAGAGTTTAATGTTGAATGTACTCGTGGTTTGTCTGCACATTGTCATGTCTTTTACCATAGAGAGAAGTAGTAGAATGATGGTTACCAGAGGATAGGAAGGGTAGCAGGGTACGGGGTGGGGGATAAAGTGGGGATAGGTAATAGGCACCAAAATGTAGTTAGATACAAGGAATTAGATCTTGTGTTTGGTAGCACTTTAGAGCAACAATAGTTAACAATAATTTAACAAATATTTCAAAATAACTAAAAGAGTAGAATTGGAATGTTTCTGACACAAAAAATGATAAATGCTTGAGATGATGCATATCCCAATTACACTGATTTGATCATTACACAATGTATTCTTGCATCAAAATATCACATGCACTTCATAAATATGTACAACTCTATATCCATAATAATTAATAATAAAAATGTTTAGTTCTATTGCAATGATTTGTGTCACTATTAACTGCTAGACCACAAATGAAAGCTTATAATAATAAAGTGGCCTTCTTAAATTCTCAAATTTTCTGTAACAGGTGTTTTACATAAATTTCATCAATGAGTTAAATCAAGTAGAGAGGACGTGGTATAGAGTTCACCATTTTCCATGAACTATTGAGTTCTACTCAATCAACATTTTTTGTTAAATATCAGTCAGTACAATTCCAGGAGGTTAAGATTCTCTAATTATTATGGCCAAAGCAATTAAATATTCTAGTTTTCCTACAGTCAAAATTGAGCACATTCTGAGTTCAGTTTAGAATCTGTTTGTGAAAATTCATTTACCATGCCAAGTCATTCAGTCAGAGCTGGGACTCAATGCTAAGTAAGCAAAATAGCCTGGGGCCCTGCCCTTCTGAGGCCTATGGGCCAGTCATGGAAAAAATGTTAAACAGAAAATCAACAAGTGCATAATTATTAACTGTGGTGAAAGCTATGAAAGGGGTGGTAACCTGTTCAGAAGGAAGGAAAAGCTTACCCATGAAATCACTTTGGTGCTAAAATCTAAAGGATGAGCTCAGTAGGTGAAGTAAAAAGGATCAAACAGAAAGAAGCCATGAATCTGAAAGAAGCACAGACCTCAAGGGGAATTAAAATTCCATATGACTGGATTCTAGAGAGCAAAGAACAGAGATGAAGCTGCAGGATGGAGAGAGTTTTGTCTTCCATCCCCAAAGAGAAAGTTATTGGTAGCAGGGGAGCACAGGGGAAGGGTGGAATTGTGCAATAGTTTACATAATCATATATTAATTTTTCTTTCTTTAGAGATAGGGTCTCTCTCTGTCACTTAGGCTGGAGTGCAGTGGCTCAATCATAGCTAACTGTAGCCTCAAACTCATAGGCTCAATCTATCCTCCCACTGCAGCCTCCCGACTGGCTCGGACTACAGGCATATGCCACCATACCTAGTTTTTTTTGTTGTTGTTGTTTTTTTATAGAGATGGGGGTTCTTGCTATGTTGCCCAGATTCATCTCAAATGCCTGACCTCAAGAGATCATTATGCCTTTTCTTCACGAAGTGCTGGCATTACAGGCATAAGCCACTGTGCCCATCTTCTGAATTTTTTTAAAGATAAAAATTATTATTTTTAAGGGTGGACAATAATGGTACAAATGTGAAGAGTGATAGCATTTTCTTGCAAGAAATTATGTGAACCAGTATAGTAGCGTGGAAATATGTAGGAACAGTGAAGATGAGAGAAATGAAAACAGATATTCAGGAGGTGAAATCAATACAATTAAGGGATTGATATTAATGGAATATTGGGGATGAGTGGAAGAGAGAGAACAGTATCTAGAATGGTCCTCAAGTCTCAGGCTTATATGACTGGATGGATTGTGATGCCATTCACTAAAAAAAAAAAAAAAAAAAAAAAAGCCTGGGCTTGGAGGGTCAGATTATGAAACTGGACTTGTTATAAGATTGTAAGGTGTCTTTCAAGTGGAGATGTTGATGAATCTATTAGATATACAATACAGGTTTGGAACACAGAGGAGAGGTCTGGGCTGGAGATAAATATTTAGGAGTCATTGGAGTGAAGACAGAATTAAATATGTGCATGTAGAAAAAAACCATCCACTGGGAGAGTATACTCAAAATGGAGAAATGTTCATGAGTTTTGAGAGTGTTCTTCCATGTTTTAGAAGCATCTTCAGTGCATTGAGGAAAAGTTCATAATAAATATATTAAAGATAATGGTGTCTATGACATTTAAATAATATAAGAAGGTAGTTAATATTGCAGCCCAAAGATTTAAGTTGACTGACCATAAGGTCAGTGTGTAATTGTAAAGCCATGGATAATGTGGACCTAGACTACTGTGGGAACAATAAAAATGACAATCTTTGCATTTTCTTGTAAATCATACTTAGAGAAGCTTTGGGTTACAGATTATTGTTTGGATACTTTCTCCTATGTTTTTATGTTCTTTGAGGAGTGGAAGTTTTACTGTATTAGTTTTTTTAGTTTATAAACAAATTCATGCTTGACATAAAAAAAGATACATAAAGAAGAATGCATACATTATATCTCCCTTCTTCCAAACCCACCCACTGAGCTAGTCAACATTAAAAGTTTGAAGCTTTTATGCAACATATATGAACAAATATAAGCTTTTGTTTTTTTGATGAAAATTATGTGAACACATGGAGTTTAAACTTGCTTTTTTTACTTAACGTTATATTTGAGCAACCTTTTAAAGAATATCATAGGATTCCAAATAATAAAAATGCCATAATTTATTCAGTAATTCTCCTTCTAATGGATAATCCAATTTTTTCTAGTTTTTATGCCTTTGCAATATCCCATATGTGGATTACTGAGTCAAAATAAATGTATATGTTTTTTCACTTTAATAGATATTGTCCAAAGACTTTCCAAAGAGTTTGCAGCAATCTGCAATCCCACCGCCAAAATGTCAGAATGCTCCCCAGCATTCTTTGCCAGCACTAGATGTTATGCTTTCTTTCATTTACTGCAAAATTGAAGACTAGAAAAATTATATCCTCTTGTATTACTTTGCAGTTTTTACTACTAGTGAGTTTATATACCTAACAATTAAAGTTTAATATTTTAATGTTATATTTATTAGTTAATATTTTAATTTTTAACATCTGCTCTTTAAAGTTTGTATTTACTTGTCCTTCTGTGCATCAGCCACTCTGAGATATACATAACATTATATGCCATACTATCCAATTTTGGAGCAAAAAAAAAAAAAAACAGAAAACAGGAAAAAGAAATCTTTACCAGTACAGTACATCGCTCTTTAAAACCAAAAGTCTTTAAGAATTCCAGATGGAATGATAAACCTCTCATACACAGTTGACCCCACTTTTCCCACCCAAACTCGACTCACAATATTATTCAATACAAATATTCTAAATATGCAAGGTCTATTCTTTACCTCACCTCACTTCCTTCCTGCCTGTTCCAACACATTAGCTCCCCATCACCCATACATGTATGTAGGCTATACTCACTCCTGTGTCTATCCCTGGACTTATGATGCCTTAGATCATATATTCTTAAAACTCTGTTCATCCTTCAATTTCCCTAGAAAAGTGGATGTATAGTGGATGAATGTTTTTATTTTATTAAAACTAAAAGTCTCATGTCATCAAAATACTTTTATGTCACTGATGTGGATCTAATCATCAGAAATATGATAAAATTATGTACTGTTTTCTTGCTATTTATATCATACTTCACATTGGTCTCAGAGAAGTTTTCTACAATATCCTCTATTCCAACTATAACCATTGATTCAAAATTATTTTTACATGGTGTTTAAATATGAGTCAACAATGTTTGTTTTTGTTACAGGATATATCATTTGCCTTATAATAATGCTCTCTCCTGTCTCCATTTATAGGGAAATTTTTTGGGTTCAAATTCCCTGGTCTGAGAGTTCTCACTTACAGAAAGCAGTCCTTACCACAAGAAGACCCCGATGTGGTGGTCATCGATTCATCTAAACACAGTGATGATTCAGTAGCCATGAAGCATTTTAAGTCTCCTACAAAAGAAAGCTGCAGCCCCTCTGAAGCAGATGACACAAAAGCTTTGATACAGCCCAGCAAATGTTCTCCCTTGGTGAATATATCCGGACCTCTTGACCATTCCTCTCCCAAAAGGCAATGGGACCGACTCTACCCTGACATGCTGCAGTCAAGTTCCCAGCTGTCCCATTCCAGATCAAGGGAAAGCTTATGTAGTATACGGAGAGCATCTTCGGTCCATGATATAGAAGGATTCGGCGTCCACCCCAAGAACATATTTAGAGACCGACATGCCAGCGAAGGTATGTTTGATTTTTTTTTAAATGGAAACATATATTAATGGGTAATAAATGATTATTTGCATATTGTTTGAAATTTCAACAATAATCTCTGTGCATTGGGGAAAGAAATGTGATTAAAGGCTATTAAAAACCTGAGTCCTACACTCAGAGTTGTTACTGATTTCCTCTTTGAACCCTTGTGAGTAATTTAGTGTCTTCTGGCTTCTTTATCTGTATTTCTGAAATAGTATGATAACCATTATCTGCCTACCACATGGAGTGTTAATTAATTAATGCTTATTATAACATGTGCTTAGGTAATGAACACTATCATCTCAAGCATAGTTAATTTTGCTGCATTTAGCAAATGATCATGCCCTGGGAAGAAAGAATTTGTGCCATCAGAGGGCTAGTTCATTGACCGACTCTTTCCAAAGGGAGCAGCATAGGAACTGTGATGTACTGAGTGATCAGAAAGCTGTAAGCTGACAGGGGTGCAAGGTAGGTAGGATGAAGGGGAAAAATTTAAAGGGAAAAAAATCCTGAAAGTCCTGATCTCAACAAAAATCGACTTGAAAAGCAAATCAGAATTTATTCTCCCTGGCCTCTTTGAACATTATGTTCACATTCTTACATTAGCCAGTAGTGAAATTAAGGATCCTTAAAAAAAGCAGTGGCAGAAACTATTTATCATGAACATGGTAATTGATAACATCGGTTAAGTACTTACTGTGTCTGAGGCAATGTAAGTGCTTGATACACATTGTCTCATTTTACTCTCATAAGAAACCCAAATTAGGAATCATTTCTAAGCCCTATTTAGTAAGTGAGGAAACAGAGGCTTAACTATGTTAAATAAATAACATAAATAACTAGACTAAGGTTACAGAGCTAGTCAGTGTCAGAGCCCGGCTTCAAACTCAGGACTGCCTGTCTCCATAGTCTACAATCAAATCCATGCAATCTTTTTCCTCCCTCACTCCTGCTCCTCCATGAAACCTTGCCATAGGAGGAGTCTGTTGAAACTCTTGACTTTCCCCAGGGAGTCCAAGAATCAAAGTTCCTGGCATGGGTACATCAGACCCGCTTTCCAGATTCCCATAGATTTGGTTCTTGAGAGACCTGCTGTCCAGGCTACTGCTAGTTTTGTCTTTAAAACATTAATTCTTAATGTGAGGTGTTAGGCACTTTGTCAGCTGATCACACTTATTTTTCTAGCCTCATTTCTAGCCCCAGCAAGACTCCCCTCCCTATTACATACTCTATTCTACATCTGCACAGATATAATTTGCCTTTTCCCAAAAATGTAACACGTGTTTTCTTGCTTCATTACTTTGTTATTCCTGGAATACTCTTCCCTGCTTTGTCTCTCCTTACACTACCACTCAGCAGCAGGGACCCATTTCCCCCTTCCCAAACCAGAAGAATTAAATCATTTCACACTCGAGTGTGCAAACCAATATTTACATATAGTGTAGCATGGATTGCATTTTATATTTATTGTGTATTATATGTCTGTCATTCTTGTCAGATATGTAAGCAAGCAATTATGTTGCTGTGAGCGCCTCCAGCATAGGCACTCTGGCATAGTGAGCTCTGCACCCTTAGTTTCTAGCACAATTGTCTACTTCATGGCAGATACGCGATAAATATTGGTGTAACATTGAGAAGACCATGTGATGTTGAGGGGACTGTGCTTGCGAGTTCTGTTTCAAAATCATGCAGATCAGAAAATAATGAGTTATCTGCTCCATCATACTCTGAAGTTAAACGAAGTCTTAGGAGTAAATCATATAGAGGATCTTTATCTAAAGGACACCATGAAGTAGAGAAGGCAGAAGAGGTGAAAGGAAGAGTTGGCAGGAAGAAGTTCAAAGAAAGATAAATCAATAGCTCAGAAAAAGATACAAGAGCAATTAGCACATCTATTTTAATCTGTGGGCCAAAGAAGGTCAAAAGGAAAAAAGAAAATACAAGGCCAATTCCCAAATTGGATAATCATCTAAGGCCATATCCCATTTAGTAATGGCAGGCTCAATATTTCCTGACAGAATGAAACCGCTAGAATTTGATCTTTGATCAGTGAGTCCTGTGGCTAAACAGCAACAATAAATTCAATATGGTAATTCAAATGACCAGCATATGTTTTAGTGAGTTTAGTTAGTGTAGTCACTTTTAGCAATCATACTGACTTTTCAGAAATTGCCTTTTCAGAGATTCCCTAGAGAGATCCTGACTTATAACAGTAGTATAGTAAAATTCAAAAACAACAAATTTGAAAATCAAACTGATACATAATCAGTGCATTTTACTGACTTAGCCTGTGTTTGGACAGTGGTGCTGAGTAGTTTAGATTAGATTTCTTGATTTAACTTCATTGTTTTTAATTTATATGATATCCATTTAGTGCACAGTTACTGATACAATTATGAGAAAGAATGATTTAATATTTTTGGATTTCTCAGTACGGGTGCTATACATAAACATTTGGTGCTAAGATCATCCTCGATTTTTCCCCCTCACCCAAAGTAAGCTGTTATAAAAAAAAATTACTTTCTTACAGATTATGCTAGAGTCAACATGTGACTATAGATTGATAAATTCAGAGGGTATTTTCTACTTCATCTTTAAAGAAATTTTAGCTACAAAATCACTGATTAGCAAAAAAGAAACTACATTCCCTAAGACTTTATAATTTGGTATATTTTAGAAATAGAGCCATTGATAAGGAAAGATGGAAAACTTTTAGAAGTGATTTTAGTTTTATGAATTCATGTAACTGATTAACAGGTGAAATCATGCACAAGATTTCGAAGTTGGGTTGTTGTCTCCTCATTGAAATAAATAAAAATGTTCTCCTGTACAGGCTATCTTCACAGAACTTTAAATATTTTGCAGATATATTAATGAATAATATTTTACCTTATCCTCTCATTTAATCCACATTATCAAGAACCTTAGAACCATACTTTTCAAACCATCTTTGATGAAGAACCAGAATTTTGTTTTCTAATTCATCACTGACCAATACATTTGTGAAGCCAATAAAAATGTACTACTGGAAAAATAAAATGTAAAAAATAGACATAAAATATAAACCCCAATTGTTTTATTATTAGATTAATCAGACATGAAATTACTCTGCCAAACTGCTACAAAAGATTCTAAATATTTACTCCAATTTCTGTACTTGCATTGTCATGGAAGAATAACAAGCAGATCTCAGCTAAGACCAGTGCACAAGCCACACTCTGCCTTGGAAGGTCAAAGCTGTAATAACTATATAATGTAATGTTTTGTTAGTTTTCTTGGAATTGGTAAATCTTTACATATAATTTTTAGGTTTGATAAGTACAGTTATAATTTATAACTACTTGCAAGCAGTTGTTACTTTACTAATGGTTTTTGGACCCAGCTTCTGACAGACACATTCATTCTGAGTAATCAAGATCTCTTCCACTATCTCTATTTGTTTCTTGTAATTCTCTCAAAGAGGAAAGGGAGTTGTCATCTAAGGCCACAGTTTTATTTGTATATCTTTGTCCAATGCAATGTCTACGAGCAATTCAATATATCACATTATTAGAATTATTTCAGTTGTAAGCTTTGAAATTATTATGATATATCCCAAGATTTTAAATGGGCACAGTGTTAGCATAGATATCAACAAAATGCTGAACAGATTTTTCAAATCTTGGATATATTTGAATGGTTTTGATATGACAGTGACGTTTATTTTAAGCAAGTGTGTTTCATAGCTAGTAATGCATATTTTGTTAGTGGCAAGTATGCAACATTTAGATAGCTGATCTCAAAGTAAATCTGAAAATATTTAACTTAGATTTTAAAAGAGCCCATTTTATTACAAATAAAATTTTTCAATATTCTAGTAATTACACTGAATTCATTGTGACAACATTAACAAAAATGTTTACATTTTTTAAAACAATCTAATCTTTCATTTACTTCTTGCAATTATTTTTGCCTAAGAATGACTCTTTGAGTTATATTTGCTATTTTTAAAATATATATTGAAGTACATTTGGAGGAGGGCAGTTAATAAAATTGTGATTAATAATGTAAGTTGGAGCTAGGCAGAGTGGAGCCAGGCAGACTGGTGTGGTTGTAGTCCCAGCTACTAAGGAGGCTCAGGCACGAGGATTCTTGAGCCTAGAAGTTCAAGTCCATCCAGAGAGATATAGCCAGACCTTGTCCTGAAAGGAAGAAAGGAAGGAAGGAAGGAAAGAAGGAAGGAAGGAAGGAAGGAAGGAAGGAAGGAAGGAGGGAGGGAAGGAGAGAAGGAAGGAAGGAAGGAAGGAAGGAAAGAAGGAGGGAAGGAAGGAAAGAAGGAAGGAGGGAAGGAGAGAAGGAAGGAAGGAAGGAAGGAAGGAAAGAAGGAGGGAAGGAGGGAAGGAAGGAAAGAAGGAAGGAAAGAAGGAAGGAGGGAAGGAGGGAAGGAAGGAGGGAAGGAGGGAAGGAGGGAAGGAAGGAGGGAAAGAGGGAAGGGAGAAAGGGAGGAAGGCAGGAGGGAAGGAGGGAAGGGAGGAAGGGAAGGAGGGAGGGAGGGAGGGAGGGAAAGAAGGGAGGGAGGGAGGGAGGAAGGAAGGAACTGTTATCTTAGAAACATTTTCCTTATTAACATACTAGGTTAAATTATATGCAAAAAAACACTTAACATGCAAAATGTGGAGTCTTCCTTTGAGTATATTCTAAGTGATAGTTGAGGAGACACTAAAATTGGCTGTTGACAAGGTTGAAAGTTTTGTCACAACTGCAGCAGCTGGGGAAGTCTATTTCCAAACTGTCATAATTATAAAATCTGTACTTTGGAATCCATTTAAATTGAGATAAATGCTTCACATATTTAAATAAGAATGTATATTATGACAGATACTATTTTTAGTATATGCATGTTACTTGGTGGAATAGTACAAAATGTTAATTTCAATTAAAGAGAAATTTTCCATCATATTCTGATTTCTCTGATTGTTTTTATACAGGTAATTCAGTGTATATAATATAATTTTAGTCTTCTTTTTATATTTCTCTTTTTTTATCCTTATGTGCTCAAAACAGACAATGGTCGCAATGTCAAAGGTAATGTACAAACTCAAATTTCACCATCTGATGTTCAACCTGCCCCTTTACTCGGCATGTTAACTTGCCTGCTGTATGCCCTGTTCAGTGCAACATCTTCATGCTGCCCTTAGCTATTTGGGGTGCCTGGTGGAGACATCATGGCTTGATTTTGCTACAGACATTGTTATTTCTCTGCTGTGTTACCAAAATGATCATGAGCTCCTTTTGCCTGCAAGAATTATAAGCCTAGGTTGACAATGAATACTTCCTAAATATTTAAATCACTTGGAAAAACACAAATATCAAGCTAAATATATTCTGATGTGACAGAGGCACAAAAGCCTATTTCAGGAAAACAAAAAATTTGAGTGCAAGATTAAATAAAATAAGCAAAGTGCTACATGACAGCATCACTTCACTTGTTCCTCTTTTGTTTCCTCAAAACTAGTTTCACGTTCCTGGATGGCAGGGGGTATGGTTTTCAGCTTACTGTAGTAGTAAACTATATATGCATGACAGTTGTTTTCTATTTTTCTCTATTATATTTTAATCATTTTAATTTTGTTCTCTATTAATCTGAAATCACTGGCATGACCTACAACTACCATAGGGTTATATTTAACTGGGAATACTCTGGATAAATTTGGATTGGGCTGAAAATTTGGAATTCAATTCTGTTTTCTACTATATCATAGTAGATACAAGGATCACAAAATATGATAACCATATTATTATCATCAAATTGAAAACCATTGGGATTTGGTCTTTCAACATAGGCCATGCATGCTGCTGTGGGTGTGCAAATGGTGATTGTGACTTATTTTGTGCATGTGTGTTGCATGAACACGTCTCCACCAGTAACCGTCATTACTTAGAATTCACTGTTTTGACCACTCTCTCCTGTATGTCACTGGTACACTGACCACTGTGCAATTTTGTATATTGATTTCTCAATTGCTTCCCTAAAATAATTCAGAGCTGGTGATGGTTATGAATTAATAGCGCTAGGGAGCAAAAATGTTTGGTCAGCAACCTAGGGAAATTTGAAAATCAGGGAAATTATGGCAGTATCCCCCCAAACCCACCCCAATTTTATTTTGTAGGCACTTTAAAAGGGTCTATGCAGGTTGACCCCAATAGTGGGATGGGATTTCACCTACATCATTGTTCTTTTTTTTTTTTTTTTTTTTTGACCTGTCCACTGTGATTTCTAAAAGGGAGCAAATTAGTGTCAACTGTGTGTGGTGGTTTGCATTGACATAATTCAGAATGTAACCTCAAGAAGCAGGATACAGATAGTTCTTGCCAACTAGCTTTAGGATTTAACAATTAGCAGTAAATTAGTAGGCATTAATTAATTTTCTAGTGATTTTTAAATGTAGTGATAAATGAACCTAATTTTTCTCAACAAATAGAAAATTGGACTTGTTTAACTTTCAAACTACTAGTTCACATATATGTCAAAGTACAGCTATTTTATTTTAGTGTCATAAAACAATTCATTTACTCTCCAACCTTTTTTTCTCAACTCTCTCATTTTTAATAGGAGTAGTCTTTGAACACGGATATTCTTTATTTATTACATAGATTTCAGATTGCTCATCAATTTTACGATCACAATTTAAAGTATATGGTAGAATCATCAAAGTCAGAATTTGGCATTACAAATCTCTAAACCATTGCACAAAGTTTTCACATATTAATACTTAAGAAGTTATATCCCCAAATTGGAGAAAACATTTGCAAACTTAATTAAATTTAATGTAAATTTTCAATCCAAAGTCTTCATTACGTTTTTCAAGCTCTGGTTTTGAAAACTATTAACAATGTTTAAGTGTCTGCCTCTAAGATTTTTCACAAAGCCATTAACATTGCTAATTAGGTACAGGAACCCCCAAGTGTGCATTTTAAATTCTTTTGACTTTGCTTCTATACCAGATCTAAATAAAAAACTAAAAAATGCAGGTTTCTACACTGCTTTGTGTACAAAATGCATAATTATAATTAATTATTTCAATATTCAACCAAAAAACATTTTTTGGTTGAATTTAATTCTAATTATTTAATTCTGAATTAAATAAATAACGTAGGAATGTGTTGGTAATGTCTTCAATATCATCTGATTTATTCATGTCAGGTGAGGTATTGGCTAAATACCTTGCACAGGTGGTACATTTATCTCCAGAGGATGCCATTCTTTAACTTTCTCGGGAAGTCCGTGTTAGTGCCTGTTACACAAAGAGCTAACCTAAATCCTTCTTTCTGATATGTATTCTTTTCCCCTTCATCTGTCTCTACTGGACAGAGATACTAGCTGACTACTGCTAATCATGATGCAATATCACAGTAAAAAGACAGCAAATTGGTACTCTTTTTTCTAAAACTAATTTCCACTTAATCTTCTTTCTTAGGATCTATTTCGTTTCCCTTTAATAAATTTTCTTAGCATTATGATTCCTTAAGCTAACATTTCAAAGTTCTTTGTTAAAAATGTAAACCATTGTGAAAGAGTGGAAAAGTTATTTCAAATAAATTGCACATCCTGCATATACATATGTATGTATTATAATTTTTTAACAACTTCTCTAATATGTGAGAGGGGTACCTAATCCTACCTCCATCACTCATATATTAATTTTTACCTCCAACTTGGTGGCTTTTCTATTTTGCTTTACAAGTCATCAGTAAAAATCTACCTCACTTTCTCTACTTCGTAAATAAGTCATAATACAATTTTGCCCCTTTAATGCTCCCACCTCCTTGCTATCTCAAGTAACCCTGCTTCCCTCTGACATTGGTGTGTTCCATTTCCAATTAGTCTATGAATCTGTCATATGACTCTGAAGTAAAACTACTTTCAAGGTTTGTTACAGCTTTTATCTCCTCTCTAGCCTATATGACTCATAAATGAAATAAATGAATCTAATACAACTTGTTTCTCATAGGCTGCCTTGGCCATTACCCAGTATCTTGTCATCTGATAAGGATTTGCAAATTGATTTTCAATGATAACAGTTTACTCCTGCAAATAATATGTCATGCACTGAAACAGATAATATGAAGAAAAATAATTTGATGATTACTTCTTATGCATTTTTCTAAGTGCTAAACTGGTTGCCTTATACTTATTGATAGTGTTCTTTTACAAAGTTTAATTATTAAACACTGCATTTGCATCTTCTTTCATGTTAAGTCACTTGAGGAATTTGGGTTTTATTAAACTTTAGCTAAATAAACTCAGTGCCCTAAGATATATTGTACAAATACCTGATGATTTAAAAACAACCTTTGTCTGTTTGGTTTCCTTCTTTCCTATCACATTTGGCCCTCCAAAATGATTTTTTAAAGTAGCATTATTTTTTTAATCTATCAGATGCCCTTAGCTATATTTCCAGCACCATCTAAAAGAAAAACATATTCTCCTTTAGCATCTCATAACTCATGATAAATTTAAATAGCCTCATCGTATAAATTTTAAATATCTTTAAAATTCTTCCCAGTTGTTGCTTTAGCCTCTAGCTTCATGTCTAAATGTAGGTATTTCTTTGTAGTTGGAAATTGGCCTACTTTATGTTTAATCAGACCCTTGAAATATATTAAAGCACTCTCCAGCTGTTGGTTTAGTCTACTTGGTTACCTGTTTTCCACCTTCTCCTAATATATTGAAAAATGTAACCTGGTCATCCATCTTGCAAATGCTTCTCTGAAGAACATCAAGTCCACCTCTATGCTTCTGCGTTTTACATGACTTTCTACTGAATCTCTTATTTCCCTCTATTTCTGCCCATTCATTTCCTTTAAATTTATTTACTTTGTTTTTCAGGTTATTCTCCTTTCTTTCATTAGAATCCTAAATCCCATCTGTTCATGATCACTCTCAGTGAGGCTGCCTTTCACCTTTAAATCCTCAACCAAGGCCTCTCTGAATATAGACTTAGGAGGTAGGAAACCCTGCATTCTGGTCCTTTATTCTTATTCTTTTCTGGCCTCATATTCTGTCCACTTAGGTTTACAATCGGTGAAATAAGGATATTGTTAATACCTACCTTAGTTAAAATGTTGAAATTTTTTTCATTTGCATTTAGATGGGCTTAGAGGAATCTAAGCCAACACTGATCATCTTGAAGACTCTAGAAGTCTTCTGCATTTAAACATCTGCTTTAAAATCCGTAGAAAGAAGCATAATTATCTTTTTTATACAGCATGAAATAAATTTTAAATGCCTTATCTAAGTAGCTTGCACAAGTTATTTTAAGTAATATTTTAAGTTTTGCTGAATTAATTAAAATATAGATTAAAAGAAAATGTGGATTAACTATTTAAGACTAAGAGCCAAAAAAAAAAACCCAGAATAGAATAAGAGTTTAGAAGGTTTTTCTACCTGCAAATAAGAGAAGCTAAAATAGTGAATGCAATGAAGTTGCAAATTCTGAGGCCAAATTTGAGTATGACATTTTATCAACCAGTTTCTCAATCATATCAGATCCAATGTCTCCTTGTCTCATATTTTGTTATACTCATTTTCCTATCCTGAAATGGAACTCAGAGATAATTTAACCTATTTCTAAAATATCAACATGATTCCCTAACTGTAATATACAGGAGAAATAAAAGAAAAACAGTTTACAATAAAATATTTATTTCAATATGTTAGTGTTCAAATATAACTTCACTAGAAAACATAACACAATAATCAGACATATGAAGAAAACTTGGTTTTAAAAGCGTTAAGTACATGAGAAAGTATTCCATACAGGTACCAGATAAAATGGTACAGCAGGAGTATAAGTGGGCAGCATAATCAAAACTACCATTGAAGTCAAGAATTATATCAGACTTATTTATACATGAATTTTAAAAATGGGAAGTAACTAAAATTTAATTATGATTAATATACCAATATAAACTGAAGAGAAAATAAGGAAGTATGGTATTCTTATAAATGAGCTAGTTCTTGCTTTTAATAGTAGTGTCAAAATGATACCTTCTGTGATATAATGCAATAGTAGTGAATTGCACAGAAGAAAGAAATCCCACTAGATGTCAGGACATGTATTCATCCTCTAATACATTAGAAAAGATCCTGCAAACATGCTTTGTTATGTAATGAGAAATTGAAGATGGAATGGAAAATGAAATGGCAATTGAGACATTATAGAGAAGTTGTGGCAGATCTCCAGGGAGTTTTGAGAATGAGACTGAAAACCAACAGCCAACCCAAAGACAAATAATAATTACAAGTGTTTCATTTTTAAGAGATAGGTTCCTTTTCATAGTATGATATCATTTTACATACATAGGAAGATATTTATATAAAATATTTTTGAAGGAACTTTTATTAGTGTGATTTTGGTAATTCTTTGAAAATTTAATAATATTTGGTTCCAACACTGGTAAAGAAGACTCAAATCTCTTAGCTTACATATTTGCAAATAACAGCTCCAAACACAGATTGTAAACTAAACTCTGAAATATTCTATTGGCTACTCAAATGCCATGAGGAGTGTAGCTCTAAGTGACATAATCTTCCAAAATGATGAACAATTTCTGATAAAGTTCTGAATAAAACAATATATATTCTTACCTCTACATGGAAATTGTAGCTCTGGAAATTTCAATTTATATTAAAATCATGTAAAAAGCACATTGTGGTGTTTATATGTGAAACAGTTAGTTTTAAAGCTCAGTTCATGAATAAACAGGCTTTTCACCTGCATGAATGGCCTCGAGGCATGTAAGGCAATTCTTTAAGGCAGGCGAATTGTGACATTGAAATTCTTTCATAATTGTGACAACAAAAAATGCCCCCACAAATCTCCCCTAGAATGAAATACTACCATAGTTGAAATCACATGCTTATATAAGTGTAGCCAATTCAGAGGAGTTTATTGGCACTGGTCACAAGGGCAATTAAAGTAGATTAACAGTGTCTTTCTGTCTATTAACATTGTAGAATCGGTGATGACATCGATGATCCGTGAATTTAGCCAAATTTTAAATAACTCTGTGGACAATTTGCTACAGAAATGCAGCATAGAGAAGGATGATAAAAAAAGAGAGTGGAAAGATGAGCTTAAGGGCTTTGAATACAATTTAACTATATATTTGATCTCTGTTATCTATAATCTCTTAATAGTATCCCTGTTAGTTAAATAACCTAAGGATTGAAAATAGGACATTAGAGTTGGGGAAAAGACAATATCTAAGAAATCTGAAATCCTAGCATAATTTACAAACTGTAAATATTAAGATATAAAACCTAGAACTCAACTATAGAATGCTGCAGAAAGGGAAACACTATCCTGGTATGCATTACAATAAAATAAATTAGTGATGTGGGCTGGAGACTTCCAAAAAGACCTGAAGAACGGAGTTTCTGTCAGAGAACTATCTGAAGGCTAGATGAGTTTGTTGCCACTATTGGCTCTTATTTCTATCTTTGTATAAATAGTAAAGAGAGTTAGGTTCTATATGCAAATGAGAACATATGAGGCAATAAATTCCTGGAGAGCTCGTGACATTTTTCTTCTAGATGGACTTGGTCATCGTCATGGATAAGACTCAGGGAGTCAACAGAAATGCAACTCAAGAAACACAGTATTTGTTAAATACATGAAAATTTATTAAGATTACTTCAAACTTTTATAATAAACAAGTGTAAACTTTTATGAACAAGTATAGTGTGATTTTCCCCCATAGTGACTATGAACAAAATGATGAGCATTGATTTCTTAGTATTATATCTGACCCAAGTTGATTGATTATTGTCCAAAATGCAAAATCTTAAAGTCTAATTTTTAAGTGTTTATACCTTGCTTGATGCTTAAAGTACATTTTGATCCCGAAAATGGGTTCACGTCATTTTGAACAGGGAAAAAAATAACAAAGGCAACTATGCTGCCTAACAAGTTTATTGATGGAATTTGTATGTTTTAACCACTTCCTGGGGCACAAAAATAGGGAGCTCACGATTTTTATAAAATTCTCCCTGTTGTTAATTTTTAAGAGCTAAATAACAGTGTACGTAATATTGCTCATTACACGAGATACTTCTCAGAGAATTTCCTGATTCTCCATAAGCAACAGACAACAGATTCATCCCAAAGGAAGATACAGCTGGTCAGTCTACTCCCTCAACAAAGAAACCAGGAGTCTTGCCACCTTGCCAAGTTATCTTTGTAGGAAAGATTTTGAGAAGCGACTAGGTACTATCAACCCCAGGCATGCCCTATTACCTAGCTGTGGTCACTTGTATTGTAAGTTATGTTTGCCAGAGCATTAGTCTTTTGCGGTTTTTAATAGCGCCTTTTTTTTTTCTCAGAAAGTGGTCAAGACTTAAACATAAGTGAAAGAAAAAAAAGGATCTAAAAATCCCACATATGATCCAAGAGTTTTCAATAGAGTACACACATTCACACAAAAATGGCCTTTCACCCTCTGCAGCTTTATCTGTAATTCCTTCATCTGGGTTTAACTCTTTCAGAAGCTCTGTGGAGCATCTCATATAGGTAGTGGAAACATATGAAGAGCCTAGATGGCTTGTCACTCCTCAGTGACACAGACAGGGGAGTAACACAAATTGGAGCAGGGTAAACAATCCATTTGGAAATTTCATGGCCAATATGACTTTAACCATAGGTAAGTCCTTCTTAAATAATCCTCAAATTACAAAATGAAATTTATAAGAAACTTTAAAGGTAGAATTTGACCAGTAACAGAGAGTGTAGTTTTTTCTTTTATTCTAGCTTTTAATGAAAGAAACTAATTAACAGCTAAATCTGCCATTTGCTCTCTGGGTACACACTTAGAACCCAGTCTTATTCTCAGATACTCACATGCCATTCCATGTGGCCCAAGGTGACCCTAAGCCCTGTGTCCAGGTATAAGCTGGCTGCATTCAGTCACACTCAAATCAGGATCATATTGGTCAGGAATCATTAGCAGGGCATTCAGAACTGTCTCTTTCTTCTATATCTTCTTATATTACTCTTACAAATACTTTCCATTTTTTTAGGGCCTTTTAATCATATCAAGTCAAGCCTCCTGGGATCCACATCAGATTCAAACCTCAACAAATACAGCACCATTAACAAGATTCCACAGCTCACTCTGAATTTTTCAGAGGTCAAAACTGAGAAAAAGAATTCATCACCTCCTTCTTCAGATAAAACCATTATTGCACCCAAGGTTAAAGATCGAACACACAATGTGACTGAGAAAGTGACCCAGGTAGGACACAATTTTCTTATCAATTTCAACTGTTTTAGAGGTTTGTTTCTGCACCATGAAACATATTCTTTTTCTTATAAATGACTGTCGGTAGAGGTAAGACATTTTTTCTTTGTACTCCTATTTATCTTGAGATGTTGGGTAACTCTCTAATATAACAGATTAATAAAGCTGTATACTATGATTTTATATATTACAAGACTAAGCAAAAATGGGCTAACATGGCATGGTTGCTCCCACTTTCGTAGAGGTGGTTAACCTGCTATTCGTCGTGTTTGGACACTTAGTGTTTGGCTGCCAACTCTCACATTATTAAAACATGGTTTTTTAATATAATGGATGTGTCTATTGAAGCTTTAGGGGACTAATTAGCATTTGCTCTGAACTGTGGTATCCTTTTGGACTTACTCTACTAAATAGAGTCAGATCTAAGTCAGTTAACTTGGGGAAAAGAGCTGTCTGAGATGATGAAAAGTCAGTGGAACACCACATTTTATTGGAACAATATCTAATTGTTTTCAAATAAATACTGCAACTTGAACTAGGATGAAAAGCTAGCAGGTATACTGCTTCAGAGAGTAGATAAAAATGATTTCTACTTATTATATCAATATACCAACCTAAGCAGTACGTAGCTTTTGCTTACAGTGCACTTACATTGTTGGGAATTCATGACTTTAAAATTTGTCAAGCAAGCGGTTCTTTTACAAACAATTTACTCGGTATATTTGCTTAGCAAATCTTTGCATAAACTCTCTATAATATAAAGCCAAGCTTGCCCCCATTCTTTATCCCAAGCATTGAAGTTTTTGAATTAATGAAGTTTTTCTGTAATTGTAATCACTACAAACCACACTATAGTACTGTTTCCAGATAACCTCTTATGTGTGAGCTGAAATAGCTATGAAAAGACCATGAGCAAGTTATAAATAAACCTGTGCAGTCTATATTTATTTGAGATGAGAAATTATACACGCCATTCTTGAGAGCATTTTTTCTATATATTTTAATATTTATGTAGTGAAGAGGCTTTCTTTTCTTGGCATTTCACTTTTCTTAACTTATATTTAGTAAAATGGGTAAATGAACAGTTTACTGTTACGCACATTTTATTGACATCATTTTGATAGCTTTGTGTTTTCCTTTCAATTGTTTTTACTTTAAAAGTATTATTATTTATAGATTCCTACCATTATATGAATATATAGGAATCAAGAGACTTAAGAGGAGACAGAAGAAAAGTTGGAAATATTAGGATCAGGGCCCTGCAAGTGCATAAGGGAATAAAATTTAAAGAGAAGCACAGCATGGCAATGGGGACTGTGGCGAACTGTGGAGTGCAGGCCCCATCTAAAGCAGACAGCTGATATGCAGCTCTGTCTAACTGCGGTTAGGCAGAAATGCTTGACCAATTAATGAATGCTTGCAAATCTTTCCATTTTAAAAGAGAAGCTGGAAATGCAGAATTTAAGATAACCTCTTTATTTCTTAAAGTTGACAAATGAAAAAATGCCTTGAACTCTTTTTTAGGCTGAACAAAACACATCTTAAGGCCTGTGTGCAGCCATGTGGGATCTCAGCAAGTCTTTCATGTGCTTGGTCCACCACAGAGGCCACCCTATGCTGCCGTGTTCAGCAGATCCACTGTGCCAGGAGAACATGATACACACAGAGATCTGAGAAGCACCTGCTCTGGGGGCTTTCTCAGATAGTGGGACAGGAAGCATATATATAAATATCAATAATGAAATGCATGGTAATAAAGAATATTAGGGAGAAAGTTATTCTACTATAAGGGAAGAATTTGCAGGGAAGAAAAAGACAGGATTAAACATTTAAGCCAGATCTAGAAGGTCACATCAAACTGCGTAGTCAGTAAATTTTAAGAGCATAAATCAGAGTCAAACGGGATTGTGTTTTATTTCAGGCATTTATTGTAGGCCATGAATGCAAGTGGCATTTATTGTGTGACATTAAGGCAAATTTCAGGACTGGGAAACCTTACTTCTCAGAGTTGATATAAGAATTAAATAGAAATGTGGAAAGTGTCCATCCTAGTACTACGTACCATAACAAGCAATGTCATGTCATTATTATGTTTATTAATATTCTTCTATGATCCCCCAACTCTCTTCATTATCTCTGCAGGATCTCTTTATCCCTACATCACGAGGGCCTTAGTAGAACACCTGGCAGAATGGAGTTCATCAAATGTTTGCTGAATAAATGAGTGCATAAATGGATGGAAGAGTTAGCCAAGGGAAGGGATAAGAATTCCAGGTAGAAAAAAACACAAGAACAAAGTTATGAAAGCAGTAAAGTCCATATGACTTTTTAGAACAAGTGGTTTTCTGAGCTGGCGAGAGGCTAGTCTGGAAAATTTACCTTCAAAATAACACTTTTCTACCTTTTCACATAAGTGCCATGGGGGTTTGAGTAAAATGCAACAGTTTCCATCAAAAGCTTTGCATTTTTTTTGGTCTCACACTTTATCTTTAAAAGCCCTGTGACTTTCAAATTTAGCTTTGTAATATAGAAATATTTGTTTTAACATTTAAAAATCTTTTAAAATATTATTATAGACCTAATGTTTGTGTACCCACCAAAATTTATGTGTTGAAACATAATCACCAGCATGATGGCATTTGGAGGTGGGACCTTTCAGAATAGGTCATGAGTGTGGAGATCTCATAAATGGGATTAGTGTCCTTGTAAAAGAGGCCCCAGAGAGCTCTTTGGCCCCCTTCTGCACTGTGAGGTTACAATGAAAAGATGGAGCTTATTTATGAACAAGGAAGCAAGCCCTCATCAGGCATTAAATAGGCTGGCAACTTGATCTTGGACTTCACAGCCGCCATAACTGTGGACAATACATTTCTCTTGTTTGTAAGCTACCCAGTTGATGAGTATTTTATTTTAGCAGCCCAAATGGACTAAGATGACTACTTACCACTGAGTGAATCTGAGGCCCACAGAAAGACCCCAGAGTTTTCCTAAAGCTTCTTATGCTTCCCACAAATTGTGGAGTATCCCCCTCCCACTCTCCAAAGTACCCCAACTGGAGAGGTATGATACAGGCAAAAGCCTTTTTCAAACTGCTGGAAGATCAGAATTTGATCATATTTTATAAAAGTTCTCTCTTTTTTTACAGTGTAAAAAATACAATGAATGGGAGGAAATTCTGGAGTCAGGTGAAACACTTAAGTTGCTATGGTCCTTGCTAGAAATAATAAGGGACTGAATAAAGGCTGAGACCAGAAACTGGGAAAAAAGGCATCAGTAGGAATGCTTTATCTTCTTTGTAGGGGCCCCTTTTAGCTCTTAGTGACAAACCTTCCAATTGTCCACATGTCAAACCAAACAATGTAGAGATCAAATATCAAGAACTTCCTCCTGCAGGCATAGCCTCTGGAAATTTTATTTAAGCACTTGAAAGCAGAGCTCTTCAATAACTCATTTATAGGATTACATACTTCATTTTGTATTTGTGAAGTTTCCTAATTGCAGCTATCTTTGAAATTTCCATATTCACTACTTTTAACATTAGTTGTCCTCTGGTCACCAAAAACAACTTAGTAATAACCAAAAGACTTTACTTGTCTTTTTATTTTCTTTAGGCCTGCATGGAGATTCTCTTTGTCAGGAAATTTTCAACATGTTTGCTGTAGGCAGCCAGCAGTATTTCCTTAATCCAATGTTCTTTCTTATTTTATTCACGTAATAGATTTGTATGATATTTCTTTCTTCAAAAGAAGTCAAGATTTTGCTTATAGATTATTCAACAATAAATTTTAAACACTCTACAGTGCACAAACAATAGAGTAGTCATCAAGAGAAAAAGGCATTGATGAAAAGAATAATCGCTGCTCCTGTTGTTCTGTCTCACCACTTGGATCTTATCTCTATTACACGTTAAATTAGAATTAGGCAATTAGTTATTTACCTCCTCAGTTAGAGTCATCTTCTTCAACACAGGGACTATGTGGTCATTCATTCATTCATTCGTTGGTCATTCATGTATTTGTTTATTCATTCAAAAGCATGTATTGACATGTATTATATATAATATATACATTATATACTATATACTATATATTACATGTTATGTGTATATATAATATACATATTATGTGTGTATATATAATATACATGTTATATATTATATGTGCTGAATATAATACATACATACATAGTATGTGTATATGTAACATACATATTATATATTATATTGTATATAACATGTAATGTATATAATATATGTATTGTATATAACATATAAATGTATATCAATATGTATATTATATATAATGTATAATATATATCCATATATAATGTATAAACACACACAGTGCTAGGTGCTGGGAATTCAGAATTAAAAGGCAAATCTCTGCCTTTGAGTCTCGAAGGAAGTAGAGAAGTACAGTACATTGACTTTACAGTGCAATGTAAAGTATTTTTCTATGGGTAAACACTGTGTGTGCAGATGGTGCTGAGAGAGGAAACCTTAGCTACATTGGGAGTTTGGGATAGTGTTTGGGGAATATAAACCCTTAAGTGCGTTTTGAAGGTGAGAAGTTTCCAAAATAAGGAATAAAAATCTGGAGTGAAACACATGTGGGAATCTCTAGGTACCAAAGAATGAATGCAGCATGAGGTGTTTGTATGACCAGTGCCTGGTATGATTATATGACACATAGTAGCATCTTAAATGATTCAAATGAACCACTGAGGGTATTGCGTGGGATTAAGCAAGAGTAAGTCTGCAGTCAAAAATCTCCAAAGCAAATGCCTTCCTTCTGAAATCTTTTGTTAGGCAAGACTTCAATTCTTGCTGTTATTTTGGATCCATAGTCCTCTTTTGGCCTTATTGGTCTTCTGGAATGCATCATGTCATATTTCATTTTGCCATATTTCATCTCACCTTCTTTATTTATTTGGAGAAAAGAGAAAATAATTCTCAGAAGATGTGTGTGTTTTTTTTCCTGCACTACAGTCCAGCCAGTAAAGGCTGATGTGCAGTAGTGTACATCTCAGGGAGGCAAGCCCTTGGCTGGCCATTTCTACCAAATTCCAATGGAGTGGTGGAGAGTAAACAATGAATTGTAAGAAAATTTGGGCGGAGAACAAAGGTAAGGTCTCCTTTTACCAAGCAGTTGCACTTCTCAATTGAAGATCAAATTATTGGCTATATTTGCCCCCTTTTAAATAAAAGTGAACCACACTTTTGCACTATTCTAAGATTTTGTTATTCCTGAGGCTAGTTTAGTTCAAATATTGTGCCAATTTTTAGGATGAAACATATTATTTTGTTGCCATATTCAGCTTTGACAAGTTTTGTATTAGACCACTCTCCCTGGATAAGTATGAGTATCCGAATAGTTAAAGAAGATGGTGCCGTGGATTTCAAATCTTTATTGGCCATTGTATCAGTCAATACTGTAACAGAATGCAAGTAACAGAAATCCAACTCAAACCACTTTAAGCAAAAAAATGAAAGGAAGAGGGGAAGTTTATTGGGCCATATTACTGAAAGGTACAGAGAAAGATCTGCTTTGGGGTGAGCTATATACATTTTTGTGTAACTAGTGACATTCTCTCCCTTGCTTCTGTGTTGACTGCACTCCCCACCTAATAGCAGCAAGTTCCTCAGACTCTCCTGTCTCACCTAATGCTCACAGTTAGTAATTTGGGGAGAAGGACCTTCTTTCTTCCAGTGTCCATATTATTCCCAGAAAAAGAAGACTCTTATTGACCATCTTGGGCCATGTGATCATCTTGTGGAGGAAAAAGTATAGTCCCTTGACTGACAGTCACACCAGAAAAATGCAGAGGGAGAAGCAAGCCTGTAAAGCAGGAGAATCAAACAGCAGTGGCCCATTGCAGAGATGAAGATAGGAATTCAAATTAACAGCATTAACCACACACACGTGCACACCCCCACCCTCCCCCCCACACACACAGAGTCCACATTGGGCAGTGGGTAGATTCTAGAAACACAGAAATATAAAACCTAGTATAGATACTCAAGACATTATAAATTACTTGGAGAAACACTACATAACAGTATATAGCATTTACACATGCTAATTATTAAATTAAATTAAATTAAATTAAATTAAATTAAATGCTACAAGGCCATATTATGAAAGTAACAATAGTTTACATTTCCTTTAAACTTAGTATTTGTCGTACTATGACCAAATAGTTCTATAAGTTGGCCTTTATTACATAAGAGGAATGTCTGGTGAATTCAGTGGAAACCCATTTTGAGATAATCAGGAAATAAGATGTGTGAAGGGACCTTAATGAGCCAGAAGGTATTAATCTGTGGAACAGAAGATGAGAAAAAATTTACTACTAGTCCACAAGTATAATTTTCCTGTAGCTTTACTAAGGAAAGTACTCAAGAAAATTAGTTCAGATTTAATCACAAAATAACTTAGGTCACAAGAAAGAAATTTCTGAATATTAAAAAAGCCATATAATCTTTAAGTCTATGTAGACTTTAGAGCCATAATAGATTCCCAACATTTAGGATTCATGTAAGTATATTATTGGCATGAAAATAGAATTATGGTAACTTTCATGATTTCTGACATTGATTGAGCATTTAATATGTGCCAGGCTCAGTGGTAAATGGTTTAGTGGATTCTCAATTTTAATCTGTATGACAGCACTGTGAGATTGTGCCGTTATTATCCATATGCATTTCATAGAGAAGAAATTAAGCTTAGAGAGTGGAGGCAACTTGCTTAGGTCTTATAGTAAATGATGGACGTAGCCTTCAAACTGAGGTAATTTGATTCCAAAAGTGAAGTTCTCATTCTCTAAAATATATCCTCTTTATGATTCTGTTCTGTTTCCCCATTTGTCCCCTAAATCTCCTCAGGAGTTACTGTGGCAGTTGGACATACTTGTAACATTTGACTGTGACACCAAATGTCCTAATCTGAGTGGTTAGTTAACTCTTCAAAAAGCCTACAAAGCTATCATTGCCATGGAGGTTCATTTCCAGCACGGTCTCTTGTTTAAATTTATATACCATCTACTTTATGCTGATTTCAGATTAGAATAGTGGGATGGGGGTTTTTGTTGGTCGTATGCTGCACAGTTACAGAAAAAGCAAAACCACCCTGATATTACTGACTTAAAGAAGAACTGAAAGATTATGGCCTTTTACTTATATTGAACTTTGTTCATTATGAACAGGTTCATTATCTCTTCATTGTGACTCAGTGTTTCTCAATTTATGCTTATTTTTGACATAAATCCAAAACAAGTATTTATGATTTAGTACTTCTTTAGGAATGCAGGCTGATTTGTAATGAAGAAATTTTAATGAGGAAATAACATTGACTTTTTCTTCTTAGCTAATGTTTAAAATTATTTGTCATCTCAGGCTTAAGAGTACAAAGTTTCTCCCATCCAAGTACTAACCAGGACCAACTCTGTTGCATTTCTGAGATCAGATGAGATCACATGTACTCAGGGTGGTATGGCCGTAGATATTAGTACAAAATATCTTAACATGTTCTGTAGTTTCCTTCAAATTGGATAAATTTAGTCCTGAATTTCTTCAATGACATGATTTGAAAAGTCTTTCAGATACAACAACAAACAAAAAGTGGTTTTATATATAGCAGTACTTTTCAATAATAATTTCATGGTTTTAAAATTATACTTAAGGCAAATTTTCAACAATTATTTGTATAAAGACTCATTGATTCTTCACTCTTGAAATTACTAAAAACAAAATTCACAATACTGATGCAGGATTTTTTGCTCCTTAGCTCAGCTAGGTCTGGGTTCTTGTCTCATGACCAGGAAAAAGTAGGCACATGGATACTCAAAGAATGAGTGGAGTAGAATTTTTTAAGTGAAAGGAAAGCTCTCAGCAAAGAGAGAGGGGCTCTGAAAGCGGGTTCCCAGTTTCCCCCCTTCTCAGTTGAATACAAAGGCTTCTATATATCTAAGCTGATGGGGCTGGGTTCCATATTTGTATAAGGCATGAATTCCAGGTGGCTCCCCTCCATCCCCCCAGTGCGCATGCGGGCCCTTAGTCCACTGCAGGCATGCTTAAGAGAACTGTGTAAGTTCTCTTATCTGCACAAAACATCTGGTGTCAGCACTTGTGGGGCTGGTCACAGGTTCTCTGGGGACCTTTCCTTACTGTCTGCCTAAAGAAAGCTAACTCCTTTCATTCCCTTCTTCAGGAGTGGAGACCCCCAACGGCTGTTGGGGAAAGTAGACAATCACCATTCTAAACTGCTTCCTGCTGACAGGGAGTTCTGTTTTGGGAAAGTGGCAGTTAGGGCTCCTCCTGAGGTCTGTTTAAGGGTCCATGGAAGAATGGCACATCCATGCATGGTTTCATTTGCATCGCCATTTGAAGTTTAATGGCCTTTTAGCAAGAAGAAGCAATTTGGGTTATCAGAAGCTGTAAATCAAAATGAATCAAGGGAGTAAGGACAGCTCCACAATCCCAAGATTGCTGACATGCCCAGATAACTGGTGGCTATAGTTATCCCTGCTAAGATTTGGATGCATGGGGCTTAGCTTTGGTTGACTCCCTTGGTCTTATTTTCCCAAACAAAAAAACCTCCAGGATTTGCAGGATAATTGCCCAGAATTAAAATATTGATCCAGATTTTTACATTATCCATCCCTTTTGTTTCTTCTGAGCTGCAGCTGGGTATCACTGGTTTGTTCACAGGAATAAGCAGGATTAGTCTAAAATGTTGGCAAAAGCTTGAAAACAACTGATGAGATTAGAATGGAATCACAAGTGTATGTTAAGTTTTGAAACAATTTTTCTCTCTCCAGTCCTCATTTTTGTCAAAAACAAATCATGATAGGACTGAGTTCTTTGTAAAATAAACTTAAGTCTTATACTTGGCTTGATTATCTGCATAAAGTACAGCAAGAATAGTTATATTTAACATAGGCTTTTAAATTGGCTTTAATAGAACTCTGTTCTACAAGGAATCTCAGATAAGACCTTTTAAAGCCTAGCCCAGCCATGGATTTGTACTCTGAAATACCTATGATTTGGGCAAATTCCTCTCTTCTTGAGGTCCCCAGAACATAGGGCTCCTGGGCCTGTTAGAAAGTGACATTCTTTACTCACCACAGGTTAGGAACCCTGTACAGGGACTCTTTAGACAAGGTATGAGGCCAAAGTTCCTAAGGAGCTTTAATTGGTTCTGCAGGTCATGCTTGATTCCTTAAAGGGAAGCACATCCTTCCAGTCAAAGCCTTGGTAAAACAACCAGTTTCTCCAATTGTGACCTGTTATAAAAAGATAATGGATTCTTACTGCACTGATGCAAATAAATATATTGCCGTAAGTTAAGAATACTCACAAATAGTTTACAAATTCTGGAGAAGCCAGGCAGAAAGAAACAAATATGCTCAAAATTTTGTTCACAGGAGTATAGCTTACTCAATTATTAAAGGCTCTAAATAGTTCAAAATAAATTTCCTTGACTCTGAAAAACAAAACAAGGATCAACAACATTTTAAGTAAAAAGTTAAATGATTAATTCAGTTTTCTATTAGTTCAGTCCATTCAGTTAACTCTTGTTCTGCTTGATATTCATGAGCATTTCAGCTCTTTATGAGTCCCATATGCTTCCCTCTATTCCAATGCCACAATCTCCAAAGATATCAGAAACTTGTGTTTCAGAGCTCCTGTCCAAGTCCTATATCTGATTATAAACCATTTTTTGGAAAGGATCAAAGCAAGACAACAATTGTCTGTGAATGACAAAATACCCAGGATAGTTACAGTCAAAAACATGATTGACAAAGAAATTTGGTTATTTCTGTAGTTTACAATAGGTTAACATAATAACCTTTATTATGATTGATAGCATGTACTCAGACATTAGAATTTTAGACATCCCATACAATTTTGGAACATATACACTTATTGTTCACTAAAATATAACCTAAAGAAGATAAAACATCACTTTGGAAATAACTAAAAATGTCAAATAATCCTGTTTACCTATCTTTTGGATGCTCCAGGGGCCCTCTCTAGCATCTAAAAGTTAGGGGTCAGGAAAGACAACATTGAAACTGAAGTTTGATTTTGTGAAGCCTACCAAAAGAGTAAAGGTTCACAACACTTGATATTATGAAATAGAATTCCAGATTACCCTAAGTTATTTAGCCAAAATCATGACTCAAAAATTTTAAGAAAGACCAAAAACCTCTTATTATCCTTTACTATTACATGAAAATCTTGTTCAAGAGACAGAAAGCCAAATTTTACCCTTGCATTAGTCTACTATTAATATCAACCCCAATTTTTAAATGAAACCTTAAACATAATTCTATCTCATCTTAACCAGTTTGACCTTGCAGTGAGATTCTTGTAAACCTTTTATAACCCTTTACAAATCTTTGTTAAATAACAGATCAATACCTTAAGAAAACCTTGTCGTGCTTTTATTTCAATACTCAGTTTATGGAAAAACTATATAGTACCTTTTTGAAGTTGGTCAATATGTTCACACACAGAATTTCTTTTGCAAGATTCTTTTTTACAAATCTTCCACCATTTGTTTAAACCTTCAGCTTTATCTTTTCTATTTCAAAACTATTCTCTAACCCTAAGCAAAAATTTACATTCTCATGCCTTCTTATAACCTTTTACTAAAAACGCATTTTACTTTCCTTACACAGCTTGTATATAAATCTATTTTCAGTAGTCTCAATTACATGTTATGATGGCAACTCTTAGCAATTTTTAATTTTAGTGTAAAACCTGGTAAGTTATTTTAATTATGTACTAGGCACAGATAAGATCTGACTCCAGCATAGTTAGTGACGTGGTTAATTCCATATGTCCCTAGGCCTTACCAAATTGTAAAGCAGGCAAGTTGAGCAGTTCTCAAAGGCTAAAGAAGCAGCTTATAACCTTAAAACATTTAGCAAACCTAGTATCTGACCTGCATACTTTAGACCACATATTTACATTTTGAAGACATTTGTATTTTACCAATAATCTTTAAGACTTTTATTTCTCAAAGATTAAAGTCACATGAACTAAAAGGCATTATAGCTTTTATTTTTCCTTCAAAAAATATTTGATCTAAGTGCTTATTTTTCTTTAAGCCAATTAATTAGAGCTCTATTTCTATATAACCATCACACATCTAACACATATATGATTACACAGACAGAAGAAGATCCAATAGTTGTAAGAATTTTCATTTGCCTATCTCCTAATTGAAATTACTGGACTCAGGGTATAGCTCTCCAAGAAGCAGGGCTAGGGAAACATGTAGTTTCCCAGGCCAAAAAGCAGGCATACCTGGAAGACAAAAACAAATTTTGAGAGGGACCTATTTGCTTTTAATTCCTGGGGTTCCATGAGGAAAACAAATATTTTTTTCCCAAAATGGAGTCTGTGGCACCTTCTCTGTTTTTCCCCAGGCATCCCAGGCCATCAGAAGTTATCTTAGGGCCTCTGACTTGTGCATTAAGAGTGGCAAGACAAAATGGAGAAAAGTAATACAGTTGACTGAGAAAAAAACCTTTTCCAAAAAAAAAAAAAAAAAAAAAAAAAAACAAGATCCAAGAAGAGAAAAACATAGAGTCCTTTTAGATATATCTATAGCTTGGAGATCCATTTTTAATTAAATTGAGTACACTTTAAGGAAATCCTTTTAAATTCCTTATTACCTGATTTTAGCCATGCAAAGCGGCCAATATTTCTGGCTTTTGAGCTTTACCAAAATTAATCTCACAGGTGAAGCCAATAAGCCTCAACTAAGGTTATGACTTAACCTTAGTGTTCAAGGTGTTCAATGTATTTTCAGAGGTGGAAAACAGTTTTTACAAAATCTGGAATCTTTATAGGTAGCTCAGGGAAGGGAAGATTTAAGAAAGGAAGCTAGAAGTTGTTCATGGAGGGGAAGATAATCACCAAATGGTAAAAAGTCACAAAGGTATTAACCAGAAAGTACTCATTCCCTAAGCCAGGATTGATACCATGTGGCCATTAAAATGGCAAAGACCAAAAGAGAGTACTGCCACGTGGTTACAAGGTCAAGCCCCCAAAGACATAAAACAAGATGGAGACTTGCAGCAAAGTTTGTTACTGACCAATTTGCTAGGCTGGCTTAAACAGCAGGCTTATGGGAGACTAGGCCCACGTTCTAGCCTGAAGTACCCCTCTTTATGACAGAACCATACAGAAAGACACACAAAGTGCACCAGATTGGCTACAGCTTAAGACAAGGCACAAATCCTTTTTTCCATTAATCAAAACTTTACAGAGGATATAAGCAGTAATTTTATCATTCATTCAACTGGTTTGCACAGGGAGAGGGAGGCCAGAAGTCTGACTGGTAAGAACTTTTGCCCTTTTCGGGGCATGTCAGGCTTCTGGGTTCCCTTCCCCTGAGCTCATTTAAGCTAAGCAGTTTAAAGTTTGGGGATCTTAACTTTTCCCCATTTGAGGATGCATCTAAGGGAAGTGTCCTGTAGTACAGGACACAATTACCCATCCACGAAGAGAAGACAGAGTTCGAGGAAAAAGAAGGCTTTTTTTCCCCAAAGGAATCCCAGTGATTCAGGAGGCATTTGAGAGAAGTACAGACTGAAGATGAATGGCTACCCATCTAGAAAGAGGGGAAAAAGGCATCCCTAGGTCCTTTCTCTTCCTAGCAAATACCTGGGGTACGTGAGGGAGAGAAATAATGGTGTCCCATTCTTTCTTCTGTCCTTATATCCCCGAGTCCTGGCAACCTCGGCAGGGTGCCACCCATGAATGCCAATGCAACTTTTCACCCATGTTAACAGGGAGGCCTAATGGGTGGGAATTATCCACATTTACCTACACGCAGACTCCTTCCTGCTGTTGGTAACTTTTGAGTTCCCTATACCTTGTCTGTGTCATAGATACTAGCATGACCTCTATCTATGAAATGGGAGGGGGCCTAATTGTCAGGAATCAGTCATGCTAAGGTAAAGCTGTGGAGCTGGGTCCCCCTCAAACAAGGGAGAGGAAAGGGAGTCCCGTGAATTGGGGTCCTGGCCTAGTAAAATGCCTCTCAAAGGAAACAAAAAAACCTCTTGCATAGAAAAGCTGCCCATATCCGCAGGGCTGTGTTAACTCCTGGCACTGTGGGAAAAAGAAAAATAAACAGTTTAAGTGCAGGGTGGGGACAATGCCTGGGGGAAAAACCTCTAGCTCTATGCAAATGTGTTTCTCCACCAGGGAGAGAAACTCTTAATCTTTGTACCCTCTTGGCTCAACCAGAGGAGGAAAGGCTCCACAGGTTCATGGCAGGATGGGTCGGAGAGTGGGAAATGCTGGCCAACAGGCTGCATGAGGGCCTTGGCCCCCGAGATTGCCTTGGTACCCGGGAAGCAGCCACAGCTTATTCCTGTCCTGCGTGGTCACTGAACGCAGCATATGTGTGTGGCAGACACAGCCATGTACCCCAGCTGGGAGGGGAGGTTGGAGCAGGGAGTGCATACCTGTGGCCATTGGGTGGAGCTGAGGGATGCCTCTAAGAACAGATGGAAATCACATTATCCTGAATTGCATATCTGGTGGCTTGGCCAAATGCTCATTCTACATAGTAATATCTCTGCAGTTTGCAGCAGCACCCTTAACATCATTTAAAAAGAGGTGCCATGACAGCCCTGAAAAAGAAAGAAAATGCCATAGAAAAGTCTGGATTGCAAAGAGGCTGACATTCCCAAGCCCTGAGAGTGATGGGCAGGGGTGTTGTTGGGGTCCTATCTAGCATCCTGTCCTCTGTAGCTGCGCCATTTATTCTTAATTGGCTCACAAGAGGTTTGGTGCTGCATCAGCCTTCAGAAAAAGTCTGAGGACTAGAAGTCTCAGAAGTGAAAGTGAAAGGTTTTGGGTCTCATTTACTCACCCTCCAGGCATCCTGTGCGAGCTCCCAAAATGACACAGGATTTCTTGCTCTTTAGCTCAGCTAGGTCTGGCTTCTTGTCTTACAACCAGGAAGAAGTAGGCATGCGGAGGCTTGAAGAGTGAGTGGAGTAGAATTTATTAAGTGAAAGGAAAGCTCTCAGCAAAAAGAGAAATCCTGAAAGTAGGTTCCTGGTTGCCCTCCTTTTCAGTTGAATACAAGGGCTTCTATATATCTAAGCTGATGGGGCTGGGTTCCCTGTTTGCATAAGGCACTAATTCCCGGTGGCTCCACCTAATCCCCCTAGTGCACATGTGGCCCCTTAGGCCACTGCGGGCATGTTTGGGCAATCTTCCTGTGCAAATTCCCTTGTCTGCACAAAACATCTGGTGTAAGAACTTGTGGGGCAGGTTGGTGGTTCTCCAGGGACCCTCCCCTTACTGTCTGCCTAAAGCAAGCTGGCTAACTTCTTTCCATACCTCTAGAGTATGATTAACGTGTTCTCCTAAACTTCATTTTGGATCTAAACCAACTTATATATCATATAAACCTCAATAAAACTATATTGAATTCATCTTGAATTGCCAAATAATGGTAATCACAAAATTCCAGATTAAATTTGGGATGTAATGCAGGAGTACAAAATTGCTTCTGAGCAATTCCAATTTAATAGAACATTAATTTTGCTTCCATTATCTTGTTGTTATTTATAGAATACCAGCAAGCTTGGTTCAGCAAAACAGAAATTCCTATCCAATGTTTTTCCCATATTCTGAGTTTAGTCTGTAAATAATATTTAAATACGCAAATTGAAATGACAATATATCTGGAAGCTATAAGAATTGTCATTAGGGTAATTATGGATTCAATATTTGTCATTGTTTGCTAAATATAAGTCAAATGTTATGTACTCTGGCTGATAT